>NC_000006.12:53288418-53934102 GCF_000001405.40 Homo sapiens | reverse complement strand
GAAAATGGAGATCTCTACTGAAAATGCTCCAGTTTGGGTGAAGTTTTTCCATCAATCTTTAATTGGGCAGAGAAAAAGCATATGTGATTCTTATTTCATAATAATATAATCTTTCTTCCAAAAGTACAATAGACACTACCAAATAATATTTCCACTTTGAAAGTTAATTTTCACAATAGGCCTGTCAAATAGGCAAATTTCTTTCCCCTGCTTTTGTAATCATCCTCTTTACCTCCCTACATGTCCTATTTACAAACCCAGTCTTCCTCTTGTCATTGCCCTTTTTCACCCCATCAACAACCACAAACACCTATTACATCTAATTTTTCTTTACCTTCCTCCCACTCTCATCCAAGCTAATGGGTTTCCTCCAACACAGCTTCTTACAGGTTAAACTATAAATTTGATGCTAATCAACTGGTAAGAAACTTCCTAGAAACTTCCTTACTCATTACAGAGGAAGGTGTGTCAAAAGCATAAGGGTTCAAGCTGCAAGACATGACCTGTTAATGAGTTGTGAAATTAATTTATTTGGTTTTGATTAGCACTAAAAATAATGAAATTGGAAATATCAGAGTTCCTTATATACAGTTAAGGAAAAAGCACTATGTTGGGAAACTTTAGTTTCAGCTATGTACATGTATGTGTTTACTGGGTTACTACGTGACAGGTTCCTTCAAGAAAGTTGAGTTGCAGTCAGAAAAGTTAGAAAAGCACTGAGGTAGAAATTTCTAGAAAGAGGGAGCATTCCACAGAGTCAAATGCAGCAGACAGGTCTAGAAAGGTAAGAGGTGAATCAGTGTCCATCAGATGTGGCCCCACAGAGGTCTGCTGACCTGGCTAGAGCAGTTCCACCATGCTGTGTATGGGAGCCAGACTTCTCACGGTAGTGCATGGAAACTTAGAAGCAGGGAGAACAAGAATAGACCTGTTTTAAGAACCTTGGCAGAGAAGAGTAAGGAAGACTATGATGGAGGGGACTTAAGAGTCTATTTCTCAGGGACTCAAAAGTTAAAAGTAAAGCAAAAAGTAAATTGGTCTTTAGAGTAAGTCTTCACGTAGTAATCAAAAAACAATTTTCCTATTTGCCAATTCAATTTTCTATTCCTAATTCAAAAATTGTAATGAAAACACTTGAGACAATTAAAGTTGAGTAAAAGTAGCCACAAGGATTTAGAAACAATGCCTATCAGGGCTGGGTGCAGTGGCTCTAGGTTTTTGACCTAGGTGATCAAGGTTTTTTGCTCATTTAGAGTGGTATCTAAACATGTTTATAGAAGCTGCTGAGATATGGGATAAAATGGATCATCAATGGAGCAAACTCTAAGAGAAAAAGGATCGGAGAGTGGCTGGAAGAGCTAGCTGTGATGAGGAAGTGAGGTCTGGGAGAGGACAGAGTCCAGCAAAGGCATTCTGTGGGTGAGGGTAGCAGGGAATAAAAACTGGCAATTCGCTCCTGAAAGCCTTTATTTCCTCCATAAAATAAGGCTGACATTCAGTATCTAAATGTGCTGCCTTGGCCATTTTTAAAATATTGCATCTCTTCCTATAGGATGCTGGTTTCAGTCATGGAGTCTACACATCATGCAGTGATGTTGCTTAGCCAGGCATACAGCCCATCCTTCAAGAAAATTGAATAGAAATGTAAGATAACAGTAGGGTCCCCAAACATAATAGCATTGGGACTCAAGAGAGTGTTGAGGGTGTGCTATAGCTCCTGAGCAGCCTGAGAAGGGGGTGACCCCAGGCATTTGTTGCAAAGCATCCCAGAGTTGGCAGAGCAAGTGGCAGGGCAGGTCATGCTGTTGGTAGGGAACAAGGAACAGGCTCTCTGAGTTCTGCCCATTTGGAAAGCCAGGGTGTCCAGACTGGTGTCTGGCTGTGATAACCAGGCGACACATCCAACGCCGTCTGGTGGCAAAAGATAGCAGGTTGCACCTATTGACTAGAGGCAGAAACCCCTGCAAACTGTCTATAAAGGGTCAAATAATCAATATTTTTGGCTTTGAGTGCCATTTGGTCTCTGCACATTTAAAAAGGGACATAGTCATGTTCCAAGAAAACTTTATTTATAAAAACAGGCAATGGGTTATAGTTTAAGAGCCCCTGGACTTGAGTATTTTAATAGGAATGCTATCAAAAAAGTCTGATGTTCCCAAAGCAAATGGTGGCCCAGGGAAGGGCATCATTTAGATAGCAGCCACCTACATTAAATAAGCCCTAAAGATGCAAAAATTTTGCATATATGATATGCATAATTATGCAATATGATAAATGATTAGAACTACTACTCAGATCTCTAGAGAAGTAGTTTTATGATACACATAATATTGCTTTATATGACAAAAAAGGGACAGTTTCTAAAATGTGTGTATTGGTCTACATATTACCATATATTTCCATACCAGTTACCTATTTTCAGGATCATCCTTAGTATGACAACGGGATAATGCATTTGGAGAGAGTCATTAAACCTTGGAACAGTTGAATAAGGCAACTTGTTTCCTAAGGACACTAAAATGATTGTGATGCTACATGAAGAATACAGATGAGGTTGGAGATCCTGAGCTTCGGTGTTTCCCAATCTGAAATACCAAGATTGGAAGATTTCTTCCAAAAGCCCAGGTATAAGGACAGATTGTGGGTTGGAAGATTTGTGACCTGAATGTCAGGCACAGATCTGGTTCCTGCTCACTGAGAGTCCATGGTGTGTGGGCTGATACGCCACCAGGCAAGTCAGGAAGTGTTAATATATTCTAGCCACATCTGGCCATCCACATTTTCAGTCTTCCCCTTAGGCACTCACCCAGAGGCAAACATGCTTTCTACTTCCGTTAGCACTTCCTCTACTCCTATTAGCTTGTATAGATTGGCAAGAAGAGCCTAAAGGTCAACACATGGCTAAGACCAGATGCTCTTATGCCTCCCCATATGGAGCAAATATGATGCGTTTCAGGATAGCAAAAAGAGTGGTAATTGCTGAAAACCTTCTATGTGCTCTGTCATCTAATTCTCTAGAAAGTCTTGAAGTAAGTATTATTCCCATTTTACAGACGAGTTCACTAAGACTTGGGGAAATTAAGAAAAACCTCTCAAGGTCACAACATTAAGTAAGTGCCATAGCTGGATTTAAATCTGCTTAACTCCAAAGCTCCTGCTCCTTCCAGCACACTAGAGCAGTGGTTCTCTAAGTATGTTCCCTGAACCAGTAGCAGCAGCAGCACCTCAGAACATGTTAGAGGTGCAAATTCTTAGGCCCCACCCCAGACCTATGGAATCAGACTCTGAGAGTGGGGTCCAGCAATCTGCTTTAACACTGCCACCAGGGGGTTCTGATGCATGCTCAAGTTTGGAAACTACTGCACAATACAGCCTTCAAGAAAAAGATACTACAGTAGGTTCCAGGTCTACACATCATGCAGTGATGTTGTAGGTTCCAGGTTACATGACAGTGAGCAAGACAGGGTCAGCCACACTGAGCAGCCCTGGACAAACCTAAGGAGCTAAGGATAGAGACAGCTCTTCTCTACCTGTATGCCTGACTGAGCAACATCACTGCATGATGTGGTTTTTCTGCCCCCAACATTGTACCAGTTCTTTAAAGAGCAAGTAGCTATGATACCGGAAAAGAACCATATCAGAGCTTCACATTTGGTTGTCAACATCATTTCTTCTAACAACCTAACTGCTACATGGATTTGCTGTCCTTGAGATGTGGAATGAAAAGGTTAGGTAATTTACCAAGGGTCAAGTGACCACAGGTGACAAACCCTGGGTTTCCCAAGGACTGCTGCTACCCAGGTCCCAGGGGCACACCCCCTTTACCTGCTGGCAGGCATCAAGACGAAGACAGGCAGCCATTGTTGGGGAGGGAGTCGACATCAAGCTGGTATCTCATCTAGCTCGTGACTTTTCTATACTGAGCACCTTCCAGGTGTCCAGGTGAGAACACAACATGGATAAGGCTTACTTTACATCTGTCAGAGCCCTGGCAAATGCCTTCCCGAGTGCCTCTGGCATTCTCTGTGAGAAAGAGAGCCACAGCCTGACAACTCCCATAGCCATCAATGGCAACGCTCCTGACCCTCAAGACATTCCAAAAGGATTAAAACCAAGAGCAACCCCAACCTAACAGACCCAGCCCATAGCGTCTTCTCGAAACTTCCCAAACTCACACCGAAACTTGCCCCACCCATTCCGCCTCTGGGCCAATGGGCAGGACCAAAATTCAGGAAGAACATTCAATGCCCAGACAAGTAACCATGTTGTTTTGTTTTTCCAAGCAGTGCTGAGCGAGGTTTAAACAAACAAGCACTCACACCTGCAGCCAAGGAAGGGCAAGAAGCAGCAGCCAGGTGTGGGAACATGAACGCCAGACACTCGGGATCCAGACAGTCTCCCAGGAGAGCCCATTTCCAGTGAATACTTTCTTCAGGTGCTCAGTGAAGCGCAGTCCCATGGGGAGCCTGGGCAACTGTTGGCAAGCTACTTTTTTAAAGCAGTAAGACTTCATTTATGACTTACCTTGAGAAAGCATCAAAAGAGAGGCATTTGCAGACTCTGCATTTACAGGGCATCAGGTGTGGGGTGTCACTCTATTACACCCTGTTACAAGCCTGGTTTCTTGCTATGGGAAGACTCCATAGGACCTTCTGTTCCTATCACCAGGGTGGTGGAGCCAGTTTCAAATAAAATTAAACATTGCTTAGTCACACAAGTTTTCTATTCTTCCTGTTTTCTGCTTCTTTGATTAAATTAGTCCCTAAAGGAGCAATCATTATTTGTCAAATCTTTCACAACAACACATTATAAAAGGAGGACTTTAAATAATAAATTATGACTCATCTTCCTCATTTCCCCCAAATGGCACAAAGGTCAAGTTGCAGCACCATAGATTTCCCAGTGTTCATTATCTGTCTTTTCTCCAAGGGTAGGCTATTAAAGGTAGTGAGTATTAAAAGTCATTCCTAACTAATTAGCTCACTCTGGAGCTACCTGCCAATTTTCAGAATATGCTGAAGCTTTCTCAGAGAGCCAATTACCAAACTGTCACTCCAGTTAATGTTAAAAACGTTATCAATTTTTTTTTTCCCACTAGCCAAATACTTTATCTCACAAGTTTCTTAGGATTTGCACATAGTTTGAGATGGTAGAACAAAGACCCCATGAACATTTCCACAGCCCTTAGCCCAGGACAACATACAAGAAGTGAGTGAAGGTGGTGGGAGGGTTAGAGCAGCTGTTCCAAATCTTTTTGGCACCAGGGACCAGTTTCATGGAAAATGATTTTTCCATGGACCAGTGAGGGAGGGTGGCTTCAGGATGATTTAAGTGCATTACACTTATCATGCACTTTATTTCTATTGTTATTACATTATAATATGTAATAAAACAATTATACAAGTCATCATAATGTAGAATCAGTGGGAACCCTGAGCTTGTTTTCCTGCAACTTGATGGCCTCATCTGGGGGTGATGGGAGACAGTGACAGATCATCAGGCATTAGATTCTCATAATAAGCGTGCAACCTAGATCCCTCGCATGTGCAGTTCACAATAGGGTTTGCACTCCTATGAAAATCTAATGCTGCCGCTGATCTGCCAGGAGGAGGAGCTCAGGCGGTAATGCTTGCTTGCCCACTGCTCACCTCCTGCTGTGTGGCCCATTTCCGAACAGGCCAAGAACTGGTACCTGGCCCTGGGGTACAGGTTGGGGACCCCTGGGTTAGAGAATGCAGAATCACAGTGTTTGCAATCACTAGGCTTAAATGAAGGCCCAATTCTGCATCAATTTCATTAAATTTCACTCAGTTCCATGCCAGTCTTAGTCTATAACTTATAGCCTATGTAATTTTGACAAAAACAGAACCATCACCATTATGACAAATACAACTCTAAATGTAATTACAGGTTACAGTGCTTTGGCTGGGGAAGGGGAGCAAAGTAAAATAAAGGGGTGATTGAAATGTCAACGGAGATGTGAATTTGAATTCTGACTTTGTCCCTTACTGTTTGATCGTGGGCACATTCCTAAAACTATTTGAGTCTTAATTATCTGCTTTGCACAAAGGAAATCGCGTCACCTACCTCATGGTGGTGTTCTGGAAAGCTGAGGCTGTGTTCAGCTAGGTCAGTGTAGGGCGCATAGTAAGTACTCAGTGAATGGCTGCTGTAGTTCATAGTACTATCTTACTGTAAAAAAGGGCAGCTCGTTTTTTGTTTAGAAGTTAAATGTTGATGCTGCAAAAGAAACTTGGGGCCAGGCACAGTGGCTCACACCTGTAATCCCAGCACTTTAGGAGGCTGAGGCAGGTTGATCACTTGAGACCAGGGGTTCAAGACCAGCCTGGGCAACATGGTGAAACCCTGTCTCTACTAAAAATACAAAAAATAGCCAGGCATGGTGGCATGCAACTGTAATTCCAGCTACTTGGGAGGCTGAGGTAGGAGAATCGTTTGAACCTGGGAGGGGGAGGTTGCAGTGAGCTGAGATTGCACCACTGCACTCCAGCCTGGGCGACAGAGCAAGACTCTGTCTCAAAAGAAAAAAAAAAAAAAAAGAAACTTGGAGGATTGACCCAGTCAGGTTCTTGTCCAGTCAGAACTCAAGAGCCCTTGGCTAAAATCCATGCTTGTCACAATGATTGCCCACTCTCAGAGTCTAAAGTTACACTATCCTTCTGGCCTACTGCCAGACACAAAACCTCATCTCCAATCTTCCACACAGCCCACTGAACACAAGGAACAGATCAGGTTTTTCTGGTTTCCCTTTCCCGCCAGCTGTCTGCTTTTTAAAAAAGAAACCACTCCAACAAGATGGGAGTGTTCTCTACATGCCCCACGTCAGGCTGCACTAATTTATTTGTTCCAGCAGGTTTTTCTCCCTGGATGATCCATGTCTTAAATTGACTCGTTCCTTCTGATACATGAAAGCCTCCTTTGAGAGAAAGGAGACAGAACAAAGCAAGAGGTAAAAAAGGAGATGTTATGAAAATCCAGGGTGAAATAGAGACAAGGCAAAATGAGCACCAGAGACCTGAACCTAGAAAACCAAGAATATGACAAAGAGGGGGACATTTTCTGGAAAAGGAGACCCTTTTCTCAACTAGCTGTCTCATGGTTTCTTGGTAGGATCTAGTTTTACCTTAAGGATGGCTAGTTAGTAAGTCTGGTTAAAATGAGGTGGTTACCATGAGACCATTGCTAGACCTACCATTAAGTAAGCACACAGGACAAATTAAAATCACCACCCATTACATAATGCAGGAGTCTATATATAAAACCACAGGTGAAACAGTTTTCAAATAAAGTTTTCTCCATCAGAACTAGTGTGTGTCCTCATTCCTGAGAACATACCCATCTGATGACACACTGTTGGCTTGGTGGCAGGAATTGCAGGGGTGCTAATAACACTACTATAACAACAAAAACAGCAAGACCTGTAATAATAGCAGCCACCCACTTCCTGAGAGCGTGTTTTATGTATCCCACTTAATCCTCACTCTAAGCCTGAAAGGACTATTACTGCCCCATTTTAAAGATGAAGGACCTGAGGCCCAGAGAGGTTAGTTTGTCCATACCTACGTGGCAGGCTGGGATTCAGACCTATATCCATATGCATGATTCCACTGGCATATTGACTCAAAAATTGTAACTCCAAAGCAGTTTTAAAAAGCACATTTGCTTGCTTTTCCAGAGCTTTAAAAAAAAATGCTTCATTGTGCACTTTCTTATAGACATATTTTAAAACATAATACATGTTTTAAAAACATGCATTTTTAAATGCCTTAGTCTTGTGTTGCTAATTATTGAAGGTGAGTGATAGCTATAGGAGGGTCAATGATGATTCTACTTTTGTATGTTTTGAATTTTCCATAATAAAGTTATCTCTTTTTTTTTTTTAATTGGCTCTTTGGAAAATTGGATGAGGTAAGACAACAACAATGGTGAAGTGAGATTGCAACTCTCCATGGATGTCACTGAGTGGCAATGTCCCTAATTGCCTTCTATTAATAAGCAGCTGCAATGCAGTCCCTTGTTTGAGAGTGCTGCTGCAGCCTTGCCACACACCAGCAGCATGCCCAGGGCAGAGCATCACTCATTTTCTTTCTTTTTTTCTCTAAGACAGTCTTGCTCTGTCGCCCAGGCCGGAGTGCAGTGGCACGATCTCGGCTCACGGCAACTTCCGCCTCCCAGGTTCAAGCAATTCTCCTGCCTCAGCCTCCTGCGTAGCTGGGATTACAGGTGCCCGCCACCACACCTGGCTAATTTTATGTATTTTTAATAGAAACAGGTTTCCACCATGTTGGCCAGGTTGGTCTCGAACTCCTGACCTTGTGATCTCCCACCTCAGCCTCCCAAAGTGCTGGCATTACAGCTATGAGCCACTGTGGCCGACCAAGCGTCAGTCATTTTACCAGGGAAGGACTGGCTGTTCAGAGTAACTCTCAGACACAGAATTTTCCCAGCCTCCACCCCATTCACTAAGCATGTCTTGTTGGGTGTGGTAGATTTCACAGGAGATGGCAGAAGTGCTGCTATGAGAGGCTGGTGCGAGTGATCCCACCTTGCCTGCTCACCTCATTGACAGCCAGCTAGTATGTTTTTAGACAGAAAGATTGGGTCAGTCAGGACAATTCCTCCAAACTTTCCAGAAAAAAAACAATATCTAGGCAGACATTTTATGATTTCTTACCAATCCCTCTATTCATTATCAATGACTTTGATTATTTCACTTCCTCTCATTTTTTCTCTGGCTATTTTACCCACTGAGACATTATTTTCTTGCTAAAAAGAAGAAATAACTGGCTATGGGAAAAAAAAAAGTGGGTGAACAGGTCATACTAACCTCCTTTCCTGCTTTCACCTGTCACTCCCACAAGACAAACAGCCAGCCATATACTGTACTCCTCCCTTTCCTAAAGGAAGGGCTGGATGGGGACGGGGGTCGTGGTGGGGGGGGGGGGGGCACTGACAGAGAAAGGTATCGTTTCACATAATCAAGTTTTTCTTATAACTATGAGAGGGGCCTTCCTAGAAACGGCTTGGCATGTTCTCAAGGCAGAACTGTCTGGCTGGTGCTGTTTCCACTGTGAAGCTTGAGTTTGGTTCCAGCACCCTGAAGTTCAAGAGCACTGCAGTGTCACCAGCGTAAAACATTCAGATGAAAGCGACATTTCCCTCTCAAAGGAAGCGGGGAAACAAACAAAATCCCCCAAACTGAAAACAAAAAGCAAACTAAGTGAACATGAACTAAAGGAGATAGGCCAAAGGAAATAAACTAGGTGCATGACATTTCCTAGGAAAATTTAAGCACACACACACCATTCTGTCCACCTCCAGTCCAGAAAAGCCATGATGAACTGAGTAGTAAAGGATGGGCTTTATATAAAAACAAACAAAACACGCCATGCAAGTTCTACTTGTTCTTCCACGTCAAGACAATTCTCATTAAATAAAACCAATTTGCTTATATATAATCAGCCCATGAGATAGTGGCATTATCTTTATAAGCTTAAAACAAAATAGAGGATGTCAAAAATCTTAAAACAGAGAAAAGAAAATTGGTATGCACAGATTAGGGAACAAGGTATAAAACTGACCAGCCGAAACTCACTTATGTGTTATGTACTTTCAGCTCCATAAATAGTTTTTAAAATACACACATATTTACATACACACAGACTAAAAAGCTAAGTGAACCCAATAAGTAAATGTATAGAAGTAAAAAAAAGTATTGTATTTGGTTGGTTGAAGACGGGTTTATAAGGAGTCCAATTGGCCAGATAGCCACAACCCAAAATTACTAGCCAGAGTCAAAGGCAATTCTGGGCTCTGCCCCATGTGAATGCAAGTCCCACAGGAGGTCACTCACAACTGACGGGTAATTTAGATATTTAACAGACCAGAGCACACTGTCAAAGAATTTGGCTACCTGCTATCACTTGAACATACAAAGTAATAATTTTAAAAAGCTGTATGGCCAATGTCCAGGATGAATTTATTTCTTGGAGAAAAAAATATATATGATTTTCCTAGACACCACACAGTGACTGGCACTTTTCATTTCTCTTTTATCACAGCATACAAAAAAGAAATCAACAGAAACACACCAAAACTTTTCCCAATATCCCTTAAATTAGCAGATTTAAAATTAAATCTTGAAGCAGTATTTTGTGATACTTTGATTCAAACTCTATTTACAAATTAAATTGCACTTATAAAGATAGCAACATTTCTATTTTGATAGTAGGTTATTTTGCTTTATTGTGGTTGTATATCTGGATATAAAACTTTTAAAGCTTTCTTGAATAAAAATCATTATTTTGCAGTCCATAATTTACTTGCCCACTGAATGTCTGAACCAGTGTTCTCTTTTTGTGTTTTTCTGCTCTATTTTATTTTACAAATGGCACATACCATCAGAGTAGGCACAGTCTGACACTGCACTCATTATGAGAGACTTATTCAGAAAAAAAGTGTAAGGAATAAAATATTAGCAGTCAAATCCTTTGGTTCATCTTTTCAAAAAAAATCAACTGATATAATTACAAATCATTGATAATTCATCTTTTTGGTTAAAAACAAATCCACCAGGTAGATTACTGATTAAAATGCAACACTGCTTTAAAACACCACATTCCTATTCTCATCACACTGTTCAAAGATGCCATTGTTTACAACTGATTGGACATGACACAGGATACAGTAAGGCACAAGTGGATGGTACAAATAAAAACAAATACTTTAGGACTTGTTTTTCTGCACAAATACTAAAATATGTACCGTTTTCAAGATAAAATAACAAAAAAGAAATACATATTTTTGTTATGAAATACCTATACAAAATTTTAAAATTTACACCATCTGAGCTGCCAAAAAAGGTTTAAAAAGTATCCATTTTTCCCCATACATAAAACTATCTCTCATCAGTAGGTCCAAGGGAACTTGGGGGATTCAAAATATCCCAGCACTTTACGGAAGGGAGGAGGATAAAAATTCCCCTTCCTGCTTTCCTTTACCCCAACATAAGACAAAAACAAAGGTCGTATGTTTACAGTAGTGTATTCTACTTATTACAAACAACTGAAATTAAAAAAAAAAAAAATCACACCGGGAGACCACTGGTGCGCTGACTGGTTGCGGGATGAGTAAGGCACTTCCTGGGAGACAGCAGCTTCCCCACACTCCACGGGAAGATGGCGCGCGGGGGCTGGTTAGGACAAGGAGCACGTGAGGCTCCCGGGAAGCAGACAGGAACGTCTCGACAGCAGAGGAAGACACAGGAGGTAAAACTTGGAGGTGAAACTCTACACAGAAGTGGTCACTCGGTCAATGGCATGATTGACCTCGTTTTTGTTTGAGTCCAGTCCTTTAGCAGCATTCATGTCATTCCGTAAATTCTCCACTGTCTTTTTCATGTGCTTTAACTCCCCTGGGTGTGGAGTGGCTCGCCTTAGAAGTGTTCTCTAAAAACAAACAGTGGAGTGAGTGTTTTGGTTTTATTCCACTACTTTTTTCAAAACATGCAGCTTCAAGGCATTAGCATTCCAATACAAATGTTACCTTCTTAGAAATTCTTAAAATGGGTGGAAAAGCTTTCTTTGGATGTATGTGCATTCATCAACTGCCCACTGGTAGTTAAGGAAAAGGGAAAGTGTTCCATGTAACTTACCTAGTTACTATAGAAGGATTACTTTCAGAATAAAAGAATACTTATAAAAATATGAAATTACTATAAAATAAAAAGGCTCCATAAACAGCAAGAACATTTATTTTAAAATTTAGGATATAATTACAGGGTGTGGGGAAAGAAAAAGATAAAAGAGTAAATAAAAAATCCTAAATTAAAGTCACTATAATGTTCTACTATTACCCAAAGCGATTCTGGCTTCCTTCAACCCAGAATGAGGCATGGGAGGCATGGGAGAAAAAGGAAATCAAGAGGGAAGTATACTTTTTCTTATTTTGCTGCTGTGTGTACTATTTCTATGACCTACTGATGAAAGTTCACACTCTTCTAATTAAGACTGGAAGTTAAGTAACAGGGTATGAGTAATTTTTAAAATATTATTTAATATGTTACATGATCTTTAGCTCATAAAACAGCATGTACATCTTTTAAATGGCCTATCCAAGAGCTTTAGGGGGAACCAAACTAGGTTAACAAAATACTGGAAGAGGCAATGAAGTCACTGGTGATAATCACACTCTAAGAAGTCTTGAGGTAAGCATTAAAGAGTCATCCACAGTGAGTGATTTTGTCATCCCTAATTTGCGTTTTGCCCTTTACGATTGTAAATGCCTAAAATCCCATTTGGTGACAGCTGGAATAACAAAGACTATAGGCAATAATTTAAAAACTGCCTTTGTTTTGGGGGCTGCAAGTACTCCCTCTAAGCTCTGCTTAAGAAAACTCTCAATTAGTTCAAGGAATTTAAGAAGCCAAAGTCAACTGCTAGAAAGATGTCAAGCCTTGTCACCAACACCTAGAGATGATGGATGTCTGAGAGACGAAATTTTCAAGTACAGATGAAAGTAATGGTGACTAGTATTTTCCAATTTCTGAACAAAAACTTGTTAACTAATCCAACTAAGATCATAAGCCCTCTACAAGAAGGCTAAGGTGAGCTGGTTACATGAAGAAGGCACAGAGGTCTGGCACTAAGTCAATTCATGGCAAGTGAATGGAGTCAACATGGGAAGAGACAGCATTCACTGGGAACAATTAAAAAAAAAGTTTCTCCATGTTAAGAAAACAGTGGGAGTGGGAGGGGAAACTATTACAAATAAAGAAAAAGAAGCACCATAAAAGCAGGACAACACAACAATAACAGGCCGGGCACAGTGGCTCATGCCTGTAGTCCCAGCACTTTGGGAGGCTGAGGCAGGTAGGTCACTTGAGTCCAGGAACTGTAGACCAGCCTGGACAACATGGTGAAACGTCATCTCTACAAAAAATACAAAAATTAGCCGGTCATGGTGGCAGGTGCCTGCAGTCCCAGCTACTTGAGAGGCTGAGGTCGGGGGATGGCTTGAATCCAGAAGGTCGAGGTTGCAGTGAGCTGAGATCACTCCACTGCACTCCAGCCTGGGTGATAGAGGGAGACTCTGTCTCAAAAAAGAAGAAGAAAAAAAAAAACCCATGAGTTCCATTTGCCTCATTTACCTTTTGTGAGTGAGTACCTAGAATTACCTATCTTTGTCTTCTAAAAAAATTCCTAAATGCTGAAGGCAAAGCAGAGAACATACTAATTGAAAATAAAGAATATCCTTATTAGGTGCCATTCTAATCTTTTAATTTTGAACTTCCACAGAGGCAAAGAATCTGCATTTCCATACCGTCTCATTGTCTTCTTCATCTTTCTCATCCTCCACAAATCGGATCGCACTGACTCTGTTGACAGCACGCTCGTTCCAGGCTTCATCAGAGACATCATTTACCAAGTTCTCCAGTGCACCACAGCGAGGCAGATTCTCTGCAGTGACAAAGACCACATAAGCAGGGAATTGCGTTTCATGTGATCAGTAAATGCTATGAACTTTGCGGCTGACAAGGTAGAATCTATACGGAGGACCAGGGGTAGAACACCAGAAATAAGGGGGGTGTTCTGTTGCAAGTTTGGCTTTAAAACACAAACACACACAAAATTCAAAAACAAAAAGAAAAAGGCCTGGGACAAGGTTGCCCCTTCTTTTTTAATGATGTATAATTCTATTTGAGATCATATAAAATATCTGCTAAATTAATATGTTTACTATTTCATCACAGAATGTCATAATTTAGAGTCCCTTTTAAAATGCTTATTTTATACAACTTCAAAACTGTTCTGACAGTGATGTGGCTGCACATGATGGACACTAGTACTTTCCTCAGTAACACACTCCACCACGTTTTTCTCTAGGGTCTTAAAGTCCTCCCACTTGGGCTCCCATTCCCCCAGGACACTCCGGTTCTCCTCCACCAAACCCAGCTCTCAGCAAAGGGTTTATAATAGCATTTTGCTGTTACTGTGAATTTTTTGTTTAACCACACAATTTACAAAACAAAGATACAATGACTCAAAATAATTCAATGGCTTAAAAACAGTATGCCAGTGGTGTTAATACTAATCCTCTGAACTATCAGTTTGGATTTTAAGAGACTCTGTTACCACTTCTAGAAGTATTGTATTTTCAGCCTTAGCTATAATTCAAAACCAAAAAACTGCTTATGGAATTTCAAACATGATAAATAGATAGGAGTGGCCCTTCTTCTGCAAGGATGTAGGGTAACCTTCCCGGAAGAGTCCCACAGTGGCCTCACCTGAGCTGGCTCTAGGTGCAGACTGGATATAACACAATCACATGAGGGAGTAAGAGGCCTTATGGACAGACATTAGGTCCTACTCAATCTCGTGGCCCTGTGAATACTGTCCTTAAATTAAATTCACCTTGACAAGTAGGTTCAGAAGGCAGCTGAGGAAGTAAGACACAGGTTAAAATCTTCTCTCCTGTGGTGTAGTCTGTGTCTGTCTGGAATGTAAGCAGGGGCTGGGACTGGTTGTCAGATAGCCACAGAGCCTTCAACTTCAAGGCAGTCAGGGATAAAGGTAGATGCAGCAACCTGTTTTTTTTTTTTTTTTTAAAAAAAGAGACATCACAACCTCAAATTTTGTAATCAAATCAATCCCTATCAACAAAATGAGGAAAAATTAAAAGGAGCTTCCTGAGATTGGTTTCAAAATGTAAAAACGGTGTTATGTTTTTAAGACGCAACATACTCTTTGCAAGTGGATTCCTCAGTAGGTTCCTGTGCTTCCCTTTTCTGCTCTCACTTCTCCCATTAGAACCTCCAGATTACAGAGCAAAAAAAAAAAAAAAAAAAAAAAAAAGAGAGAGAAAATTACAGGACACATTTTTATGGTCTTGTACTAGGTTTCAATGTAAAGAGAGAAAGTCAAGGTGATTTTGGAAGGACCCAGAAGGAGGAGTTCTTTACCTCTGATGGCCACAGCCTCACTGACAGGGCTGGTGTGAAGCTGCAGGATTACCTGTTTCCAGGAGCACCTGATGAATCAGGCCAAGAGGAAGGAGGTGCCTGCGGTGTCAAAGCATTTAAGTTGCAGCCAAAATAAAGATTAAACACCATTTTGGATGGACTCCATTTGCTTTCTCTAGGGAGATTATTTCAGTTATTCCCTTCTAAACCTTTATCTCTCAGTTTCTAGAAGCTCTCACTTCTCAGAGTCCTAGGTGACAATTAATATCTATATCAGATTATTTCAGTTTCAAATGAGGTAGTATAAATGAAAGTACTTTAAATGTTATAATGTGACACCTAAATATTAGTTTTATATTTATGTTTGCACAAAGATTTCACAGATTGGCTGCAATCAGTAGAATCTATTTAGTAAAGACCACTGCCAGAAATCATATGTACACCTATCTCCAGTTAACATTAGCAGGAAATCTACTTATACATCTTACCAAAAGTAATAGTGAATTATCAGACACACACAGCATTTCAATTGACAGAACTTACAGGAAATAAACTAGAACTCTCTAAAGATATGAAAAGAAGCTGTATTCCAACAACACAAAACTAATCAGAGTAAATGGTAGGCATAAACTGGTTAAATTACTTTAATAAAAGAAGTAAAAAAAATCAAAGAGTGCATGGACAGTATTAACAACAAATGCATTATTAACAAACTTTTTACAGTAACAATACATTTTGCAAAAGATTTCTGTGTTAGTTTCAAAGATGAGAAAATATTTTCTTTTCCTTAACAATTAGTCCAGTAAAGCCTGAGTCCATCTCATGCATATGTATTGGGTGCAGTACTGAGGAAGTACTGTGAAACTGTAACTTAAGTGGGAGTGAGGTTCTTAAGCCAGTGCATCCACGAGAACTGCTTATGTTAAAGTACCCTTGAAAAGACTATGAATTGTACATTATAAGATTTCACTAATGAGAGCAATATTAGGTGAGAAATACATATTTTTAAATCCTAGAATCCACCCAGTGCCACCATGTGCTCACAGCTAGAGAAGGACACCTGAGGGAACCTCAGGGAACAGCAGATTCACAATTCCATTTCTTTTTCCTCTGGGATATTTGTTCTTTAAGGGACAGAACTGAAATACCTTGTGCTTATACAAAAATTCTTTCTCTTTCTATCCAAAGAATGTTGCATACATGTAAACTCAAATGCGAGGAAGTTAAAAACATGTATTTGCCAGGTACTGTGACAAGGATTTTCTTAAATAGGCATTATACACTGTTAAAGCTTCAAGTACATCAAACTTTTTCATTTTATTGAACACAAATGTAATTTCTTTTAAATTTTTCTCCTACATCTTTTAAAAGAGGAAGCAAGCTAACATCCACTAGAATGTTTAAAGTTTCAAGTCTTGGGCAAGACACTTACAGTCAACATCTCTACCTGTCTTACTCATGAGAACAGAAAGAAGAAAATCAAGACTTGAAAACTGGCACAAAACACAGATACTCAAACGTGGTCACTGTAACTTCTCAGACTAGAAGCCACCTGAATGTTAAAGCAAAAGTATAAATAAGAGGCTAAAAAGAGCATCAATAATATTAATAAATCACAGCTTCTAAGGATGACAAGCCATATGACAAAAGCTAAATAAATTATTAGACTCTACAACAACAAATCTTATCAACATATTTCAACTCAAATTAATGAGTTGCCTGAAACACCAGTTTTGCTTCAAAGAATCAAAGTGCCAACTTGAATGTGGCTGCTGCTGACTGAGTCCACACCACACATGAGCTGCCCACTGTCTTGCGGACAGAAGTGTTGCCAGTGGTGTCCAAGAGAAAAAAAGGCACTGTTCCCTGAACAGTCTGCCCACAGAGATTCTGCAGGCTGGCTGATCCTCTAACTCACTACAGCCTGGGGAAAAAAAGACATACACATGCTTTTCTGTCTCTCTTGGGTAAACCATCCCAGCTACAAGTCAGAAAATGATGAGAAATACATTCCTGCTTTCCAAAGGAGCTAATAATACATTTTTGGTTTATTCTGGTACCTTCTGTACACTACAGAATAAACAGAATCAACGCACAAGAAACCACAGCCCGCAGGCATCTCTGTGTTCTATTTAGGACCACATGCCCCCAGAAATAAAAAACTTGTGGTTACTATTCACACCAATGGTACAAGAACTAAAGCAAATGAATAACCAAACTGTAAGCCTCTTGTCTCCAGTTATGTCCATGACCAACCCAGCCCCAAGTGACCTTCCATGTCTGTGAACTACTATAGCAACTGCTTTCTCAAATTTAATATCTAAGCATGGCCTACTGATTAATATTAACTTCACCAGTGACTGAATACGCCTTACAATGTAGTTTCATCTTTCTGCTACTTTCTACTAGAATTTTTAGTTTTAAGCAAAGTTTTCAAAAATATTTAAAAATATATATAAATTGGGAACATAACTGGCAAAAAATTAAACAATACTAAAATATCTAAAGTGAAAACTCCCTGTACCCTCAAGTCTCATCTAGGGGAACTACTATTAGTATTTGGGTATAATGCACAAATAAGTGATTTTTTTTTCTTTTTTAAGGAAAAAAACCCCACCAAAATGAGAGCTCTATATACTGTTCAACACTTTCCCTTTTCACTCAGTATCTTGGGTCTCTTTCTGTGTCACTGCACAGAGAAATATCTCATTCTTTGACTGCTTAGTATTCCACAACAGTATGCTGTTGTTTGTCTTTTAATATTTTTAATTATTTGGATTGGGTAATAGATACATACAAAGTACAAAATTCAAAAGTATAAGCTATTTCCTATTTCCCAATTGACAACCATTGATTCTAATATTCAGTACTACTAACACTGCAAGTAAGGAAGATCCTCAAATGCCCAGTTTTGCACACTTGGTGGATATTCCTATGGGAGAGAGTCTAAGTATTAAGGAATTTTGTGTTCTGTGCCTGAGTAACTGATGATATAAGACATTTTCTTTACTGTCACAGAAGGTTTAATACTTAGTTTCCAAGTGACAGGTTATAGTCATCCTTGCTATAATTTATCCTACCAAACTGCAAAGAAAGTTTCTAGAAACTCACAGTGTAGGTTTCCTGCTGCCATGTGTTATTTTCATATACTTGAAAGAAGAGGCGGAAGCTTCTATTGTATTTAATGATTTAGTATGATTTCCCATGGTATGACGTTTCTGCAAGCTAAAAGGCTGACAAGGTAGCCCTTTTTAAAAGATTAGTTTCTATACTGATACTTTTAATAAGTAGTGATTAAATATTTTAATAGGCTTAACATTTGGTTATGAATCTATATATGTATGCATGGACTAAATGACACACTTAACTGACTCAAATGACAGCTATGTAACTCGACTTTTTAATTGGGTTTTCTCCATCCCAGCCCAAGCATAATAAAAATTTAACTTTCTCTTTTTCTGAGAACTGGAGAAATGGGCCTTCATTCATGTAAAAACAGTTTTTCGGCATCACAGCCATCTTTCGGCTCAAGAATTGAGGCAAATTCATGCTCAGTAGTGTGGCAAGAACCAGCAAATGTTGACTCATTGAGTTGCTATTGCTAGAGGATAAAGATCAGGAAAGAAGTACCCTTCTCAAGCTGTAAAGGCTCATGCCTTAGTTCTGCTTAGTTCAGCAGAAATCCGAGGTTCAACTCAATTTAATCCTGGGTTTCCGGCAACCAGTTAGTGGTCTTAAGAATCTATCAAGATGTCCTGAAAGCATTAACTCTAAAAAGGTGAGCATTCCCTGAGGCTATAACTCACCTCTAGATTCCAGCTGAGAACTGCTGTTTATTTAGCCCTGCTGTCTATAATCCATTAGCAAGAGTAAAAAATGGTGACCCGTGCCTGACCAAAATGACCAGCTAATCAACACTCAGGAGACAGCCTCCCAAACACTCTTTAGACTGCTGGCCTTTACCATTTAAGATCATTGATAATCTTCCCCCAAGCAGTTGAACCTTTTTCTCCTCTCTAACCACATCACACTCAAAAGCAATTTTTAATTCCTTTTGGCAAGGAAGCCTATGATATAAGACATTCTGCAGTGGGCTGCTATTCATCCTGTAAAACTATTAACATTTTTGTTCCACTGAAAATATTTACCAGGCATCCATTATGTGCCAGGCACTCTGATGGGACAAGTGACACAATGACACATAAATCAGAAGAATATCTAACTTTAGGTAACTTCAGGCTTAGTAGGGTTACCCATATGAAAACAGGCAATTCTCATATGGTACTGTGACTGCCATGGCAGGGGAAATTCCCCAAATGCAGATTCAGAAAGGAGGCTCCCTGGAGAAAATAAAGCTTGAGTGATGAAGAAGAGAGCCAAGGAGCCAGAGAAGAGGGTCCCCAAAAGAAAGAATAGCCTGTTTCTGTTCACAGAGAAGGCGCATATGACATTTAGGGTGCTGAAATTAGCTCAGAATGATGGAAACAAATGTGTTCCACAAAGATGATGAACAGGCATATTTTAGAAAATGGCACTCAGTCCAACATGACCTCTGCTCCGGAACTTGAGAAATGGTGATGCTGTGACCTTGGGGATACTAGTCTGGCGGCTCTGAACTTTTTTTGTATTATGAATCATTTGGAGATTCTGACATTAGCTGTAAACACTTCCCTAAATACACAATTCTGTTTGTATTTTCAGGGGGTTCAGAGTCACCAGCAGAGTATATCAAGGTCCCCTGGTTAAAACTGAGTTCAAACTCATTTGCACTCACTTTGCAGGTGAGGAAACTCTGAAGCCCATGATGATTTACAAAAGCTACTTAGAAGAGCTAAGTCACAACCCAAGTCTCCCCATTCTCAGGTCAGTGCTCTTTCCCTGGCATCACTGTACTGTCATTCTGGGAAGCATTTCTACGAAAGTGTCCACTGACACTTTAACCCATGCTCAGGTTTTCCCTGACCTTCTCTGCTCCATTGGGCTCAAGCACTCTAGCCCCCCTATGAAGGAACTCCCTGAGGCCTAGGTCATTTGAAAAATCAGGATTATATTCTGTAAGATAAAGCAAAGACAAAAATTTGAAGATGCACTGCCAAGATTGGGATGTATGTATATTTGTTTCCCTCAAGCAAAGCAAACTACAACAGGCTTACCTGTTCCCTGCCACATCCAGGACATGAAGTTCTGTTGCCTGTGACACCTCTGCAGGTATCCGAGTTAGTCTGTTGTCACGTACACAGAACACAGTGAGGCTGCAGCACCCGCCGATCTATGGTGAGAAAGAAAATACATCTTTTTTCCAGTTTTCTAGGGGAGATGGAGTAGGATCAGAGTACCTTGTTTACCAAACAGTATAAAAAGGATGCATAAACTTATACCACATAACTCACCGGTCTCACTGATGACCAACAATCATTAATTTAAATCTTACAAAACGCAGCCCCATATGTTCATAAAAATCTCTGCAAAATGTTAGATGTACATGTTCTAAATTAAATCAAGAAAATCAATGATACAGTTAAAAAATTTTATTCTAAAGAAGAAATCATTTTCCACTGCTGATATCTAACGCAACTGCATCTGTTAAATGTTAACCAAACTATACAATCCAGAAAAATACTATGTGGTAATATGTGAGTTTAACAATCCTATTTTCAAAAGTTAGGCCAAAGGTGATACTGATACACACATAATTCAAGACTTGCCCATTATATTAACTTCAGCATTCTTGGTGTTCCAGTTTTTTGTTTTTTGGTTTTTTTTTTTCAAAAAGAGGGGTATCTTACAGATGATACAGTACATTAATTTCCACCATACATCTTTTAATAGCTTTTGGTCATTCACAAATTAATGTGGTAAATCCACTTTTTTTGATGAATGTAAAATCAACAGTATCTTCACAGAAAGTGAACTGAGTAAATCCATACATCCATTTCTTCAGCTGCAGCCTGCTCATAAAAGCACACAAATCAACACCTCCATCCACACCAAATTTGATTACCATTTTTTTAAAGTAAGCAATTTAAAGGTAACTGAGTTTTGTATGAGTCTGGTCTTCAAAAAGGAACATAAACACACAAAAAAATCCAATGATTCTCTTGAACAAATTGGCGGTGGTTTTTACAGTCAGGAAAACTGAATCAAGAGGGCAGAAAAATAGCTTGATCCCAGACACAACATTCTGCAGGACTCCATAAAGTACTACATTCTTCTTGTACTCACTCTCCTGACTAAGGGCAATTGCTAGAAAAGGCTCATGAAGGAACCTATTGATGTCTCTCCAACACATGGAAAAATACTACTCCAGAGCCTCCCACTTGTGAAAGAGCACAAGACTTGAATGGTCAATGATATCTGAATATATCTTCTGCCCTTTTCTATTTATACATGTGTTTAATATATGTATAAAATATCTTCAAAAGCAGAATGCATATTTTTGTGAATGGCTACATAATTACTTTCATACATAATCTTTTTATTTCCTCCCTTAAAAATATAAAGATTTCAAAATAATGTATTGAACCACAATATTTAACCATAATGTATATAAAAGAAAAATAAATATATAAGTAAATGTAGACTAACATTTGTCTCTGGTCATGTGGAAAGCACCCAGATATGTAGAAAGGCTTTTAGATTACTCCCTTTAGTCTCCGCATTCACATATTTCTCATCCCAGCAAAAATGGTCTAGTCATTATACCCTAAATACATTTTTATATTTTTGATCCCATTGTTTTTTATAGAAATGCCTTTTTAAATCTTACCAATGATCCAAAATTAGCTAAACATCGTCTATTCCTCCATTGAGTCTTCACAGAACGCTTTGGTCCATATAATAACACGCATTTCATAATTACGGTCTAACCCTCTGACAGCACAAAATACCACATGAAGAACCCTAAGATCATTTACCTGAGTTACAGCTTATTTGCACATGTTTATGTACACTCAAGGTACTTGGCAAGTATAGTATTCACGCTATCTACCCACCATGCATAGCCTCTCTGCCCACTAAATTTCTCATTTACATATGTTTATACACTTTATTTACTTACTTGTGAAAGACCTCTACTTAAAAGTTATCTGCCTCTATGTGTAGCAGTGGAGACAACAAAACTCTTTTTTGTTCCAGTAAGAATCACCAGAGTAGCCTTTCTTAGGTTTTAGAAACATCAAGCCCCAATATAGTGTGGATTTCCCATATGGCTGAGCATATTCTCCCTCCCTTGAGGAAGGGAATCAACAATTCTACCTAGGTGCCCAGAAATATCATGGAAGGAAAGCAATCAAAACCCTGATCCTTTTGATGATCAATATTATTAGAGTCTCTGATAAATTTAGACAATCCTGACAAAGATCTACTCATGAGAAAGAATGACTAGGTTCCCATGGGGCACCCTTGCCGCATCCCTGCTCCAGGTGGAGGAGCTTCGGTGTCAGGCTGGGGTTCAGAGGTACGGCTGCATGCCCTGAAGGAGAGCTTCCAAGTCAGCAGTTGGCTGAGGCTGAAGACCCCCGCTAGCGTCCTGATCTAGCTTTGAAGAGACAGGATTTATGTGTGACCCAAGGGGGGCAAAGCAGATATTATCATTCATATGATCGTCCGGATGGGATAATCAGCTCCTGGAAGACATACAGAGCTGGGACTGCATTTTAATTCTGGGCATCTTGTCTTGAAGCTGTCCACTGCCCTCCCACCACACCAACCTGTAAGATATCTGTTTTGGGGCCCTACTGCTATACCATGTGAACATTTTCAATTTGTATCATATGCATATATTATGTAGTCAAAAAAATTAATTAATTAAAGTGGGTCAGAGAAGGCTCTAAATAAATGTTCTGGACAAGATCCATTAATCATTTGGGAACATATTGTGTAAACTTCAATGAAGTGTGTGAGCTGTCTACTGTGTGTTATTGTTTCATTTTTCTTTTTCCTTTCCCACTCTAATCTCACACCCATTTGAGACGTCAAGGGGTGGAAAGCAATTGCGTACAAGAGCCTCTTAGGCCCTCTGGGTTGTCAAAGCAGGCAGTGTGACCTCCTGATCTCTATTGTCTATGGTTTATGAAAAACAATGCCAACAAAGAGCACATGTTGTTGCAGAGTGTGCTAGGGATGCCTTAATCACCCCACAAAGGCACATGCTGTCCCAGCGAACATTCACATAAACACAGCCCTCTTTCCAAATCAGCCAGGAAGGGATGGCACAACCTTTGGTTTTTAGAAAAGATTATTAAGCATTCAAACCCATAACTGAAAAGATATAGTTCATTATAGACGTCAGAGGGAGATGCGGTATGATGGAGGGAGCGGATGCTTTGAGACCATACAGACCTGGGCTAGAATTTAGGCTCAGTCATATGTTTTGTGGTTTTGGATATGTTACTTTAACCAAAAGTAACAATAATGATTAACTTAAATGAAACCACATATATAATTTGGCGCCTATCATAGAAACTGGCCTTTTGCTGTTGCCAAATAAATGTGGTAGCTATTTTTTTTTCCAGGAAATAAAAACCTCAGATCCAAATGATGAGTACAATCAACACCTGAATACCTACTATGTTCTTAGAACTGTACTGATGCTGGCAGTCTCTTTCCTGAACTTACCCGAATGTCTTAAAAAACCCATCTCCCTAACGATGTATCGCAGTGACATTTTGTATTAATAATAATGAAGACTGACATTATACACATCATTCATATATATTTTGGCTTTCTCTTTTGGGTTCAGGAGGCAGAGTTTACAGGTTTCTCAGTGGTAATCAGGATAAAATGTATCACTTAGAAGTTCTGGGAAGCAGAGTCACTGTTTAAATAACTTATTACCAGTTATGTAGGAAGCTGATATTTTTAAGCTTCCCTTAAACCACATAATAGCACCTTCCCAGAATACAAGGGGTTGGACTTGGATTCTCTGAGAATTATGGAATATAGCTGAGAATCTTTGTCCAGCCATTTTGTGTCTCTCTTAATTCAAAATGATACTCTCCTTAGCTGTTATGCACTGATTTAACCCATCTCAAGAAAATAGGTTCTGCAGATTATTGAGCAAACCTCTGCTCAGGTCAACTTTCACTAGGTATTAATTGCCTGCAGGTTAGCTCACCCAAGGAGGAGATCATGAGACAGATTCAGTGATTCAAAAAGGGAGCCTATGTTAGTCACGTCTGTTTATCTTCCATTTTTTAAATGCTTGCCTTAAGTATAAGGGAACTTTCACTTTCCTTCAGTATATTCCTTTTAATATTATTTGTAACATAATTGAACACACACCCCATTGGCAAAAAAAGAAAAGTGTACAATAAGTAAAATCTGGCCAAAACGCAATTTGAACAAAAATAATATGAAGCATAATTTTAGAATCCCATCATCTATGGCATATTATTCAAATGTTCCCTACTTCATAAATATTTTTGGCAATTGTGTGGCTTTGGGATTCCCTGAATTCTGAGGCCACTGACATCAAAATATCCACTAATAGCTACGGAATTCTTTTTTTTTTTTCTGATTATAAAAAAGTACCTTACATTGATTAGAAAAATAAAAACTAAACATACATGCACAGGAAAGCACAATGAAAAAAAATCAAATCTTACCACAAAGGGATAATCAGTATTAACATTATGAGGTACAATCTTCCAGTACCACTGCCTTGCATTTGTGATTATACATACACACTTTAACAATGCTTCTAAGAGGACTTTTATGGACCACATAGTTATTTCCTTCTATGGATGTATCACAGATTATTTAAGAAACTGCCCAGGTTAGACAATGCTAGTTAGGTCTGCCACTTCTTTGCTGTGTGACTCTGGACAAGTGACTTAACCTCTCTCAGTCTTAGTTTCACAATCTGTTGGACATTGAAAATGGTTTACCTATACCTCATAGAACTGTTGTGATAATTAGATAAGAATAAGTGCAAAAGCCCTTGGCACCATGCCTGGCACATGTTAGCTGCCTCTGTGGACACTTGGTATGGTGCCTGCTCCCATGTATAATGTGAGAAATGTTCTTGTACATCATTCTTAGTGTATATCCATAAATGTTTTCCTAGACGTGGAATTGCAGAATCAAAGGGTACGCACATTTCTAAAGTTTTTACTATTATCATATTCCCTTCCAGAAAGTCATAATAATTTATATTTACATGATAATATATATTTCCCTCCACCCTTGCCAAAATTTGGCATTATTAAATTTTTTTGTGAATACTGATGAGGCTGAAATTGTTTCACATTAGTTGCCATTTCTATTTGTTCTTGTGTGAATCACTTGCTGGTTTTTGTGGAAGTTTCTTTTTGTCTACTTCTCTATAGTAAATACATCTTTTCCTTATTGGTGTAGAAGAACTTCTAATAGAGTAAAGACAGATCTCTCATTTAAGATGCCTTAAATGTCTCCCTGCCCCCTTTCAAGAAAGTAAAGGCTGCTTTTACCTTCTTGAAGATCAGAAATCGAATTTTCCTGTAGACAATCCATCAACTATTTTTTATGACTTATTTCAAGTTTAGGAATTACTTCTCCATCTTGAAATTTGATGGTCAACTATATTTTATCTAATATTTTTATATTCTATATCATGTCTTTAATCAATAATTCATTTTAGAATACAACGGAAACTTATACTGAAAGAATTTTGAATTGCAATAATAAGAAGGCAGAAAAACTATCCACAAAATGAATATTCTATCACCACAGGCATTTCTGAGTATCATAGTAATATTTATGGGTAATTAATATTTACAGGTTGCCTGACTGAAAAAAGCTTTGATGAATGATCTGCAAATGCTATGTTGCCTCATCTGACTGGGTAAGTGTGGCTTAGTTGGCGTCTCTTTCATTTGGACTTAATGGAGACAAAAAGAAAACAGGACCCTAAACTTGGATATAAGCTCAATTTCTTCTAGCCAAAAACTCTTTATGGTCTGGCTCTCATTCATCATACTCATGCTCACACATATACCACCAACTCCATCTATCCATGAATCAATCATACTACTGCACAATATGTTCCTTAACTCTCCTCTCCACCAACACTATGAGTTTTTAAGAAATCTTTTCCCAGAAGTATATATACTTAAGCAACAGGATGAAAAATAAAAGACACAAATAAGTGACTTGAAAAATCAGAGGCATGCCAGGTGTAGCAAATAAAGCAAATCTAGCCTTTCCATTAGAGACAGATTTGTGCCGACAAACTTACAATTTAGTGAAAACAGATGAGCTGCCAAATGATGCCTTTCAGGATTTCTGAATAACTTAAAATGTAATTCACAGAAAAGCATTCTTTTGAGAGTGAATAATCTGAACAAACTTGAAAAACACATAACAAAGTAAGGTTCCAGGCCATGCAGTCATTAAAAAAAAAAAAAAAATGAATTTAGAAGAAAATGTCCAATATTTTACAATGAAGAGCACACAAAGCAGTCAGCCAATGTGAATCTTCATGCATTTAAGAAGCAGAATGGAAGTTAGAGATGCAACTGTGGTCTGAACAATACTTACAAGATAACAAGTTTACCTGACTTTTCTAAATTTCCAAGCAGCTAACAATTAAGAAAACAAAAGACATTCATTGATTTGCAAATGTTTACTACAAATAACACCACAAAACACAAACAGAATCCATATTGTGACCCACATGGTACAAACATCTTCCCCTCAACCATTTGGGGAAAAAATGCAAATAAATGCTGCTACAGACTAAGGAGCTGTGCCCTAAAACTGGCAACACACAATACTATAAATGTTGTTGTTTTTTTTAAAGGAAAAAATATAGGAAGAACTACACAGCATACCAGACCAATGGCAATTAATACTACTATGGATTTTTGGCATATGAATTGAATCGGTCAGCATTTCAGTTTAGATATGTATGCAACTTAACTGTTCAAGAGAAAGCAATATATTTTTGGAAGAATCCAATCAGGAAAATGCAAGATTTGATCAAATGGCATCAAGCTTGGAGGCAGAGCTAACATACACACAGTCACAGGGCCTACCACACTCACTGCACAGAGACTCATGACATGACAGTGCTGCCTGGGCCAACGTGATGCAATGAGAGGTCAGGAGGCTCTTGCTGGTTTGGCTGCTCAGCCCTGATGGTCAGAGGCAAGCACTCAACCATTTCTGCTAGGCAGCAAACTGTGATCCGAGGGAGAATTGGAGACATGTGCTCAGCACATTTTCCTACGCTGGGAGCTGAGTGTATGTAAGTAGGAGGTGATCTAGAAAAGATCCAACTCCTAAAAACCTAAACATTCTCTGCTTTATCAGACAGCTGAAAGGAAAGGCGCAGACTATTTCTTTCTAAAATGCCAGAAGCCAGAAAACCAATCATAATTTCTCAGAAAATGGACAAAATATGACTAAAACGCTTTGAAGTTAGAAATACTTTCATATTTTCACTTTTCACGTCATGAAAAACTGTTCTAGTAAATTTAGTGAACACATAGCATGGACTAGATATAACCCTCTAGTCAGAAACTCTTGAGTGTGTTTCATTCTTTTAAAGTGAAAAAGAGGACCGATGCTGAAATGATGGTGAAAGTTTTATGAAAGTAAATTTCCAAGGTTCTTGTCTAGAACATAATCTTGTGAAAGAGAGTCAGGGGATCAGGGAAGCTGGGGATGGGTGGTGAAACTTGCTGGGAATTAACATTACACCTAAAAGTGCTCTCCTCATGATCTGCCTTGAAAGAACACCTAAAATGTGTTAATTTTCTGTAGTGTCCAAACTAAAGATACTTTGGCTTTTCCTTAACAAATCAGGGGCTTGCCCTACCTCAAGGTCACACAGATGGAAAGGTTGGGCTGAGCCTGCATTACATAAGTGGTCACGTGTTTACTGGGAGACTCATCTTTGGAGTCAGGTTCTACCAACTCCCAGCTGTGTGAGCCCTAGTAAGAAAAACTACTTACTGGCCTCCGTTTCCTCACTCGTAAAATGAAGAAATTATCATGACTGCAAAAGCTGTTGTAAGGATTCAACAAGTACAACAAATACTTGAAAGCATCTAGTACAGTGCCTGGCATTAAAAAAGAAAGAAAGAAATATTTTCTACATCTGTATGTGTGTTTATATGCCCAATCTACTATCCATCTGCAAGCACTATTCAGCAAGAGTAAATTCAACTGTTCAGAATATCAGTTCTGTATTTTGGTTTATTGCTTAGAAACTAGAAGCCAACTTTTCTAATTAGTAGAATCTCTTAGTTGAGTCCCAGTTTTGCTGAGAAACAGACTGAAGTCTTACAGCCAGAAACAGTTTACTTAGATGACAGTGTTCATATTAAGGATGTTTCAGAATATGATCATGTTTATAGTAAATATTCTCATGTCTCCATTTAGAAATGCTGGCCACCTTACCCAGGGAGAAGACTGGGACACTGTGGGCCGAACACCAAGATGAGGAAAGGAAAGAGGAAGTTCAGATACCCTGAGATGTGGCCCTAGGAAAACAAGAACGCCACATGTTCTGACTGGCTGGAAGGCAGCTTTGAAATTACACCAAAATAGACGTTAGAAAAAGTCAAAACAGAAATATGAAGCAAACTACACCCAGCCAGTGATCATATCATCCAAGGAAATACCATACCTTTCCAGATGAGGACCCAGCAAAGGAGAAGGCTCATCAACAGCTAGTTTTAGGCTTTATTGCTGATAAAAAAAATCAAGCTCAGTATTATCCTTCTCCAACCAAGCACTTCCAGTACCCAATAGAAAGTAAGCCTTCTTCTTTTTCTCTTTTCATTTTTTTTTTTTTTTTTTTTTTGAGATAGAGTCTCGCTCTGTCACCCGGGCTGGAGTGCAGTGGCGTGGTCTCGGCTCACTGCAACCTTAGCCTCCCGGGTTCAGGCAATTCTCTTGCCTCAGCCTCCCGAGTAGCTGGGACTACAGGCGCCCGCCACCACGCCTGGCTAATTGTAAGCCTTCTTTTTAAACAACACACTAGACACCTCCTTGTTTGACCCACTATAAGCTTCCTCCTCATTGTCAGCATTTCCACCTCCCTTGCCAGAATTTAAATGCCTCTCAGTCCATACAGCTACTCTCCACAACAGATGGTGATGTCTCATTTTCTCGTGCTTAGACTACTAACCAAAAAAAAAGTCCTAGGAAGCTGGCTTTAGCTTCCCATTCACCTTCCTCTATGTGTATGCCTTTGTGAACAGTTTGTTCAACCTCATCCAAGACATGAGCATGGCCCAATGTAAATCTCTGCCCAGAAATATGGTTGCATCAAGATCAATTTTTATAATTCCAATTGCTTATGGGATGGAGCTTAATTTCACATTAAATTCAAAAATCAAACCCAAAGGCATCCACTTCCTCTGTCAAACTCCCAAATTATCAATTTCTGCCAATGGTGTCACCATTCTCTGTATATCAAACCCAAAATGTCAATCTCTTTCTTTCTCCCATTTAAAATCCTATAAATTCACCTTTTCCAACTCTCCTTAATGTTACTGATGATCATTCTTTGACATAATTCCTCCAGTTGGCTCTATACTCACAGATTTAGAGTTCACACCTTTAAAAAACAACACATGCGTCTTTTCAAAGCATTTGACATTTTTGATCCCTTATGTATTATTATTATTTCTTCATAATTATTATCATGTGATTTCTCTAAAAGCACATACCTCTTTTGGTAAGGACACTAATTTATTTCTGTCTGCATTCAAGTTGCTCAACTTCTTTAGTTTTCCAATGCTTTTAGGCAGGGTCTGTTAAAATAACAATTTCACTATTAATTTAACACACATTTTTAACATGGCTCACAGTAAATAAGATCTTTGCAAGGACCTAAAGAATATAATCTCATCCAGCAACAGAAGCAATAGTTCTTGCTGAATATCAGATATTTGTAATGTTCCCTTAGGGGGTGCGACATTAAGTATTTTGAATTTTTGTTGAAATGATAAGTCTGTTTTAAAGGAATGAAGTCAAAAGTAGAGACCTGGGAACAGGGAATCATCTTGTAAAGGGAAAAAGATGCTGTTCAACTCAAGGAAGTGAGAATTTGCACCCTCAAGATTCATTCCTGCCCTGCCTGCACCTTCAAGGACCACACTGGGACAGTGGCTTAGATGTCCGTGGAAGCCAGAGCACTGGGGCAGGGAATCAGCACCCGAAGCAGGGTGCCGCATGGGCAGGGAAAGGCAAGGGCTATGGGGATGGGAGAAAGGTGAGCATCCTGGAGTGGGGAGCAGAGCTCTACCAGAACCAGGCTGGCACCCACATGGGGGTCTTCAACACTCCAGTGCAATCCAGGGGTGAATATTATTTTTACAGTTGTTATGATTACTATTTGTAAGCCTAAAATCACAAAGCAGGACTGGAAGATTTGGTAACTCCCACCACACCTGCCAGAGGCTGGCTGCTTCAGCTGTCTGAGGAGAGGGGCTGCTGGGCTCCCCACCCACATCTGTGCACTCCATCCTTTCTTGCTGTCCCTTCTGCTCTTTCCACCTAAAGAACATTACTTACTCTATTTATAGAGAAAGGAGAAAAGGGAAAAGGAAAAGCGAAAAGGAAAAGGAAAAGGGAAAAGAGAGTAAAAAAAAAATGACAAAATGAAGATGGAGAAAAGAGAAAAGTAGGAGAGTAAACTGAAGAAAAGAGAGTGCTATATGACAACTAAAAGTGGGGGAAGGAGAAGTGACAACTGAAGGGCTGACAAAAGCAGAGGGGGCAGCAGGACAGGAAAAGACGACTGAGATCTGCTGCCACCCTGCCCACCCACCCTTTGCCAGGGGGTGCACGCATTGCCCCTGCCCTTGTCTGGTGGGAGCCTGGTCCAGGTAGAGGACCCCTCCAGTCCCCTCCACTTCCAAGTTCTAATAAGAAGCAGCCTTAACCAGAGCCCATCAGATGCCATCCTCTGGCTCCTTGATCAAGAGCGTTTCCCAGCCCCCATCCTGCCAAGGCTTTTCCTGGCCAACGTCCATCTCGTTCCTCTTCTCTCCTGCTCTTCCCATTTGCTCAAAGAACCCAGAGAGAGGCCAGAGGAATCCTGATGAATATTCCCAGTGGTGGTCTCTGGGCACCACAGCTGGGGCATCAACACATCCAACGAGAGTAGCTTATCCCCACACCTCACTGGAGACATCTGTGAGGCATTTGTTCAGTCTCTATATTCAAAGCACCACAACTGGGACACAGGCTCAACAGGGAAACCTAAGCACCACTTTCTTTGCTTAAGCAGGTTAAAAACTGATCTTTAGGTCATGCATTTGCTTTGTAAGACCGTTTTGGGATGTAATATGAAGAAATTTCCATTTAGTCCACTCAAATTACAAATTAAGTAGAATCTACCCTAGTAAGTCTTTATGATATATGTGCAAACCACACTTACCAGGAGCTGATTTTCTGTAAGAACTAACTCAGTGAGACTTTCACATTCCCCAACTGCTTCAGGCAACTGTGTGAGTCTATTCTGATCCACCTTCAAGATTGACAGTTTCTTTAGTTTTCCTGTAAAAGCATTATGATTATTATTATCAAATTCATTAGTTACAATTATTTTCATAATCACTGCTTGGAATTTCCTATCTGCTGTTCTTTTTGTTTTAAACAGTTACTTATTTTTTCCTCATCTAGCTTTTCACATTATGAAACTCTATCATTTAGATCACTGAAGGTTGGGAGTTAAAATAATTTGTTTAGAACATCAAAAACGGTCAGCAATAAGAAACAAAACATTTTAAAAAGCATAAAAACATTGCATCAAAGCCAAGAAATTTACAGAAAAACAAAACAGCTTTCTCTCCGTGGAGGTGTTTCATGCACAGAGGAGACTTTCATTTTACTCCAAGCATTATCCTTATAATAAACAAAAAAAAAATAGTTTATTAAATCACCTATGAATGAAAATGACTCAACGAAGATCCCTACAGTGCGGTATTTCTACAGGTGCAGAATAAAGCGGTAACCTCTGGAAAGCCATATTAAGGATGGAGTCTATTTCACTCAGGCCAGGAAGACTTGACGTCCTGGTGATACCCACTGTTCATGGGAAAGAAGAGCAAGTCTTACTGCAGCCTCCTCAGAGTCCCCACTAGCCACTAGTAAAGTCATTCAGATTCTCACTTCAACAAGTCATGGGATTAAGCCCACAGAGCAGGCGCCCTTCATTCTCTACTGAGTGGCTAACACATTGACACTTTCCCCACTACATCAGAAAACATCCTCTATTCTAACACAGTCATAAAGCTGGAGAAAGAAAAATACCGAAAGGCGTATCTTGCCTCGGGTGCAGCCACAGGGCAAGATAGGAGAAGGAACCAATTCTTAAGCTCTTTATTTAGCATAATCAATAGCCTAACACTGTCACTGGAGGGTTTCCACCTGCCCTCACGGTCAGGAGATCCACTAGCATTTTCTGCAGGGTATGCTGAATAGCACAGCCAAGCACCGAAACATCTCACCCCAACAGAGAAGTCTCCTGGCAACTAGTCTTCTAGCCTCTCCTTGAATACTTCTAGTGACAAGGTACTCATTTCTTCACTAAGCAGCCCAAACTGATTTGTAACATATCTTTGCTTTTTTTTTTTTTAAGAGACAGGGCCTCACTCTATTGCCCAGGCTGGAGTACCCCGGTACAATCACGGCTCACCGCAGCCTCAAACTCCTACTCCTGGACTCAAGCAATCCTTCCCCTTCAGGCTTCTGAGTAGCTAGGACTACAGGCATGTGCCACCCCACTTGGCTAATAATTTTATTTTTGGTAGATAGGAAGTCTCACTATGATGCCCAAGCTGGTCTTAAACTCCTGGCCTCCCAAGGTGCTAGGATTACAAGTGTGAGCCATGCCCAGCCATCTTTGCTTTTTAAAGCTCTTTCTTAAATGAAATTCACAATACTTTCATTTTGCCCATTTGATCAGAAAGCTGTAATACATCTCTTTCTTTGGAAGACAGTCCTTTAAACGTTTGAAGTCAGCCTCATGCTTGCTGCTGCTTCCTATTCCAAGCAACAAAACATGCCCAGTCTCTACAACCCTTTTCAGATGCCATAAACGATTCTCAGTGAACATCTCGCATAGAGCCAAAACCCCTACCGATTTTCCAGCTGGGTTTAACCAAAACACAATGTCTGAATTTCTACTGAAATTTTCATCTTGACCACATACCACGGAGGGAGTGGTCTTCTGCCATACAAGTTCTCCAACTATTGAAAACCTTTCAAAAACTTCTTTTGATGTGATGTTCTGCATAAAATTAAAGACAGCAATCCTACGATAACTCCATGGTTAAATACAGTCTCTTTCAACTTCAAAGTGGCTTTGCTACAATGGAGCTCCCAAGTCCGTATCTGTTTATACTTTCTCTGCGTTTAATTTCTCACACTGGACTAAGTTCCTTCATAGTAAAGAAAATGTCTAGATTGATTTTTTTTTAAAAGAAAATAGCACAGAATGATAAAAGGATGATCGATGTACTAAAAAAGGCTCAATTCAATTACGCCACTCTTTCAGCACCTCCCTTAGGTCATGGAATAAGTCAGTCATTTTCTCATGAACTATTAGGATGCCAAATTAGAAATTTCTTAGTGACTGCTCATATGCCTTAAATACATTTTATTATTTGGGGTAATCCCTCATGAAATCATTGAGAGAAGATACAGATGAAGTAGAGATGAATCGATGCTTAAAAGTAACGACAGCAGTAATAGATACCAAGCCAGGATGACAGAAACATCTGCATGTAGAGAAACTTCTGCTGTAATAAATACTCTTTGCTTTCCTTCTTTAAAAACAAACAGCAAGGCCGGGCATGGTGGCTCACATCTGTAATCCCAGCACTTTGGGAGGCGGAGGCGGGCGGATCACGAGGTCAGGAGAACGAGACCATCCTGGCTAACAGGGTGAAACCCCGTCTCTACTAAAAATACAAAAAATTACCCGGGCGTGGTGGCGGGCGCCTGTGGTCCCAGCTATTCGGGAGGCTGAGGCAGGAGAATGGTGTGAACCCAGGAGGCGGAGCTGGCAGTGAGCTGAGATTGCACCACTGCACTCCAGCCTGGGCGACAGAGCGAGACTCCATCTCAGAAAAAAAAAAAAAAAAAAAAAAAAAAAAAAAAACAGTAAGGAGACTTTAAGGAGCCACATCCTCAGCATCTGAAAGTGGTGACCAAAGGATCAAAGTGTGCCCCAAACCCTCAAGACGACGGCAGGCAGTATGTTTAGCAGTTAGTGATTTCCAATGCTTACCAATGCCATCCGGAATCGTTTCTAATAAGTTCTGGGAAATGACTAAATCCGTTAATGAAGTCAGGCCACTGATTTCTTCAGGAAGTCTTTCCAACCTGTTTTCAGAGACATCTAAACACAGCAGGTTCTTCAGATTTCCTATTTCCTATAACAATGACATGGAAAAATAAACGCACACTTAAACCTGCCACAGTGCAGAGGCATTTGTTCCAGTGATTTTTCACAATTAAATCCCAGGGCGGTCCTAAGGATGTTATCTTTAGCATGAATCCAAATGTGAAGGCAGGGGCAAATTCCTAGATCCCCTTCCAATGAAAGTGGGAAGTTGAATGAATCACAGACCCAGAGCTGGGAGGGATGCAAAGCCCTCCACCTTTCAGGCAGGCAAGGAATCATTCCCACTTAATAGGTGAAGATACAGGAGAAAAAACGACTGCAGGGTCACACAATTAGAAAAGAAAAAGGAGGCTAGAATTTAGCTTTTCAAGTTCGGAATTGATCTCTAGTAAGCAGCTTACACTGCAGGGTGACCCTGGGATTTCCTCTGGTAAGAACCTACCTACTTTGTATTTTCCTTCCATGACAGGTAGCACTCGTTAGCACAAACATCAATGCAATTGCTCCCCAGCAAAACCGGAACATACATACCTATCTGTATCTTTAACATTAAAAGCAGCATACTGCCTTTAGTGAAAACAGTCTACCAGGATAAGGTAAAGTACCTCCATGAGTCTAACATTCTATTCAAGACCTACCTTTTCTTCTATTCCCAAAGTGCAAGCTTTCTCTCTTATCACTGACTCCACTTTTCCATTCCACTTCCCAATATTAAATCTTAACCTCATTACTCCTTTACCTTGACTGTCAGCTCTGCCTCTTGGGCTCTAGTCTTAACTTCCCCTTTCCTGAGACCATTCCATAAACTGTGCTTCCTCATTTCCTTCCTGAAACACAGCCAGTTCTCGTCCTATAATTGGACCACCTTCTTTTCAAAAAACATCTTGTGGCTCCCTGATGTCTACATGAGTACAAATTCCTCCATCTATATTTAATTTGGTCTGATCTATTCTTTCCAGCTTATCATCCACCTGATATTGCCTTATGATCCTGCCCCTGTATTTCCTGTCTAAAGGAAACTAGACTAGATTTATACTAATTTCAGGCCAGATCCCTGAAGTTGTTTTACTTTTCATTAATTCCTTTTAACAATGCCTTTGTATCTTTCTCTTTCCATCATCATTGAAGATAAGAAAAATCATTCTAATTATTTAAGACTTTTTGGTGTGTTTATGCTGATTTAACACAAATTTATACTATAGGAGCAAATGAGATTTTTAAATAATCATTTACAGCACAATCATTGGAATTTTAATTTCTTTGTATTTAGAATATCACACTTTGCACAGTCATTTACACACATCTGAACATACACACCTCTTTCCTTTCCCCTTTATGTCCTACAGATATTTTATTACTTTCCTGATAATGTCATGATAGTTTTCTCCCATCCTTTGACTTCTAAAGTAACTAGCATCCTTTCAACCAGGATTTCCCACATATTTCCTAGAGAAATCTAAGTACGAATCGAACTCTACCCACAAGAGTTGCTAATCTGTCTCCTTTTCCCAACTGTAGCCAAGATCTCATAAACAGACTTAAATTAGTTCCTTAGTTCCATTAGTCATTAGGTGACATCATGGAAACTTCAGTGCTATAACAACTAAAAATTTACTAAAGTGCTTTCTTCTAGTATTAGGGTTCCCTGCATTGATATGGCATTCCCCACTGAAAATACAGAGCCCTTTACAACTGGTCACATGAAAAACTGGCTGTGAGAGACATCAAAGAATAAAATTCAGTAATAGTTGGAGAAAAAAATACAAGAGGAAAATGCCTGTTGGTTTTGTTTGTTTCAGACTTCTCAGTTTCTGTCTTAGAATGTAGGCCTGTCTGCTAAGACTCCACAAGATGACTATGTGCTCAGAAGTCTATACAAGACTCCGCTTCATTTGGGACATGGTTCTTCCACTTGAGAACAGTAGGAAAGGCCTGAACACCATGACATGCCAGCTAAACCATAAGCAACATTTGGAAAAAATCTGAAATAAAAGCATTTAACATTGCTTTTACATGAGTTATTATGGGGCAAAACATGGTCAAATTATCCCAAAGCACTTGGCACATCATGGAGTGGCGGAAAGGTATACCATCAGAATCATGGGTCCTGGCAATTTACTAATCTGCTGGGCTTGAAGTAAGCTATATGGGTAGCAAGGACACAATAAAATACAGATTTTACAAACTAAAGGAAATATTTACTATATTTACAAATGGTGGGTTGAGGTTTTCAGTTTTTATATGGCAATGGAGAATGATGCATGCTCAATATGTTTTTTCCAAATGTGCCTTTTCAATCAATGTTTTTGGTTTTCAAGATCCTTTTATAGCAAACCTTATGTGGCAGCAGGAAATACACAAAGCTTATTGTTGCTGTTTTATGTTTTGGGGAGACACTGTGAAATTACCACTTACCTGAGGTAATTCTGACAGTTGATTTCCATCCAACCAGAGATCTTTTAGATGTAAGAGGGCTCCAATTGATTCTGGCTAAAACAAAAGAAAAAAAAGTTACGGTAACAAAGATTCAATTTTCAGTCTTCCCTGAAGAAAGAAAGAAACTGAATTCATCTGTTAACAACTGGGTACCTTAGCAGATGTTCACTGGTACTTCTCTTAACATCCAGCCCCTTTCCTCAAAGTGCCCAAACTTTCCCCAAGAATGCCAGTTGTTTCCACCTATGTCCATCATCTCTAGTCCTGACCTCCCCCACCCATGAATCATAATTCCTAACTTGTGTGAAATAAAGCTGGTTCTCTAGTGTCCCCAAGTTACATCTGTGGAAATACTGGCTTCATAAAGATCCCTATAGAACTCCCCCAAATACTGTGTGATCATAACTAAAAACAAAGTTAAATTCAAATCTCTAATACGGACTTACCAAATTATATATTTCATTGTTTCCTAAATCAAGTTCTTCTAGTCTTCGCAGCTGGGTAAGAGAGCTATTTTAAAAAATAAATAAAGAGCACTTAGAGAATACTTAGAAATGCTGAGCAATATAGTATCCCTCACTTGGACTAGCTTCAAAAATAAGGTCCATTTTTATTTTTATGGTAGAAAATATTGCACAGGAAGGATTGTTAAGAAAAGGCCGGCTGGCATCCCCCAAACTTCCCAAAACACACAAATGTTTTCACGTAATACTGTAGTCCTGTTTTTTTAAATACTTAAATTCATTCTGCACAAAATCTCCTCTTATTTTCCCCAAAGACTCACTCAGGAAGATATGTAAGAAGATTCTCTCTCAGTTCCAGTGAAGCCAGGTTATAAAGACTAGAAATGAACAGAAGGAAAAAAAAGCATAAGAGAAATTCCTGAGATTCTTCCTACCTCCCTTCCCCCATACACACACTGGACAAGTTGCAACACTTAATAAAACCTAGTAGGTCACTTACCAGGGTAAAAATACCTATCATCACCACCCCCCACACCCATTAAAAACAATACCATCTCTACCTCTCAAATTGTAATCTTAAGATATTAATAATTAATAAAAGAGTAGTGTGTCATGACTACAAAGCACCTTCATTCAAATACCTTGTACATGTGATATGTGGAAATAACTCATCAGCCAATAAAACACAACCACTCTCAGGACTGAGACAGAAGCTGAATGTGTGCATCTAGACTTTCAAATGCCAAAAATGCAGTTACCATAAAACAGTAGCACCTTTAGTCTTGCAGAGCTCAGAGCTCTTCTTCCCAGTATCAGTGAGAGATCATCCCTGTTTTAAAGTAGGGGACATCTCAGTCCAGAGAGTCCAAGTTGATCTACTTATGATCATAAATTCATGGATCAAGTGGCAGCTGCGCTAAGGAAGTAACTTTCATTTAAATGCATTCAGGATAATGTCATAATGTATCTTGCACAGTGCCTGGAACACGGACTGATTTAATAAATGGTAGCTATAATAATGTTGCTTTTATTCTGGATTAAACCCTAGAATGAGGCTCTCTTCATCAGATTCTCCAGCCTCTTGGATGTAATCCAGTCTATTAGGAGCACAGTGGAATGTGACAGATGTTTGACAGATGGGGCAAATCTTGACAGGCAGTGGCAATTCTGCATCACCAGAAACCCTCATGAAGTTATGTCAGCACTGGCAAAACATATTGATTCAGAAAACAAGTGACACAGTCTATTGCCCCTACAAGCACTGTACTAAACTATACCAACCAAAAAGTCACATTTTGCTAATATCACCATAGTAACATCCAGATTTGGAGGAATTTCATTTCTGAGCACACAGAACACAAAAAGTCAGACATTATCCCAACACTCTAATCTGCCTTAATCCTCCATTCTCCCTCCTTCCAACAAAAAAGCCAGAATCACGTGTACTAACAAGGCTGGTTTTATAACATCCAGAAATGTAAATTTAAATGAACAGTGTATATACATGCTTAAAACCTGTTTGCCAGAAAATATATTTTAACTGTATTATGAAATGTAAAAATCCTGCATCTCCTTCTCCAATTTTACAAAACCAAATAATTTTCATACTTAAAGCAAGAACAAAACTTTCAATTTCTTTTTAAAAAGACAAACTCCCAGCCGGGCGCGGTGGCTCACCCCTGTAATCCCAGCACTTTGGGAGGCCGAGGTGGGCGGATCCACGAGGTCAGGAGATCGAGACCATCCCGGCTAACACGGTGAAACCCCATCTCTACTAAAAATACAAAAAATTAGCCGGGCGTGGTGGCGGGCGCCTGTAGTCCCAGCTACTTGGGAGGGTGAGGCAGGAGAATGGCATGAACCTGGAAGGCGGAGCTTGCAGTGAGCTGAGATCACGCCTGGGCGACAGAGCGAGACTCCATCTCAAAAAAAAAAAAAAGAAAAAAAAACTCCCCGCTAATATGTCACCATGAAATTAACACCAACGTTCTTCAAATCAAATGTAACTTGGTGCGGAGTTGCAGTTCTCTAGTTCTACTTTCTCTTGACCAAGTGTTTACGTAGAAGAAACAACAAAGGGAAGGGGAGGAGGATGAGATGTACACCACCCAGTATCTCCTTCCAAAAGCAATCTGTAAATAATCTGTAAATCATAATTTTACTTGAAAAGTAAAAATTTAAAAACAAAGGGCTTTGTTTTCAGTTTTAAATTTCCATGTAATGCCTAACCAGTTTTATTAAGAAGACAGTAATCCCTCAGCTATTTTCACATTTAAATTTTTAAAATGAATGTTAGGATTGTCATTTTATCTCTTCGGTAATCCACTACTTTCACACCTATTTTAACAAACCAAGGACACCCACTAATGAAAGAAGGAAAATGTCCTTCTTTGCATCAAAAACTTGACTCACTGGGCATCACTGAAAGCATCTTGCAAAGCAGTTTCACACAGCCTCATGCTGAGTGTTATGCCAAGTTTCCACAGCCATGCTCTCAGCATCTCCTGCCTGAAACATAGACCAGAGCCAAGGGGGAGAAACCAGCCTGCTAAGGCAGAAGGAGCTGTGCAGGGCGCCTTCTGTGAGCCATCTCATCTGGTTAGTAATGACCCAGCAAGTTGATGATGCTACCATGACATGATTAGGACCGTGAGGTTTTGTGTGAGGCCCACTTGATAGAAACAGGCAAAACCACAATTCAACCCTGGCCAAATGCCAAAGCTCCTGCCCTCACCCTCACTGACTGAGGCATCTCCAGGTGTCTCTGTTCTTCAAAACTCTCTCATTTAAATTTTAAAAACACCTCTCAGTTTTAGGTATATACATAAGTCTTACCTTCTTAAAAGAGACACTGGAATTTTTGCTGTTTGATTTTATTTTAAGAATGTGATACACATTTTAAAATTATCTTTAAATTTTGTCTTCAGAGCAAATGGCATAGGCTACAGTTACTATAAGCAAACAACACTTGAGCAAAAATACTGCTGAAATGCCCTAGTTCCCACCCCCATCATGCTAACACCCAGATATAATATCCTGCTAAGTAAAAAAGTTCTGGCTACAAAACCTCTTAAGTTTCTACTGTTTGGGGGAAGTAAAGAAAATGTGGATGTATGGGTGATACATCAACAACAAAAAATATCATATTTTTATAATATTTCAAAAGTAAAAATTAACAAAGTACAGGCTAAGTATCCCTTATCTGAAATGCTTGGAACTGTTAGTGTTTCAAATTTTGGATTTTGGAGTATCTGCAATATACTTAATCTGAAATCCAAAATGCTCCAATGAGCATTTTCTTTGAGCAAATGGTCGGCACTCATAAAGTTTCAGATTTGGGGGCATTTCAGATTTCTGGATTTGGAGTGCTCAACCTGTATATAAAAGAATATCCTTATATTCTGAGGTAATACTTCCCCAATTATTTTAAACTATTTAAAATAAAGAAACTTGGATATTATAATCAGACTCTATAGAGCCACCGATGAAAGCCACTCTAAAAAGAGCACATGGAATCTAAGAGGCCTGGGGCCCAGGCTTGAATCCTGCTTGTCCCTCACTAATTAGCTAGGCTTGCTTGCCTGAGGTGTTTACTGCTGAATCTCGATTTTCCCTAAAATAAATATAATCATATCTATTATGGCAATTAGAGCATAATACATTTTCCCTTCAAGTTAACAGAGCCAGTTTCTTGCCTTATTTCCTCAAGACACCCTTTGTCCCTAAGTGCAGCTAGGTACCTTACAAATGTGTGTGCCTTGAGTCAGGGTCTTCAGAAAGATTGCTACAAGATGCTGCTAATCACGGATGTCATCTCCACTACTAAAAAACTCCTTGAAGGACAGGCCCTACATCTGGCATTGGCCAATTTTTAACTCATCAAACATTGTCTGTAACTGGACTGGAAGAAATAGAAAGCAAACAAAGGCTCTGACTATAGACTCCTACCTCCTGTATGAGCCCAAACCTCACAGCATAATCTGGACAAGTCATTCTCAGTTCCAAGTATCACTAAGTGATTCTAGAATGAAACTATGGGTTTGGTTCACATCAGTAGCTTGCCTTGGACAGTCCTTCACCAAAATGTAGAACCCAACCAGCCCACTCCAGAACATGGTTCTCTCCAAATTGTTGTAGTAACAGAGCTGACATAAAACAGAATCAGCCTAAATGCAGAATTGGAACAGAGACATTAACACAAAAGTGAATGAATGAATAATCTCCTTTTGTGGTCTTTCAGAATACAGTATCTTCAATCAAGTCCCTGTCCCATCAAAGCAACCCATTGAATTCAAATATCTTCACATCTCTTACAGCACCCCATAAGGAACATGCTCCTGAGCAGCTTCGGGAGTGGGATCCAAACCTAATCCTGTGTGCTGAAGAGCCCAAGCTCTTAATCAGAAGGTCAAGAGAGACAGAGGGAGACCCAACCTCCACAGGCCTTTATCCACTATTTCAGTTAAACATGGTATTACAGAGATACGAGAAAGAATCAGGCATTTCTAAAACTTTTACAAATGCGATTTTAAAAATTAAACACTTTAATAGTTCTACTACTAATAATAATAATACTGGCAACTTACTCTATGACAGACTTCGTTATAACTTCTTTATGAGAATTAACTTATCGGATGAGAAAACTAAGGCACAGAGAGGAAGCTTGAACAAGGTCTCACAAAATTGCCAAGTAGAAAAGCCAGGATTCACCAGGGAATCTGCATTCTTAACCACTATGTTGTGCTGCCTCTCACTCGAGTTGGTAAGTCAATTTTGCAAATAGGTAATAATATATTTATGTATATACATATTTATTTTTATGTGTATGTGTGTGTGTGTGTGTGTGTGTGTGTGTGTGTGTGTATATATATATATTTTTTTTTTAGACAGAATCTTACTCTGTCACCCAGGCTGGAGTGCAGTGGTGTGATCTTGGCTCACTGCAACCTCCGCCTCCTGGGTTCAAGCGATTCTCCTGCCTCTGCCTTCCCAGTAGCTGGGACTACAGGCATGCACCACCACACCCAGCTAATTTTTGTATTTGTAGTAGAGATGGGGTTTCACCAGACCAGACAGTTGGCCTGGCTGGTCTCGATCTCCTGACCCCAGGTGATCTGCCTACCTAGGCCTGCCCAAAGTGCTAGGATTACAGGCATGAGCCATCACACCCGGCCAATTTATATATATTTACAACAATATATTCAGTAAAGAGTTTCTTCTTTTCCCCCATCAATCCAGCTTCCCACTACCAAACCGTTTTCACAGGAAATTACCTTAAAAATTTCATATGGATTCATGCAGGGCTTTCTTTAGGTGTGAATGTATATAGTCTCTCTCCCTCTTTTTTTTTTTTTTACAAGAAAGGTAGCGTTCTATACATATATATCTGGCACTTTGCTTTCCTCACTTACCAGATTTTTTTTGTCTCATTTTTTATTTGTACATACCAGTATTTTTTCAACAATTGCACAGTATCTTACTGTCTATGGATACCTTTATTTTTTTAACTAGAACCCTATTAATAAACATTTCATCCTTCAATTTTAATTTCTGACAAATTAATTTCTACACAATACTGCTGGAATGACCTCTTCTTCCTCCTCCTACCAAAAAAAAACATGACTTTCTATCCTCCCTGTCAATTCCTACCATTTTTACCAACAAAGGAAGTTGGGGGGCAGGAGAGCACACCTAACAAGCTCCTGCAGGAAGAGAATACATGAAGTATTTCTTCTCAGCACACTAATTCTTAATGTTTTACACTGTTCATAATAGCAGGGACAAAAGTTGCACTCTTTTGTAAGTCAGAATGTAGGCCAACTGTATTTTTAGGATTCTATTTCAGTGACTGGATGAATGGTTACTTTAAGGAATTTACATCTGTTCTCTACTATGTTTTCAAAACCCTTTTTAACCCACTTGAGTTAATTTTTTTCCATTTTAGCGGCCAAAATCATTAAGAAAATAAAGAGTAAAACACATTAAGGTAGACCAAACAAACAAGTGGCAGTTCACTGTAAACCCATTAATATATAAAACAACAACTATTTATGGCAACATTATTTGATTGGGAAAAACTATTAATGGGGGAATGGGGAGTTGCTTATACATTCATAATACTTCTACTCTTTCAGCATCAAATTAGAATTCAAAAACCTCTGGTTACAAACTTTCTTACGGTGGCTTTGCTCTAGAAAACTTTTTTTAAAAAATCTTTATTTTTGTTTTTGAAATAATAAATATTTTATAGTAATTCCCAGGACTCAAAAAAGAACATTAAATATGGTAATAGTTTTCAAAAAAAGGATTTACTCCTTTTAGGCAGCATGCACTTATAATATAGGTAAGCTGCCTAGCACTAGGCCTTGTGACCGGGGGCCACATGGATCACTTAGTTCAAGCTCACTCAAAATTAAGGTCACCATTCCCAAGGGCAGCAGACTCAGCAGACATAAAATCAGACCCACACGCTCTAGTTCAATCTGCCAGAGAACCTAGGGCCTACTCATTCTACTTCTATCAGCAACTTGTAATAATTAAATGTTTATTGATAATGACCTTTTAGTGACTGAATAACTGTTTCGGGTACTGGACTATTTCATTACATATATTCCTTCTCCTCTAAGAATGCTATTTTTGGAGAAGACAACTCAGTTAAACAGGGAGTAGAGATATTTAGGCTAACATATTTGAGGGTATTCGTTTCTTTAACGGTAAAGGATACAGAATCTCATGGAAGGGCATATCAAGTAAAGACAAAGCAGCATGCTCCCAGACACAATCATAGGCTTCCCAGAACCTCAGAATTTTCCATCAGTTGCCGCTGGAGTTTTTGTGTGCTCTTGACCTCCACTCTCACTCTACATCACTTGAGCATTTTGGAGACTCTGGCTATGTGTACCTGCCTGATCACCAGGTGCAAGTAACTAAACAAAATGATCTTAGCACACTACTTTTAAGGTTACATTACAGAGTATTTCCTGTAAGAATAAACTGGGTCGGTTTCCCAGGTATAACATCATCCTTCAGCAGTACCCAGCTTCAAATTTGCCTAAGGTCCATTCTTTTTACGGAGATATAATTCACAAACTATGAAATTCACCTTTGAAAGTGTACAGTTTGGTGGTCTTTAATATATTTATTCAGGAGGTATAGAAACATCACCACTATCTAATCTAGAAAATTTTCATCATACCGAAAAGAAAATTCATACTCATTAGAAGTCATTCCTCCACCCCACAACACCCAACAACCAATAATTTAATTTCTGTCTCTATGGATTTGACTATAGCATGCATTTTGTAAAAAGTGAGTCATAGAATATGTGATTGTTTGTGTCTGGTTCTTTTACTTAACATGCTTTCAAAGTTCATCCAGGAATACTATTTCACTGTATACATATGCCACATTTTGTTTATCAACTTACCCACTGATGAAAATTTCAGTTGTTTCTACCTTTTTATTATAAATAATGCCAATAATAACCCTCCTAGGTTTTCAATTCTTTTGAGTATACATAGCTAGGAATGGAATTGCTAGGTCACATGGTAACTATGTTCAATTTTAAGGAGGACCTCCCCAAACTGTTTTACAAAGGGGCTAAACCATTTTACACTCCCACCAACAACATATGAGGGTTTCAATTTCTCTACATCCTGAACAACACTTGTTAGCATTTATCTTTTTAATTATAATCATCCTAGAGGGTATAAAGTAGCATCTCATTGTGGTTTTGACTTGCATTTTCCTGATGACTAATGCTGTTAAACATCTTTTCATATGCTTATTGGTTATCTGCATATCTTCTCTGAAGAAATGCCTATTCGAATCCTTTAACCATTTTTAATTGGGTTGGTTCTTTTATTACAGAGTTGTAAAAGTTCTAAATATATTCTGGTAACTAGACTCTGATAAGATATATGATTTACAAATATTTTTTCCCATTCTGTGGGTTGTCTTTTCACTTTCTTGAAAGTATTCTTTGATGCACACAAGTTTTAAATTTTGATGCAGTCCAATTTATCCATTTTTTCTTTTGTTACACAGACTTTGGTGTCATAGCTAGGAAACCACTGCTTAATCCAATGTCACAAAGATTTACCCCTGTTTTCTTACAGGACTTTTACAGTTTTAGCTCTTATATTCAGATCTCTGATTTTGATTTAGCTTTTTGTGTCTGGCATGAGGTAGGAGTATAACTTCATTCTTTTGTATGTTCATAGTTTTCCCAACAGCATTTGTTAAAAAGACTATTCTTTCTCCACTGAATTGTTTTGATATCTTTGTCAAAATCAATTAAGACATATGTAAGGATTCTGATGGGGCTTAAGATGAGTCTGTAGATCGACTTGTCGAGTATTGCTATCTTAACAATATTAAGTATCAACCCATGAACACACATTATCTTACCACTTATTGAGTCTTCTTTAAATCTTTCAATGTTTTATACTTAGCATGTACATGTCCTACATTTCTTCTGTTAAATTTATCCTAAGAATTTTATACTTTTTTGTGTTTTGTAAATAGAATTGTTTAATGCTGATATATAAAAATATAACTGATTTTTGTTTTGTAATCTTGTATCCTGCCATCTTCCTGAATTAATTTATTAGCTCTAATAATTTTTGCAGATTCCTTAGGATTCTTTCTATATAAGATCATGTCATCTGAAGAGTAACTCATTTTTAAAAAGTAAAACACAAAGTGTGTGGCTTGAGTAGAAACTGATATAACTGATCCCAAGAAAAATATTTTCAGTATTAAAATGTTCTTTTGAAAGACAAATTCATTCACACATTGTACCAACATTTCAAAACTCCTTAAAGCAAAAATTATCCTTCCTGGCCTTACCAGTGGAATCTTCTAAGTGTTTTTAGTGATAGTAAAGTAAAAAGCCATTGTTGACTAGGCACTGTTTTTAAGGGCATATCTAAATATCAATTTTTTTAATTCAGATAGTTTTCTGAAATCCTGTCCCAAGACTTGGAACTCGACTCAGTAAGACCCCACTGCATGCTCTCCCATGCCAACCGGCATCTGCAGTGACATAGAAAGTCATTCACTTAATTATACCCCAACTTTTTTCTAAAGGGGATTTAAATAAGTCTTTAAAAATTGCAAATATGCAAAAAGGTTCACGAAACAACATTAGGGCCATGAAAGAGGGGAGACACTAATGTGTTCATTATGAGAAGCATGCAGTAAAGAAAATGCAGTATCTTCAAGGAAGAAACTAAGTTCAAATGCCAGCTCTACCACCCACCAGCAATGCACACCTGGGCAGATCACTTATCTCCATTTCACAGAGGAAGCTAATAAAGCTCAGGATGGGTAAAGCTAGCCTCAGGAGGAAGGGTGTCATGAGACAGTATATGCACCTCAAAGAGTCCCTACCCCACCGAGACTGTCAGCATCATCTCTCCCTTCATCGCACAGAAAAGAACACAGCTGCTCTCACTGGTTATCAGAATTAGCTTTAAGCTTACTGGCAACAAAGGCAGGAAAATAAATGTTGGAAATGTTATTAAAAAGGAAGAAGCTTACCAGTTCTTTTGGTAAAGCATTTGTTTCTTTAAAAATAAATTTATTGTCTCCCTAATATTACATCAGAAATATTAAGCAGTATTAATAGACAATAATTATTTTTTCTTGGAAGGTTTTAGAGCAACAGAAGCTGTTTTTTTTTAATAGTTGCTTCTTGTAAACAACTTTTTCTAGAAATTGAGTACAGCCGCATTAGGCCAAAAAAGTGACAATGCAGGAACAGGCTAAAGTGGTCCTAGCATAAATCTTCCAGAACCTGAGCTTGACTGCCTATGATGTGATGTTGGAAGCAAGTGGAATAAAGGAGGCAATACTCTGTACCTTGTCACGTGTATTTGTTTGGTATGTGAGAACAATGCCAGGGTAGGTACAGACACAAAGAGAACTGGACAACCAAGGTTCCTGTAGTATCAGAGTACAAGCTGATCCCAGTACATACACCAGTTATATACATAAAATTAAACAATGAACAACTACACTTCTGTGTAAAGACAAAGGACTAAAGTGCTTATTGTGTGGGGAGTACAACCTGCAAGTCTGGGATCTATTTCACCTGTCAATCATTGGGGAAGGCATGATGAAAGATGTAAAATTTCAATCATTAAATGAAACACCCCAGCCAGTTTGGAAAGAGACAAGGCAGGTAAAAAATTTTAACATTCACCTGAACTGGAATAAGCGGGATGGAAAATGAATGAATGAATACAAATTACTGTAAAATAAAAATTAACAAAGTGTATGAAAATCATACAAATGCACAAAAATAAATGATGCAGTACAAAAATAATCAGCGAGCCTACCCTATTCATGATTGTCTTTGAACTGCACCATAGGAAGTGCTCCTTAAAATTTTTGCTTTGCAAACATTTATTCCTTGATTTAACCCACCACCATTATAACTGCCATCCCTCACTGGTTCTCCAAAAATTAGGTAAATAATTATACCTGTATTTATTAACCTTTCTTAAATGTATGTATAGCTCATATTTATGTCAATGTTTGATACTAGAAGTGTTTTGGGTTTTTGCTTGGAAGTTTGATGTTTTTCTGATCAGAAATATGCCACAGTAACTTAACTCTTGTTTATATCAATTAACCTATGGTAAACTTGGCTTCATAATACTTTGTTTCACTTGATGTCGCAGTTTTCAAGAACCTATGGATGATGTTATGTGAGGACTCACTGTAAATAATTGGGAATATTTAAGAATGAAATAAAAATATGCATTCTTTCCACTTATATGTATAATTTTTTTCAAACAGCTACTAGGTTATTAGGACATAAACACTTATTAAGATGTTTGGACCTACTTAATGAACTGTTAGATATTTCCAGGAGTATTAAAAGAAAGTTACTGAGCCCATAAGGGCCCCAGGAACCAACTGTCCTATGGCAATGGCAGAGTAGAGTAGTAAAAAAACACAGGACTGGGACCTGGAGAGCCGTAGTCCAGTTCTAGCTCTGCCATCAACTCCTAAAAACTTCTTCAAATTAACTGACCATAGGCAAACCAAACACATGATGGGAGAGATGTGTCCAGGTGCCCCCAGGTTCAAGGCATTGCAAGTCTGCTCACTCTATATAAAGGCTTTTACCCTCCCCTCTTAGTCTGAGTACCCCTGACCATCCTGAGGAGGCCCAAGTCCTTGAGACATCCATAGCTTTCCCATTTAATGCCAACTACTGTGCTAGGTGCCAAGAGGAGAAATGAAGTCCTATCTTCACTGAAGCTTGAGAGGCCAATGCTAATGTGGTTTACCCATCTGACCACATAAGCAGAGGTAATTTATGTAAGGATTCCACATCAGACTCCACAAAGATAACAGTAAGAATCAAGCAATCAAATGGCCATTCCATGTTCTTTCAAATTTTGTGGAATATTAAACAGGTATGTCTTCTATGCAAAACAATTCCATCTCCAAGAAGTTGTACTGGTTACTAAATATTGGTTAACTAAATGTGCTAAATGCTCTAAAGAAACTATTTGGGAATCCTTTCAGAAATGAATGAAGCCTTGCCACAAGGAAAGCTTCCAAGTTTCAAATAATTTGCTTTAAATGTAGTACACTTATGCATATATGAGATTTCCTCAACAATTCACTGTTTCAAGTGCATTTTCCAAAAGGTCTTGGACACCAGGTATGCCCAATCTTCTCCAAGGAAGAATTTGTTCTTTGATTGTTTCTTTCTGGTATGTGAGAACAGGCCATTACTTGAGCATGCAGGAAGAAGAAATCACAGTTTCTTGCTATGGTGACAAAATTACTAACAACCAAGAATAGAAAACTCTCTCTTTTTCATTTAATTTCACAAAGTGACCTAATAAGAATCAGTCAATTTCAAGATCAAAGTGGCATTTTATTCAGTAAACAATCAGTATCCACAATGCTATAATAGTAACAGAAGCTGATTAAGTCCACAAACAAAACAAAACAAAAAAATCTTGAACACTGACAAAAGCAGGTACAGATATTAACAGAAAATATATAATAATGAACATTATAAAAAATGTATTCTAAAATAATACTTTCCATTAAAATAGTACAGTAGAGGGTGAGAGGGACACTCTGGTTTAATAATATATTTTATCTCAAAGCATTAAGACTTTTTAAAAAGACACAAAATGGGAAAAAAGGAGAGGGGTAGGAATCAGAGGCTAGAAAGGAGAACCATCTAGGCAGCTGCAGACTAAGAATGAATGGAAGGGAGAGTAATAAGGGAATTAAACTCCAGACATCCTGAGGAGCAAGAGGAGGACAGTGTTAGTTTGGGTGTTTAAACAGCTACTATATTTAAGATTTTTTTGTGTAGGGGGGGCAAAGCGGGGATGGGGTCTTGCTCTGTCACCCAGGCTGGAATTCAGTGGCACAATCATGGCTCACTGCAGCCTCAACCTTCTGGGCTCAAGTGATCCTTCCTCCTCAACCTTCCAAGTAGCTGGGACTACAGGTTTGGGCCACCAGGCCCAGCTAATTTTTTTTTTGTTTTTGTAGAGATGGGTTATCGTCATGTTGCCCAGGCTGGTCTTGAACTCCTGGGCTCAAGGAATCCTCCCACCTCAGCCTCCCAAAAGGCTGGCATTACAGGTGTGAGCCACCATGCCCAGCACAAAAATTGTTACATTATAAATATCTGACACTTGATACAGCAAAAGTGAATTGTACATGCATGAAATTCACAATAAAATACCACTGTTTTCTCTGCAACTGATACCATACACCTAGAGTGTATTGAGGGCTTCCTGTCTTCTTCTCCTCCTGAGAGTTTAAGGGCAGAATTTTTAATTAGCAAGTCTAATGGCATAAAGATAAAACATCAGTGTACATTTCAGAAAAACACCAACTTGCTGGCTGAACAGGTGTCAGCTAGTTGTCTTCTGCCTGAAGAGGATAGAAAGGAAAGGGAAAAGCTGTCTGCAAATATTCTTATAAACCTCTGGAAAGAGAACTTTTGCAAAACAGACATGTCAGACTGTGCTCAACTGCTTACTGTGGTTCTCAAAGAGCAAGTTTCTGTTCTGTCTTAGAACTTACGCAGGACAGGTACAAACAAGGAAAATCATTTATGATGCTAGGGAACACTGGTCTACCAGGTTAGGGTAGACAAGTCAGACTTTTATTTTTAAGTGGTTAACCATGAGCTACTGCATCAACCTGATTTAACCTACTGTATGTCCTGAAAAAGTGAAAAAAGTCTGCAAAGATAATTCAACTAGTTCGTCTGTGGGAATGTATAACAGAACATTTATTCACCAGCATACATTGTCTTCAATGGATTCTATTTCTTGCCATGACTAGGTTCTCCACAACCTCTAAGCCGGCAACATGGAATGTGCCCATATCATTCCTTTCCTCTCCCAGCTCCACTCCCACTCTCCAAATACACCATTCTCATTCCCTATTCTTGGATCCACAGTTCACAAATACTGTCAGACATAGCTGTTCTTTAGGGGCACATACTTTTCGTTTTTAATGGAGTTGTTTGTTGGCTCTCCAGCATGGTTTAAAATTACTGAGTGGTTGTTTCTACCAGTATTTACTGACCACCTACATGACACATAGTACTTGGCTTAAATTAACTACTTTGCCATACATCAGTTTAAAGAGCACTTCCAAACAATTTAGGGTTTTTACTAGTAACAAGTAGCAGTACCCTTTTTAACCAATAAAATTTAGGGAAAATTAGATGCAAAAACATAGGAGGCTGGCTATAATCTTTCTTGAAGGTCACATTAAAGAATGAGTAAATGGCTTTCTGAGTAGACAAATAGGAGCTTTAAAAGGGAAGGAGGCTAGAGCTGATGATATAAACCCCCTTTCACCCTGATCCACCCAAACTTCACAAAAAAACTTACTTGCCAATATTTTCAGGTAGAGACTGTAGTGAGATGTCATTTACAGAAAGACATGTTAAATTCTGTAATTCAGGAAAGCTTTCTGGCAACCTAAAATCAAACAAACAAACAAAACGCTGTAAATTAAAAAAGTTCATGTATAGTGTATACCAAGCATAAATATAATGATTTATTCTATGTGCTAACTGAAATAACCTCCTAAAAATGACATTATATATGGCATGTTTGCCTTGTCTTCCTATATATAAGACGCTTGTAAGGAAAAAACAAGACTTCGTATACATAATAGATGTACAGGGGCATGATAAACACATTGTTATGGTGATCTAGAAATAATTAAAGTAGAAAGATATGCAAGCTCTAAGAATAAAGGCAAAAAAATGTTGAGACTACTGAATACTCTATGAAAGAAAATGATGAATTATTGCTGCAGCTAAAAGTGCCTAAGAGTAAAAATACTTTATTGATTAGCAGAAACTAAAGAGAAAATTTCATCAGCCCATGAGATTATAATAAAACACAGGACAGCTACTGCATAATTTTTCTTCCTGTAGTTTATAATACCCAGGGGAAAGCTATGGAATACTTATTGATCCACTGACAGACAATTGCTACTTTCCTTTCTTTTTGAGATGGAGTCTCACTCTGTCACCCAGGCTGGAGGGCAGTGGCGCAATCTCGGCTCACCGCAACCTCCGCCTCCCGGGTTCAAGCGAGTCTCCTGCCTTAGCTTCCTGAGTAGCTGGGATTACAGGCACGCGCCACCACGCCCAGATAATTTTTGTATTTTTAAGTAGAGACGGGGTTTCACCATGTTGGTCAGGCTGGTCTCAAACTCCTGACCTAGTGATCCACCCGCCTTGGCCTCCCAAACTGCTGGGATTACAGGTGTGAGCCACCGCGACAACTGCTACTTTCTTAACATTTTTCTTTTAGTTCTATTTAAGTTGCCAACCACTTGAAATAATTTTATGTTTTACTATGTTCTACACAAAGGGATATTTTTTATATGTCCCTTAAAGTCTACAGAATAACAAGGCTTTAAAATAAAATCATGATTTAAAATTTACAAAGAAAGTTTAGTTTCAATATTTCTATGGTTTCCATATTTAGGGAGGGAAGGAAAACCTAACTAAAGGCAAAGGATCTCATTGCATCTAAAATGCTGAAGGTTATTAAACATAAATCTGCTAATAAAGACAACAGAACATTTAAGTATCACTTTTTTTCACTGAGGGAGAGATTTCTGGCTTTAGTGATGGTCTCTAGATTAGAATCTTCCATTTTTATCTTTCTAGGTTCCTTTTAAAAAAGGCCTACATAACATTATGTTTGATATTTAATATAGGTTAATTCCAAACTTCAAAACCAAATCCAGACCCACAAGATCAGGGTATTAACTGGAATATTTATAATCACTGGAATTTGTTCTGAGGAACAGGTAACAGAGGTAAGATTTTTACTTATAATTCAAAAGATGCAACTTATCTGTTCTGCCTGAGTTTTTAACCAGAAAGCATATATCATTTTATAATTTAAAAACTAGCTAAGATGTTCTTAAACATAAGAAAAATATAGTTTTGATTTAAATAGGTGTTATTTTACTGGCTGTTAACCTAAGGGCTAAACTAGATGTGATGAGGAAGTACAGACCCAAGGTTAGGAGAAACGAACTGCAGTCCGAGCTTCCCACTCATTAGCTGTATGATCTTGAAAAGTAATTTAGCCTACATGTGCCTCAGTTTCTTTAGCCATAAAATAAGCAAGCCAAACTAAATCATTTTTAAGGTCTCTTCAACTCACAGATGTCATCTTAATTCTTAAAAAACAGCACACCTGCCAAATTAAAATGGCTTTACTTTAAGAAACCTGCCAAATAGAAAGCCAGAATTAAAACAAACAAACAAAACAGTAAAGCCTCACACAAGCTAGGTGTGTTCCAGTTGAGAGAGCACTGAAATAATAGTAAAGTCAAATGTCAGCAGACATTAGAAAAGGAAAATCAAAGAAATAGAAAAAAGGAATACGCAACTGAATGGTTAAAAAAAACCCAACAGCAACATAACGAGTATTTCCCAGCTTGCCAAACCCTGTAGGCTGCCTTAAGTTTAGTCCAGTTCAACAAACATTTATTGAGCACTTACTCCATTCCAGGAATGACAGTTGCATTGAAGACACAATAATAAATAATAGAGGAATTCAAGTAACTTCCTTAGGTTAGTCAAGGAGTCTTGGTCAGAGAAATAACTTAAGGGTAAATTTCAAGTGTTATGAAAAAAGTACACAGAGAGCATTACGGGAGCCCAGAGGAGGGGCCTGTGGATAGTAATTGGGAAAGCCTTCTGGAAAACGTGTGATGCTCAAACTGCAACTTAAGGAAGGTGAAAAGGCTGGAACTCTCAAGAAGACAGAGGCATGAAATGAGCTAACTAGAAGCACTTTATGTTACAGCAGAGACTGATGTCCAGCACAGGTAACTGAGGTCAATGAAGATGGAGAGACATATCAAAGTCAGATGGAGGGGCAAGAAGAGGCTCACATAGCACATAGAGGAGCTCTGACTTTATCTTATAGAGATGGGAGCTATAGAAAGGTTTTAAGAGAAGAGACAGTTGAATGGAAGATGGTGGGGAAAGAGGATAAGGTTGGAGGGACAGTGATAAGTAAGAAAGCTATTAGGGTATAGCTTACTAGATTACTATTTTTCAGTAATAAATGTTACATGCAACTTAATCACTACAATTCAAAGAAGGACAAGCAGAAATAGTTTTAAAAAGAAAACATTTATTTATTGGCAATAAGAAGGTATTGGAAAAATAAAACTAAATAGTGCATTCTCCAGCACTCCATACCCAAGAAGTCCCAAGAAATTTTGAAGTGGGTGAGATGACTCAGAAATTTTAGTTTAATCTTACTTTTCCTAGATCAAAAGAAAAAAGACAGAAAAGAAGGGAAGAGTGCATTTCTTCTGAGGTTCCTCTCAGATTCTTGAGAAATCTTATAAATGGACCCACCTGGCCCAAAGAGACATCTAAAACAGATGCCCAAGGGCTATCTCTGCATTGCACGTGGGCACAATTCAGTTATCCTAGTAACAAGATGCCTGGAAGCCCATGGTGAGTGGACTCACGACTAAGCCAGGAGCCATAAGGAACAGCTCACAGCAATGCCACTCAGCCATGCCTCGGCAACAGACTGTGTCATACCAGGAAGGGTAAAGCTGGAATAAGTAGTAAAACTGACACGGTGGCTTTACTTGCAGGGAAAAAAAAAAAAGAAATCCTCACAGCTATTGCTAAGGAAATAGTGATGTTGATATGGGTTTTTTGGGTTTTTTTGTTTGTTTGTTTTTTAATGCAGAGTTAGAGGAAAGTTGAGACAAAAAGATAGTATGGCTGGGCGAGGTGGCTCCGGCCTGTAATCCCAGCACTTTGGAAGGCTGAGGTGGGTGGATCACGAGGTCAGGAGATCGAGATCATCCTGGCCAATATGGTGAAACCCCGTCTCTACTAAAAATACAAAAATTAGCCAGGCATGGTGGCGGGTGCCTGTAGTCCCAGCTACTCAGGAGGCTGAGGCAGGAGAATCACTTGAACCCGGAAGGCGGAGGTTGCACTACAACTCTTCACATTGATTCAGAAATGCACTCCTCATCCTGTTTTGTACACTTCACTGTGCTGCACCTTATCCCTACAACATACTTTGAGGTTTCTATCAATAGAATAGTACGCCTTTCATTGTACAGGGCTATTTATAAAGAAATATCTGTGAAAGTCAACCATCCTTGATAAAGACAGTGATCCATCTAGGTACCTCCAAGATGGTTAACCTGACTGTGTTCTCCGCTTGGCTCTCAAAAAAGATACTCTTACTAGTATAGACAGAAAAGTAAGCAGAAAGCTTACCTAGTCAGTGGGTTTCCGCTGAAGTCAGCTACCTGCAGTGCTTTACAGAATGAAATGCTTTCTGGAATTTCAGGAATCTCTGCAGGAGTAGAGAAAATGTCTATAATTTGCCACCATTATTAACAGTTTTCATCACTCTCAAGATGGATCACACTCACAAGAGAATATCTGGAAATTCCTACCTCCATTCAAACATGACCTAGACTTATAAAGTATTTTAATATATTTATATTTGCTTTCCTAATATAAGTTATATTCTCAACAGAAGCACATTAAAGAAAAATAATAAAAACATCAAATCTCTGACAAAATTATAGCTATAGGAGTAAGTTCTAGTGTTCTATGGCAGGGGTCCCCAATCCCTGAGCTACAAACCAGTACCTGTGAGGAACCGGGATGCACAGCAGGAGGTGAGCGGCAGGCGGGTGAGCAAAGCTTCATCCATATTTACAGCCACTCCCCATCACTTGCATTACTGCCTGAGCTCCACCTACTGTCAGATCAGCGCCCACATTAGATTCTCATAAGAGCATGAGCCCTATTGTCAACTGCCCATGCGAGGGATCTAGGTTGTGTGCTCCTTATGAGAATCTAATGCCTGATGATCTGTTTCCCATCACCCCCAGATGGGACTGTCCAGTTGCAGGAAAACAAGCTCAGGGCTCCCATTGAATCTACCTTATGGTGAGTTGTATAATTATTTCATTATATATTACAATGTAATAATAATAGAAATAAAGTGCACAGTAAATGTAATGAGCTTCATTTGTCCCAGAACCATTCCCAACACTGGTCTGTGGAAAAACTGCTCATATGATTTGGTTGTGTCCCCACCCAAATCTCATCTTGAATTCCCATGTGTTGTGGGAGGGACCCAGTAGGAGGTAATTGAATCATGGGGGCAGGTCTTTCCTGTGCTGTTCTCATGATAGTAAGTTTCACGAGACCTGATGGTTATTATAAGGGGGAGTTTTCCTGCACAAGCTCTCTTTGCCTGTCGTCATCCACATAAGATGTGACTCCCTCCTCCTTGCCTTCCACCGTGATTGTGAGGCCTCCCTAGCCATGTGGAACTGTAAGTCCATTAAACCTCTTTCTTTTGTATGTCTTTATCAGCAGCATGAAAACAGACTAACAGAGTAAACTGGTACCAGTAGAGTGGGTTGCTGCTGAAAAGATACCCAAAAATGTGGAAGCAACTTTGGAACCGGTTCACAGGCGGAGGCTGGAGCAGTCTGGAGGGCTCAGAAGACAGGAAAACGTGGGAAAGTTTGGAACTTCCTAGAGATTTGTTGAATGGCTTTGACCAAAAGCCTGATAGCAATATGGATAATAAAGTTCAGGCTGAGGTGGGAGATGAGGAACTTGTTGGGAACTGGAGCAAAGGTGACTTGTTATGTTTTAGCAAAGAGACTGGCAGCATTTTGCCCCTACCCTAGAGATTTGTGGAACTTTGAACTTGAGAGAGATGATATAGGTATCTGGTGAAAGAAATTTCTAAGCAGCAAAACATTCAAGAGGTGACTTGGGTGCTGTTAAAGGCATTCAGTTTATAAGGGAAGCAGAGCATAAAATTTGGGAAATTTACAGGCTGACAACATGATAGAAAAAAAAACATTTTCTGAGGAGAAATTCAAGCTGGCTGAAGAAACTTGCATAAGTAACGAGAAGCTGAATGTTAATCCCTGAGACAATGACAAAAATGTCTCCAGGGCATGTTCAAAGGTCTTCATGGCAGCCCCTCCTATCACAGGCCCAGAGGCCTAGGAGAAAATTGTTTCCTGGGCCCGGTCCAGGGTCCCCATGTTGTGTGCAGTCTAGGGACCTGGTGCCCTGCATCCCAGCCACTCCAGCTCTGACTAAAAGGGGCCAAAGTATAGCTTGGGCTGTTGCTTCAGAGGGTGGAAGCCCCAAACCTTGGCAGCTTCCACATAGTGTTGAGCTTGCGGGTACACAGAAATCAAGAATTGAGGTTTGGGAACCTCTGGCTAGATTTCAGAAGATGTATGGAAATGCCTGGATGCCCAGGCAAAAGTTTGCTTCAGGGGCAAGGCCCTCGTGGGAAACCTCTGCTAGGGCAGTACAGAAAGGAAATGAGGGGTTGGAGCACCCACACAGAATCCCTACTGGGGCAGTGCCTAGTGGAACTGCGAGAAGAGGGCCGTTATTCTCCAGACCCCAGAATGGTAGATCCACCAACAGATAGCACTGTGCACCTGGAAAAGCCACCAGACAGTCAAGGCCAGCCCGTGAAAGCAGCCAGGTAAGGGGTTATACCCTGCAAAGTCACAGGGGCAGAGCTGTCCAAGACCGTGGGAACATACCTCTTACATCAGCATGACCTGGATGTGAGACATGGAGTCAAAGGAGATCATTTTGGAGCTTTAAGATTTGACCGCCCTGCTGGATTTCAGACTTGTATGGGGCCTGCAGCTCCTTTGTTTTGGCCAATGTCTCCCATTTGGAATGGCTGTATTTATTCAATGCCTGCACTGCCATTGTATCTAGGAAGTAACTAACTTGCTTTTGATTTTACAGGCTCATAGATGGAAGGGACTTGCCTTGTCTTGGATAAGATTTGGACTGTGGACTTTTGAGTTAATGCTGAAATGAGTTAAGAGTTTGGGGGATTGTTGGGAAGGCATGATTGGTTTTGAAATGTGAGGACATGAGATTTGGGAGGGGCCAGGGGCAGAATGATATGGTTTGGCTGTGTCCCCATCCAAATCTCATCTTGAATTCCCATGTGTTGTGGGAGGGACCCGGTAGGAGGTAACTGAATCATGGGGGCAGGTCTTTCTGAGCTGTTCTCATGACAGTAAGTAAGTCTCACAAGATCTGATAGTTATTATAAGGGGGAGTTTCCCTGCACAAGCTCTCTTTGCCTGCCACCATCCACATAAGATGTGACTTGCTCCCCCTTGTCTTCCACCATGATTGTGAGGCCTCCCTAGTCAGATGGAACTGTGAGTCAAATTAAACCCCCTTCTGTCTTAAATTGCCCAGTCTCGGATATGTCTTTACCAGCAGTGTGAAAATGGACTAATACAACTGTCTTCCACAAAACCGGTCCGTGGTGCCAAAAAAAGTTGAGAACTGCTGTTGTATAGCACTGTAAGATGACTACAGTTAACAATAATATATAGTTTCAAATGGGTGAAAGGAGGATATAGAAAGTTCCTAACACAAAGAAATGATAAATGCTTTAGATGAGTATGCTAATTACCTTGTAATTACACAGTACATTATATGTATCAAAGCATCACTATGTACCCATACATATGTACAATTATTTAACAAATCATTTAAATAATAAAATAACAAAAACCGCCACTACCACCATCAAGTCCCATCACTCTATCAAAAGCACTGATGGCATTCTGTTGTAATTACCTTTAGACTTTCTTTTCCTTATATTTTCATGTGGTGGTATCAGTACCAGGTATTCCAAAGTAGTGCACTTTTAAATTACGATTTTTTTCCTGATTACAAACATAAATATTTGTAAAATATACAAAGAAGAAAATAAACACCACCAACACTCTCATCACCTAGAGGTAATCTTTTATTGTGATTTTTTTTTTTACTTGTCACACACACACGTGTGCACACACATATACACACAGAATATGTGTATAAATAGATTATATTTCACAATACTAAGTTCATGATAATTTGTTTTTTGCACCTTACATTACTTTACAAGCTTTTTTCTCTTATCATTATTTCTCCAAGTAGTTTGCTGTTCTTAATGGCAGAAAAGCACATTGTATATATTTTCATATTTCATTTAATCAATCCTCCATTGTTGGGCATTTAGGTTGTTTCAAAGTTCCTGATGTTATATGTATGTGCATTCCTGATTATTTCCTTAGGCTATGTTCCCAGAAGTAGAATTACTGTGTCAAAGGCATTAACATCTCTACAGAGCTTGAAAAATATTGTTAAATTGCTTTTGCGAGCAGCAACTTATGCCCACTTATACTTTCATCAGCCTGTACAAGATGCCGTATTCAACATCTCTCCTCCTCTTTTCTTTCTTTTACATTTTAAAAAATGCCAATTGTATTGCTAAAATAGTATGGCAACATTTTATTTTGTATTCTTTTTATGACTATTGCAGCTGAACATTTTCCCCCATATTTACTGGCCTTTAAATACTGTGATTTTTAAAAGACCAAAGTTGCTATTTTAAATTCCTTTCTTGATAGAAAACTTGAGATTATAGCTTTTAGGCCTTTAAAAGGTTAGTCTGCAGCATTTAACTTCAAAAATTCATTTATTTTGGACATATTAACATTGAGAATGGCTAAAATAGAAAGATTTCTCCTGGTTCTTGCTGTTTCTTCCACCAGTCTGACTCATTCAATCTGAGCCAAAACATACTTAATATTTCTAAATTGTGGGTGATAGGGAAAAGGGAGAATTAAAGAAAAAATGGATGTCTTGCTCCAACAACCTCACAATAATCAGATGCTACATGAAAGATTTTAGTTCAAATTTAAAAGTGTAAAACATTTGGATCTATGCTAACATTTTCCTCACACTATTTTCTGCCTTGCATGGTCAAATGAGGTAGTGAAAAACAAACACTATGGTCCTAGTTTATATAAATATAATCGCTTATTTATGAAAGTAATAGCATAAATATAATAGCTTATTTGTGAAAGTAGGACCATAGTGTTTGTTTTTCACTAATATTATATATATATCATATATATATAGCTGTCAAATCTATAGTTGAATCTGGAATAGATTTTTAAAACTCACGAACATTTGTGGACCCTTAGTACAAATTCGGCTGTAGCCCTTTTATAAACATTATCTTATTTAATCTCCTCAAAATATTTTAACTTTCATTATACAAAATGGACACTAAGGCTCAGAGAGATGAAGTGACTCACCCACCACTACAGGTCTATTTCACTGAGTGCTGGCCCTCCCATGTTCAAGTCATGGCATTGCCATGCTTAAGAATAAACAAGCAAATTCATCACAGGATGAGCATCACTGTTCAGGCAAGCAAGGCCGCGCCATGCCATTGGCTTGCCATGGTCTGAAAAGTGCTGGTCAGCCTGAATACTCCATGGTAGTCTCTCTTCTTGTCACTATTTCTGGTTCTGAGGAGCAGTCTATAAGGCTGAGAAAAGAGATGCCTCATTATCTCAGCACAATAAAGGCCACTTATGACAAACCCACAATGAACATCATATGGAATGAAGAAAAGTTGAAAGCTTTTTTCGTAAGATCTAGACAAGACAAGAAAGTCCTGCCCAGAGAGATTAGGCAAGAGAAAGGAATAAAGGGCATCCATACTGGAAAAGCAGAAGCTAAATTGTCCTTGTTTGTAGATGACATAATTTTACATATAGAAAACCCTAAAGACTCCATAAAAAACCCATGAGAACTAGTAAATAAACTCAATAAACTTACAGGATACAAATTCAACATAGAAAAATCAGTAGCATTTCCCGGCCGGGCATGGTGGCTCGCGCCTGTGGTCCCAGCGCTTTGGGAGGCTGAGGCGGGCAGATCACGGGGTCAGGAGATCAAAACCATCCTGGCTAGCGCAGTGAAACCCTGTCTCCACTAAAAATACAAAAAAAAAAAAAATTAGCCGGGCGTGGTGGCGGATACCTGTGGTCCCAGCTATTCGGGAGGCTGAGGCAGGAGAATGGCATGAACCCAGGAGGCGGAGCTTGTAGCGAGCCCAGATCGCACCACTGCACAGTAGCCTGGGCAACAGAGTGAGACTCTGTCTCAATTAAAAAAAAAAAAAAAAGAAAAATCGGTAGCACTTCTATACACCAATGGTGAACTACCTAAAAAAGAAATTTTTAAAAATCAATCCCATTTATAATAGCTACAAAAAATAAAATGCCTAAGAATAAATTTAACCAAATAGGTAAAAAATCTCTACAATGAAAACTATAAAACACTGATGAAAAAAATTGAAGAGGATATAAATAAATGGAAAGATATACTGTGCTTATGGGTTAGAAGAATTAACATTGTGGCCAGGCATGGTGGCTTACACTTGCAATCCCAGCACTTTGGGAGGTCGAAGCAGGCAGATCACTTGAGGTCAGGATTTCGAGACCAGATTGGCCAACATGGTGAAACTCCATCTCTACTAAAAATACAAAAATTAGCCAGGTGCAGCGGTGCATGCCTGTAATCCTACCTACTCTGGAGGCCGAGGCAAGAGAATTGCTTGAACGTGGGAGGCCAAGGTTGCAGTGATCCAAGAATGTACCACTGAACTCCGGCTTGAATGACAGAGCAAGACTCTGTCTCCAAAAAAAAAAAAAAAAAAAAAGAGAAAAGAAAATTGTTAAAAGTGTCTATACTACCCAAAGCAATCTATAGATTCAATGCAATTGCTGTCAAAATACCACTGATATTCTTCATAGAAATAGAAAAAACAATCCTCTAATTCTTACAGAACCACAAAAGACCCCAAAAAGCCAAAGTAATGCTAAAGAAAAAGAACAAAGCTGGAAGCAACATACTACCTGACTTCAAAAGGATACAAAAAAAAGGAAATTATTATACACTGTTAGTGAAAATGTAAATTACCATACTACAAAGCAATAGTAACCAAAACAGTATGGTACTAGCATAGAAACTGATACATAGACCAGTGAAATAGAATAGAGAACCCAGAAATAAATCCACTCACTACAAATTGGGTTCAGTGTATACTGCTTGGTTGATGGTTGAACCAAAATCTCACAAATCACCACTGAAGAACTTATGTAACCAAATACCACCTGTTCCCCAAAAACCTACGGAAATAAAAATTTTTTTTAAAAAACAGAAATAAATCCACTCATTTACAGCCAACTGATTTTCAACAAAGGTGCCAAAAACACACATTAGGTGCGCTGGAAAAACCGGATATCCACATGCAGAAGAATGAAACGAGATCCCTATCTCTCACCATATATAAAAATTGACTCAAAATGGGTTAAAGCCTTAAATGTAAGACCTGAAACTATACAACTACCAAAGGAAAACAGGAGAAATGCTTCATGGCATTGGTCTGGGCAAGGATTTCTTTGGACAAGACCTCAAAAACACAGGCAACAAAAGCAAAAAACAGGCCAGGGGCGGTAGCTCATACCTGTAATCCCAGCACTTTGGGAAGCCAAGGCGGGCCGATCACCTGAGTTCAGGAGTTCGAGACCAGCCTGGCTAACATGGCAAAACCCCGTCTCCACTAAAAATACAAAAATTAGCTGGGCATGGTGGCACTTGCCTGTAATCCCGGCTACTCAGGAGGTTGAGGCGGGAGAATCGCTTGAACCTGGGAGGCAGAGGTTGCAGTGAGCTGAGATCACGATACTGCACCCAAGCCTGGGCAACAAGAGCAAAAGTCCGTCTCAAAAAACGAAACAAAACAAAACAAAACAAACAGATGGGATTTTATCAAACTTAAAAGCTTCTTCACAACAAAGGGAAGACTCAACAGAATAAAGAGACGACCTACAAAATGACAGAAAATATTTGCAAACTACGCATCTGACAAGGGATTGTTAATATCCAGAATACAGAAAAAACTCAACAGCAAAAAAGAAAAATTTGATTTTTAAAAATGAACATAAGATCTGATCTGAATGACATTTCTCAAAAGAAGACATACAAATGGCTAACAAGTACACGAAAAAAATGCCCAGCATTACCAATCACAAGGGAAATGCAAATCAAAACCACAATGAGATATCATCTCACCCCAGTTATTATAGCTATTATCAAAAAGACAAAAAACAACAAATACCGGCAAGGATGCAGAGAAAAGGAACCTCTTACACACTGCTGATGGGAATCTAAATGAGTACAGCCATTATGAAAAACTACGGCGGTTCCTCAAAAAATTCAAAATGGAACTACCATATGATCCAGCAATCCCACTACCAGATACATATCTAAAGGATATGAAATTAGCATATCAAAGATATATCTGCACTCCCATGTTTATCACAGCATTATTCACAAGAGTCAAGACACGGAATCAACCTAAGTGTCCCTCAACAGATGAATGGATAAAGAAAATGTGTATATTTCACACAATGTACTATTCAGCCATAAAAAAAGAATGAAATCAATGTCATTTGAGACAACATAGATGAGCCTGGAGGACATTATTTAAGTGAAATAAGTCAGACTCAGAAAGACAAATATCACATAATCTCACTCATATGTGTAACCTAAAGAAGTTGATCTCATAGAAGTAGCAAGTTGAATAGTGATTAAGAGAGCCTAGGAAGGGTAGTGGGGTGGAGGGGATGGGAAAAAAGTTGACAGGTATAAAGTTACAGTAAGATAAGAGGAATAAGTTCTAGTGTTCCATTCCACAGTATGCATGGTAACTAGAATAAACAATAATCTATTAAATTCAAAATAACTAAAAGAGAAGATTTTGAACAATCTCACCACAAAGAAATTATAAATGTTGAGGTCACAAATATGCTAACTACCCTGATTTGATCACTATGCACTGTATAAATGTATCAAAAACACTGCACTTCATAAATATGTACAATTATGTGTCCATTAAAGATAAAACTAAAAAAGATACCTCCTAATAAATTACAGCAATGAGAAAGAAAAATTTGAAAAGAGGTGTCTCACAAGTACTGAGGAAGAGGATGAAGCCACACATTAAAATATAAATTTTACAGTGGCTTACTACTCTATCAACGAAAAACAAAACTCAAAGAAGCACAGGGAAAAGACGAAAGGTATGTCTGTTAGGTAGAAGGCTTTAATATTACTCAGAGTAACAGAAGCATCACTGAGACCTGAGAAGATGGGCCAACCGAGAAATCACATGAATGGTGGCTGTAAGAAATTCTGGTCGAGCTGGTCTGGAATTCAGCGATCAGAGGATAACAAAAACAATTGCCAGAGAACACAGCTGGACTAAGTCCAGACATAGCAGACCTAGAGGTCCGGTTTACAGGAAGGTAAATTCTCTCTCCAGGCTAAATTGCTTGTATGCACAAAGTAGCAGACAGTAAACAGAACGCAAGTCTCCTGACTCCCAACACCACTTCTTTCCATCACATCCATGTCCTTAGCTTGACCCTTTGAATGTATTTGCCTGTAAAATAAAAACTTTAGACAAGAAAGGCAATAGTGTGGGTTAAAGAGTCTTGATTGCTGGTTTGCTTTAAGCAAGTTGCTTACCCTGAAATACTCAGCTAACATGTTAAATCCTCAGGGGCACTTTCCTTGAATTCCAAGATTAGATTGGGTTCTCCAGCTCTCAAGTTCCTTGGGCTTCACCTTTGTAAGATCTGTTACAGTTTTAATTAATTAATTGTTTGATGATGGTAAATCTCCCTTACTAAACTCTAAGGTCTCTGGGAAGAGAGACCATGGTGACCTTGTCACTTGCAGTTTCTCCAGAGCCCACACAGTATCAAGCATATTGTACGCAGTCCATAGGTCCTGAAGGAATGGATGAGAAACTATATGCAACAAAGACTGTATCAGAACATTGTTATTTCATGTGGTATACAGTATCTCTATTGTACCACTAAGAAAACCGCTTAGTGCCACATCTCTTACAAGAGATACTATACAGCTTGCAGGTTATTCCCAGCTGAAATCACTTTTAATTGATTCCCAAATGTTCTGCTGGGGACAAATGTGAGGTTTAAAACTAAATGTATGAAGAAAAAAAAATCTTCTCAATGAGGTCTAGCCTGACCACAATACCCCATTAAAAACTGTAATTTGAGTATTTCCCCCAGACCCCACCATCCCCCTCTTTGACACTCATGACCAATTTCCAAATCCTTTTGGTATTCTCTAATTATTTTTCCTGTCCATCTTTTTCTGTCCACTCCTATTATTATCAACCTGGTTCAGGCCTCAATCTACCAGATGATGACAATAGCCTCTTAAATGGTCTCTCTCTCTATTCAATTTGTCCTCCATCAAATCCGAACAGCCATAAGAGCAATATCTGCACCAGTTTTCTGCACTTATTAGGTTTGCGCCCCTGGGTAAACTACTTATCTGTGCCTCAATTTCCTTACCTGTAAAATAGATCATTGACAAGTATTTTTAAATAATGCTAGTATATCATAATGTAAGTGCTGCAGGAGTTGAGAAGGGAGGAAGCTAGACAAAGAAGGACCCTGCTATGCTTTGAATCAAATAAATAAGAGCAAAGGAGAAGCACAGGCATGAATGTGATATTTGATGCACAGTGATGAGAGGGTGATCCCTAGGGAATGATGGTACAGTCTGCCTGAACAACAGGTTATCAAAATGAGAGTATCTGGAGAGAAGGCTGGAAAGATCTCTTGATAGCAGATTACCATATGCCAGCTTGATCTGTTTACAATTAATCTGCTAGACAAGGAGTTCCCTCTCCTATAAAAAAGATGATACTCACACCTCCAACTTACAATCTAAGCAGGATAAAGGGGAGTAAAATAAACGGCACACTAGAACACTACGTGAGGGGATCAAAAGAGATGACCGCTGTTTTCCATTCAAGGCCAAATAATTTGAAGAGTAGCATCATATTGGCTGGGCACAGTGGCTCACGTCTGTAATACCTGCACTTTGGGATGCCAAGGCAGGCAGATCACTTGAGGTCAGGAGTTCGAGACCAGCCTGGGCCAACATGGGGAAACCCCATCTCTACTAAAAATACAAAAATTAGCTGGGCATCGTGGTGCATGCCTGTAATCCCAGCTACTTCTCGGGAAGCTGAGGCAGGAGAATCGCTTAAACGCGGGAGGCAGAGGTTGCCGTGAGCCAAGATCAGGCCACTGTACTCCAGCCTAAGGCACAGAGTGAAACTCCGTCTCAAAAAAAAAAAAAAAAGAGTAGCATTACCAATAGAAATAACATTTAGAGGGTTTTTGCTAGTTTTAACTATTTGAGAAGCAATAATGATTAAACCCTAAATAACCATCTATGTACCTTAAAGTACTAGAAATACTTATTATTATATAGTTAGTATACTAATACTTAGTACTACTAATGAGATTTTCATCTACTCATTAAGGAATGTAACCCAAAATTACTACGTACCAACACTCAGTTCAAGCTTTTACATAAGGTGAAACAAAAAAATTTTTTTTTTTTTTTTGGTAAGACAGGGTCTCGTTTTGTTGCCCAGGCTAGAATGCAGTGGCGCAATCTTGGCTCACTGCAGCCTTGATCTCGAGGCTCCAATAATCCTCCCACCTCAGCCCCCAACTAGCTGCGACTACAGGTGCACGCCACCACGCCCAGCTAATTTTAAAATGTTTTGTAGAGACAGGGTCTCACTATCTTGCCCTGGCTGGTCTCAAACTCCTGGGCTCAAGCAATCCTCCTGCCTAAGCCTCCTAAAGTGTTTGGGATTACAGGCGTGTGCCACCACTCCTGGTTAAAAAAAATAATAAAAATAAAAATAAATTAATCATACTTTTCATTAATTCAAATTGGGCTTGTTCTACATACATCAAGAATAAAAGCATAAAATTTGATATTTATAAAATGTCTAAGAATGATTGTAAAATTAATCTTTTTCCTACAACTTTCTTAAGCTAACCTTTAATTCTGACCCCACTCTAAGCTATCATTATTTCTGAATTAGAATTGCTTTCAATTAGTGAGATTTATAGTCATACTTTAGAAATAAAAACATGAAATCTATAGTTTAGCAATATAAACATTACTACAGTCCTGGATTCGGCCCAGGCATAGACCAATTTCTTTCTCCTGGTTCCAGCCTCACTGCACTCAGAGGGCCCTTTACCACCCTGATCATAAAACTGCAGCGGCAGAACTTTACTGAGCGCCTACTAAGTGTGAGGCACAATTCTCAACACTTTGCACAAATGAACTCATTTAAACCTTCACAAAAACGTTAAGGAGGTACTATTACTATCATCTCCATTCTCCGAATCAGCAAACTGAGGCACCCAATGGGTAAGGGACTCGTCCAAGTTTACACAGCTGGTAAGTGGGAAGGCCAGGATTTGGCCCTATGCCATCTCAGTCCTGACCCACGATCTTGACCACCAAGACATCTTGCCTCTGAAAATAACAAGTTAGGGTGAAGAGACGCGTGCCACCTGCCAAAGCCAAGGATAACGCTGTCTCTGAATCTTCAGCAGCTCAGTCTAAGGGAACCAGAGAGGAAGTGCATCATCTGATCTGACTTAGGGTAGATTTAAATTTTTTCTTTACCTAATTCTTCAGATTAAACTGGCCAAACTAAGATTCATTTTCAAGATACATAATTTAAAAAATCAAAGTAACAAAAACTTTAAAAATCTAACCCTATTTAATTCTTTAGTATGAATAATCTTTATCAATTTTGGATTACAAACAGTATTTCAGTACACAATGTTAAAATGTTTCATAATTATTTCTTACTTAATGTAGCACTAATAAAAAGGCAACATAGTATCTTACATTTTCAGTTAAATCTTCCATGAATCCCCCCCAAATAATGAGGCCTTCCACAGTGCCCAATACTCCTTGTTTGAAGCGTTTTTCTCAGCAGTGATTATCCATAAAATCTATTCAATAACTTTCCCACTAGCTGTATCCTCCACTAGGTCAGGAACCAGACCTATATCGTTCTCTATTGTGCCCCACCATCGCCACAGTGTGGGGCCTTGGCAGGCATTCAACAACACGTACTGACTAACCCCACAGGGACTGGAATCAAGACTGACTCCACAGCCAGCATCTTCATTAAATACAGTCAAACTTCAACCACTTTGGGCTTCTGTTTCCTTGTGAAAGGGATCTGGAATCTCTGTCTCCTCCACCTCACAAGTCTACTGAGAGGTAAAGTGAGAATGTACTTTATAACTTGGTAAAGTATGCAAATGTACAGGATTATAAGAAGGGAGAGGAAGGCAACCTTCCCCAAGTGGCCCAGGATGGTTTTTACATGTGGGTCACTTTTCATACCAACTGGTAAGGCCTGGGGCATATGCTTTCTTGGTCTCCTCTCAACCTGGACACACTCAAACCAGAGGAAGGAAATATCAAGACCTCTGTCAATATAGAAAGAACTGAGTCTTAGCCAGGCGCAGTGGTTCATGCCTGTAATCCCAGCACTTTGGGAGGCTGAAGCAGGTGAATCACAATGTCAGGAGGTCGAAAGCATCCTGGCCAACATGGTGAAACCCCATCTCTACTAAAAATACAAAAATTAGCTGGGCATGGTGGCGCGTGCCTGTAATCCCAGCTACTCAGGAGGCTGAGGCAAAAGAATCACGTGATCCTGGGAGGTAGAGGTTGCAGTGAGCCGAGATCACACCACTGTACTCCAGCCTGGTGGCAAAGCAAGACTCTGTCTCAAAAAAAAAAAGAAAGACTGAGTCATTAAGTAAGTTCTCTGTCATTAGTATCTAATATTAGATTTAAAAAACATGTAACTGCATAAGCAATCAAGAATTTGAAGACAGTACCCTCACTGCCACATCGCTGATGTTAAAACAAATCAGAGACAAACAAAAAATAATATGGCATAAACAAATAGTACCCTCAATAATAAAACTACTCCACGAACTGTCCCATCAAGAGGTCCAGAGGCAGAGGGAACCCTAACAGGAATCAGCAATTGCATGTAGATATCAAAGACTAACAACCTTCTGCACAGACATTCTTTACGTCACCTTGGGACTTGCTCAAGATAAACAATTTCCCCATTTGAGTCTAATTACGTTTGTGTTTTGAGTGTTTAAGGAGAAAATATATAAGATGTGACCTACAGGTAAGCCCACTTAGGTTTTCCTTCTCATGCTTCTCATGTAAACTATTAACATCTGTACTGATCACCTTCTATATTTACCAATATTAAAGTGCTATGGATAATGCAAAAGCAAGATTACATAGAACTTGATCTTCTTCCCATACAACACTGTCCTCTACTATGAGAGGAGAGGAATTATTACAGCAGATTAATATTCTTGTTAGCACACTGAATTCTCAAAATGCTACATCAACTCCTGCTAAGAAAATGTGCACTATGGCTCATCCTGGCCGATGCTGAGCTGGCGCCTGTGCTCCAGCTGGCTGCCATGGTATCAAGAGTGCACACGCAATCGCCTCCTTTCAGCCATATGGACACTTTATATTTTTTAAGCACAATATTTCTATTTCCAATGAAAATCTGGAATTGCTTTCCAACTATCGATTGCTCAAAGAAGGCTTTGTTAAAATTAGTCACCTGACAGCTGGTGTCACTGCCACTTTAGACATAAGTGGTAAGTCCTAGGCACTGGGAGAAACAGCAGAGGACAGGCTCAGATCAGGAAAAGTGCAAAGGGGAATGAATTACTTCCCTCCAAGCCCTCTTTGACTATATAACTCCACACAAGAAGAGCTGCCATTTTTGAGGGCCTGTTATGTACCGGGTATCATGACTGGCACTTTGCATGCATTCTCTCTAATCTTTGCCACAAGTATTGAGATAGATAGCAGGAGTCCCATTAACAGATGCAGAAGCAGGCTTGGAAACATTAAATAAATTGTCCAAGGTCATTCTGCTGACATGTGAAAGAGCAGGGCTCTGAAATTCCAGCCATCTGCCTCGTGGCCGAGGAAGACTGCAAAGTAGCGGTTGAGGGTCTGAAGTCAGATTTGATCAGCTCCAGATACATTGCAGGAGTCAAAAATGCTGGAGGAATGCATATGGAGAGACAAAATGAGGAGTCAGAAACAAAGCCTGAGGTTCCAAGATACCATTTGGTACTCATTTTACACAGAGATGGGGGTGGATGAGCAGTGTGGGGAGAGAGGAAGCAAGTTTGCCGGGAAGTGAACCTGCTGTTATGAGGAGGGGAACAAGACACAGGCTTCTGTGGAGACCCAGGAGGCAGAGGGGAAGAGAACTGCGGAGTAGTCCCAGAAGTCAAAAGAGCAGAGAGTCACCCAGAGGGGGGATCATTGTGGCAACACAACAGGTAAGACAGACGTGGGCCTGGCTGTCAGGAATCCGTGGTCATCTTTGAGAGGACAAGGGCAGAGTGGTTTGAGGGAACGCCAAACTATTTTTACAAAGATTGAGAAGGCAGTAGATAAAGAGGAGGCAGACAGAGTGAGCATGCACAGTTGTTGTCAAATTCTAGTCGGAGACACAGTATTCACAGTTGGCAAAATGAAAGAAGTGGAGAGAAAGGTTTTCTGATAATAAAGCTGAATTTATTTACTTAAAAGGACTGTTGTTTAATCTGAGATTATATCCTGACTAGTGGGTTGAAATCTTTGTCTTTTACTAAATGACGGTGATATATTTTTATTATCAAAATAGTTAGCAATCCTGTGTCAGATCCCATTAAAAAAATTACACTGTTCTGTTAAATCTCCACATCTGAGAACATGGGGTAGAGTATACCTTCAAAAAGCCTGGCAACCAGAAGAGAAAAAGGGTGAATAGCTTGAGGAGAATACCAAGGTCAAGGGAAAGTTCATTCTGATGTTTTCGGGTTTGACTTATCTGGAAAATCTGAGGAGCTAGCAGAGAGGTAGACAAGACAAACAAAGTCCTTCTTCAGAAGGCAGCAAGGACAGCCACAGAGCTGAAGGGAGGGCTTGAACATAAAGACTTCAGAGACCTATCTACGTGGAGAGATGAAGAAGAGCCCGGGAGCGGAAGACCTGGAACAGTGTAAGAAACCCCATACATCGAAAACAGGCTCTTGGGATGAGATTCACTCATCCACAGAAGAGGCAAACGACAAAATCCCATGATCCTAAGAAGGAAATGAGGTGTCACAATAGGAAACCCTTCTGGGCAAAAATGAACACTGCATCTACTTGGCAATGCTATGTAAAGGGAGGAGGGCAGGGAGGAAGGGCCACAGGGCAGAAAACATAGGATCCTATTATGTATGAAAACCATGAATCCAGACCTGGCCAAGAATGGAATTCAAAAGCTATAATGAATAAAACAACTAGCAGTGAACAGAACAAGCATGTAAAAAGAGATGCTGACAGGCTGTAGTAAAATACTGAATGCTGTGACTTTGGGTACATTCAGTACATCATATTGCTTGATTTAGAATTATTTACTACTAGGATAAAACAAAGTCCTTGTGTGCCAAACAGGCTGGCTGATTAAGACAGTTTGAATGCCGTGCTGTGGGCTGCCTGACTCAATCCTGCTTAAAAATATCTGGAATTGTCAAACAAGACTAAATATGAATCCATGAGCCAAGTCTGCATTTGCTACCACAGCTGTTGTTCCGGGTGTGCAGGGGGAAAAAAATGTTAAATGGAGAATTTTTTTCAAATGCATCCCATTTATCATATTATTCCAACCACCACAGACTCACTGAGGAGGCAGCCAGCCTTGTAGACAAAGCCATAATTCCAAGCAGCCTTTCCAGAGCATACACAGGCTGAGCGGCATGGGTCTCCTGATGGTACAGAAGGGGAGGCAGGAAAGAGAGACGGCCTTTGTAAAATTTTATTTTGCACAATTCTTGGTACTTGCGCTGGCAGAAATTTTTCCTAATCAAAAAGGTTTTCACCTAAAGCCACAATTACCAAAATAACCCTTATACCTCAGCTTTTCCTCCCACACGGAGTTGGCTTAAATAAACACAAACATGTCCTGGGGTACAAGATGCTGATTCACACACACACAAAGTAAAGGTGAATTCCAGAATATTAAATGTGAGGTTTCATATGGGATAATGTGCAGAAAAAAATGTGGACAGTTTGGCACTTTTTACTTACTCTTCTTCCAAAACTATATACATAAACATACACACACACACACACACACACACACACACACACACACACGATTCAGGTTAATGGCTACTTCAAGAAGACAGCAATCAAATATCAAAAATGAGGGGAAAAAAGTTGTATTCATCTGATACATATCTTTCACTCAACATTACAGCTCATTTTAATCATTCCCATTTAATATGGCCAAAATTACAACTACTGGTATGTTCATACCAGAATTCTCTAGAGAAATGGAGTCTTCCAATGGATGAATGCTTTGATCCAGAAATGAAGTCTTTAACTTTCTCTGAAGTCTTCTCCACCTTCCTTAGGCCATGGGAATCTTTTCCTCCCCTGAACAGCAAATAAGCCTCTATGGTCAGGCTCACTCTTTCGGCATGAATTCAATGCTACCAGCTTCCATCCCTCTGTGCTGCCTTTCTAAGCAACACTTATCTTTCCAAATAGGATCTATGATTCTTGTCAGCTGGGACAGACATCCTACTATGTGTTCTCCTCTCACACGCCCGAACTATAGTGTTTGTCAATTAGAGACTCAGCCACAGGCTGAATGAGTCATTCAGACCCAAAAAACCTTCTCTGGGTAACACACAGAGAAGGTGAGAGGAGGGTGCAGGGCCAGGAGTGAACACACTTTTCCAGAAGGGCAGGAGAAGCCCTTTGGCCCAGATAAACTAGCTAGAACACTGATTCTCAATAGTCTCACCACTGTTTTCCAAAGCACATCCCTAATCCAGGTTTAATATAACCACTGGTTATCCCAGAGGCTGGGGATTCTCAAACTTCAGAGCACAAAAGAATCATCTGACCCGCTTAAAGAATGGTCTGGTCCCACTCCCAGCGACTGATTCAGCAGATCTAGGATGACGAGAAGGAATTTACACTTTAACCCAGCACTCTTGGAGATTCAGATAAAGGAGGTCTAATGGCAACCTCTAAAAAACACTGAGGGATTTAACTTTAGTGGTTCTCAGCTCTGGCTGAGATCAAAATCACCTGGGACCACCGTCCCCTGAGAATTGGAAAAGTCAGCCTGGGGTAGGACTCGGGCATTGTTCAAGGACATTAACAACAACACCTACATGCAGGTAGGTGAATCTAACATGCAGTTGAGAACCACTGCCAATGAGGACCTGGCCATTTTATTTTATTTTTTTTTAACTTCTATTTTAGGTTCAAAAGGTACACATGCAAATTTGTTACATGGGTAAATTGTGTGTCACAGGAATCTGGTGTACCAGGTAATCAGCATAATAATACCCAATAGGCAGTTTTTCAATCCTCAACCCTTCTCTCACCCGTCACCCTAAAAGCGGCCCCAGTGTCTGTCGTTCCCTTCTGTGTCCATGTGTTCTCAGTGTTTAGCGCCCACTTATAAGTGAGAACCTGCATTATCTGGGTTTCTGTTCCTGCGTTAATTCCCGTAGGATAGTGGCCTCCAGCTCCGTCCATGTTGCCCTGCCCATTTTAGTGTGGTATCTGACAATTACTCATGGCTCCCATCCACACTTCACCCCCATAATAAAGCTATTTCTGCTCTTACATTGAAGCAGATCCAACCTTTAGAGCCTGCACTGAAGGCTTTGTTAAACTGCCTCCAATGGGAAGTAACAATAGCAATGTGACAAGGGAAAGCTGTTTTGTTTAGTTGCGGATGGGGAAAGGAGGTGGTGGGAAATGGATGAAAAGCAGGACTGTTTGGATCTAATTTAACTGCCTTCTCATTTTGAAATAAAATTGATCTTAAAAAAAATCCTTCTACTATAATACAAGTACATCTTTTCAAAAGTAACCCTTTAAAAAAGATTAAACCAGAAAATGGAGTACAAAAAGCATTCTAAAAAGAATTCAAAAACATGTTCACATTTTTCAAAGAAATACTGTAAAGAGCTTAAGAGCTTAAAAATTATAAGTTGTCAACTTACAGATGAAAAGGTAAAATATTTCTAATACATTTAAACTTCATAAAAGGAAACATATCAGAACTTACACATTGAAATTGGTATTATCCCCTTCAAAGTATTCATCAATGAAGCATGCACATATATTCTTCTGGCTCTGCCATTGAATGAATGTTTTAGTCCTTTTTTAGAATTATAATGAGTGGTGCTTATGACGTACTGTTATGAGAAAATTTTGCAGAACCAGTACTGTCTTACAAATTATAGAAAATTCAAGACTGAGAATCAGAATAAAATATATAGTGTGTTTCAGCTGAATCTCACTCTGAAAATGATATACTGTGGGATACTGGATCAATTTCTATGTCCTAAAGCAATTCTCATAGGCACTGTCATCCAAACTTAGGGTGAAAGGGAGAGAGAAGGTGGAATGTTAGCTTTTGCTGAGGTGGAAGTAACCAGTCACCAGTTTTCTCTTGGTCATTGGCTATGGTTGTGACCAGCATGGGCTCTGGCCACTTCAAGCCTGTTATTCCATGTTAAGTGTTGAGGACCACAGACAGACAGTGTTCCCTCGCTCTAAGATTATAATATTGCATTTATCCCATTGTGTTTCCAAGTCTATTTCATTCTGGGATTTTTTTTTAATTATAAAGCAATATATAGTCATTATAAAAAGTCAATAGAAACAAGTAAAGGAAAAGTCAACAACCTGCCCCTCCTATTTCCAGACTCTCCCTACCCTGGCAGAAGGATGCCAATGTTGGTGTCACAATGGCCTGGTAATCCAGGTCATTATAATAGATGCTTGAATTTTGAACTGGGCAAAAATAATTTTCTGGACGTAGTAAAGCCATTGTTCCACGGACTTATCTGAAAAAGATCATAATGTAAAGACATCCTTTCGGTCTAAATGCTGTTTAGGGTCTTGACCCAGTCAGGAAATGCTCAGGTTCTGTCATGCTATTTTATGAATGGCTCCTAGCTGCAATTTAGAGTTGCATGAATTTTCTTAAAGTTGCATGCATTTCTTAAAATGCAGACTCCTGGGTTCCTGCTCTGGAAATTTGGATTGCATATTCCTTAGGAGGTAGAAAAATGCAATTTTAATAAGAATTCTATATAGGTGGTTCCAGAGCCCACTTGGGAGAAACAACTGCTCGAAGTGAAGGAAAACAGGCCATAATCCAAAATCTAAGTAAAAATAATTCTTGCTTCCATCACTCCTGAATGTCCCCTTTCTCTGTGCTGACCTTCAAGATATTTTTCTCTATCTTCCCTTTCAAACCTACAGAGGCAGCTTTGTCCACATGGTTTGAATGTCTCTAGGGATATGACCGTGTTTTGTCCTCTCTTAGCCAAGAATCTTCCTTCTGCTATACTTGTGATAATATCCCAGTGCCTGACATGCAGAGAGTGCGTAGTAAGTTTCTAGACTGTATAGAAGTAATATAAGAACTAATTAAAAGATGTGATATTTATAATACATTTTAAGTTCTTTAAAAGAAGCATTTTAAAAACTTAAAATATATTACAAATATTACATCTTATAATTCCATGGAAGTGCTACACCCATCATCTCTGATTTATTCTCTGCCAGTCATCTACCAGTTTCTAAATGAGATTAACTTTATCTACATAATTCAATAAATCTGTGCCTCTAGCAGGATAAAGGGGCTGTAAACCCCATACCTTGTCACACAGCACCATCCATATAATAAGCATTCCTACAAATCAAAAAGTGACAAAAATGGTGCTCTCCTCTTGTATCCAGTTTATCTCTAAAATTACAGTGAAAGGGATGGAAACAATGGTCCCAAGGGCAAAGCCTAAAAAATCACTCCATTCACTCATTCTTTCATTTATCTGATTATTTAAGCAACTGATATATGATGGGCCCTGATTATTTATGTCAGGCCATGTGGCAGAAGGTAAGGAGGCAAAGATGAATACAAGAGGGACAGTCTCTGGCCACTATGATCTCATAACACAGAGGGGGAGAGGGTTATCATAAAAATAAGCCCAATACAGTGTGACACCAACATTGGCAACCCTCCACCAGGGCAGGGAGAGTCTGGAAGTGGGAAGGGCAGTCTGTTGACTTTTCTTTTACTTGCCTCCATTGACTTTTTCTAATGACCATATATTGCTTTTATAATTAAAAAAAAAAAATCCCAAAGTGAAATAAACTTGGAAACACAATGAGATAAATGCAATTAGTAGAGTCTTAGAAGGAGGGACTACTAACTGCCTGTGGTTCTCAACACTTAACATGGAATAACATACCTGAAATGGCCAGAGACCACCCTGGTCCTAACCATGGCCAACGACCAGACTCCAGAAGGAGATAATTGGTGACTAGCTACTCCCACCTTTTGCCTACTGGGTCTGCCTTGTAGTGGCAACAGCAATGCCTGGATGGCTTACACCCATGCCAGACGCTGATCAAACATGTACACATTATGAGCAGAGTGTTATGAAATTCCTCCATTAATTATATCATTGTTAGCTGTCCAAGACACATACCACCAGAATAATTGCTCACATCCCTTAGAACTGGCAGATCCAGCAGGAAACAGTGATCGCTGCTGTTTCCTCAAGGTAATTGTGGATATGTTTCAAGCCTTCCTCTGATCTTTCAAAAACAGTCAAGGGAAAAAGCATAAAACAACAAGCAATGTGGGCTGTGAACCACTTTTGACACTGTCTTTGGTGTCACAGATGACCTCCCAAATGCCAGATCCAACGGAAACTTTTCAGTGCACGTTTATTGACTACTCTGCCCCCATTTTACACCACAGCCCTTCTGAATGTGCTGCCCTGCCTTAAGTTCCATCATAAAAGCTCTCGAGAATTTCTTTGTTTCCCTGCCTGTTGCTTCCCAGTCTCTTACTCAAGTTTCTTTTCACCAGTCCTTTAACAATGGTGCTTCCCAAGGTTCTGCCTTTCTATAGGTTATGCCTGGGCAGTTTCACCGATGACAACGCTTCATCCATTAATCTGCACAGTAGCTCCAGCCCATGCAATCAGTCACCTCCATAAGGTTTAAAGTGATGACCTCTGCTCTGTCGTTCTGTTGCTTGGCTCCCACACTACCAGTCCCCACTGCTGACCAGTCTTCCTGCTGTTCCTTCTCAGAATCTTACAAGGGCCCCTCTTTCTCTGCTTTCCCTTGAGCAGGGATATTCTGCAAGCTCATCTGCCTTTCCAATTCCATGTCCTCTCCCTGACTGACTTCATTCCTACCTGTGGCTTGAACCATCACCGACAGATGGATGACTCTCAAACCTGTATCTCCTATTAAAGTTTCTCCCCTGAGCCTCAGAACTTTATATTCATCTGCCTACTGAACAGCTCCATCTAGATACTCCAACGGCATCTCACCCTCCACATGTCCACAGATAAACTCATCTTTTACCCTCAGACCTGATCATTTCTTCAGCCTCTCCCATCTTACCTGTGGTGGGAAGTGGGAACTTATCCAGACCCAAAACCTCTCCCTCCCGCTCCAGCAAGCTACCAGCTAGTTGTCCTCATGCCTGGTCCAAGATCTTCTCTTCTACTGATCCCCTCTCAAGGCCCTCCACCCCTGACATAGATGCCTGGCCTCCCACATCCAGGCTGTCCTTAATCGACTTCATGCTCCCTGCTAGGGCCAGGGTGATATGTGAGCCATTCCCCTGCCTGAAACCCTTTCATGATTCCCCACAGCTTTCAAGAAAATATTCCTTAGCAAACACACAAGCCTTTTGTGATCTTGCTGTCATCTCCCTCTCTAGCTTCATCTCTTTCCACCGGCTCCAGTAATTTCTTGCATTTCCCCAAATTCATCATGCTATTTCAAACCTTCAGACACACATTCATGTTATTTCATCTGCCCAGAAATGACCTTCTGAGACAAATGCAGATATTTGTCTCTATCTGCATCTTGCTGCTCAGAGCCTAAGTGTCATGTTTCCCAGGAAGTCTTTTTGATACTGCTTACTTCCCCCAAAATGATGGAGCATGCCCCACAACCTCCCAGCTCCTTCAGGAATACCTCTGAGACAGGACTTTCCACACTGTCCTGTGTCATCACGGATGGACTTGGTCCTTCCACCCTTCTGGCCTAAATCCCTCAAGAGCCACTGCTAAACTGATTTATCTCTAGCTTCTAGCACAGAACCCAAATTCATGGCACTGGTTAAATGTTCATGAAAGAATAAAACTCATTCTAAAAATTCGTTCCTGTCCCTACGTCCCTTATCACAATGAAGCATACACTGTTGCCAAGACTTTCACTATTGCTTGCTGTGCTATTCATAATGAAATATGTGGCCTTTATTTAGAACATTTCTTTGAGTTTATCTCTTACAATTTGGATCCCTAAGGAAGGACAGAACAGTTGCTAGCACAGTAAAGAAGGGTTTTGGAGATAAGAATAAACTCAACTGGCAGTGAGAAAGGGCTCCAGAAGACCAAAGCATCTGCTCAGAAGATGCCAATGAGCTGCAAAAAGGAGACCTCTTTACCATGCTCCAATTGTTCAAAACTGAAGGCTGAGTAGTTTGAGACAAGACCCAAAGGCAGGGCCCTGATGAGGAGGAAGAGCAGAAGGAATTTATCTTCTCCAACGACATAATGCATAGCTCCTGAATAGAGCAAGGACCTAAAAGGGGGCTGGGGTGGGGTGAGGAAGGCCTTCTTAAAGCAAAGGTGCTCCCTGTGATTGTGATAAAGCACATTTCCATGGCATTTGACTCCACTTATGGCTAATGTCAAATGGGCACAGGTCCTTGCCATGCTGTGGCCCATCAGTTCCTACCCAGGTAAACAGGCACACCACAATACAGGCAGCACATTCAATGTAAGATGAGGAAGCAGGAAATTCCAAAGACTCCCTCAGGTCCCCGAGGTGCTTGCTGCTGTGCCAACTTCGTTTCGGCCTCTGCAGAGAGACTTCAGTCCTCCTCAGCCTCTCTGGTGTTACTTAGGTTTCCCCACTGGCTCTGGGCTACCTTTTGTGTTGGGCCTGTGTTGAGTTACTGGCACTCAACCTTCCAGTTTTGCCTAATTTGCTCAGACCCACTTGTTCATCTTAACCCAGCACTCATTCATTCACTCGCTGAATGGAAGGCTTGTTCTTTAACATTTTGTAAAACAAAGATTAAATACTTCAAGACATCAACTGTTAATGTTCATGGTATGATACTTTCACCAAGCACCTCTATAAGCAGAGTGTTTTGTTACATAAATACAGGCTGATTGCTTCAGAGTATCTTTTAAAAGCTGCACATTTGTTTGGCCTGCCTCTGCCCACATTCTTTCCCTCTGTACCTACATGGCCCTGGGTACCAGGAAGCCCAAATCAGGTAAAGACTTTGAAACTGCTTACTCACCTCTTTCTTCACTCTGTCTGGCTGACTTTTAACTTATCACAACCTTCTGGAAATCCCCCTGTCTTGTCGATTATCTACCACACATCAACCTTACCTTTGAAACCTAATAGCTTCCTGTTGATGTTCATGTTATAGAAAAGGCAAAAGTTATTGATTAATCTGCCTTTTTAAAAAACTTGTGCTTAAGTGCAAACAATGGCATGACAAATGCTTACAACCTATGTTAAGTGAATAAAAAGCAAGATAGGAATATCTATTTGTTAAATGATCCCAATTTTATAAAACAGAAATGAAAAGAGAAAAAGATAAATAAAATGTACAAAAATGTTAATGATTATTTCTGGGTAGTGGGATATAAATGTTTTTATACTAGGGAGACAGAATTATGATTTTAGAGTTCAACAAACTTGAGACAAAATACCAATTCACTACTCATGAGTCACACAATCAAAGTTTCTAACCTGAGACTCAGTTTTGTCACCTGTAAAAAGGAGATGGCAAGCTTATTTCTCGGAGACAGTTTGAAGATTAAATGAGATAATATAATACATATGAAGTACTTAGCCTCATACCTGGTACACAGTAAGCACCCAATAAATATGTTGATGAGAAGGATTCACACAGTTCTCTTTGCTTTTCAACAATGTTTCTTTATATTTCACTATTAATTCTCAACAAAGAACATGTACTTTAAAGAACATAAACCAGAAAATAAATGATCCTAATAACTGATTTCTCTACCCTTCTTGGAGTGCTCTTCTTAGTCTTCTCAGGGATAGGTCAAATTTAACTCACTTCATTGATACCAAGTTAAAACAAGGAAACCTGCTGAATTAACGCTACTCTATATTGCAAAGAAGAACTTCAAAGAGGCAAGCTTATTGGCTGCTTGAAGCAGAGCCTCGTGTAGTACACTACCAGTGAGACAAAACTTGGTGGCTAACCAGGTCAGAGTTGACCAGTTGCCAGGTCAGTTGGTTTGCTCAGAGAAGATATGACTATGGAAATGTGCCACACTAAGAAAATTTCCTTGTGACCAATGTGAATGCTAATGGAACTAGGTACTGATGTCATCACGTTAGTGTATCACCTCTCCTCAGCACCCATATCAGAAAATTAGATGCCCCATCACAGTGCTTAGTGAATATCCACACCTTGAGAAAGGATCACGGGATGATTTTCATCATCAGTAATCAGAGATGGACAAAGTCATCTCCATAGAAGAAAGCTACACCTGCTTCCAAGGGACCTGGGACACTCATGTTATCAAATCCCTTTACTTTTCCTTCAAAGGTAAAACCAATACATTCCTAGTATTTGTCTTTCCTGATTATCACTACACTTCTGGCAATGCTTCAACCTTTTGCCAAGACAGCACAACAGTTACCCCAGAAATGTTATGTCAGATCTTTCTGTGAAAGCTCTTCTACTTTTTATGGGATGATACCCCATTTCTAGCCATAAAAGATTTACACGCTGGGTGCAGTGGCTCACACCTGTAATCCCAGCACTTTGGGAGGCCAAGGCAGGTGGATAACCTGAGGTCAGGAGTTGAAGACCAGCCTGGTCAACATGGTGAAACCCCGTCTCTACTAAATATACAAAAATTAGCTGGGCGTGGTGGTGAGCGCCTGTAATCCCAGCTATTCAGGAGGCTGAGGCAGGAGAATCACTTGAACCTGGGAGGCAGAGGTTGCAGTGAGCCGAGATCACACCATTGCGCTCCAGCCTGGGCAACAGAGCGAAACTTCGTCTCAAAAAAAAAAAAAAAAAAAATATGAACCACCTGTTATTTATGTAATACCACCTGAATGTTGGTATTCCCCAAATTCACCTGTTCAAAATGAATGCCCAATGTGATACTATTAAAAGGTATAGCCTTTGGGAAGTAAGTCAGGAGGACTCTGCCCTCATGAATGGGATTAGTGCCTTTATAAAAGACACTCAACTAGAGGAAGATGGAACAATAAAAAGAAAATAGAAGGGGGTAATACGAGCTCCCCTGCCCTTCCACAATGTGAGGACATGGCAACAAGGCACCATCTTTGATGCAGAGAACAAGTATTCATGAGACGCTGAATCTGCCAGCACCTGGATCTTGGACTTCCCAGCCTCCAGAACTGTGAGCAATACATTTCTCTTGTTTATAAATTATCCAGTCTAAGGCATTTTGTAATAGCAGCCCAAACAGACAAAGATACCACCTCTTAGAGTTGGCCATTTCTACAGGTGGTTGAACTTATTCACTAGTAGTTTTATGGGTTTTTTTGCAAGTTTAAATGTCTTAGGATCACTTTTTCCAGTTTTTATCTTCAAATTCAGAGGGTAACTAGTCTATACACTGTCCATCCTTCCTCTCAAAATAACTATCAGCTCTGCCCTTATTATCTTCAATAAACTCCAAAAACAATGAAAAGCACCTCTCCTCCTGGGTTCCTTATCTCAGGTCCATCACTAACTAGGAGTATGATTTGGGGCACATGACAACTTCTTTAAGCCTCAGTTTCTTCATCAGCCATCCCTGAGATGCTAATAGCCACACCTCACAGAATTAGTGTGTGGATTAAATGACACATGTGGTGAAGCAGGACAATGGCTGGCATATGGGTGCACAGTATCTAGAAGTTGTCTTGAGCCGAAACCTCACTTGTATCACTCTATCCCTCATGCCTGCTTGTGTCCTCACACCCACCCTGTATTCTTACTTGGACAGTCCTCTCGCAGCTTAGTTCAGATTTTCATGATCCAAAATGAAAGATGATAGAATTACAGCATCTATACGGAGTGTTCATTCTATGAAAGGCACTATTCTAAGTTGTTTATGTTAATTTTTCTAACAAAAAGCATACTTCTAATTTAGTGGAGGTATTTACATGCACAGCCTCTTTTAAGAGTCAAAAACATCTCTATACAGTAGGTGCTATTAAAATCATTTTACAGATGAATAAACTGAGGCAGAGAGAGATTAAGCAATTTGTCCAAGGTAGTGATCCCTAGACACACACACTTAAAATGATGACATATTGCCTAAAGTGAAGTACTTCAAGGATTCCTCAAACATAAACCTCTAGTTTCTAAAACATATTTTTTAAGAATGTAGTTTTTAAAACTTCAAATAAAAAAGTCGCAAACACTTGCATAGGTTTTATGCTAACTATTAACTTATCAGTGGCCATCAATCATGTTAACTTATGTCTAGGTTTATGCATTTATGTGCAGTTGTGGGAAGGCAGGCTACCCTGTCCTCTTTGGACAGGCATCTGAGTTTCCTATAAACATGTTACTCACTAGGAAGTTGTGAAAGTGCAATGAGATTTTGTGTGTGTATGTGTGTGTGCGCATGTGTGTGTGTCTGTGGTATCTATGTTTACTAGGTGTGATGGTTACTTTTATATGTTAATTTCACTGCACCACAGGATGCCAAATTTAAACAGTATTTATTTCTAGGTGTATCTGTGAGGGTGTTCCTGGATGGGATAAGCATTTGAATTGGTTAGACTCAAAAAGGAGACTGCTCTGCCCAATGTAGTGGGCATCATCCAATCTGCTCAGGACCTGAATGGAACAGACGATGGAAGGAGGAGGAATTTGCCCCTTTTTGCTTCATGCTTGCCTGTTTGAGCTAGAACATCATCTTCTCCTGCCTTTCTATTGGAATTTCCACCCCTGGCTTCCCTGGTTCTCAGGCCTTCAGACTCAGACTGGAATTACACCACTGGCTTTCCTGCAGAGGGCAAATCCTGGAATTTCTCAGTCCCCAGAAATATATGAATTAATTCCTAATAAATCTGTCTCAGAGAGAGAGATTAGGAATAGATTCATATATATATGATTTATATATATATATATTCACGTGTGTGTGTGTGTGTGTGTGTGTGTGTGTGTCCTATTAGTTCTGTTTCCCTGGAGACATCTAATAAACTAGGCTTGAGTGTGATCAGTGGCATAAAACCACATAATTCCAGCATTCAATTAAGTGCCAGGTGTAGCAGATGATCTAGTGGTCATCAATGGTCATATTTCTTCTCCTCTTCTAGCTAACTGAATTTCCCAGCTCCATTCAATTAAGTCAGGGGCATAAAATTGGCCATAGAGTGTTGATAGAAATGGTGTACACTACCTTGTTGGCATAGTTCGTAAAAATTTCCTAGATGCAATTCTCCTTTTTCTTCCCCTCCCATAAAGACTTTGTGGCCACTAGTTGAATAAAGATGTGACATCACAAGAAGAAAGAAGCCTGGATCTCTGAAAGACTCTATGGAGCACAGCCTCTTACCACCTACTTCCCCAAGGTAATAAGCACACACACTCTAAACTGTAAACTGAACAGCAATAAAATTCCTCACCGTGTTAAGCCACTGAGATTTTTAAATCAATAGCCTATGCTAATGCACAGAGCTTAACATTTCACCTAGCAAAGCAAACCCTTTGCAACACAGTATCAGCTATATAATAAAAAGAGAAAGAATCCCATGACAATTCATATAGCTTTGTTATTATTATGCACTGAGTTTTAGTTATTATGTTCTTTGATTTTTTGATGAACCTTAAAATTTTCAGTGAATAGTTCACAGAGAAGCACTCAGATATCTGCATTTTTAATGATATTGTTGACTCCATAAAGCTACAACAAACATTTGAAATAAATTTCTAACAAACGACAAATGACAACCCAACTGAGAAACCCACTCATTGACTCCCTCTAAATTTGCTACCAAAGTATAAGAACTGTTACACTGCTTGTTACCAACATCTAATCAAAAATGTCTTTTTCTTCTTTCATGTCTTTTTCACATCAGTTGCTACTGATCCTAGTTACTGACACTTTTCTGAACATAATGAGCACTTCATTTATACCACAATATAAGTTATTATATTTGTCTATTGTGCCTGTAGAGTTATTTGTTATTTCCTTAAGGGATAGAACAATTTAGCATAGAGCCTTACATTTAGTAAGTACTCAATAAATACTGCTTGAAGTAAAAAAAAAAAAAAAGAAATCTTATTATGAGCTACAGTTGTTAACTGTAAGCATTTTTTAAAGTGCCAGAGTTTTAGGCTTTTTCAAACTGAAAAGAATACAGAATCATTTTTCTTTTTTTTAAAAAGGGACTTGCTCTATCCCCCAGTCTGGAGTACAGTGGCATAATCATAGCTCATTGTAAACTCAAGTTCCTGGACTCAAGTGATCCTCTCAAATTGGCCTCCCAAGTAGCTGGGACAACAGTCACACACCACTATGTTTTTAAAAATCATTTTCATTATTCACTTTGAGCCGACACCTTAGTTAGATTAAGGACTTATTCAACACTTATAAAGCTAATTTAAGAATCATACCATTTCTATATTTAATCTTCAAATTGCAGTTCTTAGTACTGCTTTTCATTCCCTCTTTCCCTCTTGGCTCAAGTCCCTTTCCAAGATTTGTCTTTTCTAGCTCAGTAAGAGGAGAGCGCTGTTTGCAGTGGTGCGAGCATGTTGGTGTTACCATCCTGACAAAAAGATGCCATCCAACCTTCAGCTGCCTGGAGCCTCAGCACCATTTGGCTCAGCCAGATTCACACGGCAAAATGGGTGGCCTCAAAATCAAAATGATGTGAGCACTGTGGCTGGAAACCATCAACCTGATACCTACAGAAACGGCCTAATTAAAAAGTGAGCAGAAACTGTCATCCCATATGTTAGGGTTTTGTTTTATTTCAGGAGAAACCATTGCAATTATTTTTCCTTCCATAACTTAGCCTGTTCGGTTAAATCCACCATTGTTTTAGAAAAGTCAAGATCTAACACAGAGCGTAGCATGTACGGATAAAGTGAATGAATGAGCTAGGGAGGGATGGAGTACGAAGATAAGGAGCTATTTAAAATAGACAAAACATTGAGAGAACCTGTAACTGAATGAAGAACTTGTTGACTTAAAAAACATATTCAAAGGTGTTGTTCTCAAACTCAGATCTATCACAACAAACCTGCTAACTAAAAAAAAAAAAAAAAAAAGCATAGGCCGGGCGCAGTGGCTCACGCCTGTAATCCCAGCACTTTGGGAGGCTGAGGTGGGTGGATCACCTAAGGTGGGGTGTTTTAGACCAACCTGATCAACATGAAGAAACCCCATCTCTACTAAAAACACAAAATTAGCCGGGCTTGGTGGCACACGCCTGTAATCTCAGCTACTCGGGAGACTGAGGCAGGAGAATCACTTGAACCTGGGAGGCAGAGGTTGCCGTGAGCCAAGATGGCGCCACTGCACTCCAGCCTGGGCAACAAGAGCAAAACTCTGTCTTGGAAAAAAAAAAGAGTAAAAGAAAAAAAGTTATGTAAGCCTACAACTTATTCATCAGTCATAACTTTTCTGATTACAGAATATTAATATTAACAGAATAAAGAGGAACGGCAGTTTACTCTTCCATATATATGTTCTGACAAAGCAAGTGGAAGGAAGATCACTTGACCCTCTGAAAGCAGACCGAAAAGACCCTTCCAGATGGGAGCAGAAAAGGACTATGGAATGGCAAGAAGAAAATGGGTAAAAAGTGTAAAATATACTCATCAAAAGAGACATATGTGTAAAGTTTATCCCAACGTTTTCAGCGTTTGAAATGGAAACCATATCTTCATGTTTAAACAATGCTCGCTGAAATTTGCAGAATGGAAAGGTGATTAGAAAACATCACAGAAGCCTGATTCCTCTTCACCCCTACTTTAAAGGTAATTATAATCTGAAATTAAAATGTGTGTAGAAGGCAATTTATTTTTCTACATTAACTCTTCTTCCTAACAAAAGAGAAGGTAAAGGTTAAGGCAGAGAGGAGGCTCACAATGGGAAAGCGGATATATTTGCAAAGCAAGAATGCAAGCTTTGGGCTCAACACTGCCCAGCCAGCACAACCTAAGGTACAGTGAGCATAGAGGCGTGCTCCCTTTGCTGGATGTCTCCTGTGATATTTTAACAATGACAGTGACAACAAAACTCTCCTACTGTAATGTATGAAGTCCAGCCACTGGGGCAGTTTGCTAAAGAAAGTGCTAAATTTGGGCCCAAATTAGGCTGCAAGAAAGGAGAGAACAATGGCTTAATTGTGGCAAGTCTGAAGTCCGCATGGGTAAAAACTTGTTTCTACCACACTTCTGGTGTGTGTGTATACAGTTATTACAAACAAACAAAAAAGGTTAATTGTTCATAACTAAGTAGGAGGACTTTTAGGCACACTAGAGTTACCACTTGCCAGAACGAGCTCTTTTCAGGGCATAAACAAAGTACCATGATTTGATGCTATCATTTCAACAGGGTTCGAGATTGGTTTTAGATCTTATGAAACAAATCCATAGCTATAGACCAAACATTGATCAGCATCTCGTGGTTGGACAGAGGACAACTAACCCAATCATGCACTCAAAGTCCAGCCTCTAGAAGAGGCTTTAGATGAGACAATGTCCCTACTGGTAGGCAGTCCACTTAGTCTGCAGTGCTGTCCTGATGATAGTGATGATTGTACTAAAACTATCTTACCTTTAAGTTCTTGTTAACTCAAGTTGATGAAATAATTAGTGAAGGTATGCAGTCTCTGGACATGTTTTTTTCTATCTGCAGTTCCATTTGCCCCATAAGAGAAATAAATTCATGAACTCTTTGGCACATTATGCTAATACTGACAAGTATTTCCTTAACTTCACCCATCTCTATTTCACCTTCACAATTTTTGCCATCCTGGTGTAGCCCCTGCATTCTTTATCATTTGCCTCATTCTTTTAAACTGACTTTTAAAATTTGGATGAGATTTTTAAAGGAAGAAAATTGTTTTAAATCACTAACACGAATTCAAAGCTATTATCACCACGAGATACAAAAGATAAATGTAACAAATACAATACAGTGTTATCAAATTTTACAGATGCAATCCAAAAGGAATAAAATTGAAAATAAAAGGATAACTTTCTCACCATGACTCAAAATTTAAAATTGCTGTTTTGCAGTACCAGTTAAAATCATCTCTAGCAGTGCTGGTAGTATACACCTTACACTTCGGGGAAAACTGAACTAAATGGATAATGACATAGTACTGTGATGTAAGTCAAATTACAGCATAGATTATAAAATTCAAATTACTAACCCTTGAGGCAGGAATCATGAAGCATTAAGAAAGTCTGCCCTAGATTCTTGAATAGCAAGATCCTACTATGCGATAATACCACTTCTCACATAATCAGAGGTCATTTTCCTCAAGCAGCTAATAATCAGTTAGCAGAGAAAGCAGATACAAGTTCCAAGCATTGAAGCATACGCATTTCACCACAGAAAACTGTTGCAGAACTTAATTCTAAGTCTGTACACTTTTTGTAGACAAAATGTTACCAGCAAATTCAGATATCTAGTTCATATACTCCAATCATCCTCTAATCTATGTTCAGGGGAAACACCTAGTTTTTTTTTCTCATATATGTTTTAGACATTTGCCTGTTTTAAAAAAACAAATCCACCAAGTTAAGACAAGAGAAGTGTGTCACTTTCCTTGACTCTCACTGGGCTCATACAGGGAGCAGGGTCTTGTCCCACTCCGCAAAAGAAGGCCCAGCGGCATCGGAAGGGGCCTGCCCAAAGTCGACCGCGTGCTGACAGCAGAGCCAGGGCTCCGAGCCAGGGTCCTCTCTGCTGAGCACATCTAGTCATTCTGGGGAAGAGACCATATGCACTGTGCTCATCCCAAGGCTCTCTACTTGTCCTTCAGAAAAAAAATAAATAAATCCTTGCAGCTTAGATAATCCATAAGCACTGCCCTCTTTTTCCCTAAACTCATGCTTCTCTTTTCCAACACAGCACACAATTCCCTTGACTTTGCGCCTAAAATGTCAGAAAACAAAGCCACAAAAGTCAGTGTTTGAAGGTCTTGGCAGTTCTTGGCCCAGAAAGTGAGGCTGTAAAAACTTCTCTCTTCATTTACAAACGTCTTTAAAGAGAAACGCAAAACCTGGGTTTTCTCCTCACTTGAGCAAGGAAACATCCAGAAAGGTCTAGTTTTGCTTTTAGAATCAAAGCAAACGTGAGCTAAAGTCAGCTCCAGCATCTTACCCTTTAACAAGGAATGGCCGGAAGATCTCCTATCTTCCACATGGGAGGGTGCAGGGGTGCCTGAGGGGAGTGAATGTGGGCTCCTAACCACAGGAAGCTGCTGAAGGAAAGTTAGCAGCAAGCCTGCAGGTGGTGATGTCTAAGATCCTTCTCCTTGGTGTGGCTGGGGACCAGCAGGGTTGGCATCCCCTGGGAGCTTCTTAGCAATACAGAATCTCCAGATCCACTCTGGATCTACTGCAACAGAATCTTCATTTTAACAAAAGTCTCAGATAATTCCTTGCACATTCAAGTATGATAAGCATTAACTCAATGGACTTTCTCCTCCATGGCCAAAACAATGCAAAATCAAGAACTAAGGAAGGTCCTATCATGACTGGCCAGCCCTGGTTATAACCCTGCTACAAACCACTGAGGCGGGGCAGGGACCCAAAGGAACAGCTTCTGATCAGAAAGTAGGCACCGCCATCTGGGGCAACAGAAGACCAGAGGCCCACACAGGCCTCCAGGCACCAGCCGCAAACCTCACAAATGCCTGCACCTGTACAAAGTCAGGTTCTCACATCGCCTCTCCAGCTGCAGGATTTGTGACTTTTATTTGCCTACTCGGTTACCTAGGGTATTCAGATTAACATAATTTTATCTGTCCAAAAAATGAGTGGAAGCATACTGAGATCTGCTTGACCAAGAAATGGCCTAAGACCCCTATACCTGTTGGTTACAGTAAATAGTGACCTTGTTCTTCTGCTCTGTCACCTGCACAGATTCGTTCTTTCTTTTGTTTGTTTGAGACGGAGTCTTGCTCTGTCGCCTAGGCTGGAGTGCAATGGCGTGATCTTGCCTCACTGCAACCTCCACCTCCCGGGTTCAAGCGATTCTCCTGCCCCAGCCTCCTGAGGAGCTGGGATTACAGGCACGTGCCACCAAGCCTGGTTAATTTTTGTATTTTTAGTAGAGTTGGAGGTTTCACCATGTTGGTCAGGCTGGTCTCGAACTCCTGACCTAGTGATCCCCCCGCCTTGGCCTCCCAAAGTGCCGGGATTACAGGCGTGAGCCACCGCACCCAGCCCAGGTTCACTCTTTCTTTTAATAACCTCCAGGAAAGCCCTGAACCTTCCATGCTGTCTTCCCCTCTACCCCCACATCCACCACACACATAATGCTACTGAGCCAGAGCCAGGCCCTGTCAAGAAGGGAAGGGAATGGTTAACTCCCTCTCGGCATTTCTAAGAGAGCTGGATAAGAAGGTGAACGTTCTGCAGGATCCCTCACAAAACTCCAACACTTGCAGAAGGAAAGGTTGAAAGTGAGCGGGGAAAAATACAACAACAACAACAACAACAAAAAGCAGGGTAGGTGTTCCAAGGAGCAGAAACATTTTTGTGTCCTGATACTGTCTTCAGTGAAAGCCTAGTTTCTTTTATCAACGTGCTGGAAGGTAAGGGGACACACGGGAAGATGCATGGAGCCCTTCTTTCTAGCTACAAATGTTTGAAAAGAGCTGATGTGGGAACTGGTAAAACTGGCAGCTGACTAGTGCTGACTTCCCACGGAGCATCCCATTAGAGTTAATTACGGGACTGGGAACTTTTGAGCTGTATGGTTTCCTTCCGCCCAAATAGTCAGAGCCAAAACTTTTCGTCTTTCTTAAGTATTTCTGTTTATTTCTAATCCCCATTTCAAAATTGCTATGTATTTCTTCAGATTTTGTGACTTTCGTGACCATTTTACAAAGTCACTGCTTCCTTGCAGAGTTAATAGCTAGTCATTCTTTATAACTTAGGTAACTGCTAGGACAAGAGAATCATTTCAATCACATATACCTTGGGAAAGTATTATACAGGCTAGTTTCTGAGGCAATTCTGGCCTGGCCAGACCCCAGATGCCCACCCCACCCCATACTCCAGTGTAAGCGAAGCTGCTCATCAACAACTTCTGTGCTGAGGGGCAGGGCCATGCTTTGTACTGGTTGCCATCCAACTCCCAGGGCAGCCAACCTTTAGGGTGGCTGGTAACCTGACCTGTACCCTATGTCTTATGATTGGCATAAAAAGATAAGTTGGGTCAACCACTCTTCACTGAGAAATCCTTCACTGGCAAACAAATGCTGCAGCAGGGGCAAAAGTCAAACTGTACGTAAAGAGAAGTCACAAAAAGAGGCCACCACAAGCCAGTTCCAACAGAGCAGTTCAGTGAGGAGGGAAGAACAGAGAACCCACAAACAGAAGTGGACACACTGGAAAAAAGAGGCCATGAAACCCCCAAGATAGTGTCAAATGCAAGCTTGGTGCCACTGCTTTTGGTGCATGTTAATTCCACCCCGCCTTCCTTACAATCAAATCCACTTTATCTAAGTAGATCTGGGTTCCCTGCGACCAAATAAGCCACTCTAAAACAAGACACCCTCCCCCAAAAAAGTTTTGTTTTACTTTTTCTAGTACCTTCAAAGTAAGAAATAATTTTCATGCAAAATAGAAGAATGTCACGATCACATGGCTAAGCCAGAAGACAGTTTCTAATTTATGGAATGTAACAGATAAAAACAATTTAAAACCTATTAGAAGTTGTTAGAAAGGAGGAATCATTTTTTTCTTCACCATATTTCCAACCAAGTACTGATTACCATTGCTGTATTATAACAATGACCCACAGAAGAATTATATGTCTGGGACCTGGGGTTTTTGCCAAAAATATCAGACTGAAATATACAGACCTAAAGATAATCAATTCAGAAGAAACCTATAGATTTTTGTAGGAAAACAGAAGCAAAACACAAAATAAATCAGGTATGTAATAGGAGAGAAATAAAGGAATTACCTTTTTAATAAATAATTCAGACCTTGTTCAAGACTATCCTAAGGAAATTGTACCAGGGTCCTTACAAGAACTGAATTCCATCACTAGATAGGACCACTGGGAGTTGCTACGTTAATTTAATAAATCAAATATGCTACAACAAGGAGCAGTACCAGCCCATTTGGGAAGCACTCTAAGGGGTATAAAACTGAGGGTTAAACCAAGGTACCCATTTAAAAATGAAAGGCATTTGAGTATCCCATTGGGGTATCTATTAGGATGCCCTATTCAAATGTTCAGTAAAAATGAATCAATAGTGGGATCTGAAAATCAAAATAAACTCACAAATATACCACACAAATTGAAGTGGGCAAAGCCACCAGCAGCCTAATTAGAAACACATTAAGACAGAAGATGCCTGAACGCAAGCAGGTCTGTTCACTACAGGGAGAGCATACCAAGCAACTGAGACACAGCCAAGAGAAACCAACCCTTCCCCAGGGCAGGTTTCCCTTGCCACAGCAGCACCCAAGCACTGGACAAAAACCATGCCACCAGTCCTCAATATCATGTTCAGCAAAATAAGTGGACAAGGTTAAATGATTGCCCAGCCCACTCTCTAACTCTAGGAATCAGATTGAACTTATTTGGAGAAAGCTGTCTCCTAAAACTTGTGTTATGAAATTTTTTTTGGAAAATGCCTATAAGTTAACTGACCTATTCAAAAATGGCATTAATTTCACCCCAAGAATCATATAGTTTTCCCATAACTATCAGGGAAAGCACCTCCAGTAATATTTATCTAGCTATATTTGGGACATGGATGAAGCTGGAAACCATCATTCTCAGCGAACTATCACAAGGACAAAAAACCAAACACCGCATGTTCTCACTCGTAGCTATATTTACTAAAAACACCCCCAGCATCTGAAGAGACAAATAGGCAACCCAAGTGGAATCTTTCTTACCATTTCGAGACACATCTAGTTCCACCAGCTGCATGAAGTTTGCTATTTCTGGAGGGAGCCGCTGAATTTCATTATCACTAAGTCCAAGCTTTCGTAATTTGACTAGCTGGAAAAATTGCTGAAAGACAAAAGAGTTTAACATAGATTTCACATATGTTTGTATCATAAACTTTTGGGCTACTATGAAATGTAAAACAATGTCTTTTAAAAACTAATGAAGGTTGTAGCAACATCAATTTCCTAACTTTGATGGCAGTACTGTAGTTGTGAAGATGTTACCATTGGGAAAAACTGGGTATAAGGAACCTCTCAGTACTATTTTTGAACTTCCTATCAATCTACAATTATTTCAAAATAAAAGGTTTTTAAAAATTAATGAGCAACTTAAAGAACAGTCACTCCTTTAAGCTATCCAGTAGACAGAAATATCGACTTATGAAAATTGACATTAAATCTGCAATGCTAAAGACATGTAAAAATGTCTTTTAAAAATATTATTTAAATTTTAAAATATTTTAAAAAGACATTTTTTAAAGAAATTATTGTATATCAGAAAGTATAATAAATATCCCACAAATGTGTGCAAGCAAAAAATATATTTTTGACCAGTCTAAAAAGTCTGCACTGGATACTTCCATCAACCATGGCAGACTGAGTACATGCTCTTTCCCCATACTTTTTAAAAACTGTATTAAAATGACACTAAAGGAATTTATATACACATGAACATAAATATAATGTGAAATAAGCCCATGAAGACAGAAAATGAAAGAGTACAAAAAGCGAACTAGATATGCAACAAAATCCTTTAAGCTAGAAAACAGAGGGATGAATGGTAACTAACAAACAAATTGAAACAAAGCTGAAATTTAAGCCTGTGGGGCGAGTAGCCAATAAGAAACTAGGTCCAGGTACCTCTGAGGAAAGGAGAACTGATTGAAAATTTATATAATGAACAGTTAAACTGCCATATTCTCTTCTCTACCCTGCAGAGCCAGGCAGGAGCCTGGAAATTTCCTCTCCAGAAGAGGTAAGTCCTACCACAGCTAAGCACAGCTGAGGGCAGGGGGTAACATAACCATGCTAAAAACAGGGGACTGAGACAAAGCCTGGTCAGTAAGATCCCACCCTCTCTTCTCCCTGCATCCCGGCTCCTGGGCATGAGCACAGACTTGCAGACACTAATCTTCCTATAAAGAAGCTTCAGGTTATAAGCCTCACCAACACACGGAGCTTCCAAACAGGCCCACCTCATCTGATCTCCACTGCCACATGCAAGAAAGAGAATGTGCGCGCACGCACACACACACACACACACACACACACACACACACACACACACAAACACATACCCCCCCACCCCAGAGGAAACAAACATGATGCAGGGAGCAGAAAAAATAATTCCTCAACCAAAAAATAATTAATATCCTCAGAGAAATCACAGATGAAGCAACATAACACCATAAAAAGCATAATTAGAAGAATTAGAAATAAGCTTTCAGAAAGTGAAAAATATTGTAGCATTGATAAAAGAATCCCATAAAAGAGGTGAAAAATAAAGTTAATAGAGTCCTCAGAAGGTGGAATAAAAAGACAAAAAGATGGGAAAGTGGGAGAAAAAAAGAGAGGAAAACTAATGGACCGGTTCACAAGGTACTACAAAGTAATTCGTAGTTGAAAGAGAGAAATACAGGAAACTGCAGGACATGCTTTTTCTGGTTTGAGAGGGCCCACCATGCGACCAATAAAATGAATGAAAAAAAAAGTACATACCAAGGCATACCATAAGATGTTAGAACTCCAGAAATTAGATTCTAAAAGTTTCCAGGCACAGGAAATAAAGGAAAAAGGTCTTAACAAAGAATTGGGTATCAGAATGGCACTGGACTCAAAAGCAACCTTGAAAGTAAGAGGGCAATAAAGCAATGCCTTCAAAATTCCAAAAAAATCATTATTCCCAACCTAAAATTATATACCCAGCCAAACTATCAATTAAGTATGATTACAGAATAAAAACATTTCAGTCACGCATGGTATCAAAAAGTTCAGTTTCCTTGCACCTTTCTCAGGACTCCATCAAAATATGTAAGTAAACTTAAAAGAAAAACAACCTGAGATCCAGGAAACAGAGAATCAACAAAACAGAGAAAGGCAAAGGAAATTCCCAGAATAAAATCATGAAGGGAATTCCAAAATGTTGCTTGAATATCAGGCCCCAAGAGCAACCCATCTACACTGCAGCAATATGACAGCTCCCAGAGGGAGGTTTTGAAAAAATAAATAAAAACACACCTGAGGAATTATCTGACATGTTTGGAAGTATCAAAGGAAATTTGCAACTCTTTCAGAATGTTTGGTGATAAATTAGAAATAGGCATAAAGAAAACAAAGCAAGCAAAAGGAAAGAGGGTTATTAATTCCAGGGAAAATATAAAGTGAAAGAATATATAATCATAATATAAAATTTGATTATGAACAGTACTTACAGTCATAACATTATAATATCTATATTGGTAAAACCAAAATTTATGTTATGTCAATATTGAGAGAATGGGAAAGAAACTGTAAGAACTAAAGCCTCATCTTCCACAAAAAGAAATCCATAAATAACTCAAAGAGGAAAAAAAATCAAGCCGCAAAAGTCATTTAGCAATATGGAGGCAAATATTCGCAGAAATAGTCAAAAGCCAGAAACCGGAGTGGGGAAGGAGGCAAGAGGCTGCTGTTTTTCACTGTCACACTAAACAGCTTATTAGATTTTTAAACTATTTGCATACATTACTCTGCTAAAAATAGAAATTGAATTTACAAATGAAGAAGTCTCTACTAAGATTACAGGATGCTCCAAATGTTAATTTTGTAGGATGCTAACATTTAATAGACTTTATCTTTCTTTTTTTTGTTGGTAAAAAAGATTGTATATTTATATAATCATACAATTGCCTCTTGGAAAGCAATTGAGCAATACGTAAAAGAAAAAATCTTTTCAAGTCCACTGAAATACTTCTGGACACCTGTCCTCATAACTGAAAATAATGCACAAATACATCTTTGCACTATTATGTGTAAAAATAAAAAACTAGAAAACATACATTTCAAATAAGAAAAATGATTGCATATTATTAAATAATTCAATATTATGCAACAATAAAAATAAATATTATAAAGACCACAGAACTTGAAAAAGATTTACCATGCAAATATAACTTAAAAAGAAAACAAAATTGCTGATACACTACATTAAAAAAGCATGTGTGCATGTGGACTGACAGGAAGAGAACAAAGAAGAAAAAAGCAGTTATGTTGGGTGACAAAGATAATGCATGAATGACTTTTTAATTTAAAAACCATATTTTTTTAAAAAATAAAATGAACTATAAATCTCAGCAAATGAATGCTACCAATTAGCTATACAAGATGATGAGGAAAGTGCTCAACTACAGGACTAATCCTTTGCATTTCTTTACTCATGCAGTTGAGATTTAATTTCTTAAGGAAAGATATTGAAATGTCTTTATACTGGCTGAACTAAAGCATCAGCCAGCACAAAAGCCATTCAATAGAGTCACGTATTTGAATAATTGAGCTTATGCCAATTGTACAGAGTCTTGACAGTTTCATAATACATCAATGTGTTTACTCAAGCATGAAAAGCTCACTTTGTTTTCTAGGAAAGGCATAATAGCAAAACTACAAAACCCATCACCATCTCCATACATTCTGGGACCATTCAGAAATAAGACAAGAAATCAAGTCAATAAGGTACTTAGATGTACAGTGAATAATAAGTTCACTTTACATCTGTGGAAACGATAACCTACAAATCCTCACATCCAATAGAAGTCATAACAGCATGCAAATTTAAGGTTTGGTTCTGCATGTTACCAGCATCCTCCACTAGAGCCTGTCACAAATACTACTTTATTCAACTTGGGAAGTACATGCCAGATGTAAAAACAACCCCATCTGACATGATCCCAAATGAAACCAGTAATTCCTTAATCCTTCCCTCATTATCCTGATGTGATCTTAATATGGTATCCAAAGATCAACACAATGCCAAGGAAACTGTATTAAATTCTCAAATATTCAGCTTCCTTAGAGAGTCAGGAAAAATAACTCACTAAGCTATAAACCCTTCTGCCTTGCCTTTGAGATCAGCCAGAGCCCATGAAAAACAATTCCTGTAGCTGTCTTGGCAGGAAGCCTCAGTGCAGTGCAACCATGTGACAGAACACACAGACACCATTCTTCAACTCTACCATGTTTGATTATAGCTCACTAACCCACTTAGAGCACATTCTGTACAATTATATGCAAAGGAACCCAAATTGCCTCGGGTTGTTATGCTACACCCATCTTCTTAGAGCCACCATTGCTTTTAGTAGATACAGCCTTTAATTTGGCTAAATGTTCTCCCATTCTCCATTTCTGACAAGATTCTTTTCCTTCTTTTTTGGTAAAGTGTTAGTACCTCCCTTCTGCTTTTTAGAAAGGGACAAAGAAAATCTCAGTCCTAGAAGAGCTGGGTCCCCTTTTATTATTATATGGCCAAGGATCAGTCAATTGTCCCCCAGTTGCCCAAACTTCTCCTCTGCAATATAGAGAAAACATAAACCATTGTTACAAATTCAAATGGAGAACAACTAATGTAAAAAATGCTATTAATTCCTGAAAAACTATGGGACTCCTAACTATAATAACACCAAATTTACTCACAGATTTCCTTCCCAGAGACATTCTAACCTATCACATACATCTTGACCCCTTTTCATCCTACATAACTCTCATACCATCCCTACTCCGGTCCCCATCAACCTAGACTGCCTTTTTGGTCAACCACCTGTATGTGGTTGCATGGTAAACCAACAGTTCTAATCTCAAGGTAAGATGCACAGTACACATCATTTGTGTCATCTGGTATTGTTCTTTTCTGTGAGACTTGCAAAAAGTGACTGTGACTTTGTTACCCAGAAGTTATACTACTAGGTATAGATCTTTAAAAAAAAAACTCTCACATATATTTTTTCCAGAATATATATATAAAAATGTGCTTGAAAGAATTATTTATAATACCCCAAAACTATAAAAACCCAAACACCCATAAATAGTGGATCTGATAGAGGTATTATACATTATTACAATGAAATTCTACACAGCAATGAAAATGAAAGCTTACCGTTAGTTATGACATGGATGAATCTTAGAGATAATGTTCAGTGAATAAAGCCAGGCACACAAAAATGCATACTATATTATTTCATTTATATGTTGAATAAATCACCTGAACTAATTTGTTTACAGATGCATACAGAGGCAATAAAACCCAAAAGGATAAGCAAAGAGTGATTCCTATAAAATCAGGTTAGTGGCTACCTCTAGATATAAGAGGGGGGATTATGATCAGGAAAAGCATTCAATGGAAGCAGAATATGTAATTTGATACAAGTTTTTGGAGTCATGGTAATGTTCAATTTCTTAACCTGAATGGCAGTGACAGATGTTCACTTTATAATTTGCTGTAAGCTGTAAATTTATGCTTTAAGTTCTTTTCTATATATGTGTTTTATTTCACAATAAAAAAAACTTTTTAAAGTTTTAGACTACTTACTAATTAGGAAGGAAAATACCAATTACCACTAAGGACATCCAATTATTTAATTCATCAAAGTTAATAATATTAAAGAGCAATGGCATTAGATCTAGAGGAGGAGGGAGAAGCGACCATTATAACCAAAACAACAATGATAATGATAATAATACAGCAGTTAACCTCTACTGAGGGACACTATATGTTTGGCAGTAAGCCAAACACTTTACATGGATTATACTCTTTAATCATCTCAAGGTTGCCGCAATACTGATACCTACGCATATAAGTTAGCTTTTACTGAATAACAAACCATCCCAAATTTGGTGGCTCAAAACTACATGGATTTTTATTCCTCACGTTTCTGTGCGTTGGTTAGGTAATTCCGCTGCTGCTCTCATCTGGACTCATGCATCTACATTTGGCTAGTGTCAGAAGGGCTGGAAGATCCATGCTGGCCTCACTGCTATGTCTAGCAGTTAGTGCCAGCTGCCAGCTAGAGCTCCTCTGTGCTCCACAAGGCCTCTGTCCTCCTCCCTTAAGCTAGAGTGGCTTTCTTATATGAAGCTCCCAGAGAGCATTCAAAAAGGGCAACGGCAAAAGCTGCAAGGACTCTTGGGGCCTAAGCTTGAAATTTGCCTGATGTTGTCCTTTCTGCCAATGGAAATTGGTCAAAGCAAGTCACAAAGTCGGCCCATATTTAAGGGAGTAGAGAAATCATCTTCATTTATAGATGGAAGGAATGGCAAAAATCATGTTAAAAAGAGGGAGAGGGTGGGAAAAAATTGGTAGATTAAATGAGGTAGAAACCTCAGATATGCCACAGAACACACATGAAAACTGGGTAGATTATGTACAAAATTCTATGGTTGATTATAGAGTAATGACTTTTCTAAAGCAAATCAGAAGAGAAAATAATACACTGAATAAACTTTGGCTAAGATTCTTTATATATGAAAAGGATATAGACAAAAAGAAAAGGCCAAGAAATAGTCACAGAATACTGAAAGAACTAGTTTGGTTAAAGCAGATAATTCAAACAATCATATCCCACATCCAGAATTTGAGTTTGAAAGGGTTTTAGCAAACACTCATAAATAAGTATTAGTTAAATAAGCGTGAATGAGACACTTTTTGTCAGTGTGTTTGGTAGAGGTGTGGAATAGGAATATCTCTGGGTGAATCACTTAACTTCTCTGGTCCTCTTGTTTTCTTGTGAAAAAATAGCATTAAATGATAAAGGGCTCTTTGTAGCTCTAAAAATTATAGAATTGCATTTCAAAATACCTTCCCTGTGCCAAAAGAAAAATGAAAATCCTGTTAGCACACAATATAACATTAAGCATGAAGTTAAAATGCATAAAATTACAGAAAGTAGATTAGCAGTTGCCTAGGAAATGGAAAACGATGGCTAAAGGATATGGGGTTTCTTTTGGGTGATGAAAATATTCTAAAATTGATTGCGGTAATGGTTGCACAACTGTGACTTTATTAAAAACCAGAGAATTGCGCACTTGGGTGAATTGTATGGTATGTGAATTATATCTTAATAAAGATGTCAAAAATGCACAGAATTGGTAGACATTAATGAAGAAGGAATTCCTATTAGTAAGAAAAGACTGGGCTGGGGATACACAGATACTTTTATTTATTTATTTTTATTATTATTATTTTTTGAGACGGAGTCTCGCTCTGTCGCCCAGGCTGGAGTGCAGTGGCATGATCTCGGCTCACTGCAACCTCCGCCTCCCGGGTTCACACCATTCTCCTGCCTCAGCGTCCCGAGTAGCTGGGACTACCGGTGTGTGCCACCATTTTTTGTATGTTTAGTAGAGATGGGGTTTCACCATGTTAGCCAGGATGGCCTCGATCTCCTGACCTCGTGATCCGCCTGCCTCGGCCTCCCAAAGTGCTGGTATTATAGGCACAGATACTTTTATTTAACTGAATCTCTATAACCAAGTGAGGTAGAGTTTTTTTTATCTCTAGTTAACAGATAAGGAAACTGAAGACCAGCAACTTTACTGGCTTCCCTGATACTGCAGACCAGTTAATAATATTCTTTAGGAAAAATTCCCAAACAGAGCCATGCTGGAGGATCACACAGTAGAAATCCTCAGATAACTACCTGCTAAACAAAAAACACTGGTGTGAAACTACATTCTAATCAGCTAACCAAAACTAAGTCATGCTGGAGGTGGAGGCGGGAGGGTAAGCTAGGAAAGAAATAACTACTAAAATTACCAATGCTGTCAGATTCCATCTTGATTGACAAGTTGCGAGCGGAAGAAAAGAGCATGCTAATGAAACCTACATGTGAGAGCACATAAGTGGGGTTGCTGCCAAACCAATCCAGACAGAGAGAGTAGACATGCAAGAAATCTAGACAGATAAGAATGAATCAACTTCTAGAGGATCAGGGGCACAGAGATATAACAAACATCCCGATAAAGCCTTGGGCAAGGGAAGGCTGAAAGAAACAGGGAAAGCAGAAGACAAAATTTGATACAAGTTTATAATACGATACAGCAAAAGGGCATACAAAGAAAAAAGGCTCAGCTAGGTCTAGTTTCTGAAGGCAATAGGGGAGGTATCACAGAGCAGCAGGACAGTCCTGGAGAAACTCAAAAGGATGACACTGTTCAACTGGCAATTAGAATTTTACTAATGCTGAACAATTTTCATAGACACAGAATGGAATTCCAGAGAATCACAAATACTTAAGAATTTGAAATACTGATTGACAAAATAGTTTATATTCATGTACTAATAGGCCAGGTGATAGACAATAAATATGAAATAAGATAAAGGGTTCAATCTCTAAATAAAACTAACCATTTATTCTATAATCTGAAGAGATATTTCTCCCTGCCCATCTATTTGCCCAGAAGACAAATACATGAAAGAGATCACAGGGGGAAAAAAGGCCTCTCCTGCTCTAAAATATAATTTTTAATAGGTTCATGTTTCAGAGGCACAAGTACCCTTTTCTTTATGCAACAAAGGAAAGAGTGCTGACTCCTTTCCTTGCATGACCAAATTTCAGAGAAGCAAATTAGTTTCCACTGAGTGTTAGCATGTGTGTGCTTGAGCATTTATAATAAAGATGCTTACATTTATTTTGTTCAAAATATTTATCTTTCTAATTTTTCTGGCCTCCCCTAATACCTTTATCCTCTCATTTGCTGGTATATTTTAATGTTTCCAAGGTGCTTTCATGCATTATTAAGCTGTCACCATTAATGATCCTAAACAAAGATATAAATGCCCCAAGGTTGCCCCCCATAATTAAAATAGCTCAAGGGTGAATCACTTTGAAAACCAAGAAACCAGGCATGTTTTCTGTATTGTGCTATGATCAGAAGGGTGGATCAGACTGGTAGTGGCAACTGCAATCACTTGGAGAAAAGAAGCTTTTACTAAAAGCAAAATGGATCAGGACAGCATTACTTTACTGGTAACTTGACTGAAGGGATGAGCTGTTGACATGGGAGGACCAGACTGATGGTGCAGATGGAGAACTGATGAGAGCTGGACCAAGCAGGGTTGGTACCTCAGAGGGAAAGATCAACTATGAGGAGAGAAAAAAGATATCGAACTGAAACTAACAATAGGGGAATGATTAAACACAGGATGGCAAATGCATACAATGAACTATTATATGGCCATTAAAAATCATGTTTCTGGAGAATATTTAATAATATAATAAACACTATGTTTTAGGGTTAAGGGAAAAAAGAAATGTAAAATTGTATATATGTACAGTATAAGTCCTATTTTATTAAAAAATGTAATAGAAATTTTAGGGAGAAAAACTGTTTTAAAAAGGTAAATCTGCTGAGAAAAAAAGGAACTTAGGCCAGATGACAGAGGATCATTCAACTTCTTGGTATTGATGTTTTGTACGACAGAAAATCAAAGATTCTACTCATCTAGAAAGGGTTGTTTTTCCTGCACATTTTAACCAAATGTATCATCAAGTAAAACTTGAAAAGAGGGGGATATAATCTGTTTACATACAGAAAAGAAAAAGGTTCTTTCAAAAAGCAGTCAAACAGATATCCAATAAAGTTTATTACAGTGTTTTTTATATTTTGATGTGCGATTTTCAATAAGGTTGCATTTTTCACACATTGTACTCAGGAAAGCATTACATGACTCAAATGGAATAAAATTTTGTTTAGTGGGCATTGTGCCGTGGATTCAATACAATTTATCCAAACTAATAGCAACAACAAGCACCACATACATACTATGCCAACTATGTGCAAGGTTTGAAAATGGAAGAGATTTCAAATAAAAAGTAGTCTTTATTCCTAAAGGACATCCAGGAAATGACACAGGAGAGGTGGATCAATAATTAAAATACAAGGTAGAAAATGAAAATCATAATGAGGCACAAACTGCCATAAAAGGATAACAAATGGCTCTTGTCATCATAAACCTTATCTGTTATGCTTCTTCCGAGAAAAAAACAAAAGTCAATTAGGCGATTTTATGGTCAGTCACATCATACCAATAGGATCAAAGATTCCTATGAGGCATCAAGTAAGAATGGGTTGTTCAGAGGAACTGCGTTAGGAAGATTCTTTCTGAATTTTCTCAGCAAATACACCAACATTAAAATCAGCACTCAGAGTACCTTCTGAAGTGACAGGCCGAGCAAAGAAAAAACTCACATAGGCAACACTGATAAGTCCTGATCATGGACAACAGAATACTTTAGGATTACCTATTATCCATGAGAGAATACCTTAGTTAATGTTTTTAATCTCCTTAAGCAAATACGTCGATACCACCCCTAGCCAAGGTTTGATGTTTCTGGACAGCAAGCAAGAAATGGAAGACTCAGGCATTGACATAGTACTTCAAAAATTAATCTGAGTTGACAGATTACAATCACTCAAGAATGGCCCATAACTCTCTAAGGCAACATTTAATGGCACTTTGAGTGCATACAAATTGTAAGTAATGGAGGAAAGAAAAGGACTTTATCTCTTACTCTAAGTAATGCTGAAGATGACCTAACTGTTTTAAACCATTATCAGGAGATCTTGAAGGGTCAGGGAGGGACCTGACTAACCAGTTAATACAATTTATTGCAGCCAAGAATTCATCTCTTAACAAACTGCAAGATGGATTAAGCCCAGCAATGGTAACCATGATATTGCTATATTTATTCTGGAAAGTTTGTTTCAAGGAATGCCAAAGCACTTTTCCAAAAGGGGCGGGAGGGTATGGTCAAGCAATAGAATATCGCAAATACTAAGAGAACAAATAACCCAAATATCAGATGCATACATACTGAAATCCCACAGGATTCCAAACAATTTAAATATGCAACTTGGCTTTTTGCATTTACAAAGAAGTCATGTGAACTGGATTGACTATGTAATGCCGTTTGTTCAGACTGTTAGGCCCTAACCAGATTTCAGGTATTCAGAAATACAATGATCCAATTATAACCATTGTAGAATTTAATAGTGGAGAAGGGCTTAACTTGCCTCAAAACATCTTCTAACATATTCTAAATATACATAAGCTAAAACATATATTGTGGTATTTCCACAATCAAAATTTAAGATTAAAATTGTGTGATTTTATTATGTTGGTGCAAAAGTAATTACAGTTTTTGCCACTATCTTCAATGGCATTATTCAATAATAACTATATATTATATATATATATAAAATTATAATAACTATTATTCAATAATAATGCCATTGAAGATAATGGCAAAAACCATAATTACTTTTGCACCAACATAATAAAATCACACAATTTTAATTGCAATAATGGCATTATTGAATAATGCCATTGAAGATAATGGCAAAAACCGTAATTACTTTTGCACCAACCTAACCAACCTAATTGTATAAGGGTTCCTCTCCAACCAGATAGGTTTACATTCCAAAGTGTTTACAGCTCCTGTAAGAGGCAGTCTTGCACCCTGAAAATAAATCCTCTCTAACATTTAAACTTCTCACACATACTACATTCACAAAGTTTCCTACTGGTTTACCAAAACAGTTAAGTAAAAAGGCAAGATGGAAAAAACTGAGAGTATATTCCCTAGCAACTCACAAACAGTTATGCAAACACGAAACAGATCTCATGCTGATCACCACATTTTGGCTCCACAAACAGAACTTAAATATTAAATTCTAATATTAATCCAGATGAAGAACCACAAAGACAAGGCCTAATTGCAAAGTTTTTTAATTCCCCTACTGTTTAAGGAACAAGGCAGACCATTAGTATCCAACAAAGTCTACTCAACTCCTATGTCCTGAAGTTACATCTGATTAGATGTTAACATCTAACAAGTCTGCTTTCTTTCTGACAAGAAAAGGCAAAGCTCCTTCAGAGCCACTTCTTTAAAAACTGCTCCTTTTGACAGACAGTCTTTACATTTTATTTTTACTGTTTACCAACAACCTACGTAAGATGTGGAACTAACACTCCTGGCCTTCGTCTAATATAAGAATGTGCAGAAATGTTGGGTAGTGGCCCGCAGGCCACCCAGTGAGCCATCTCACTACCACAGCATCTAAGGACAGTTCTTTCATTGCAGCTCAGCTCTTAAAATACAGTGTGCTTGTATTTGCTGACCAGCTGGTTCCTCTGCAGAAACACTATCTAGTGAGTACCTTGTTCAGCACATCACCTCAAGAGTTCTCTGAGTCAGAAACCTCTCTTTGTGACATGCAATCAAAAAGAATATTCAAGAAAAGAGGAATGCAGGAATTCTACAGGAAACTCCCAATCATAATCCCAAAGTAAAGTGTAAGAGCAACAGCATTCCTGCACCAGGAAGCAAGCAACAGCTCCCAGGTGTTCAGACCAAAGGGCACAATCCGTTCTCGGTAAGCTCCCAGGACAATTTTCTGAGGTAGCTCAGTGGTACCAATAGCTTCTTTGCTACCACTTCCCCAAGTTCCTACTCCTAGCTGAGAGTCCAATTTTTTACCCAGATTTGTATAATAAAAGGAAACAAGATCACCCGTGTCATGACTCACTATGTCGTATCATTAGCACCAACCAGGGAGAGACCATGTTCTGGTACCATGGGCCCCTTTTCTCTCTGGAAAGCACTTTCCACAGCCTGGTATTCCAGGCCCACAACTCATCAAAGATTTCCTTTAATGAAGAACATCTCATATGCGTGAGTGAGAGCAATTTAACATTAAAATGATTTATTACTAGACAGGTTTTCAAAGTCTAATTTCAAAAACTTTACAACACTACTTTTTACAAGAACATCTCTAAAATAATGAGAAATGCCTCTCAAGTGCCAGACATTAGGCCAGGCACTCTACATACATAATCTCATTTAATCCTAAAAACAACCCTGAGCCAGGCAGTTACTTTGATTTCACAAATGGTCCAACTGAAGCACAGAGAGATTACCTGCCTGGGTCCAGATTACATAGATGTGTCTGTGCCAGGATTCAGACTCATGTTCAAAGTCCCAGTATGTCTACTATAAAGAGCAAGGCAAAGAAGGTGCACTGTGGAGCCCAAGCTCCATAATCCCAACTCCCCAACAGTTTACTGGCTGTTTGTGTGACCTCATACAAGTTACTTAATACAGTAAATACAGGTTTTCAGAATAGTGTGTGGCATATGAGAAATGCTTAATATATGTTAGCCTTAATTATTACTATTAAACCACCACATACCACATCTTCCTATATATCCAAGTTACTAAAGCTTTTCAAGAGCAAAAATATTAGATCTAATGATAACACCTTGTTGCCCTTGGAGTGTACTGGTAGGATGAGGCTAAGTGCTAAACAAGAATCATGCCAACTTTTAAGACTTCTTTCATTTTCAAAAACAGAGAAGGACCACAAACAAAAAGATATTATAGCAGAAATCAACAGACTGCAGGGACCAAATGTCTAAAGGGTCTCAGGACTGATTAACAAGTCCAGCAATCCAATCTACCAAGTATTCAAGCTACTATCCAAACATAGCATGTAAATTTAAAGAAATGTTTTTCATACTAATCATCAAAAACAAAGCAACAAGTGAGCTAAAACATACATGAAAGGAATGGAAGGAGTTCAGGGAGGCTCAGCATCTTACTGCAAAGTCAGTCAACACTGAATGAAGGGTGGACCTAAACTGTGCACAAAAGGAACACAGGGTGAGAGAGGAGGCCTAGATCCTGCCCAGGAGAAACAGCTGTACATATTGGAAAACGGAGACAAGCCTGGCTAGGCCAGCCCCTCCGGCATCAGCCTGCCTGGCTCAGAACCAGATGGGTGCTGCCCTGTGACAGGGCTCCCAGGTCCTAGCCCTGTGAATAACTAACAGCAAAGCTTTGAGCACCTAAGATGGCAAATGAACTCAACTAGATCTCTGTGCTCCTTTCCAACATCAACAGCCTGTGATTCTCTAATTATGAAAATAAAGGAAAGCTGATAAGACAAATTACCCATGTTTCTTTTTTTTTTTTTTTTGGCCTTTGAACTAAGGGCCTCCAACTCTCCAATGGGTTCTATTCCAAACATCCATTTCTAGGTCAGAGCTAGAAGCTCAGAATGCACTTCCACATGCATAGGACCATTACAGATTGTGATTAAGTCTTTAAGTAAGCCTATAAAAGTCTGCTCAGCCCCTAATGCAGCATAAACAGGTCTTCTCAAAGCTTTCCAATAGCTATCCACTAGTTATAGAACAAAGCACAAGCTCCTCAGTTTCACATTCAGGGCCCTCATGACCTGGCACATAATAATAACACCATCAACATTTTTGTAGGTTTTGAGAGCTTATAAAATGCTTGCTCATATCTTACACTAGCAACACAACTGCCCAGTGAGCAATCATTATCACAAATTGAACTTTGAAAGACAAGGCATGGAAGGTATCAGAGCCACACCTTCAACAAACCTCTCTGGCTTCCAGTCCAGTGTCCTTTCTAACTTCTGCCCCACAAATATCCATGGCCTTTCTGACTCCATTTCCCACACCCACAGGCCCATGCACCCCATGTTCTGGCACCAGTGAATCATTCACTATTCATTATGCCTTTCCTGTTCCTAACAACCTTTCCCCAGCTAGCAGCATTTTATTCATCCTCAAATGCCACGACCTCTCTGAGGCCTTTACCCAATTACCTGGAAAAAATTAAGGTGATTCTCCAACGCATTTTGCCTCTGCTCCTTCAAGAGATTAATGAGCCCCCTGTAGTAATAAACCATATTATACACACTAAGGCATCCCTCAGAATACCCGCCACAGTTCTACTCAATAGATATTCAATGCTAGTTGTCTAGTGAAGTAACATGACACTACTTCAACTGTTTTTTTTTTTTTTTTGTGGAAGTGTTTATTCGATTTCATTTTAAGTTCCAACTCAGGATATTTAGAGTATATCTATGCTTTGTAAGCAACTTCATTCCCCACCCTCACAACCTCTAGGCTGGAAAATGGGCAGAGAGAGCAGCTTTTGGGTCAGAAGAGAAAGAACCAAATCTGCCACATTTTAAGAATTACTGAGGCAACTGTTAAGCATAAGAATTCTTAGTGCATAATCTCCAGGCACAAGGGTTTGGGAATATGATTGCTTAACAAATGTTCCCAGTTAATTCTTATGATCAAGCCAGGTTTTGGAAACAGTGGGTAAGATCACTGGGTCCTAAGCCTGGATGCACATTAGAATCACTTGGTTTAAATATACCTTATGCAAGTTGGGCCAAGGTTGGGCAGGTGGGTCAAAACATGCATTTACAATAGAGGCATTATAGTCACCAAGGAAAGGGAAACTAATCGGGGGAGGAAGAGTGTTAAAAAAAAAAAAGTCTCAGCTATTAAAATGGTTTGTGTTTGTTCAAAGGGCCACAGTATATATACAGATATACAGTACATCAGTGGTGTTAAGATTTCATAATCGAAGGGGAGATTACAAAATGTATGTCTAAAGAGGCATGGAGGGGGACCTAATGAAAATAAGGTTGAGGAACTCTGGGTTAAGAAGATGAAAAAAGTCAATCACTCTTGACATTTGCATAAAAGATGTCCCCCTTATCCCAAATACTTGTCCTACAGTTGCTCTGAGTTGAGTAAAGATTTGCTAACTGAGAAACAGTTCAAAGATAATATGTACATGAATGCTAGAGGCTAACTGCACATGGGCACCTTCAGAACAGGGCACCTTATCAAATACAAGCTTTTAATAGGTTATCTATGGAGAGTAATGGGGGCTCTTTGTCCTCCTTTTGTGGTCTCTCTTGGAGGATGCAGTGGGACATCCTTTATTATTTCAAGCTGGCTTGGAAAGACTGGGGAGGTTCCTCTATTAACATAAACCAAAATTAGGCTCTAGGTTGTAAGAAGGCATGGCCTCTTTGGGTTAAAATTAAAAATTCAGATCCATTTCAAAAGGAACACCTGGACAGCTGTGATCAGGAGTCCAAAAAAAAAAAAAAAAAAGGCAGATATGTGGAGGAGACATAAAGATCATGCCTCAGCAAGCCCACACGTAGGCAGGGGGCTGGCAGGAGTAGGTGGCAGCCCTAGCAAAAGGATGCTCTGACCTAGTGTGTTCTTTCTAGACACACTAGAAAGATGGGAAAAATGGTCATCACAGGCCAGCAACGACAGGAATGAAAACTGTGACCATGCCATTCCTCTGCTTGAAAAATCTTCAAGGACACTCAGCCAGTAAGTTACTCAAATGGGTAAAACAAGCCAACAATAACCACAGAAGGAAAGTGAAAGAACACAGCAATAGAAAAAGAAGGCAATAAAAAGCACACACCATAAAAAGACAGCATAAAGAACAATCAAAAGGATATAAAAATTGTAATTTCAGAACCAGAGAGTAGCTTAAAGATTATCTAGTCTGTGGTTCTAAAAGATGGACCATCACCTGTTCCCCACTTAACGCCTACAAACCAGTTCTTAGTCTGCTGCGTTATCATCAGACTCCTGGGCCTAACCCTCAGAGTTTACTCAATAGGTCTGCAGTGAGGCGATGCATTTCAGTTTACAAAGTTCTCCGGGTGACTCTCATGAACAGCCAAGTCCGGGAGGCACTATCAACTTTGGAGGCAGCCCCCTTCCCTGATTCTACAACCCCAGGAACCCAAAGCACACTTATAATGTTTATAAAATCCTTTATTTCCCATACCAATGACTTATCTGCCAATTCCCAGTGTTAACTTTCAAAACAGTGGCAGTATAACACGAGAGGGAGGGGCTGACATGGCGCCCCAGTCTCCTTGGTCTAGCAGGACTGACCACTGCCCACATTAGCAGGCTCTTACACAATTACATCTTTAAGGTAAGGCAGGCAAATTTTATAACTTGGTCACTTTTCAAAGATGTATTCCTCTGCCTAGACCTACAAAAACATCCAAAGTGCACACCTCCATCATTACATAGTCAATACTTGGAACCTATTGCCATTATGAAGTACACCTAAAAAGCACATGAACAAAATTACAAAGAAAAATTCCATTATCTCTCCCCATGCATGGTTTACCGGCAACACTAAGTAGTGCAGAGGACACTGAAACACACACTGGAACACACCCAGACAGCAAGGCTAGTGATGAGATTTGGAAGAGAAGATTTGCAGGGAACATCAAATGTCCTTTGAATATGTAGTCTGTTATATGGTGAAAGAATTAGACTGGCGTGGCATGGCCAAATACCAGAAAACTAATGAAAGAAAAATGTTCCCCTACATAGTGAGCTAAAATGTGTCAGGGTCCTCTGGGGATACAGTGAATTCCCCATTCAAGCATGGGCCAGGTGACCCTTTAGTATGGTTTTATCAAAGGAACTGAAAAACTGGATGGTTGATCTACAAAGTACCTTCTTGACCCTAGGATTCTACAAGCTCAGTTTCCATGCACATTCCCCTCTTCCTACTCAAAATTTACCAAGGTTCTTAGATAACAGCACCTGATATGCATTTTGGCCTATAATTAACTAGCACCAAGTACAGCATTTGCATGAAGCAGAAAAGCAAACCTCAGGTTTTCTGGGGTCATAAAACAGCATCCAAAATTCAAGTTAACTGGAAGACAACCTTGGCAATACCATTGTGGACACAGGAACAGGCAAAGATTTCATGACCAAGACACCAAAAGTAATTGTGACAAAAGCAAAAATTGACAAATGGGATCTCATTAAACCAAACAGCTTCTGCACAGCAAAAGAAACTATCAACACAGTAAACAGAGAACCTGCAGAATGAAGAAAATTGTTGCAATCTATGCATCTGACAAAGGTCTAATATGCAGCATCTACAAGGAGTGTAAACAAATCAACAAACAAAAAAAAACACCATTAAAAAGTGGGCAAAGGGCAACGGACACTTTTCAAAAGAAGACATAAATGCAGCCAACAAGCATATGAAAAAAAAGCTCAGCATCACTGATCATTAGAGAAATGCAAATTAAAACAATAATAAGAGACCATCTCACACCAATCAGAATGGCTATTATTGAAAAGTCAAAAAATAACATCTGCTGGCGAGGTTGTAAAAAAAAAAAAGGAACACTTAAACGCTGTTGGTGGGAGTATAAATAAGTTTAACCATGTGGGAAAGAGTATGGCGATTCCTCAAAGACCTAAAAACAGAACTACCACTCAAAGCATCAATACCATTACTGAGTATATAACCAACAGAATATAAATTGTTCTATCATAAAGACACATGCAAATGTATGTCCATGTCAGCACCACTCACAATAGCAAAGACATGGAATCAACCTAAATGTCCCTCAATGGTAGACTGGATAAAGAAAATGTGGTATATATACAGCATGGAATACTCTGCAGCCATGAAAGAGAATGAGATCATGTCCTTTGCAGGAATATGGATGGGATGGCGGCCATTATCCTCAGCAAACTAATGCAGGAGGAGAAAACCAAATATTGCATGTTCTCACTTATAAGTGGGAGGGGAACATATGGACACACAAAGGGTAACAATAGATACTGGGGCCTACCTGAGGTGGAGGGTGGAAGGAGGAAGAGGATCAAGAAAAATAACTAATGGGTACTAGGCTTAATATCTAGGTGACAAAATAATCTGTACAACAAACCCCCGTGACACGAGTTTACTTGTATAACAAACCTGCACATGTACCCTTGAACTTAAAAGTTTAAAACAAAATTAAGGTTAAAACATGATGTTACAGTCCCTGGTTAATTAGAAGAAAAATAAAGGAAGCATTGACCAAATCAGGTAGAAAAACCCTAGCACTACTTTTCATGAGTATTAGAAAGGAGGAGAAAAGAAAGCTTTTGCAAGGCAATTATCAACTTGTCTTTTTCATAAGGATCCATGCTGCAATATATTAAGTTCTTTAATAAGGGAGTTCATGTAATCCCCTCATGAGTTACAAAGAACTTTTAAATATGAAATTTTGATTCCTATCAATATGGTCCATACTAATAGGAGCTTATTTTCTTTTTAAATTCAAAAAACAAGCCTCACAGAAAAGAATAGCATTGTGACTGGTAATGACATGTCTGAGTGAAAGGCTCAGACCAATAGCAGCCTATCCAAAACTTACACTCCAGAGTCACAGTGAGGATCAAGGGACCTGGAGAATTTTGAAAACCTTAATAGCTTAAAGTTGGGAGATGTGTCCAAATATCCAAGCTATTTTCGTGTATTTGTGATGGCTCAGCTGGAAGAGCTGCAAGGACGGTATCATATGACAGCGTTTGCTCTGACAACCCTTTCCAGGACGCGGGAGGGCTTACACCTTAACTGGACTCAGCCTTCCTCACTCATGGGAATATGCCTACATCTCCCAAGAATATACATTGGGGTTAAATGTCTATAAACAGTCACAGACAATGAATTCTTTATGTAGCTGTTCTTCCCCCACATTATGAAGGAGCATATTCCACCAGGACCAAGAGTAGGAAAAAACTGAGTGAGAGAGAATTTAGTTACAGTCAGTGAGATTTCAATTCTTTGCCAGTGACAGATGAGGTGGCCATTTGTCTGGTAATCCTGCGTGAACCAGTCAAAACGTGAACCAACCACTTCACCGTCCACGCATTTATCAGGGCCTGGCCTAAAGCCCAGCAACTATATGAGCACTGGAAAACTGACCCTCCCCAACAACCTTTAGTAAGACATGCTTTCACTGCTCCAAGTCACTTATTTATGAAGATAATGGAAATGCCAACAACTTTCCTGGCTCTCAAAATGCTAACGCTATCCTCCTGGGTTAGTCTATAGCAACATTGATGGAATAAAACTCATATTACTTCTCTCTGACCTCCTCCCTTCCAAGGGTGTACTTCATTAAAATGTACTTTCTCTGGCTTCATATGGACCTTTATTTTAGAGTTGCCCATCTGTTTAAACACTAAAGAAGCAAGTATAAACCATGTTCCTTGGTCTTTCTCTGGCATCTGAGCCTTCACTATTGCTGTATCCTCCCCAACTCCTCTGCATTTTTCCTCCCTCGATTGCTATGTTCTTCTTGTCAAGGATCTGTACTCCTTTCTAGCCACCTGACACTTTAAAACTAGAGGAGCTATTCTTACAGAACCTAGAAATACACAGCTAGGGTAACAACAAAGAGAAACTGTCTCTCAGCACATGACAAGTACAGTAATTATATTTTCTTTAATAAGTTTTATTTCAAAATCACCACTGACAATGCCTAAATGCTTTTGACTGATACCATTCAAAAATCAAAAGAACATAACAACCTCACCACACTAAAAAAAAAAGAGAAAAACAAACAGAAAAGGAAAAAAAAAAAAAAAACTAGCATTACTAGCATTAGAAGGCAAAGCATTAACCTTCAGGTCCTTTCCAAAGTCAGTCTCACAATGTTGCATCTGTAAATGGTCCAAAGCGTTGCTGAAAAAAAATTCCCTTAAAGTCATCTTTCATAGTGCAGGAGTCCTAAGAATCTGAGAAAGGCTAACAGAGAACAATAATCTGGGAAGGGGACAAGAGAAAATGTATTAAGAGGAGAAACTCAAGTGATTACTTCTCAGATAATAATCATGATCATCCAATATTCTAAGAGCAAATGAGGATAAAAACAGAGAAGCACTGCCATCATAAATCACGCACACCTCATTGTGCAGAGGAGGCCCTCCATGACAGGCACTCCTGAGTCCCTGAGCCAGGTGACTTAGCCATTAGGCATAGAAGGCACAGTGCTGATGGCCCATGATACTTTTCAGGGCCTTCAAAAAATGTTTTCATTTATTTTAAAATCAAAAGAAAAATAAATATAATAATGTGTAAAAAGAATATTTGTCTAGTGAAGTAATAAAATATAACCTATAAATTTTTTAATGGAGAAAGGAGCCCATGAAGGCAAAGTGCCTATGCTAGGACCCAGAAAAGTCATATGCAGCTCTGTCCTTAGAGAGAAAGCAGATGCTAGCAAGGCAAGTTGCTCAAGATCCAAGGTGGACACATGAGAACCCACAAAGCATTCAAATGATGTACAGCATTAGCGCAAATGCTTTTCTGCAGTGAGAGCTGAACAGTGAACCCTGCATATTACAATAGGCATAAAGGAAAGGAAAAAAATAATGTTTTGCTTTCAATTTTTCAAAGAAAGCGTGGTGTAAGTGACATATTCATAAGTGCTCTCTGGAATAATAAAGAGAGAACAAGCTGTGGTACCTGAATAAAGAAGAAATAAGTCAACAAGTTCTTGAGATCCTCCCATGTGCTTGGCACTGTGGAATACTACAGTAGTAGCCCATAGTGTTCCCATAGTAAGTGCTGACATTCTAGTGTGTGGCCCTGTTCTTTTTTCCCTTTAGTCATATCTGCTTCATTTTTAAAAAATATTTACTAAGTTTTAATTTTACTACATGTACACTTCAAACACCAGAAAACTAAAGAAAGAAAAATGTTCCCACTTTTCTAAGGGACTTCTATATCTTATTACATATATTACATCACAAATAATTTCCCATGTCCTTAAATACAACATCTGGAATTCACTAAGGTAGGTGATAACCTGATAACCTCTTACAGTATCCTGAACACAATGGAGAAACATGGGCTGAAGAATAAAATGGGGGCGGGGAGGTTAAAACGTGTTGAACAATCAAAGGCGATTCACAGAATGCTAATTAGTGGGCTCATGACCTGATGATCTGCTTGTCGGAGAGTATGATGCAGGGCTTCACACTGTTCAATATTTTAACTTGTGAATTTGAGTTACTGATATTGACCAGCACTGTGCCTACCATGTGCAAAGCTCCATACTAGATGCTGTACACACATTGACTTACCTTACCCTTTTAACAAGCCTGTGAAATAGAGACTTTTTTCCACTTCACATCTAGGAAAGCATATGGGGATGGAAGCTCAAAGAAGTTAACTTGCTGAAGAGTATACAGCTAGCAAATGGCAGAAGTCTGAATTCAGTCTCCAGCTTTTATTTTCTTTCCATTGGATGGACATGTTTATTTCATTTTCAGGGTTCCTGAAACTAGCCAGTAAGTTGTATGTAAATCAACTGGAAAATGATCTCTTTAAAGGCAGCTGCAATGAAGCTAATGTGCTAATCTAATGAGATTAAATTTAGACCTGAAAAAGGTGAAATCTTGCATTTAAATCCAAAAACCCTAACATTCTGTACAGAATCATGGAGACCTGGCCCAAAGGCAGCATGCATGAACATGCTGGGATGGATTTAACTAGAAACTCAAAGTGAATCCAAGAGTTATACATACTAACTGAACTATAAACTCAATATGAATCCAATAGGTACACATATATATTCACATGCTCTAGGACTGCATTCATAGAAGTATTAAGCCCAGGATGAGGGGAGTGACAGTTATCTGCCCTGGCTAATAAATCTCATTTGAGGTAGCACATTTTAAGGACTTTGGTGAAATGTGGTATCTCTGTAGTAGCATAACCAGACAAAATAAATGAACTAGAAAAAATATTTAACTGAAGATGAATTTATATAGAATAGGGTAGGGTGAGTTCATGAATGGACAGGATGGCGGCACACATCCTTCAAATACATATAGAGTCTCCAATGTGCTCTTTTCCTTCCCAATTGACTTTACAATCCTGTGGTCCACAAAGTGGAGGTTTTTTACTCCTTTACAGATGTCCAAGCAGACAAAGTACCTCCTCATTCCAAGACTAAATATTTTAAGTTTCTGCTAACAGAAATTTAGGTGTTTCCCCAGGGCTTACTATGTATTCACTTAGTAAGTATTTAGTCACTTCTGTGAAAAGAGGGTAGGAACATAACGTCTTCTTTAAGTACTTTTCAAGGCCCTTAAATGACATTTACCTCCTCCTCCTCCTAGTTCTACCTGCCAGAAGCATACATCATAAGGATCATAAGATAAATGTGATGGGCAACAAAGGGCTGTGTTAGGATGTAAACCCAGAAAAGATACCCGAACTTCCTTTCTCCAAAATGCCTATTTTTAACCTTCATCATTGCATCATTCTGCCACTTAATTCACCTTTCTGACAAGACACTCAAGTTATCATCTGACCCTTAATTGCCTCTCTCTCTTCCACAGCTCTTGGCATTTATAGTTTCCGATCCCATAGAGCTTTAACTCAGGCTCTGATCATCCCCCACATGGGTCAATGCTACTGCCTCTCCAGTCTCTCAGCCTGCAGTGCAGTTAACTGTGCTGTGACCCCCACAGTCCTGTACTCTTATGAGGGTCAGTGCCTCCCTGACAACTTGAAACCCAAGGTGCATTCATTGTATTAAAGCATTTAGCTGCTCTACATGAGTTCCTATGCTCTGCCTTGAGTAATTCACACCCCAAAAAATAAAAGCATTTATGAAATGAAATGAAATGAGGTTAAGTATCCACCACCATTTCCTAGAAGTAAAAGGAAGTAGATTTGGCAAATCACCTCAATTACCTTGATGCCTATTCTGGAAAAGATTCAAGGACACATTTTTTAGAATTTTAATTTAGAAAGCATTTTTTACTTAACTCCTTTCCCCTGTTATCTTTCTCCATGCTCATACCATTATACATAAACATCCAGTCACATACAGAGTTTAGCATTGTTTTGTAAAAACAGAATCTCATACAATCTTATCTGCCTTTCTTTTCTTACATAAAAATTTATCAAGAAAGTTCCTCTGTGACAAATAATAAAACTTTATTTAATTCTGTAAGGACTGCACCACAGCCATAGTATGTATGTACCATAATTTATTCAACAATTTCATTGACAGGCATTCACTGTATTTCCTTTTTCTTTTTCCTTTCTTTTTTGCCACCACAAAAAAATGCACTATTGATATAAAAATCCTTCCATTTCTATCTTGATACACTGGTATTTCTATTTATAAAACAGAATGCCAGAACTGGAATTATTAGGCTAGATTTTTAATTTTAATAGATAAGACCAGAATGACTTCCAAAAAAGCCGTATCATTCACATGTCTACCATTGCCCTATAACCCAAAGGTAGATTTTTTAAAAGATAGCCTGTGTGTATACAAGCATTAATATAGATTATTTCTGGAAAGATGCAAAGGTAATAAAAGAGTGGCCTTCTCCTTAGAAAGGAAGCACAGACCTGGAAAAGGGATGTAAAGAAAACCCACTTTTCATTGTACGTGCACCTTTTGTGCTGTATTCATGTCTTACCATGTCCATATATTACACATTACACATGCAAAACATAAAATGCTCTTTAAAATATTTGTAGACATTTCAAAAAAAGTGCTGATCATACAGCGCACATAGCACTGGCTTTATGCAATTAAATGATATGAACTTAAAATGCATAGGATGTAGCTTGATCATTTTTTTTTAGTACCTACATTACTGTAGTACCCTAGATTCTAGGGATACAAAAACTGAGGCAATCTGCAGCAAGGAGAACACTATGTATGGTAAGTAAAATAAACAAAACACAGAAAGACAAGTACCACATGTCTTAACCCATTATGCCTATAGTATGTGGAACCTAAAACAATTCAGTTCATAGAAGCAGAGGGTAAAATGGTGGTTACTAGAGGCTGGAGGTAAGGAGAATGGGGAAACGATAATCTCCATTCTTAAGGGGGTACAAAGATAATCCCCATTCATTCTTAAGGGTACAAAGTTTAAGTTAGGAGAAATAAGTTTGATTTTTTTAGGTCAGTTGCACAGCATGGTGAATAGAGCTAATAACTGAGTATTGCACATTTTAATATCACTAAGATAGAACATTTCAAATGTTCTCATCACAAAAATGTTAAATATTTGAGGTGACATGTTAATTAGCTTGATTTAATCATTTCACATTATATTAAAAAATCATAACATCACTTTGTACCCCACAAATATATACAACTATAATCTGTCAATATATAATTTTTTTAAATAAGAAAAAAATGAAGACAGTCCCTTCCCTCAAGGAGCTCAGAATCCCATAGACAAAAAGACCTGTGTGCCAGATATGCACAGTGCCAGATGGCAGCTATGATGCTTGGGTGAAGGATGCCCCAGGGCTCATGAGGGAGCCAGCTAGGTGGTATGCAAGTGGGTCATCAGACAAGTGTCTCGGATTGAAATTAGGGGCTGTAATCTTAGGTGGGGATTATGGGTGACCTTTTCTTCTATGTCTTTAAACATTTCTACATTTGTCAAAGTTTCTTAAAAGGGCATCAATATCATGTCCATAATTGGGGGTCAAAAATCTCTTTCAAAAATATCAGCTGAAATGAATGTTTTTAGCTCATAAATTGAGCCACTAATTAAAATTTTGGCTATCTTCTTTGTCTTAAGTGAAGCTAATGTGTTGAAATGTTTTAAAGGGGGAAGAGAGCTGGATTTTTAGCGGAGGTTCCGACTTTCAGATTGTTCGGCATATACGAAAGTATTCACAAGTTGCAGAGGAATCAGAAATACAAGGAAAGAAGAGGTGTTATGCACATTTTTTATCCTTCCCTCTGCCCTCCATGGGGTTATTTTGAAAGAAATATTCAGTTTACAAAGTATCCTAGAAAATATATAACACCTTGAATAAGAAACTTTAACCTGTGATTTATATATTCTGATTGTAAGAAAGCTACATTTAAAGGCAACAACTAAAAATATTGCCCTGTTTTGATTTGGGTAACTCTAAACCAACATAAAAAGGCTTTTTACTGATTTCTATAGTCACTTGGCACTTAGCATTTCCATCTCAGTGATTTCTCTTTCCCATATGTTTCTTTCATACGAGATTCAAGAAGCTTTTGACAGAGATACCAAGGGCTTCAATTCTAATCCTAAAATATACCTATATATTCTGTCACGTAATGAACTCGGAATTTTTAACGTATAGTAGGTAGAGAATATAGACCCAACATCTATTTTATAGTCCAAGACTAAATTATCCTGAATATAATTACCAAGCCAAGAATCAGGAAATACATGAAACAGAAAAAAAATGTAAATTTTGGTACCATGCTCACTATAATTTATAAACTAAAAATACCTAATAAATAGCCCAGTGTCAAAAGTATTTAAGATTAAAGCCTCTTTTACTTTTTTAAAAAGTGCCTCTGAAACTGGAATTACATTAGACACACCTTCATGCGTTTGCCAAAAGAGCTCACGTTATAAAAGTAAAACTTTCTATTAAAATTTTAAGTGATTAGCAAGAAAAGAATGCAGAGTTATTCCACTTCAAAAGTTACAAAGCAGAGATGAAAACTAAAAGCAGCAACATGCTTGGGTACTCGTTAAACCTACTTATATCCTGGATACAGGAAGCATTTTGTTTTGACAGCAGTATGGGCCAAGACCAAAGTATTATTTTTCAGTGTTAGCATTAAAAACAAACAAAAATAAAACATTTTTAAAAACCGGCCTGCCTATCTTCCAGGAAGATCAAGATCATATTGGCCAAAACAAAAAGTTTCACAGGAATGACTATCTGTGTACAGTGAACTCTTCACAAGTGAACGCAGGAGGAGAGAGAACTTGCTTAAGTTTGTCCACTGAAAACAAATGCCCTAAATTCCCTACAGACTCAACATGAACAGACCAAATCTTACAGTCTGGAAAGTCTCTGGGCCTTGGCAGGACAAAATTATAAACAACTGTCACCACGTTTCAATAAGCTAAGAGGAGAGGACTGGACCTGAGGCAGGCTTTGGGTACTAGTTCCTCAGGACACGCTCACTGTGTGTGCATATGCAAGTATGTGGAGAAAAAGGCCCTAAAGTGGAGGGAGAAAAGAGAACAAGAGAAAAGAAAATCTCAAATAATGGCCCAGGAGGAGGCCCAAGGAAAACTCATGACCTGGAGCTATATGCCGTGCCTGATGGAACCATCATCCTCACTTAAAGGTGAGAAAAATGAGGCTCGGAGATGACAAGTAGCTTTGCTAGATCATATAACCATTAGAGGCTAGAGATAAGACATGAACCTAGGCCCATTCAACCCAAAGCCCACTGCCCCACTGTTTCTCATAGTGTGGCCCCAGGACCGTCAGCATCAGTCACCTGGGGCACTAGCTAAAACTACAGATTCCTGGTCCCACTGATGACCCCCACCCCCACCCCAACATAATGGGTGAAATTACTGGAAATGAGGCTCTAGAATCTGTATTTTTTAAAAGAACTCCCCAGGTGCTTCTCATAAAGAATCAGTCCAAACGACTGTTGTGCTCCCCGCAACAAGTGACCAGCCAAAGAAAGACAGCCTAGTTCCTTATACACAAGAGGCTCGGCGGTGAGCCTGGTTTACATGCATGTTGTTCAACAATTATGCAGCCACCACACAGCCACATTCACATCATTCTTTAAAATCATCACTTAGGGAAGCCCATACCCTAATATTTCCTCATTTACAATATCCAGAGCTCAAAGGGCCCAGAAAGACAGTAATGCAGGTTTCAAAGTCTATCTTAGTATTTCAAAGGCCAATAGAAATTGCACATTTATCCCCTAAAGACCAACCAAAGGTCTAACTGAAATGTCTGAAAATAAGAAAATTTAACGTTAGCTTAATAAATATAGCATGTCTGGAAGCAAGGTTTTCAAAGCTATGCTGGTAGCACATACTCCGACCAGGCTGCACTATGCAAACATCTGTGCACCTTCTTGCTTGGACCAACCTTGGGGACTCACTGCTGAGTAGAACAATAGACACTGTGTCAGTACTTCATAGTCACTTCTCTTATTGTTTAGACTTAGTTCTTAGTCTGCCTCAACCATCAAAGGTAAATACCTTCAAAGAAACAAAGATTTGCAAACACCAATAATGGACAGATATGTGTAGGTGGCATGAGGATAATTCCCAAAGAGGTTCAATGGTGTTTTGAAATTTGAGTAAAACCCACAGAGTGATTAATTTAAGGGCAAAATATGCATTTGTATGTGTAAGCACCTTTTTATCTGCTAATTTTTTTTAAAAAGTTTCACTACCATCTAACAACAATTCAGTTAATTCACTGAGTTTAAAAACTAAGAAAATAGAAGATTTTACTAAATAAATCAATACCACAAATATTTGACCTACACATTACTTTAGCCAAGTAAATTGAGCTGAATCCTATGAAAGATGAGTTGGAGTTAGAGAAGTAAATGAGCAATGAAGAGAAAAGGGAGTAGAGAAGAAAATGCTGTAAATAAGCAAAAGAGGAAGTACGAATCAAGAAACAAACCATGAGAGCCAAAGGACACTCTGTATAGAGGAAAGGAGCAAGGATGCAAGGGTTTCAGAAGGAGCTAGCAAAATTTCCAACACAATCTGCAGTTCCTTTGAGCCACAGGCTTCAGATTACCATCATTACCTATTAGCTGCTACTGAAAAACTAATTTAGCTACTTACTTAGTTCCTTATCTTTAAAACCTCCAAGCCAGATGAGATGACCAAGAAGGCAAGGTGTTTCAAGACTATAGAATCCAATTCAAAATCACCTCCCCACTTCACCCCCTGCCACAGTCCTAGGACCTGTCAAGGTGTCCAAAGGTCAGAGGGTGCAAACAGGCAGCCCGCAGAGTCAAACCCAACCTGTATACCTGATTCCTACAGCTCACAGTGCATTTTCCAAATTGTTGAATCATTGTCCATTTTTAATTACTGAACACTTAAAAATCAGGAAACTGCACGTAAAAACTGATTTCCAGAAAAAAAAAGAAAAAAAAAAAAACCACTGAGCCAGGCAGTAACAGCAGGCCCACCTTCCAGCTGGTAAAGTTGGGCAGGGGCAGCTGTCCTCTGTAGAGGGGGCATGCACTCTCTGGTTTGCACAGGTTTGTCTATAACTAGCCCACCCTATCCTACAATTTGCCCACTTGGCGCTGCCACAGGTATTTGATTTTTTGGTCCCTCATGGAGCTGATCCACCCAGCAAGCAAGCATAGCAACTCCTGGGCTTCCTTAAGGGCAATGACCACCACACCCCTCCAATCCACACAGTCCACTCCTGAGTCACACCCCATAATATGGCCTCACTCACAGCTGCTTCCTCTTATGAATCTTCAACTCCAGTATCCTGGATCTGGCCATGACCTCTCCCATGGCCACAATCCACTATGCTGCTGTTCCATTTTTCTTTCTGCCCACCCATTCCTTCTGGAACTCCCTTCTCTCTCTCTGTACAGCATCCCAAGTACCTTTTCATCGGCATCCTCAGTGGCCCCATCCCACCCTCTCATCCAGCCACTCCCTATTCCATAGGTAGAACCAGCACCCACAATCCACCTTTCTCTATTCTAAGCCTGTATAGTTGAGCACTCTAGAGGAAAAAAAAATCAGAAGCCTGGCACCACCAAAACTTCATGCCAACCTCAGCAATGCCCATTAGCTCCCCCTCCCATTCCTTTCTCTCACTACCCCCAAGGCACCCCATGCTCCACCTCCACCTCCCTCACCTAGCAGACTGCCCTATCTCATCCTGAACTGAGAAAACTAAAGCCAACAGGTTTGATCTTTTATTTATCCACAAGCATCCTTCCCCTCTTTCTTCAAATTTTTTTTTTTTTTTTTTTTTTTTTGAGACGGAGTCTTGCACTCTTGCCCAGGCTGGAGTGCAGTGGCGCGATCTCGGCTCACTGCAAGCTCCGCCTCCCGGGTTCACGCCATTCTCCTGCCTCAGCCTCCCGAGTAGCTGGGACTACAGGCGCCCGCCACCACGCCCGGCTGATTTTTTGTATTTTTAGTAGAGACGGGGTTTCACCGTGTTAGCCAGGATGGTCTCGATCTCCTGACCTCGTGATCCGCCCGCCTCGGCCTCCCAAAGTGCTGGGATTACAGGCGTGAGCCACCGCGCCCGGCCTCTTTCTTCAAATTCTGAAGGTGGTACCCAGTCACTCAAACCAATAATTCAACTGTTATCCTTCACTCCCCCAACCACCAAACTCTCGGCTTCAAATCCAGTCAGTCACTAAATTCTGCCCTGGTTTGCTTTCTAAATATTAACCCTATCTCCTCCAGTCTTGTTCCCTTCAAATCCATCCAAAAGCTGCCATTAGGCTGAGCGCTCTAAATCAGTGTCTAACAAGACACTCCTCTCCCTACAAAATAGAAGCCAAACTCCTTAACCTGGCATTCAAGGCTGCCCATGATGGGGCCTTATCTCTTGACACCTTCTTCTTAAACCCCATGCTTCCAACAACACTTGGCTCTGGGGTGCCCCTGCCTGTGCATGCAATGCCCTCTACCTCCAGGAAGACTTTGCTATTAGCTTCACAACACAGGCTCACCACGACCTGATCTGCTCAGGTGTCAAGGCAGGCACTGTGCACTCACTTTTGCATCCCCAGTGCCTAAGGCACACAGCAGGCCATCAATATGCATTCACTGCATGACGATTTCAAAGGTGCCACCCAATCGACAGGGCCTGTCAGATTAGTACCTCGCATGTAAAAGCCTGCGCCTTTGTAGTCTAGCAGACCTGGACTTAACCCCAGCCCAGGCTTCTCCTAGCTGAGTGTCCCCAGGCAAAGTGCTCAGCCTTAGTTTTCCCATCTGTAAAGTGTGACTTAAAAAAAATCCTCACACATAAGGCTGATGTGAGGGCAGGACAAAATCTGTTTAACTGCCTAGCTGTACATCTGGAATACTGTATGCAGCTAATAAAGAGCTGCTATTAGTATTTTAAAAGTTACAACTGAGGTTTTAGTCAACCCTTCCTATCCTGTGTGTGAGCAGCTCAGGCCTTCTCTTTTGAGAGAAAGCTCCCTGCCTTTTGGCCATTTTACTCCTCATTAACACCCCAACTAATAGACAAGTGGGAGAGGAAACGTCCTTCTCTCAACATGACTAATGACATATTATCTTTCTGTGCTACTGTTGACCCTCTGCCAGCAGGACATGCTGACTCAGCCACCATCGTCACCTGCCTCTCAGGTGGATAGCAAACAAATGTGAACATGCCTAGCTGGGGCCAGAGCTGTGGTCTGTAGCCTACAGAGTTCCTCCTGAGACAGACGCCTGTCTCAAACAGAAACTAAAGCTGTGCTCCTGTCATCACTGGGCCCTCAGAATAACTCACTATGCCAAGGCACTAAAACAGAGTGGTTAGACACAATGAGAATGTGGACATATCTGAGGAGTTACGTATCTAAACTACTCCATACAAAATATATTTTTTAATGAAAAAAATACGCTTTTTGAGCATTTCTGTGATTAACGCACTGAATTTCCCAATGCCTGGGGTAGAAACACATAAGTAAGTCCCTGATGATAAGTTGATAGAAAACAAACAGATACACAGCTAAGTCCTGTCCTGATGAATCTCATTAGAAAAGTAAACCTCAAAGGCTGGGGGAGCAGAGACGTTGACAGATTGGAGACCTGGGAGGGTTTCACAGAGAAGGCGGCACTGACATTGGAGAATAGCATTCTGAGCAGAATGGACAGCACCAAGAAAGGCACAGAGGCTGGGAGAGCTAGTCCTATCACTGAGTGACAGAAAATTAACAAGTTAGAAACTAAGTGTATTGATCACTTTAATTTTTATTATACCCTATTTATGTATGTTTTTGTTCTCTCAAAATTTCTCACACAAGAAGTGAGAATAAAATCTAGGGAAAATGTCTACGTGTAAAAGCTTTTTTTTTTTTGAGACGGAGTCTCGCTCTGTCGCCCAGGCTGGAGTGCAGTGGCCGGATCTCGGCTCACTGCAAGCCCCACCTCCTGGGTTTAAGCCATTCTCCTGCCTCAGCCTCCCAAGTAGCTGGGACTACAGGTGCCCACGACCACGCCCGGCTAATTTTTTGTATTTTTAGTAGAGACACGGTTTCACCATGTTAGCCAAGATGGTCTCTATCTCCTGACCTCATGATCCGCCTGCCTCGGCCTCCCAAAGTGCTGGGATTACAGGTGTGAGCCACCATGCCCAGTCGTAAAAGCTTTTTTAAGAATACTTTGAAACAGAATCATTCCTGCTAGAGATTTTTCCTGAGCAGATGGTCCTTATGCTTTTGGCAGAAGACATAGGGTTAAACGAGAGACATAACATTTATCTACTACTCCCTGACGGGAAAGAAGGGTGTCTGCAAGAATCAGGCAGGCTCTCACTGTCTGCCTGCCTTCCTTCCTGCCTTCCTTCTTGCAGCAGACACTGCACAGTGCCCACCCCACACTCATTCCCAACCTCTTTTTCCAACTATTCTTTGCCTACCTGCTTCCCGCTACAGAGTCAAAATTTAAAATAAAATAAAAAAGCCAGACACTGTCACTGTCAGCCTTGCTGGTGGCCAGGGCTGGCCTGTGACTCTATCTATCCCTTTCTTCTCTGCTAAGGGTACCACCACAGGACCAAGTCACGGGGAAGTCATACAAGCGCCCAGCACTGCCCCTACCTTCAGGCTTCCTGATGTGTGAGATAACTAAATACCTGTTTCATTAAAGGCATTTTAGGTTGAGATTTTTGTTATTTGCAGTCCAGAGTATTCCAGATACATTCCTCTGTCTCTCTAGGGCTGAACCCTCCACTAAGGGGAAACTACCAGTGAATTGAAACCACAGAAGTTACCTGATGCTTCTCTTGGACCAGATTTACCTTGTACCTGTATCTGAAAATTGAAATAAACATTTTAGAATATATAAACTTTTTAAAAACTAAATAAAGTACACAAGTAAATATCTTCTGCTGTATTTACCTTACCAAAACCACCTTTATACAAAATTTCCTTTTAAACAGTAAGTTACCAAAGAGGGATGGTGACTGGGTTGAAGAACAGAGATCTGATTCGCTTTGCTCCTGTCCCCATGCAATTTCAGTGAATCACTATAGTTACCAGCGGTGTGGGGCATAAATAACACTGCCCCCTTCCTCCTCCTGCCATTTTGCAATGAAGTTATCAAAAATCAAGGTATGAGAATAAGTGTAATATGTTATAAGATGGATCTATTGTAAAATGCTTGTTTTCCCTTAACTTTTATTAGCATCCATTTATAACAGTACTGAAATATGTATAGTTCCAGAAAGCACATTAGAGCCTCTTTATAATACTGACCTTTACAGTCAAGACTAATGATTTCCTCATAATCACTTGATATGCTTTGAGAACAGGAAAAAATAGTATATAATAGCTGAATAATTATGAGCAGACTTATAGTTGGAGTGCTGCTATGAGAAAACAAATGCTCATTGCTGTTCAGAGAGCTTCCTACTGTTTTCCCAGACGGATGTGCTTTGACTTTAAGTATGTATATAAGGATTCAGCTGTTAAGTTACATCCTGAAAGTAGGAAATCCAGCACCAAAGAATGGGTGTCACTAATCTTTGAAAGATTATGTTTGAATCAGCTCATTAATATTTAGTGACCCCTTTCCTTAAATGATATTGCAGCTCAGTGCTCTTTTTCTTTTCATTTATTTGTTTTTGAAACAGGGTCTCACTCTGTCACTCAGGCTTGAGTGCAGGGGTCATGGATGTCTCTCTGTTCCCCTTCACAGAACAGATGCAACTTATGGCTCATCAGGTGGCTTTTGGTGCAGACAACACTGTCTCCCCATGTCTGACCTTGAAGCAGGAAGGTCCATGATAAGGAACACTGGATCTGGAGCTAGACTGCATCACTTCAAATCACAGCTCTGCTACTCTGCTTAGTAGCTGCTTGGCAAGTTATTTACCCTCTCCATGTCCCAGTATCCTCATCTGTAAAATAAACCAGTTTATGTGAAATATAGCTATGGTTGTAAGGATTAAAAGAGTTAATCACAGGAAGTGCTTAAAGCAGACTGAGGCACATTGCTCATAAAATGCTGACTATCATTATTATAATTATCAATTACCCAGGTTTCCTCTCCTAAATTCTAGGTCTCATAAAAACTTCTGCCATGACTCAACTCAAGTACTTTGCAGTTCCTATACTGCAGTTCCCTTTTCCAGTCCTCCCTAAATCAATAAATAATTCTGCTACCCCCTCCCCATCAATACAACCAAAAATCTACATCCTGCAGGTATTGTCCACTTTACCCCCAAGCTATCTCACCATTTACTGCTACCACCACAGTCAACGTCACCAGCAGCACTTCACTAGAACCTCTCAATAAAAGCCCCCTCTCCCAGTCTCCCTGCTTCTTCTCTTCCTATCATCTAATTTCTAATCAGCAGGCAGAGTGAACTCTCTAACATAAATCAGGTATCTCATAGGCTTATGATCTGCCACACTTCAACTGATGAAAACCCATCCACTCTCCTTGCCAGGCCCTCCAGGCCCTGCCAATATCCTCACCTGGATTTCCTACTGCCCATGCCAAGGGCTCCAGCTGCACTAGCCTTCTTTCTGCCCATAAACTCACCAAGTTCATCCCCAAGGCTTTGCAGGAAGCTCTGCCATATTTACATGGCTGCCCCACTCCATCGATGCAAATGTCACTTCCTTAGAGAGGCCTTAAATAGAAATCTCCATTTGCATCACTCTCTACAGTACTTCCTTGTTTTGGGGGGTGTTGTTGTTGTTGTTGTTGTTGTTGTTGTTGTTGACGACACGGAGTTTCACTCTTGTTGCCCAGGCTGGAGTGTAATGGCGTGATCTTGGCTCACTGCAACCTCCATCTCCCGGGTTCAAGCAATTCTTCTGCCTCAGCCTGCCAAGTAGCTGGGATTACAGGCATGCGCCACCACACCTGGCTAATTTTGTATTTTTAGTAGAGATGGGGTTTCTCCATGTTGGTCAGGCTGGTTTTGAACTCCCAACCTCAGGTGATTTGCCCGCCTCAGCCTCCCAAAGTGCTGGGATTACAGGCGTAAGCCACTGCGCCTGGCTTCTCTGTTTTGTTTTCTTTATAGCTTTTGTAACTACCTGAAATTCATATTTTCTTATCTGTTTTCCATCCTTACCTAGAATGGAAGCTCCATACAGACAGAGATTTATTTGCCTTTCTAGATAGAACGATGCCTGAAGCACAGCCAGCACTCAACAATAAGCATGTGGAGTGAATGAGGGAAGGAGGAGGGAGGGTCTGTCAGGATCCGGCAGAGACCCATCCCTAGTCCCCATTCCTGAACCAAGATGTCTCTGAAGCCTGACACCAACATCCCATCAGAGAAGCCAGCTATTCAGGAGGAGACTAGAGAGCTGTAGCCTTTGATCCTAACTTACTCCTTGCAAAGCCACCTCAATCTGATACTGACCCATAGATATTTCTAATGGTCAGTCCCCAAACTGTTTCTCAAAATACAATCTCTCAGGTACTAAAATCAACATAAAGGGAAGTTTCAAACAACACCCTCTGAATTGCTTGAGTTCATTTAATAAGGACACAAAAAAGATCCCAGCCAAATTCAACCATTTTGCCTCATTTTGAAAAGCTGGGAAAATGCAACTGACAAAAGAGAAAAACTTCAGTGTTCAAAGGTTGTTGGGGGTGAGGGAGTGAGTGTTTTAACCAAAGAAAATCTGCTGATCTTTTTTCCTTAATTGGTTCTGGGAATCAACAACTGACCACAGGAGGGTAAGTGTTTGGAACAGCTTTTCCTTATTATCAAATCCTTGATTATAATGATTAAGCCTAGATTTGTGGTTCTACTAAACCTCATGAAGCAACCTCACAGAGTATGTGCCCAACTGTAGCACCACTCATCAAAGGTTCACTCTGGGACATCAAGTCATAAAATTAGCATCAGAGAGGGTCAACACACAGAGGGACTTTGCTGACACCACTCAGGTAAGGAAACTGAGGCTCAAGAGAGTATGTGATCCGCCCAAGGTCACAATGCTAGTGTTGGACAGGACCAGGACAAGAACCCAGCGCTGACACCCAGGCCAGTGCTGTTTCCACTCCATCATGGTGCCACCCATACACACAAGGACTATAGACTGCCCGGTTCTTCATGGTGTCATGTTCAAGCTCTCCCTCACAGGTCTGGTTCAAAGCCATTACTAAATCCACTCCCCAAAAGGGCTGAAAACTTCCCCCAAGATGCCCTTCAAATATGTATTCAAGGTCTGCTCTGCACCAACCACCCTATTAATAAGCAGCAGGAATGCAAAGAAAAGATGTGTAGCTTTAAGAAACTCGCTCTGATGAGGGACAGAGATAATTATAAAAATGCAACGATAAAGTCAGAAGTGTCTCCAGAGACCACAGAGGAGATGGGAGGGCTTCCTGCAGGAATGTTAGCTCCAGAGGTCTGTCCAGTTGGATGAGGAGCAGTGAGACAGGCAAAGAAGTGGGAAGAGTACTTCACCACAGGCGGAACTACAAAAAACGAAGACTAAGAAGCATGAAACAATACATCAGCAACTAAGGGCAGCTAACTGGGGCTGAAACACAAGGCTGAGGGAAGGTGAGGTGGTGGGGGTAGGCGGAGCATGGCATGCCGCCAGACTGTATCCTGCTGGTGCAGGGAAGCCACCACAGCAGGCAATCACTGTCACATCTGTGTCTTAGAAAGATCATTCTGACCAAGTATTGAGAAAGGATGTGAAGGAAGCACAAATGAAGGAGTGTGGGCCTCTACCACAAAAGTCAGTATTGATAACAATGATCAGACTGTAGTGGGTACATTCTATCTCCCAGATACTGTTCTCAGCACTGTCTACAGAGTAACACATGTAACTTTCATACAACTTCATGAGGTAGGGACTATTATTACCTTCTTTTTACAGATGAATAAACTGAAGTACAATGAAAGACTAGTTACCTATCCAAGGTGTCACCATGAAGAGGACAATCTCCTAACAACTATGTATACTTCATCTTCAAGTAAGAGGATCTGGCCTGAGTGGAGACTTCAGTAGAAGAGACTGAGGTGGGGGTGCTGATCCATGCAGACATCACAAGTTAATGACCAAGCTTTGTGTTCCCAAACATCCTGCACACCACCCTGCCCTCTCACTCCAGAAAGAGAACCGAGTCAACCCAGAGTAAGAATCTATGCTCCAAACACAGCATATGTCACCTCACAAAAGCTCCCCGTCTGCAATGCCCTCCTCCCTTCCCAGCCTGTCAAAGCCCGGCAGCACTGAAAGCCGGAGTCCTGCTTTCCTACACCTCAAATGCAACAAGCCTCTGACAAGGGCCCATAGCATAGCAACTCTTGGCATGCACATTCATGTGGCAAGTATTAGATGTTAGTCGTCCAAAGATCTGGCACAAATACCTGCTCAACTGACTAAAGCCTACCCGAGGCCTTTTCCAGACCTACGGAAAAGAATTGCACTCAAGAATAATGGGCACAGAGATAAAAAGAAGAAAAAAAAAAGACAGCCTCTAGGCCTATTTTTCAAGATCTCACAAGGATCACAGGACTTGGGTGTCAAGAATCGGGAATGTGTAGCCCATGTCTTTATTTTCCTTTAATACATCACTTTACCTCTCTAGACTTTAGCTTTTTAGGTGCAAAACGACAGATTAGATTTGTGTAATCTCTAGGCCTCCATCCAACTCTGACTAAAAAACTGAAAATCTAGCAATATTTTGTAAAGTACATATCCATTGATTCAGCAAATATGCTTCTTGAAATGTATCTTAAAGAAACATTTGCACAGGTATACAAAGTAATAAATACAAGAACTTTTAATTCAGCATGGCTCATCATTGCAAAGAATTAGAAACTATTTAAATATTCAGTAATAGGAAAAGAGTTAAAAAATAAATAACAGTGCTATATCCAATACAATGGAATACTATAGCACTCGCAGTAATGCTATAATACTTCTATATACATCGATATGAAAAATGTCCAAGATATGGTGTTAAGTAAAAAGAACAAGCAGCAAAACAATTTATATAGTGGGAGTTCTATTTTTGTTTTAATAACAACAAATACATGGTGATATAAGAAGAAGAAACAATCCATTAAAATACATCCTAAAATCAAAGGGAATTTTAAATGTCTTCACCACAAATAATAAATATGTGAGGTGATGGGTATTTTAAGTAGACTGATTTGATCATCCCACAATGTACACATGTATCAAAACACTATGTTATACCATATACATGTATACAATTATTTGTCAATTAAAAATAAAATAAAAAAATTTAATACAATCAAATTGTTAACGGATGATATCATTTCAAGGAAATCAAGTGACTATTCTTTCTTTTTTGTTCTTTGAATTATTTTAAGCATCCAACACACACTACTCTCATAATAAGATAAACACAAGACAACACCATAGCCAAGGTCATTTGCACTAATAACATGAGCCTCAAAGGCATTTATTCAGCATCTTCCAGATCAAGTCAAGCAGTCAGAGCCCACATCACATCCTGAGAGGTTTGCAGCCCCTTTCTGGCCCTCACAACTGCTCATTTGACTCAGGCGCCTGGTTCTCACAAGCCAGTGGACAGCCCTCCAGATTATCTCTTCCCAAGAAGCGGGGGTGGACTGCGGAAAGAAAGGTGACTATGGTGGCCAGATGGACAGAGTCCTCTCCATTCAGCCACACAATCAAGGAGTCAGTCTGGAACATGCTGTAATTAGGTGTAACACCACCTTCCACTTACCACATGGCAAATCCATTCCTTGGGGTTTTTAGAAACAAAAACACCAAATTTCTTCCAACTGAGTCAACTTCCCTGAAATCTAAACATTATAGTCTAGATCAAAATAATGAGGAGGGAAAAATTTTAAATATTACATCTTATTTTAGGAGTCCAACGTATTTTACACTACACACACACACACACATACACACACACACTCTATTAGATCTTCTAAAATACCACATGCAATAGTAAATTACCATTCCATTCCTGTCCACTAAATCATACCCAAGAGAAAGTTAATGGACATCCAGAAGTTTCTCCTATGCATTTAGGAAGATCTGGCCCATGGTCTCATCACCCCTCAGAACTATCTTATGAAGCAGAGGGCAAACATTTCTAGCCCTGAATCCTGGGTAGAGTCCTAAAATAGGTGAACTTGCCCTAGACTTCAGTGAGCACAGTGAGAAGCCTGCAGCACTCACTGGATCCTCACCCAAAAAGAACACGACATCTCATTCCACGGCACAGCAAGACCATGTCTGGGATCTGTCATCATCGCAAAGAAATGTTTACACTGCTATTTCTGATACTCTTGTGTAAATCTCAAGAGTGGCTTACTCCTAAAATCTCAAGTCTGTGGTAAAGGGTCCGTTTTAAGGAAATCCCAAGTACCTGTTTGTTACAGTACAGAAGATGCAAAATTCCGGCAACGGGGGAAATTCACTGGAAGCCTGTGAGGTGGAGTCAAAGTGCTCCTTTTCCGCTGGGAGCCCCAGGAAAAGGGAACTGGGGGTTGTGGAAGCAGGCTCATTTTGCTGTTTTACCATACTAAAAGCATGACTCTATCTTTGTCAACTCTCACAAAGTTTCATTAAGCAAATGGTTTGTTTTTCTCAAGGACTTGAGCTACTTTTTAAAAAGATATACAAGCAATGAGTTTCAAGTTACTCTAGAATAATAAATATTCTCCAAGTATTTGTCTTTGAAAGCATCCTCTACTCCAGCACCTGTACTCTAGCACAGGATGATGAAACTAAAATTCATAGTATAGAACAAACATAAATATACATTCATATTACTCAGAAAACTAGAACCCACAGGGTTACCAGGGTCACTGCTGGTACATTTTTATAAATTTAATGATCACATTCATCTAAACAAAACCAAAAATAAGCAAACTCTTCCTACCCTTAACACATCTGGCTGTCCATCTTTCTTCCAAGCCAATGCCTACTACAAAACTTGCCAGGTTTTGTTGAGCATCTTACAAGGGCACCCCACAATCAAGGAAAATATGTCCACAGAAGGGAGGACAATGCTTTGTATTTGGCGTCCCACAAATTTATGAAGCACTTTGGATGGGTCAGCACAACACAAGGCGGCATAGTAGAAAGAGCAGCAGATGGGAAGGGAGAGGCTCCCAGCGGTAAAAACTTTAATGACACCATCTCCCAGAACATCCCACAGGTACTCTATCTTTTCCTCTGGCCTAAACCACTGCAACGAGCCCCTGCCTGGTCTCCCGGACTCTATTCTCTCCTCTGCCCCAGAATGATCTTTCTAGAAACAAAGATCTTTCCATACTTCACCTCTGCATAGACACCTTCCCTGAGGCTCCTCTGCCTACAGGGTAGAGTTCATCTCCTTAGCTGTCATGGCATTCTGCAGAGGCTCTTCACATCGCCATGCCTCCTTGCTCCCAGGCGGGCAGTACAGCATACCAGTAAATGCACACATGTTGCAGGAGTTTCTTGCTTGCTCCAGAACTAACCGTGAACAAGGCTTTTAAGCTTTTTAAGTAAGTTTTTTATGACTCAGTTTCTGCATTTGCCAAGCTGAAATCATAATGGCTACAGTGGGCTGTTATTCCATTTTAGAGAAATTATTTATGTAGAGCACTTAATACAATGCTTAAAACTCAGTTAAACCTCAATAAGCAGTGACAATTATAATTATTATTAATACATCACAGAAACTCACTAAATGTTTAATTGAAGAGACTCTAATCTCCACTAACCCATTATAATTATTATTAATATGTCACAGATACTCACTAAATGTTTCTTAACCAGAGACTCTAATCTCCACTAACCCCAGACAAATGACAACTTCTCTAGGTCTCAGTTTTCTCACTTTTAAGTATGAGAGGTGAGGAGAGGTATGGGGTGAGGGGTGGGGGACTAACACAGGAAACAATTAAATGCTAAATTGTGTGATAGTAACAGGGTATCTGAGAAATGACAACTGTTTCCCCAGCTTGAGAAATGTATAGATCAGCACTATAAAGGGGAAATATTCCTTTGGATCCCCTTTCCCCTAAGCTTTGACTTAAATTACATTTATTATAATGTTATTGAAGTATGTCCAAACATAAAACTAGGTTATGTCTTCTCTATGCTTTAGCTCTTATAAAACTATAAGGTAAACACTTTTTAAATCTGGTAAAAACACATAAAAGAAAGCTCAACATTAATTTAACATGACAGACAACAATGATGCAATTTTGCAGACACTGTATGGCTGCTTGCAATGTTTTAAATACAACAGTAGCATGGAGGAGGTAGCCTGCATTCACATTCTGCTTGCTGACACCAATGTGCGCTGTGACCCCTTCAGCTACCCAACACTTTTGTCTAACAAATTGCCATGAAACCTTTGTTCATACAACTTCCAGCCATCTTCTGACACCAACAAATCATTTCTGTAATAAGTTCACATCTGTTCCTCCCCCACTAGCTAGAGACAATTAAAGGAATGCTCAAACACAGTCAATAAAGTCTTCTGGCACTGCTCATTTATAAGGTCATCAAGATGTCACAGAATCTGTGATTTTTTTAAAAAATGTATTATTGGCCAAGCACAGTGGCTAACGCCTGTAATCCCAGCACTTTGGGAGGCTGAGGCGGGCAGATCACTTGAGGTCACGAATTTGAGACCAGCCTGGCCAACATAGTGAAACCCCGTCTCTACTAAAAATACAAAAATTAGCCGGGCGTGGTGGCACACGCCTGTAATCCCAGCTACTCAGGGGGCTGAGACAGGAGAATCGCTTGAACCCAGGAGGTAGAGGTTGCAGTGAGCCAAGACTGCATCACCACACTCCAGACTGGGCGACAGAGTGAGATTCCGTCTAAAAAAAAAAAAGTATTATTGAAAAGAATATTAAAAATGTAATTCTGGCTTTAAAAAATAACTCCCAGGAAAATGTCTTCAAACTCCAGTTTAAGAAACATTATTTTGGCCGGGCATGGTGACTCATGCCTGTAATCCCAGAACTTTAGGAGACGGAGGCAGGCAGATCACTTGAGGTCAGGAGTTCAAGACCAGCCTGCCCAACATGGTGAAACCCCGTCTCTATTAAAAACACAAAAATTAGCTGGGCGTGGTGGTGTGCGCCTGTAATCCCAGCTTACTCGAGAGGCTGAGGCAGGAGAATCACTTGAACCAGGAGACGGAGGTTGCAGTGAGCTGAGATCGCGCCACTGCACTCAAGCCTGGGTGACAGAGAGACTTCGTCTCAAAAAAAAAAAAAAAAAAAAAAAAGAAAAAGAAACATTATTTTAAAATAAACGGATCTTGCCACAGTATCCAGAAAGATGTTAGACATCTGAGAGCTAACTCTGTGCTGACACTTTTAGTGCTTTACACATAGTCTTTAATAACTCTATAACCCTATAAAGTAGGTAACACCCAAGGAAACAGAGGCTTGAACAGAGTCTCCAAGTGTTGGGGCAGCATTTTGAACTATCTGAATCCAGTACCTCTGCTCTCTGCCCTTTCAAGACCAGCCCTAAAGAGCCTCAGCAGAAGACAACCAGCAACGCACAACATAAATCCAGATGAAGCCTACCAGATGGGAGTGAGGGACTGAGAGAGAATAGGTGGCATTGTGAAAACAGAAATGGCAGGACTTGGCAACAAAATGGAGAGAAGAAGGAAGGATCAGAGGTAAGTCCTTGGACCTTTGAGATGGAAAGAATAGCTGCCCTGCCCCCTAGAAACAGAACTTCTGGGAAAAGCAGTCAGTTTGCAATATGAAACCTAAATTAAAACATGGTTGGTTTAAGGCAAAAGGGACTTACCACAAGTGGAGATGGATATTCCCTTAACAGATCACAGCTGGATATATTAAACTTTAAGTCATGTTCATAGAAAATATGTTTACAATGCATGAAGATTCTTTCAAAGATAAGGCAATCAAAGGTGTCCAGCACAGAAGAGATGGAAAACAAAAACTGGCAAGACAAGGACACCGGATTCTGAAAGAAGACTTTGTGTCAACAATAGCTTCACCAGATTGGTGTACAAAAGTCTGACCATAGGAAGGGGAATTATGACGGCTAAGAAACAGGGCCCATCTACCCATGTTAGGACTCACTGACACATCTTTGTGCCCACTATGTACTAAATACTGTCCTAGGTCCAGCCGTGAAGACCTCTGCACTCATGGAGGTTATGTTTTAGTTAGGGAGAGAGACAAAGAACAAGAAAGCAAATATATGGTCTGGAGTTAGGTAATGATATATGCTCTAAAGGACAGGAAAAAATAAAGCAGAATATGAGAAAGAATGATGTAGGGGGCAGGCATTTGAGATAATGCCATCTGGCAATCAACAAAAATCAACTGAACTCTTAAGAGGAGGTGGCAAGGTGAAATTCAAATTTTTAAAGCTATGAAGCCTTTAGTATATTCATTTAAAATATGTGCTGCCTACTACTACATGAAGCGCTATATTGGTGCTGGAGATTACAGGAAAACACACGCATTTGAAGGTATCTGAGAACTGGTGCACACTGAGGAGAAAACCAATGGCATGTGAAAGGCTGAGGAAGTACAGAGGGGAAGCCAAGGTTCCTGCAGGGCAAGTAGGACAAAACAGTGTCACCCTATGAATGACCTTTTCTTCTGAAGTTGCTTCCAACTTGAATATTCTGACTATATTAGAAAAGGATAGATGCTGGAGCAGTGATATGCTTAAGGGAAAAGAAAGAAGCAGAGGGAGGAAGATTTTTATAAGATTCGGCAACATTCATTCAACAGATAAATAACTGTTTATTGAGCAAGACCTATTGGGTGTCACAAGGATGAGATTCTGTGCTGAACAAAGGTAAGGCCGGGCATGGTGGCTCACGCCTGTAATCCCAGCACTTTGGGAGGCTAAGGCGGGTGGGTCATGAGGTCAGGAGATCGAGACCATCCTGGCTAACATGGTGAAACCCTGTCTCTACTAAAAATACTAAAAAATTAGCTGGGTGTGGTGGTGGGCACCTGTAGTCCCAGCTACTCGAGAGGCTGAGGCAGGAGAATGGTGTGAACCCAGAAGGAGGAGCTTGCAGTGAGTGGAGATCGTGCCACTGCACTCCAGCCTAGGCAACAAGAGTGAGACTCCGTCTCAAAAAATAAATAAATAAAAAATAAACAAAGGTAAGCAAAAACACACAGACATCTCAAGAAGGTTACAGTGAGACTGCCTTTGTTAGCACAGAGCCAAAAAGGATCAAACTGCGGGTATGGGGGAGAAGTAGGTGGATGCAAAAAGGATGGTGAGGCTATCACCCAACTGCAACCAAACTGAAGATGAGGGATCTGATGCAAAAGGTTAAAAGATTAGGGAAGTAACCATCAAGTCCATAGCTTAGGAGTAGTTTAACCGTGGTGTCCTTTCCATCCCACACTAACTACATCTGGATTAAAATCATCTGCTTCCTCCCAAAGATGTGAATCATGCCTCCTTTAATCTCTATATTCCCAATAACTTGTAAATAATGGAGTCTCAATAAATGCTTGGCTAAGGCTAAGTTATAATGACATGAGTAAAACAGGAGAGACTAAATAAAGATTTGATGGGTGTGAGAAGCAGGATAGAAGATTCCTGCTAGGTGTCCAAAGCAATTGTATTTGGCTGACATCTGAATGAACAAGACCCACCAGCAACTGCATCTAACTCACTGGACAGCCCTGAGAAAGTCACCTCAATTCTGAATCTGAATTTGTAAAAGGAAGATATTGGCGCAAACCAGAAGTTGCAGGCCTTTCAGTGGAAAGAAGGTGGCTGTTATTACACTGAAACCTGGAGAGTGCATCTTTGCTGCCCTGGTAAGGGGTACCGGCTTCCCCTTAAGCTGTGCTTCCAAACAAATTATAGAGAGGAGAACATACAGCTGGTATGGCCACCAAAATAAGGACCTTTGAGGCTTGTGAACAAAACAGATGCGCTTGTGTGTGGCAGGTAAGGAGACAGGGGTTTGGAGCAGGAGCAGCAGAGACCAGTGGTAATAAGTTATACAGATCTCAGAGGTGAGACAACAGATAGCCCAAGGAAAGAATGGAAGGGATGGAACAGATATCTATGTTTGCAAGGTGGTTCTCATGTCTGGCATGTACACACCCAGGCACCAAGACACACAATAAGTCAGGGAGAAGTAGATTTTACACAACCTAAAAACTTTAATACTAATTTAACAGCTGTTAGAGCAATAATAATCCATTAGCAAGATCACCTGTAACCTTTGAAAAGCTTGTTTATTTACCATATTTACAGAGTGCCATCAGACTATATTTTGAGATTCTGACAAGTTTCCATTTAGGATCACAGAAAGACCTGACATTTCGGCTTGGCATGGGAAATTATGTAATTTCCCATGCCAAGCTGAATTCCCCAACATTACAGGAAAACCCACAAACCCTGCAGAAGGGAGTGAAAAGCCAATCCAGTCAAAGGAAATCTTCCAGTTCTACAAAAGAAAACAAAAAAACAAATACCACAAAGAGCAATGAATCATTTCTAGTGAATAACTTTTCACTCCATCTTCAATAATGTCATCCTGAAGCCCCTGAAAACTATTAAATTACATATTCTATATTCCTGGTGATATCACTGCCTAAAATTACACAACTTAAAGCAGTGAGGGAGCTGACGACTGGTAAGAAATCTTCAAGGACGTAAAAGGCCAGAAAAAAATCATGTGTTTGAAAATGCCTGCGAAATAATAAACGCCTGAGGGAACTTGATGGCTTTGCTGCTTCTAAGCTAAATAAAGCCTGGGGGGCTTTGCAAAGGTCCTAGTGAGGATAATCTCCATGATTACACAGAGCAAACATCCAATCAATTCCACATGAACCCAGGAAAGTTAATCCAAGAAGAACACCACCACTTAAAATATTGAGAAAAACACACAGTTCTTATTGTTTAAATGCTCCATCAGCGCTGGAGAACGTATCAGGTCATTCTAACAAGTCAGAACACTTGACTAGTGTTTCTGTGACAATGATTTGGCTTGTGTTAACTAAAGGGCAACAAGAAGTTTGCGTTCCAAAGCTCAGGCCTAAAACAGGTCCAATCCCCGACTGCCAGCAGTCTCCCTACTTCCTGCACACCTTTGGATTATTGCACACCGACTTCCTGCACACACCTGGGTTTGAGACACCTTCCCCGAGGGGTTACTCTAGCTAAGTTCCCGAGGCAAGCTTGAAAGAAGTTCGCTGTACCCCTACTCTCGGTCAAAGCACCATCAGCACATGTCGCTTGACAAGTTCGGCGGCAATGGAGTGATCAATTTACATAAACAACTCTGAAGAGATAACGCATCACTGCAAGGAGAGAAAGTCAGCAGGACGACTGTGCCCGCTCCGGGAAAGGCGGCTGCAAGGCTGGCCCGCGGGCAGAGCCTCCGCTGACGTTCACCGCAGCTCCCACCACGCAACAGGTCCACGTAGGCAAGGCCCGGGCGGCCGGCATCTGGGCACCTGCCCCTAGCGCTCCAGGCCCAGCTCTCCCCTGCGCCCATCTCGCGTCCACCCCCGCAGCCACCGCAGGCCAGCCGGCCAAGCCCACCCGCGATAAAGCACGGAGCACATTCCTCATTCCTCCCAAGATGCCGAGATAGTGCGGCCCGCTTGAGCGCTGCCCAGGTCACAAGGTCCTCCGGGACATGCCTTGACTAAAGGAGAGGCGCGCCCGGCCCTTGGTGGGGGAACGACCCCGGGGAGTGGAGGGGGGGAGGATGCAGTGCTCTGTAGCTTCCAGATGGAAACAGCCCGAATCACCCGGCTTCTCACCTGACCGGGCACAAGTGCCAGGTGTCAGTACCTAGCATGGATCTAAGTTACTTAACAGTCCAGAACGCTTCTCCAATAGCACGAGCCCCAGTGACTACGCGCAAAATATCCGGTCACTTTGAATAAAATGAAAAGGAACTTTTACTGGGAAAGGATGGAAGTAAAGAGACAGGGGGAGAAAGAAGCAGGTGAATGCATAAAAGAGGGAAGGTTCCTTCACGCCGGACCCGGAGATGGAAGAGGGGACGAGAGAGGATGGGAGCGGAAGGGACAGCAGACGAGCGGGCAGAGCGCTCAGGTGAGGCCGGACCCTTACCTCGGGCAGCTCGCGGAGCTGGTTGGCGTCCAGCAGCAGCTCCTCCAGGCTCCGGGCATAGCGGTAGATCTCCTCGGGGACGTAGACCAGCGAGCAGTGGCGCTTGTCGATGCTCTCCACATGACGGTTGCACCGCCACAGGGGGATGCAGTGGAACATCGCCGCCCCCGCCGCCGCCTAGCCGGGTCCCGAGCGGCGGAGACCCGGGCTCCGAGCCCGCTCTGGCCGGCGGCTCCGCTCAGTCCGCTGCCCTCTCCGCGCTCGTTGTTGGCTCTTGGGTTAGCTCGCTTCTCGCGCCGGGCTTCGCGGTCGGAAGTGCTTCAAGGAACCTGGAGCGGGAGCCCCTGCCCCGTCCCTGTACCCCCGCCCGCCAGCCGGTGCCTCCACTCCCACCCGCCAGTCGCCGTCGCCGCCCCCGCCGCCGCGCGGAGCTTCCTACTCGCAGCCGCCGCGCGGACTGAGCATGCGCGCCAGTGGGTGCGCGCCGAGGGCGTTTCCCGGCCCGAGGGATGCTCCGCTCCGGGTTTTCCCGGCGACCTGCATCCAGAGAGGGTCGACTGACCTGCGGGCCGGCTGCTGGCGGTCTGCTTACTCCGGCAAAGACGGGGGCGCATCGGGCCGTTTGAGGAAGGCAGACTGTGAAAGGACTTGGGACAAAGATGAGGCGGAGTAGAGGCGGCCTGAGCAGAGCAGAACAACTTTGATATTTAGTTTTATTTAACTCGCACTCCTCTCCTTGCTCCCCTTCCCCAAAACAACTTTCTCTTCCGGGGTCACACAGGACCGCCCCAAAGCGTACCTTGCGCGCCGGGGGCGCCAGGCGCTACTGGATTCGGTGTAGTTTTGAGGTGTTTGCACCACCCTCGCTGCTGCTTTCGTGGCTGCCCGTGTGCCCGCTGCTCACGGCTGCCCCAGAAGTGTGAGCTGGCCGCGCCCGGCCCTCTGGTCCTCGGGCACCGCCTGCAGGCTTTGTAACTTGGGAGCACATCTCTGGTGATCATGGTTTATGCAGTGAGTGATAGTAAATCCTCCTCCCTGTACCAGCAAAGGCATAGGAGTCTGAGAGTCTGCGAGATTCTCATAGATGTGGTTGCACCTGGCAAGGAGCCCAGCTGCAGAAATAAGCAGGCAAACGCGAGTTTCTGAGCCAGTTCCAGCCCGGCCCAGATGTTGGCCCCTGACAACTAGCTGTGGCTGGTGCGGAGGGAGGAGCGAGGGAAGAGGGGCAGATCGAGGCTGCCAGGTGAGCATCCTCCATACAGCTCCTGCTTTTCTGCTACAACCCCAGTCCCGTCCAGCCCGGATGACCGGGGAGGCTCACTATTGGGTTATAACAACCATTCCCTCGCCCCGACTCATTCCTGCGGACCACGGCCGGAATCCTGAACTGCCCCTCTTTGCCTGTAACTGTTTGCAACACAGTCCCCATCTCCGAATAACCAAATTTTCTCCTTTAATGAAGGGTTGCTAAAGTCAAGGTCAATCACAATGATGAATCATTTCCTTGGGGGCTTCTCTGATTCCCCACCCGGCCGCCCCTTCGTTCCACACTTTCCCTTTCAAGCATACTCAAACTCCAGGTTTCCACCTGCGGCCGCTGCCACGCTGGCTCTCCCACACTCACTCCCGCCCTCCAGCTGCTATAGCTAAAATCTGGAGCCACGGAGTTCACTTTTCTATAGAAGACAAAGCTGAGCATGCTCAGTGGCCAAGGCAAAGTTTGGTCGGAAACTAGTTTTTGCATTAGACTCTCCATGGGCTCCATAGACTCTCCTGTACCTTACGACTAGGCACAGGAGCGTTTCCCCGGTGAAATGGAGAAGAGGACACTTGGTCTTTTCAACTTTACTAGGAGGGCTCCTTTCTTCCCAGTCCGTAAGGAGGGGTCTGACTTTCATTTCCACCCCAGCATTATCACCTTAACTCTCATTCCAGTCAATCCCGAAACTCCGTTGCCCTACCCACTTCACCCTTCTTTTGTTTGTCCTGATTTGATTCCTGCGTTCTCACAGAGGGCTACCTGGACTTTGAACCTCCACCCCCCTTTCTACATTCTTGCATTCCAGAAACATATGAAGCTCATTTCTGCCACCCTTCCTAGAAAACTGGTTCCTGACAGAGACATGTGGAAAGGTAAGTAAGTCCCTGTCTTCAAGTTTTCCAACTGCTTTTTAAAAAAAAAATTAAAGAAGGCTAGTTCCCTCCATTTAAAATAATGTGATTTCCAGAGGTTATCACACTAGATTATTTTAACGAACACCAAATGTATTTTAAAGACGTGTCCAGTCTTTTAAAAATTCAGACCTCAATAAGCATTCCTTGTGTGCCTCTCCATGATGCTTCAGCTTCTCTGTGTTATTATTTTTGTATCACCTTAATCCGAAAGAGATTATGACCTCTTAAACAACAGATACTGTCTCACTTGCTTTGTAGATCTGGGAAGCTGCCACAGTGCCATATGCACAGTCAATGATCAACAGTTTTTGTTGATTTAATTCTATGGGTAGTCACTGGGAGAATTCTTGACTTTCCTTGTTTCCAATAATCTGCCAAGAATTTGAAACAGCGTAGTAAGAGAGAAAAAATGAAACAACACCTTGTCAACTACAGAATAGGGAAGCAATTAACTTTTTACTCACCTGAAGAATTTTAGGGTTTCCCGCCTGATAAAACATCTAGTTTCTTCCGCCACATACAAATGAGTTTGACTCAATTTAAACAAAGTTTAAAAAGACCACCTAAATCACTTTATTCTTAGAATAATGTAATTCTTTTATTCATTTGTACTGTGAACCATGTTTTCACAGCCTTTGAGCTAAAGAGATCTGTGTTTGAACTCTTGTTATGCCACTAGCTTCGTAGAAATTGACAGTTTACTTAACTTGTATAAGCCTCAGTTTTATCATATCTCAAATGAGGATGATTCATGGGATTGTTATCTGGATTAAATGAAATGACATATGTAAAATGCTTAGTACAGTATCAGACACACATTACTTTAATCAATAAATATTAATTATGCACTTTATTAGCCAGCCTCCAGGAAGTTAGGGACAACATCCACCATCTCCTGGTTGGTCTATGTAACCAACTTTTTCTTTCTCGAATCACTCACTTTGGGGAAGCCAGCTGCCATGTTGAGCAAATCTAGAGCTCCACATGCCAAAGAATTGCAGACTGCTGACAACAACTAGCAAGGGACTGACGATTCTTGGCAGTAGTCATGTGAGTGAGCCATCTTGGAAGCCAGTTCTCCAGCCCTTGTCAAGCCTTCAAGTGACTGCAGCACCAGCTGATAGCTTGACTAAAACCTCATGATAGCCTCAGACTCAGGACCACTCAGCTAAGCTGCTCCCCACTCTTGCCCCTCAGAAATTATGTGAGACAGTAAATGTTTGTTGCTTTAAGCTGCTAAGATTTGGAGTAATTTATTACACAGCAACAAATAACTAATAAAGGTACATACTATGCACCAGGCATTGTGCTAGATACTAGAAATGTAAGAAAAACAAGATAGGTCTTAGCCTCATGAAGCTTACTCTCTGAAGTTAGGAGAATGATAAATACTTAGTGGTCTGTTGTTGCTTTATCATTAATTTTTTGAGCATGATATCATTAATTTTTTTAAGTGAAAATCCAAAGTGTTAGCGTGTAAGATAGGGATTCTTGTAAATGGGGATTCAGAGGTTTGGGCATGTGAATTTTAATGTGACATACCACCGCCTAACCACTAGAATGACTTAAAATTAAAGAAAAAAAAAAAAAGACAATCCCAAATGTTACTGAAGATATAGAGCAACTTGGCCCGGCAGAGTGGCTGACACCTGATTCCAACACTTAGGGAGGCCCAGGCGGAATGGGGTGGAGGGATCGCTTGAGGCCAGGAGTTCAAGACCAGCCTGGGCAACATAGGGAGACACCCACCTCTACAAAAAATAAAAAATTAGCCTGGCATAGTGGCATATGCCTGTAGTCCCAGCTACTCAGAAGGCTAAGGTGGAAGGATCACTTGAGCCTCCTAGTTAGTTTGAGGCCGCAGTGAGCTGGGCACTGCACTCAGCCTGGACAACAGCATAGGACACTGTCTCAAACAAATAAAAAAATGGAACAACTGGAATTCATACACTGCTGGTGGAAGTGTAAAATGGTAAAACCACTTTGTAAAACAATTTGGCAGTTTATTGTAATCATATGCCTACCTTAATGATCTACCCATTCTACTCCTAGGTATCTGCACAAGAAAAAGTGAAAACATATGTCCAAGCAAGGATTGTTTACAAATGTGCATAGCAGTTTTGTTAATAATAGCCCCAAACTGGAAACAATCCAAATATTCATCAACAGACGGATACAGTGTAGTATAGTGAAACAATGGACTAGCATTCAACTAAAAGGAGCAAGCTACTAATACATGTAGCAATGTGCATAAATCGCAAAAACTATGTTGTGTACAAGGCAAACACAAATGAGTACATACTATATGATCCCATGTATATAAAATTCTGGAAAATGCAAACTAATATAAAGTGACACAACCTAAATCAGTGGTCTAGAACCTGTTAGTTGGGTTGTAGGAGGGATTGTGGTGATAAAGATTGATGATGAAAAACAGAGAATTTGTAGGGGAAGTGGGCGATGGAAATATTATATATCTTGATTGTGGTGTAGTTATGTGGGTATATACTTTTTTCATCAGACTGTATAGTTAAAATAAGAAACTATTACATAAGATATATATATCACTAAAATTAATTCTAAAAATTAAAAAGTATACAGGTGAATGTATCCAACAAGTTGCAAATTACATCTAGGGTTAGGGATCATGTTGTATTAGTTGCTCAATAAATATTTACTTGTTCACTACATGCCAGGCACTGGGTTAATTTGCTGGAGAGACAAAAAAGAACAAGACAGGGCTTTCAGTCTTACTGAAAGAAAGGCAGCTATCAAGGAACTTATAAATCATAGTACTATTGTAGTGTGATACAGCTTTTTTTTTCTTGATCTAGAGAGGATGACTTTTTGTCCTGTAAGAGATTATTTGAGGTATTTAGATAACAGGTCAAATAGCAAATTAAATCTTAATGATATACAAATCTGGATAATAGAAAGATAGGTCAATTTGTATATGAATCCCAAAGCCCTCTCTCAGAGAAGAAGCACTCAGATCCCAACTCATGATTCTCCAAGGTTGAGTTTATGGATATTTCCTGAAGATTATGTATCTGTGCTATAAGGGAAGGCTACACTCAAACCATTTGAGAAACCTGAGAGCCTGCAGAATTACATGGATACATTAGTTTAGAAGTCAGCAATGTTTATGATCAGAACCAAAGTAATTACCCTAAAATCTCTTTGATTCATATTACTATTTAAGTTGAAATTCTGTCCCCATCCCTTGCTTTTTGGTTGAAATGTTTAGTCCATTTACATTTCATATAATTATCAGATGATTTGGACTTAAATCTATTATTTTATTATTTGTTTTCCATGTGTACCATCTGATTTTTGTTCCTCTGTTCCTCCTTTTTTGACATCTTTTAAGTAAATAAATATATTTTATAATCTCACTTTATCTATTGGCTTTCTAGCTATCGTGATTGCTCTAGGGAATATAATATGCATCCTTAAATTTTCACAGTCCAGTTAGAGTAAATATACCAATTCATATAAACCCTTGCATATGATTCCTGCAATTATCTAGGTCCGTTTGTCAACTATCTGGTGCTTTATGTTACAATTTTTATGCAGATTACATTTATATGTTATAAACCCCACACAAAATTTTTCATATTTTCTTTTAAAATTCTTTAGTATTTTAAAGAAATAAGAGGAAAAAATTGTCTTTTATATTTACTCACACGTTTATTTCCAGTGCTCTTCATTCCTGTCTCATGTCATGTCTCTTCACCTGGAAGTTTGTTAAAGATTTATCTGCAGATGTCTTTATTGTACCTTAATTCTTTATAAATATTTTCAGTAGGTATACAGTTCTGGGTTGACAAGTTTGCTGGTTTTTTTTTTCTTCTCAGCACTCTAAAAATAATCAATTTTCTAATTTCTTATGAGAAGTCAGCAATAACTCAAATTGGACCTAATTTGTATGTAATATACCATTTTCTCTGGCTGCTTTTAAGATTTTCTCTCTGTTCTTGGTTTTTAGTAGTTTAATTAGTATATGTCTGTATTTATCTTGATTATGGTTTACTGAGCTTCCTGAATCTGTAAATTTATAACTTTCACCAAATTTAGAACATTTTCAGCCATTGTTTCTTCACATATTTTTTGCCCATTCTCTTCTTCCCTTTTAATACTTCAATTTTTAAAATGTTAGACCTCTTGATATTGTCCCACATATTTTTGAGGTTCTGCCTCTTTTTTCCCTGATATTTTTCTCTCTGTTTTCCACATTGGATAATATATACTGTTCCAGCTTCAAGTTTACTGGTTCTTCTGTCATCTTCAAACTGCTGCTAAGCCCATCAGAAATGCAATTTCAGATGGTGTATTTTTTAGTTCTGAAATTTCCATTTGGTTCTTTTTCTATATAGTTTCATTTATCTGCTGAGATTTCCTATGTGTTCATTTATTAAGAGTTTATGTTCCTTTACATATTTGATTAAGGTTATAATAGCTGCTTTAAACTCTTTGTAGGCAAATTCTGAAACCTGGGTCATCTTAGAGTCATTCTGCCTTGATTGCATTTTCTTTTAAGTATAGGTCACATTTTTCTGTCTCCTCATATACCTAGTAATTTTGGATTATGTCCTGGATATTGTAAATAATAGAATCTCTGGATTCTGTTATATTCCTCCAAAGAGTGTTTTTGTTTTGTTTTGTTTTAGCAGCCTGTTAGCTTGGATGAAATAAAACAAAAAACTCTTATTTTCTCTGTGGTACATGGCAGCTGAAATTTGTGTTCAGTTATTTTATTCTTAATTAGGTTGCTTAAAAGCTGAACTACACATGCATAATTTAGCGGTCAGTCAAATATTTGGACGATTTATATGCAGAATCTGGAGCTTCTGTTCTCACTCAATCCTGTCTGAGGTTTCCCGCTTCTCACTTTCAAGGTGCCTTTGTCACCCCAACTCTGATGTATGATACATTGAGCCAGATTGCTCTAAACATGAGTTTTAGCTGATCTATGTGATAGACTCTAGTGTATGCTTGTCAAAGTCATAAAAGCAGAAAATTCACTCTTCTTCCTAGTATAGATTTTCCTTCAGTTGCTGCTTGGTTTTGGCCATTCTGCAGTACCTTCAGATAGTTGATTTTTGCATTTTGTTCAGCACTGTAATTGTTATCTGTGGGAAAGTTGGTCATGTAGTAACCATTCAGTTGTTTTTTATAAATTGTAATCATTTGTTTATATAGCTTCACAGATTGTAAGAGTATGTGGACAATCCAAATTTTCTTATTACTAAGATTTTAATCTACCCCTCCATTCATAGGAGTTACAAATGAGCAAATTGAGTTTTCTGCTTTTCTGTTTTTCTCAATCTCCTTATAAAGGTTCTCATGATGAGTCAAATATTGAACAGCATTTTGCCTTGGTGGAAATGAGCCAAAACTACCTGTAGTGTGGGGTGGTATAAAGAACTCATGATTTTGCATTGAATTTTTGGATCTGCCACTACTAGGGATGAGATCTTGGGTTAATCATATTTAACTCCAATATTCTTTATTTCTACAAAGGCATGAAAAATGCCACCCTCAAATGGCTTTTGAGAGGATTATGGGTTAATGTAGTGGAAAAAGTTTTCCATACTGCAGAACACAACACATTAGGCATTATTCATTGTCAATACTCTTTGCTCAGTTACCAGCCAAAAGAAAGCCTATCATGTGAGTACATTGTTTAGGTAAACAATATGTAAATTATCATATCAGTTGATATGAGACGGTAAAGTATTTCAGTAGGAAAGAGACTATATCAAAGAAGCCAAATCAAAACCAGGTATCTGCCACTGAATCCATCTTTTTCCAGGCCTCTGCCTCAGCCTCATGGTCTCCTTCTTTGATAAAACAGGAAGGTGAAGCTTAGAGGTGGCTCAGGTTGTGGCAATGCTTTACATTTGTGTAATGCTTTATCGTTTAAAAAGAGTACATTAGCATACATTGCCTCATCTGATCAAAATGTACTTTTTAATCATTTAAGTAAACATAGATGCCTCATTTATTTTTCACCTTCATCCACAAAAGGTTTAAGAAAATCATATAGCCGTGTCTCTTCTTATGTTACTCTTATTTTATTGTTACAGTTCCTACAATATAAATTAAATCAATATAGACATTGTTTTCACTGAAGGCCAAGGTCTACTTTGTAATTAGTAAAAATTATACCTATGAGTGAAACCACTCCACTGAGCACTGTCATTCAAACAGTTCAAAGACCATTAGTGATCAAAGTATGTTGATCAGTTAACTAACATAAGCCTGAAAGATCTCCTATTTCTCCAGTCAAGTTAGCACTATCCATAAAGTTCATGCAAACTTGACTGGAGAATAAGATACCTTTTAGGGCTAGTCAACTTGAAATAATATGTTATTAATAATGCTGTCTTGAAAGAAAGAAAGAAAACTATTAACTTTCAGGCTGACAAAAACATTTAACTGTTTAAGCATACCATGATAGTTTATTTATGTTACTAATAAAACAATGAAGATCAGATCAACATGTATTTTTAAAAGTATAATATTTAGGTTTCATTCAATCATTTATTTCAGAAACCATCAGATATCTCTGCAATTCTAATTTATTCATACTATTTTCTATTACTGGGTCAACTGACAAATCTACTTTATTTGCTGTTTTCTTCCCACAAAATACAAGGGAGAAATGTTTTCAAAGAGCATCAATTTGTTGTAAAGTTTTTATTAATATGTGAGAAGCTTATAAACAAATACATTTCATTAATTATAGCACCTTAAAGGAGGTAAAAGTTAGAGAGTTTGGGTGGAAATATCAGTATCTGATACTGTTATAAATCCATCATTGAGACAAGTCAAATTAATTTGTAGGAAGGCAGTTCTACAGATGTGTCCTGCTTTAAGCAAAATCAAGCATAAAGATACCTAATCTCATTGCCAATTTCAATGCAGAGATGATTCTTATTGTCCTAAGATTTGTTGCTTTACCAAAAAGATTTACTGAAAGGTTTAAATGGATCATTATTTTAATGCAACTGAAACAATTTTATTTACCAAAAAATTAAGTTGCATACAATTTTGTGGGTACATTTCTAATGCACAAAGCTAAGTTTAACTGTATTCACCTTTTAAAAATTAAACTTAATTTTTAATTGATACAATAATTGTACATATTTATGGAGTATAAAGTGGTGTTTCCATACACGTATAGTGATCAAATCAGGGTAATTAGCATATGCATCATCTCAAATATTTAGCATTTCTTTGTGTTGGGAACATTCAATATCCTCCTTCTAGCTATTTGAAACTATATATTATTGCTCACACCTGTAATCCCAGCAGTTTGGGAGGCTGAGATGAGTGGATCACTTGAGGTCAGGTGTTTGAGACCAGCCTGGCCAACAAGGTGAAACCCCATCTCTACTAAAAATACATGGTGGTAAGTGCCTGTAATCCCAGCTACTTGGGAGGCTGAGGCAAGAGAATTGCTTGAACCTGAGAGGCAGAGGTTGCAGTGAGCCGAGATCACATCACTGCACTCCACTCTGGGCGACAAGAAAGAAAGGAAGAAAAGGAAGGAAGGAAAGAAGGAAGGGAGGGAGGGAGGGAGGGAGTTGCTGTGACAGGATTTTATTCTTTTTATGGCCTAATAGTATTCCATTGTGTATATAAATACCACATTTTCTCTATCCATTCATCTGTTGTTGGACATCTAGGGTGATTCCTTATGTTAGCTATTGTGAATGCTACTGCAATAAACATGCAGATGTATTTTCAACGTACTGATTTCCTTTCCTTTGGATAAAGGCCCAGTAGTGGGATTGCTGGATCATATGGTAGTCCAATTTGTAGTTTTCTGAGGAATCGCCATACTGTTCTCCATAGTGGCTGCACTAATTTACATTCCCACCAACAGTGTATAAGAGTTCCCTTTTCTCCACATCCTTGCCAGCATTTGTTATTTTTTGTCTTTTTGATAATAGCCATCCTAACTGGGGTGAGATGATACCTCATTGTGGTTTTGATTTGCATATTCCTGATGACTAGTGATGCTGAACATTTTTTAACATCATATTTGTTAGTTTTAACCATGGTTTGTTAGTCATTTCTAGGTCTTTTGAGAAATGTCTGTTCAGATCATTTGTCCATTTTAAACTTTTTTTTTTTGCTGCTGAGATGTTTGAGTTCCTTGTATATTCTGGATATTATCCCCTTGTCAAATGAATGGTTTGCAAATATTTTCTCCCATTATGTATGTTGTCTTTTCATTCTGTTGATTGTTGTTGTTTTTGCCTGTGCAGACACTTTGTGCTTTAGTATAATCCCATTTGTTTGTTTTTGCTTTTGGTGCCTGAACTATTAAGGTCTTATTTATAAAATCTTTTCCTAAACTAATGTCCTGAAGCATTTCTCTTATGTTTTCTTCTAGAAGTTTTATTGTTTTGGATCTTACTTTTAGGTCTTTTGTCTATTTTGAGTTGACTTTTTATAGGTTGAGATGTAGGAATCTAGTTTTAATCTTCTGCATATGGATATTCAGTTTTTCCAGCACCATTTATTGAAGAGACTGTCCTTTTCCCAATGTGCCTTATTGGCACCTTCATCAATAATGAGTTAGCCATAGATACATTAATTAATTTCTGAGTTATCTATTCTGTTTCATTGGTCTGTGTGTCTGTTTTTATGCCAGTATCATGCTGTTTTGGTTACTACCGCTTTGTAAGATATTTTGAAGGCTGGTAGTGTGATTCCTCTAACTTGGCTGGCTGGCTTGCTTGTTTATTTGTTTCATTGTTTTGCTCAGCATTGGTTTGGCTACTTGGAGTCTTTTGTGGTTTCATACAAATTTTAGGATTTCTTTTTGTATTTCTGTGAAGAATATCATGGGCATTTTGGTAAGGATAGCATTGAATCTGTAGTTTACTTTGGGTAGTATTGTCATTGTAACAATATTAATTCTTATAATCCATGAGCTTGAGATGTCTTTCCATTTGTTTGTATCTTCATTATTTCATTCTTCAGTGTTTTGCAGTTTCTTTGTAAAAGTCTTTCACCTCCTTGATTACATTTATTCCTAGATATTTTATTTTTTGTAGCTATTACAAATGGGATTGCATTCTTGATTTTATTTTCAGCTAGTTCATTGTTCATGTATGGAAATGCTGCTTTTTTATATTGATTTCATATCCTGCAACTTTACTGAATTTGTTTTATTCTGTTTTTTGATAGAGTCTTTAGGTTTTTCTCTACATAAGATCATGGAATTTGCAAACAAGAACAAATTGATTTCCTGCTATTCCAATTTATATGCCTTTTATGTCCTTCTCTTGACTAATTGTTCTGGCTAATACTTCTAATACTATGTAGAATAAGTGTGGTGAAAGTGGACATACTTGTCTTCTTCCAGTTCTTGGAAAAAAATCTTTTAGCTTTTCCCTATTCAGTATGATGTTAGCTGTGAGTTTGTCATATATGGCCTTTATTATTTTGAGGTATGTTCCTTCTGTGCCTAGTTGGTTGAAAGTTTTTATTATAAACAGATGTAGAATTTTATCAAGTGCTTTCTCGGCATCTATTGAGATGATCATATGGTTTTTAGTAGTCCTTCATTCTATTGATGAGATGTATGACATTTAATGATTTGCATATATTGAACCATCCTTGTATTCGTGAGATAAATAACACTTGACCATGGTGTATTATCTTTTTGATGTGTTCTTGGATTGGATTTACTAGTATTTTGTTGAGGATTTTTGTGTCTGTGTTTATCAGGAATACTGGCCTATAGTTTCCTTTTTTTGTTGTGTCCTTGTCTGCTTTTGGTACCAGGGTTTTGCTGGCCTCATAAAATAAGTTAAGAAAAATTTTCTCTGCTTCATTTTGTGAAATAGTTCGACAAGAATTGATACTAATTCTTTAAAGATTCAGGAGAATTCAGCAGTGAAGCCATCCAGTCTTTGACATTTATTTATTGGGAGATTTTCTGTTACTGACTCAATCTTGTTACTTGTTGTTAGCCTGTTTGAGTTTTCTGTTTTTTCTTGGTTGAATTTTGGTAGATTGTTTATGTCCAGGAAATTATCTATTTTCTTTTGGTTTTTTTAATTTATTGTCATGTATTTGTTCATAGTAGTCTCTAATAACTCTTTGTATTTCTGTGGTATCTGTTGTGACATCTCCTTTTAATTTATTTTATTTATTTGGATCATCTCTCTTTTTTCTTACTCTAGCTAATAGTTTGTTGCTTTTGGTTATCTTCTCCAAAAAAAAACGCAACTTTTTGTTTCAGTGATTTTTGTACTTTTTTTCTTAGTCTCAATTTTATTAATTTCTGCTCTGATATTTCCTTCTCTGATTTCTTTTCTTCTACTAATTTGGGGTTTAGTTTCTTCTTTCTTTTCTAGTTCTTTGAGATGTATCTTTAGGTCGTTTATTTGAGATCTTTGTAGTTTTTTGATGTAGACATTTATTGCTATAAACTTGCCCCTTAATACTGCTTTTGCCATGTCCTCTAGTTTTGGTATATTGTGTTTTTATTTTTATTTACTTCAAGGAATATTTAAATTTCTCTATCCATTGGTCACTCAGGAGCCTGTTATTTAATTTCCATGTATTTGTATAGTTTTGAATGTTTATCTTGTTATTGATTTCTAGTTTTACTCCATTGTGGTCTGAGAAGATAGTAGATATGTTTTCAATTTTTAAAAATTTGTTGAGATTTGTTTTGTGTTCTAATACATAGTCAGTCCTGAAGAATGTTCCACGTGCTGATGAAAAAGATTTGTATTTACCAGCTGTTGAGTAAAATGTTCTATGTTTAGTAAAATATCTATTAGGTCCATTTGATCTATGGTGCAGTTTATATCTAATATTTCTTTCTTCATTTTCTGTCTAGATGATCAATCCAATGTTGAGAGTGGGGTGTTGAAGTTCTCAACTGTTATTGTATTGGAGTCTATCTCTCCTTTTAGATCTAATAATATTTACTCTATATATCTGAGTGCTCCAGTTTGGGGCACATATACATTTACAATTATTATATTCTCTTGCTGAATTGATCCCTTTATTATTATGTAATGTCTCTCTTGTCTCTTTGTACAGCTTTTGACTTGAAGTCTATTTTGTCTAAGTATAGCTACTCCTGCTTGCTTTTAGTTTCTGTTTTTATGAAATACTTTTTATTTGAGCCCTTCACTTTCAGTGTGATTGTCCTTAAAGATGAGGTGAGTTTCTTTTAGGCAGAATATAGTTGGGTCTTATTTTATTATTATTATTCAGCCAGTCTATATCTTTTAAATGAGGAATTTAATCCATTTATATTCAAGGTTATTACTGATAGGTGACGACTTAATGTTGTCATTTTATTGATTGTTTTCTAGGGTTTTTTTGTATATCCTTTGTTCCTTACTTCCTTTCCTACTGTTTGTTTTTACTATTGGTTAGTTTTCTGTAGTGATGAGTTTTTATTCCTTCCCTTTCTCCTTTGTGTCTCTGCTCTACCATTGAGTTTTATAGTTTCTCATGTTTTCATGGTGGTGGTGATTGTTTTTTTCATTTCCAGATGTAAGACTCCTTTGGGTATTTCTTAAAAAATTGGTCTAATGGTGATGATTTCCATTAGTTTTTGCTTGTTTATGAAAGATTTTATTTTCTTCTTTTATGATGAATGGCTTTGCTGGGTATAACGTTTGTGGCTGCCAAGTATTTTTCTTTCACTACTTTGAATATATCATCTCATTCTCTCTTGGCCTATAAAATTCCTGCTGAAAAATCTAATGGAGATTTTCATATATGTGACTTAAAACTTTTATCTTGTTGCCTTTAAAATTCTTTATTTGTCTTTCACTCTTGACAATTTTAGTATAATCTGCCTCAGAGAGGATATGTTCAGGTTTAATCCATTTGGGGTTCATCAAGCTTCCTGGGCCTGAATGTCTGTCTTTCTCCCAAGACTTGGGAAGTTTTCAGTTATTGTCTCACGAAATATGTTTTCCTCACCTTTTTCCATGTTTTCTCCTTCTGGAACACCCATAATACCAACAAAATTTGTTCACTTACTGGTATCCAATAAGTTCTGTAGGCTTTCTTCACTTTTTTTTTTTTTTTTTTTTTTTTGGCCTTCCTTTATTATTTCAGAAGACCCATTTTCAAGTTCAGAAATTCTTTCTTCTGGTCTAATCTGTTGTTGACCCTCTTAGTTGTATTTTTTTATTTCCTTCACTGAATTCTTCAGCTCTAGGATTTTTGTTTTGTTCTTTTTTATGATATTGATCTCTGTTGAATATCTCATTCAAATCATGAATTATTTTCCTCATTTCATTAAATTGTCTTTATATTTGCTTGTATCTCACTGAAATTCCTAAAGATTTTGTAAAAATTCTTTTTCTGGCCTTTCATGTATTTGCTTATTATTGTTAGTGTAAAATTACTGTTTTTCTTTGGAGGAGTAATGTGTCCTTGACTTTTCATGTTTGATGTGTTCCTATGTTGATTTCTAAGCATCTGGTGAAAAAGTCATTTCTTCTAATTTTACGGAGTAGGTTTCATAGGGAAAGACTTACTTGTATGAGTGGATCTTAGGATGTAGGTTTGGTGGGATACATTGGCCTTTGTTCTAGGTGAATTCAGTAGTGTAGACTTCATGTAGTTTCTTCAGTTATCATCTGCACTAATGACATGTTACACATGAATATGACATCATATTGTCTGAGAATAGTTCAACCAGGCTGGGCGCAGTGGCTCACATCTGTAATCCCAGCACTTTGGGAGAGCAAGGCAGGCAGATCACTTGAGGTCATGAGTTCAAGACTAGCATGGTCAACATGGAGAAACCCCATGTCTACTAAAAACACAAAAATTAGCTGGGTGTGGTGGTGCACGCATGTAGTCCCAGCTACTGGGGAGGCTGAAGCAGGAAAATTGCTTGAACCCAGCAGATGGAGGTTGCGGTGAGCCAAAGTCATGCCACTGTACTCCAGCCTGGGCAAGGGAGCAAGACTCTGTCTCAAAAAAAAGAATAGTCAACCAATACCTGTGAAGACACTACTCTTTGCAAGTCCTAAGCCAATCACTATGTGAACTGATACCAGTTTTTTTTTTTTTTAATTATACTTTAAGTTTCAGGGTACATGTGCACAACGTGCAGGTTAGTTACATATGTATACATGTGCCATGTTGGTGTGCTGCAGCCAGCAACTCGTCATTTAACATTAGGTGTATCTCCAAATGCTATCCCTCCTCCCTCCCCCCACCCCACAACAGGCCCTGGTGTGTGATGTTCCCCTTCCTGTGTCCATGTGTTCTCATTGTTCAGTTCCCACCTATGAGTGAGAACATGCAGTGTTTGGTTTCCTGTCCTTGGGATAGTTTGCTGAGAATAGTGGTTTCCAGCTTCATCCATCTCCCTATAAAGGACATGAACTCATCCTTTTTTATGGCTGCATAGTATTCCATGGTATATATGTGCCACATTTTCTTAATCCAGTCTATCATTGTTGGACATTTGTGTTGGTTCCAAGTCTTTGCTATTGTGAATAGTGCCACAGTAAACATATGTGTGCATGTGCCTTTATAGCAGCATGATTTATAATCCTTTGGGTATATACCCAGTAATGGGATGGCTGGGTCAAATGGTATTTCTAGTTCTAGATCCCTGAGGAATGGCCACACTGACTTCCACAATGGTTGAACTAGTTTACAGTCCCACCAACAGTGTAAAAGTGTTCCTATTTCTCCACATACTCTCCAGCACCTGTTGTGTCCTGACTTTTTAATGATCGCCATTCTAACTGGTGTGAGATGGTATCTCATTGTGGTTTTGATTTGCATTTCTCTGATGGCCAGTGATGATGAGCATTTTTTCATGTGTCTGTTGGCTGCATAAATGTCTTGTTTTGAGAAGTGTCTGTTCATATCCTTTGCCCACTTTTTGATGGGGTTGTTTGTTTTTTTCTTATACATTTGTTTGAGTTCATTGTAGATTCTGGATATTAGCCCTTTGTCAGATGAGTAGATTGCAAAAGTTTTCTCCCATTCTGTAGGTTGCCTGTTCGCTCTAATGGTAGTTTCTTTTGCTGTGCAGAAGCTCTTTAGTTTAATTAGATCCCATTTGTCAATTTTGGCTTTTGTTGCCATTGCTTTTGGTGTTTTAGTCATGAAGTCCTTGCCCAGGCCTATGTCCTGAATGGTATTGCCTAGGTTTTCTTCTAGGGTTTTTATGGTTTTAGGTCTAACATTTAAGTCTTTAATCCATTTTGAATTAATTTTTGAATAAGGTGTAAGGAAGAGATCCAGTTTCAGCTTTCTACATATGGCTAGCCAGTTTTCCCAGCACCATTTATTAAATAGGGAATTGTTTCCCCAGTTCTTGTTTTCGTCAGGTTTGTCAAAGATCAGATAGTTGTAGATATGCGGCATTATTTCTGAGGGCTCTTTTCTGTTCCATTGGTCTGTATCTCTGTTTTGGTACCAGTACCATGCTGTGTTGGTACAGTACCATGCTGTAGCCTTGTAGTATAGTCCGAAGTCAGGTAGCGTGATGCCTCCAGCTTTGTTCTTTTGGCTTAGGATTGACTTGGCAATGCGGGCTCTTTTCTGGTTCCATATGAACTTTAAAGTAGTTTTTTCCAATTCTGTGAAGAAAGTCATTGGTAGCTTGAATCTATAAATTACCTTGGTCAGTATGGCCATTTTCACGATATTGATTCTTCCTACCCATGAGCATGGAATGTTCTTCCATTTGTTTGTATCCTCTTTAATTTCATTGAGCAGTGGTTTGTAGTTCTCCTTGAAAAGGTCCTTCACATCCCTTGTAAGTTGGATTCCTAGGTATTTTATTCTCTTTGAAGCAATTGTGAATGGGAGTTCAGTCATGATTTGGCTCTCTGTTTGTCTGTTATTGGTGTATAAGAATGCTTGTGATTTTTGCACATTGATTTTGTATCCTCAGACTTTGCTGAAGTTGCCTATCAGCTTAAGGAGATTTTGGGCTGCGATGATGGGGTTTTCTAAATATACAATCATGTCATCTGCAAACAGGGACAATTTGACTTCCTCTTTTCCTAATTGAATACCCTTTATTTCCTTCTCCTGCCTGATTGCCCTGGCCAGAACTTCTAACACTGTGTTGAATAGGAGTGGTGAGAGAGGGCATCCCTGTCTTGTGCAAGTTTTCAAAGGGAATGCTTCCAGTTTTTGCCCATTCAGAATGATATTGGCTGTGGGTTTCTCATAGATAGCTCTTATTATTTTGAGATACGTCCCATCAATACCTAATTTATTGAGAGGTTTTAGCATGAAGCGCTGTTGAATTTTGTCAGAGGCCTTTTCTGCATCTATTGAGATAATCGTGGTTTTTGTCATTGGTTCTGTTTATATGCTGGATTATGTTTATTGATTTGCATATGTTGAACCAGCCTTGCATCCCAGGGATGAAGCCCACTTGATCATGGTGGATAAGCTTTTTGATGTGCTGCTGGATTCGATTTGCCAGTATTTTATTGAGGATTTTTGCATCAATGTTCATCAGGGATATTGGTCTAAAATTCTCTTTTTTTGTTGTGTCTCTGCCAGGCTTTGGTATCAGGATGATGCTGGCCTCATAAAATGAGTTAGGGAGGATTCCCTCTTTTTCTATTGATTGGAATAGTTTCAGAAGGAATGGTACCAGCTCCTCCTTGTACCTCTGGTAGAATTCTGCTGTGAATCCATCTGGTCCTGGACTTTTTTTGGTTGGTAAGCTATTGATTATTGCCTCAATTTCAGAGCCTGTTATTGGTCTATTCAGAGATTCAACTTCTTCCTGGTTTAGTCTTGGGAGGGTGTATGTGTCAAGGAATTTATCCATTTCTTCTAGATTTTCTAGTTTATTTGCATAGAGGTGTTTATAGTATTGTCTGATGGTAGTTTGTATTTCTGTGGGATCGGTGGTGATATCCCTTTTATCATTATTTATTGCGTCTATTTGATTCTTCTCCCTTTTCTTCATTAGTCTTGCTAGTGGTCTATCAATTTTGTTGATCTTTTCAAAAAACCAGCTCCTGGATTCATTGATTTTTTGAAAGGTTTTTTGTGTCTCTATTTCCTTCAGTTCTGCTCTGATCTTAGTTATTTCTTGCCTTCTGCTAGCTTTTGAATGTGTTTGCTCTTGCTTCTCTAGTTCTTTTAATTGTGATGTTAGGGTGTTAATTTTAGATCTTTCCTGCTTTCTCTTGTGGGCATTTAGTGCTATACATTTCCCTCTACACACTGCTTTGAATGTGTCCCAGAGTTTCTTGTATGTTTTGTCTTTGTTCTTGTTGGTTTCAAAGAACATATTTATTTCTGCCTTCATTTTGTTATGTAACCAGTAGTCATTCAGGAGCAGGTTGTTCAGTTTCCATATAGTTGAGCAGTTTTGAGTGAGATTCTTAATCCTGAGTTCTAGTTTGATTGCACTGTGGTCTGAGAGATAGTTGGTTATAATTTCTGTTCTTTTACATTTGCTGAGGAGTGCTTTACCTCCAACTATGTGGTCAGTTTTGGAATAAGTGCGGTGTGGTGCTGAGAAGAATGTATATTCTGTTGATTTGGGGTGGAGAGTTCTGTAGATGTCTATTAGGTCTGCTTGGTGCAGAGCTGAGTTCAATTCCTGGATATCCTTGTTAACTTTCTGTCTCATTGATCTGTTTCATGTTGACAGTGGGGGCGTTAAAGTCTCCCATTATTATTGTGTGGGAGTCTAAGTCTCCTTGTAGGTCTCTAAGGACTTGCTTTATGAATCTGGGTGCTCCTGTATTGGGTGCATATATATTTAGGATAGTTAGCTCTTCTTGTTGAATTGATCCGTTTACCATTATGTAATGGCCTTCTTTGTCTCTTTTGATCTTTGTTGGTTTAAAGTCTGTTTTATCAGAGACTAGGATTGCAACACCTGCTTCTTTTTGTTTTCCATTTGCTTGGTAGATCTTCCTCCATCCCTTTATTTTGAGCCTATGTGTGTCTCTGCACGTGAGATGGGTTTCCTGAATACAGCACACTGATGGGTCTTGACTCTTTATCCAATTTGCCAGTCTGTGTCTTTTAATTGGAGCATTTAGCCCATTTACATTTAAAGTTAATATTGTTATGTGGAATTTGATCCTGTCATTATGATGTTAGCTGCTTATTTTTCCCATTAGTTGATGCAGTTTCTTCCTAGCCTCCATGGTCTTTACAATTTGGCATGTTTTTGCAGTGGCTGGTACCGGTTGTTCCTTTCCATGTTTAGTGCTTCCTTCAGGAGCTCTTTTAGGGCAGGCCTGGTGGTGACAAAATCTCTCAGCATTTGCTTGTCTGTGAAGGATTTTATTTCACCTTCATTTATGAAGCTTAGCTTGACTGGATATGAAATTCTGGGTTGAAAATTCTTTTCTTTAAGAATGTTGAATATTGGCCCCCACTCTCTTCTGGCTTGTAGAGTTTCTGCCGAGAGACCAGCTGTTAGTCTGATGGGCTTCCCTTTGAGGGTAACCCGACCTTTCTCTCTGGCTGCCCTTAACATTTTTTCCTTCATTTCAACTTTGGTGAATCTGACAATTATGTGTCTTGGAGTTGCTCTTCTCGAGGAGTATCTCTGTGGTGTTCTCTGTATTTTCTGAATTTGAATGTTGGCCTGCCTTGCTAGATTGGGGAAGTTCTCCTGGATAATATCCTGCAGAGTGTTTTCCAACTTGGTTTCATTCTCCCTTTCACTTTCAGGTACACCAATCAGATGTAGATTTGGTCTTTTCACATAGTTCCATATTTCTTGGAGGCTTTTTTCATTTCTTTTTATTCTTTTTTCTCTAAACTTCTCTTCTCGCTTCATTTCATTCATTTCATCTTCCATCACTGATACCCTTTCTTCCAGTTGATCGAATCAGCTACTGAGCCTTGTGCACTTGTCACGTAGTTCTCGTGCCTTGGTTTTCAGCTCCATCAGGTCCTTTAAGGACTTCTCTGCATTGGTTATTCTCATTAGCCATTTGTCTAATTTTTTTTCAAGGTTTTTAACTTCTTTGCCATGGGTTTGAACTTCCTCCTTTAGCTTGGAGTAGTTTGATCATCTGAAGCCTTCTTCTCTCAACTAGTCAAAGTCATTCTCCGTCCAGTTTTGTTCCATTGCTGGTGAGGAGCTGCATTCCTTTGGAGGAGGAGAGGCACTCTGATTTTTAGAGTTTCCAGTTTTTCTGCTCTGTTTTTTCCCCATCTTTGTGGTTTTATCTACCTTTGGTCTTTGATGATGGTGACGTGCAGATGAGGTTTTGGTGTGGATGTCCTTTCTGTTTGTGAGTTTTCCTTCTAACAGTCAGGACCCTCAGCTGCAGGTCTGTTGGAGTTTGCTGGAAGTCTACTCCAGACCCTGTTTGCCTGGGTATCAGCAGTGGAGGCTGCAGAACAGCAGATATTGGTGAACAGCAAATGTTGCTGCCTGATCGTTCCTGTGGAAGTTTTGTCTCAGAGGAGTACCTGGCCATGTGAGGTGTCAGTCTGCCCCCACTGGGGAGTGCCTCCCAGTTAGGCTACTCGGGGGTCAGGTACCCACTTGAGGAGGCAGTCTGTCCGTTCTCAGATCTCCAGCTGCGTGCTGGGAGAACCACTACTCTCTTCAAAGCTGTCAGACAGGGACATTTAAGTCTGCAGAGGATTCTGCTGCCTTTTGTTTGGCTATGCCCTGCCCCCAGAGGTGGAGTCTGCAGAGGCAGGCAGGCCTCCTTGAGCTGTGGTGGGCTCCACCCAGTTCGAGCTTCCCGGCTGCTTCGTTTACCTACTCAAGCCTTGGCAATGGCAGGCGCCCCTCCCCAAGCTGTGCTGCCGCCTTGCAGTTTGATCTCAGACTGCTGTGCTAGCAATGAGCGAGGCTCCTTGGGTGTAGGACCCTCCGAGCCATGTGCGGGATATAATCTCCTGGTGTGCAGTTTGCTAAGACTGTTGGAAAAGTGCAGTATTAAGGTGGGAGTGACCCAATTTACCAGGTGCCATCAGTCACCACTTTCTTTGACTAGGAAAGGGAATTCCCTGACCCCTTGCGCTACCCGGGTGAGGCAATGCCTCGCCCTGCTTCGGCTCACGTTTGGTGCACTGCACCCACTGTCCTGCACCCACTTTCCAACACTCCCCATTGAGATGAACCTGGTACCTCAGTTGGAAATGCAGAAATCACCCGTCTTCTGCGTCGCTCACGCTGGGAGCTGTAGACTGGAGCTGTTCCTATTCGGCCATCTGATACCAGTTTTAATCTTTCTGAGACATGCTGTATCACAAGAATTGGGGGAAAATTACATTAAAAGTACAAAGTCAAATTCATTTACCTCAGAATATATATTCATCTGTCCATAGTCCCTTATCTTCCTTTTTATGTATATTCATCTGGCTCCTTATTTCTTTCTACTGAGAAAGAATGATGCAAAAGCAGAATTTGTTGAGGATGGAAAGTTATAGATACTCTATTTCTCTAATAAAATGGATTCTCAGTAATTCATAGAAATAGAAGAACATGAACTATCATACCTCTATTGTTGGATCTAATATATATATATATATATGTATATAACCTGCTTGGAGATATATATATATACACAGTATATTTAATAATTGTAAAATATTAAATTATTTTTACAATTTAATTTAATTTAAAAAACTAAAAAATAATTGTAAAATAAAAATTTAATTTAATTTAAAAAATTAAAAAATAATTGTAAAATAAAAATTTAATGTATATTTAAATATGTTTTGCTACTTATATCTTACATACTTTAGTAGTTATATAATCTTTATTATCAACCTGAATGGATATAAATATCAAACTTGATCAATTTCATCCCCTTTAGGGGATGCAGCTAGGCATCTAGTTGCAACTAGAAGCTAATGCAACCAGGCAGTGCCATAACTAAAGGCAGCCAGCAAGAGAAAGGGGAAAAAAGAGAGAAGATAAGTCATAGGCAGGACATTTTGCTCTGGGGAGATAATTGGAGCACACTGTGGCTTAGTTGGGAATAACAAACAAGTTGCCCTTTCAGTAAGGGCTGAAAGTGGTATTTTTATTTCTCCATGACTTTCTACCTGACCTTTGGTGCTCCCTGAGGAAGGAAGCTGGGTGTGTGTGTGTCTACAGACCAAAGAAAAGAAAGTGTAAAATGTACCAAGGGGACAGCCTTAGAAGAAATAGTTTTTAAAAAAATGAATCAAAGAAAAAATGTAGTTTTACATAGAATAGGAATGGAAAGATAGTATGATAACTTCTAAGTCTATGCAAAAGAAATCATTATCACCATTATCATTATTTTTTAGATTGTGTTGAACTCTATTACTGGTATAGCATGTTACCCAGTTTAGTAATATTTATGGTCTCAAGGTGAGTAAGTCAGTCCCTTTTATAAAGGCAAGACTAAGTTTTCTATAAAAGGTAATGAGATGATGGCCAGGCATGGTGGCTCACGCCTGTAACCCCGGCTCTTTGGAAGGCCGGGGTGGATCACCTGAGGTCAGGAGTTCAAGAGCAGCCTGGCCAACATGGTGAAAACCCGTCTCTACTAAAAGTACAAAAATTAGCTGGATATGGTGGCATGTGCCTGTAATCCTAACTACTGGGGAGGCTCAGGCACAAGAATCGCTTAAACCCAGGAGGCGGAGGCTGCAGTGAGCCGAGATCATGCCACTGCACTCCAGGCTGGGCAACAGAGTGAGACTCTGTCTCAAAAAAAAAAGAGGTTATAAAATGAGGTTGGCTGGCTCATAATCCTCAGGTTAGCTCTGTAAGACTATTTAAACCATGTGGTATAGGCAGACTCTAAAATGGTCCCAGTGATCTCCACCTCTTGGTATTTGTGCTCTTGTAGTATTCCCTCCCCTTGAGTGTTGGCCAGACTTATTGACTCACTTCTAATGAATAAAATACAGTAAGAGTCATGGGCTGTCACTCTCAAGATCAAATTATAAAAAGGCTATGGTTTCCATCTTGGGTGCTGTCTCTCACTCTCTCTTGGGTTGCTTGCTCTGGGGAAAGCCAGCTGCCATGTCCTGAGATAGCCCTATAGAGAAGCCCACAGGAGTAAGCTTAGAGCAGATTGTTATAATCTGGGTATGGTTTGCTTGTCCCCACCAAGTCTCATGTTGAAATTTGATCCCCAGTGTTGGAGATGGGGCTTGGCAGAAGGTGTTTGGATTGTAGGAGCAAATCCCTTAGGAGATGGGGCTTGGCAGAAGGTGTTTGGATTGTAGGAGCAAATCCCTTATGAATGGCTTTGTGCCATTCTCACAGGAGTGAGAGAATTCTCACTGTTAGTTCCCACAGAACTGATTGTTGAAAAGAGCCTGGCACCTCCTCTGTCTCACTTTCTGTCTCCCCGTGTGATTTGCACACATTGGCTCCTCTTCCCCTTCCTCCATGAGTGAAAGCAGCTTGAGGCCCTCAACAGATGCAGAGCCATGAGCCAAAAACAAACAAACAAACAAAAAACTTTTATTTATAAATTACCCAGCTTCAGTTATTCCTTTATAGCAAAAATGGACTAAGACACAGATCTCCTAAAGCATCTCAGCAGCAATGTCAGTGAACTTGGAAGCAAATTTTCCCCCCAGTTGAGCCTTGAGATGACTGTAGCTCCGGCTGACATTTTGACTGTAACCTCATAAGAGATCAACCTAAAACTACCCAGCTAAGATGGTCCCAGATCTCTGGCCCAGAGAAAATTTGAGATAATAAGTGTTTGTGTTTTAAGCTGCTAAGTTTGGGTAATTTGTTGAGCAGTAATAGAAAACTAATGCAAACCATAGTAGGTAACATGTAATATAGCTGAAATGCTGTGTAAGATGTAGTGGGAGAATCAGAGTCAAGGTGGGCAGGAGAGAGATGAAAAGTACTCACTGAGCACCTATGTTGTCTGAGACACTATGCCAGGCCCTTTACAGACATATCTTAGCTTATTCCTATTACACCACTACACGAGTATCATTATCTTCATGCTACACATGAGTATGCTAAGATTCAGAAGGGTTAAATAATTTCCCCATCATGACACAGCTAGTAAGTAGCAGATGCCAGCTTTTGAACTCTGGTCTGTCTAAACCTGAAGCTCCTACTTCTATTACAACCCTGATTGCAATGAAAAGGGAATCAAATAGTTTATAACACTGGTAATGAGTGAAAATGTACCCAGCTGAACTTTTCAGATGCATACCAAACATTTTATGTGATAAGAGCTGAAGTAGTGTATGAGCAGAGTGCTATAGGAGTGTGAAGAAAGCAACATCTCATTCTGCTCGTAATGTGTGAGGGGATGGAGGAGAAACCCCACAGAGAGAATTATACTGGAAATTAGCAATTCAGCTTCCCTGTTACCCCTGGGAGAAGTCAAGATCTGGAATCAGATTGACATGAGTTCAGACCAGTTACCAGCTCTGTGGCCTGGGCAAGTTACTTCTTGCACCATCCTTTTCTTATCTGTACTGATTATGTTAGGCAATGCACATAATTGCTTGGCGGAGTCAGGTATATAGCGAGCACTTAATAGACATTCACAGTCAATAATACTATTGTTACTGTTTTCTCTCCAAAATTGATTCTCTTGATAAATGTGTAATTACTAACACTATTTTTTAATGTTCATCACTCAGTGATATTTTTTAGGGGAGGAACAAATATTCCCCTATTATAATTAGGCAAAAGTTGAGGGAAAAAAAAAGGAGACAGAGAATATAAGAAAAGGAAAAAGGGGTAAAAACAAAAGTTCAGTGTTTGTTAGATAAGATTGTCTGAGGCAAATGAACAGGCCTGGGAGCGGAGGCAGGGAAAGAGTCTAGCATGTGGACTTTCTGTAGAGAGCAAAGACTGTATATTTTATTCATATTCAGGTTGCCAAGAACAGTATCAGATTCACAATCATTCATTGAAAATCCAATGAACTCATTCATTCTTCCATTCAGCAAATATTAACTAAAATCCACTATGTGCTATCATGCTTCCATGAGGGTAGCATTGCAGAGCTTATGTTCTAACAAGGCAAGACAAGCAATCAAACACGATATACAAAATAAAGCTACATATGTAAAGTGTGAATATGTTTGGAATATGATAACCACCAGGAAGATGTTAAAGCAGAAAAATGGGCTGGAAAAACAGAGGAAGATGGTGTGCTGCTTTAGCTAATGTGATCAGGAGAGCCCTAGTTGAGGGAAGAGCAAGATGCTGGAGAAAGCATGCCCCTCTCTAGCGCCCTTCCCTGGCCCTGGCCAGAAGCTATAGCTTACTCAACCATGTGTTGAATTGAGGGAGAGGAAAAGAACGGGAAAATTTGGTGTTGGTTAGTTTAAGAGTATCTCATCAATTAACTTCTGAAATGTAAAGGCTATGATTTCTTTTGCAGACAGTTAAGCAAAATAATCATTTATAATGAAGAAAGAGTATGCTTTACTTATCTACGCAGGATTCCAAACATGTAGTTCTTCATCCACATTGATCTGTAGTCCCCCTGTATTGTTGAAAGGGCTGTCTGGGACTATAGGGAGGCAACTGAGGAGCCTAGGTTGTACTTGGATGACCCTTAGAGGGAGTGCCTCCTTAAATTTTGTGCCCTTGGAACCTGACTTGCCTCACTTTAGTCTCAGCCCTGATTGATTGGTTGGTTGGTTCTGTTGGTTGGTTGAGTTTTGCTTTTGCATTGTAATTACTTTTTTTAAATATGTGCCTATTTAAAATGTCAATCAATTAAAAAAATTAAGAAAAAAGTAATAAAGCATCCCAATTCCTACCATACAGAAAAAGCCAGCATTAGCAATTAGCAAACATCATTATGGACATCTTTCTGTGCATATATACAGACAGAAGTTTGATAAATATATGAACAATGTAGTCAAAGAGACTGCATTGGGTTAGTGGCTGGAATTTATGTACCCCTGTCTCTGGGCACTCACCTTGGAACCTTGGAAATCAGCATCTGGAAGCCATTCCAGAGTCTGATCTCTTCCCTAGATGTGCTCCCTTCCCCAAAACTCTGTCCCACTAGACATATTTCCCCCATTCTTAGCTTCTTACCTATAATCCTTTACCACCTACTTGAAAAGCATTGAGGCAACATTGTCAACAATTTGGGGTATTTTCTGGTGTGAAGGAAGAAAGAGAAGGTACCTATCGTTTCCTGACCCTAAGGTCCCTGATGTTTCATACACTCTCCATGTATTAGGCTCTTGTCTCTTCTGTCTCATGTAGGAATAAATACTATCCTTAATTTCTTTATCTTTTAACATTAATTTCTTTATCGTTTTATGTTTCTAACAGACTATAATTCTGCAATGCTATACATTTTACAATGTATTTATAGGCAACCAAGAGAAATTGCACATCTTACTCAAAAATATTTGTACCCTGACTCAGTACTTCTTGGTGAGAACAGTTCACAGCTAGTGGAGGGGAGCAAAGTGAACTCATTCCACTGGGCTCATTAAACATCTGCAGGGTCACTCTATTGCTGGCTCACCTAGAACAACTGTCTGCTTAAAAGCTGTCACATCCACCCACCCTTTGTGCTTTGTGTTAAAGCAATTCGCAGAGTGACAGAAACTTTTCAGTTTTTTTCTTTCCCTTTTTCCCAGGGAAATTGTTGGCAATTACAGCCTTTACTTGACAAGGTCCTTTTGACACAGCGTGGCTGAAGGCAGTTGCCTCCAGGAGGGCTCAGTTGTTTTAGAAAGAGGGTGACAGTTACCTCCTTCCATTTCTCCTGACTGCCACTTTTATTGAAACTTTTCCAGGACTTTGGGGGTGGTTATTTCTTCTTGTACCATCATGACAACTTCCTTTTCTCACCATGGGTGCTGTTGCAGATAATTAAGCTCTGCATGCCAAAATAAAGACAGAAGTGGTGAGTACATTGCCATCAGTGGAATGCCACCAACTCTATCCCTATGAAATTTAGAGAAACTCCATTTTGATTTTTATTTTTGTTTGTTTTTAGCAGAATTCAGTTCATATACCCATGAAGTGTTCCAGTTTAGCAACTAGAAGACAGGTTTGAACCACCCTGGCTGTGTCTCTAAGTCAAGGGTTTTCAACCTTGGCACTATAAGCATTTTGGACTGGATGACTCTTGGGGAGTGGAGGTGTCCCGTGCATTGCAGGATGCTTGGCAGCGCTCCTGCCTCTACCCGCTAAATGCCAGTAACACCTGTCCTCCAGTTGCCAAGTTGTGACAATCAAAAATATCTCCAGATATTACCATATGTCCTCTGGGCTGGAGTGGGCGGGGGAGGGGGGAGCAAAACTGTCCCAGTTGAGATTCACTGCTCAAATTGAGAAAGTATTGACATGGATTGTGTTCAATTTGTAGCATACAAATTTTATTGTTTCATTCTTTCCTTTGAAAGTCTCACAATGTCTCTGCCTTACTTACATAAATGTATAATAGAAATAAAAGTTTTTAATCTAAATTATTTTTCTAAAGGGTTATCCAAAGTGATTCCCAATGAGTTTAATCAACTAAAGGGGACATGGAGAAGAGAATGCCTTTATTCTGTATAATAAACTAAACAATGCCAATTATCCCACAGTGGATGCCTTTAAAATGCCAGAAACAAATTGAGAAAAAATAAAAATTTGTGCCATTATGCCGTAATACTCACATTCTGTTAATTTGCTTTGAAGAGTAAAATATTTTTGGAAACCTTAGTTTAACAATAGTAAAATATTTTGGAAACCTAAATTTAATAGCAATTTGACTACCATTAAAACTAGCTTATTTTAGAGATTCCCTCTAAAATGTTTATCCAAGGGCCTAAGATACTTCTTCAGTGATGGTTAGTGCTGTCTTCCAGGCAGCCTCAACACAACTTCACATTTGTAGCGGAGAACACTGAAACTCTTTGTGATAGAGCAATTTGACCAAATAAATACAGTGGCAGTATCAGGAAAGGTCTCCTGAGCCCTGATCCAATGCCTCTTTCCAGCTAATATGCTGTTTGCTTCAGAAATCTAGGGAGTGGCAACAAAGGCCTAGGCTTTTGGAAGAGGGGTGGGGTCCATGCCAAAAGGATAATGAGAGGAGAAGGGAAATGGTATAGAGCCTATCTTTGTCATTTTGCAATTTGGCTCAGGCTCACACTGTCCCATTCTCAGAAAGCAGTTTTATTTATATCTGAGAGTTCACTGTTGATGTCATTGTGTGTCTAGCACAGTGACTGGGACATAATCAGCATTCAACAAATATTTGACAGATAACTACTGTGCTACCAGTGCAGATGCTAAAAGATGGAGGAAGAGGAAGAGGAGGAGGAGAAGGATCTTTCAAATGCCAAAAGACAGTCCACAGGGGAGCAGTTCTGACTTTCTCTCAGCCTAGCAGTCAATACAAGTTTAGTTGCCTGAAGCTTCTCTTGTTTTGTCAAAGACTTTAAGGATCAAATAAAACTTGCAAGGGTATCTCAACATAAGCCAACACTGGAACCTAGAAAATTTAGCATCAGCTGCCATGTGTTTAACTACTATCTTAAACTGTCCTCAAAGCATAAAAGTTAATATAGGTTGATGCAGTTAGATCTGGCTTTGAATCCCAGCTCCACTGTATGAACTTGGGCCAGTTATATCACGATCTCAGTGTTCTCATTTATAAAATGAGGATAAAAACACCTACCTCATTGAGATGCCATTGGCATTGCAATAGATAACCTATAGCACATAGAAGCACATCTATAACATATACATATTAGTAACTATAATTATAATAACTATTATTCTCTGAGGTTAGGAGGGAGGGCATACAGAAAACGATGAGCACCTTGAGACCCAATCAGGACAACCAGACTAAAATAAACTCAACTCAAAGGGCAGAGCTGGATTCAGTAGGTCAATGATGGACACTGAAACTGGATTGATGTGTAGAGTATATGGCTTAAGTAGTGGAAGCTTTTACCATCATTAGGGATAAAGCAAATGTTAGGACTTGCCTATATATGGGCTGTGGGAAGAGGAGACAGTAAAACAAAGCAAAGAAGGAACAGGAGAGGAACCAGGGGTTTCAGCACCATAGAGGCGAGAGTTGCCAGTGGAAGGAAGCGGTCAAGGGGATCCACAGCTCTACAGGGGTCTTGGCAATTAGATGTCCCTGATTAGCTGGAAAGGAGATATTTTAGCACAAGTCAGTGGCAAAGGGTTGAATGATAGTTGGAGGTGAGGAAGTAGAAACTGAAGATGGCATGAGGAAACAGAGTGCCTCAAATAGGCAAGAAAATTGAAAGTACATAAATACTTTAGGATAAGAAAGACCTGAGTAATAGAAAGAACTTGAGAGAGGAGACCAGTGAAAAGGCAGGTAAGAGAAGATGCCATTGAAGGAAGCAGCAGTGGTGGAGCAAGTGTGAGTTCCAAGATGGAAGGCATGAGGATGGAAGGAGAAGACGAATTTAAAAAATTAAAATGCTGAAGAATTTGCTAAGGTGGACTGGAAGGAAACTGATGCTCACATGGAACATCTCCAAATTCAGAGTAAAGTCATGCTGGGGTTGTTTAGAAAGGGTGAGAGGCTGTGACTAGAAACTAATAGGGTAAATGCTGTAGGGAACGTAATAGAAAATCAAGAGAGCTGATTCAAGGATTGCTGACTTCAGTGAGTCCTCAGCCCAAGCCACTGAAGATTAACTTTAGATACTTTGCTTCAGACTCTGCACATTTGAGTGTAAACATAGCGGGTAGCCACAGGCCACTCCTTAGGAAAGAGGCAGAACACTCAGCTAGCCCACTGTGTCTTGCAGCCTACACCCTGTCTATTTGGATGCTTATAGCATGACCTCTAGCCGTACCAGGCTCTTCTAGATCCAAGCCCTGCTCACGCCCTGGTACTAAGTCTCAGGTATTTATGTGATTCCTGGAATGTTCCCTGTGGACTCAGTCTTCATCCTTTTGGTCTACAGCTGAAACTGCTCCTGGCCTGGTTCCTAAAAGGTCTGGCTGTGTTTTCATAAGACTGAGTTATTCTTTGAGTATTAGCTGCTTTTGACTGGCACCCATCAACAACACCTGTGTGGGCACTGGAGTTAACCTTTTAGGTGCTAAATAAATCTTCCAGCTTCCAAAGGATTTACTCCACATTTTTATATTATTTTAATCTCCAGACATTGGAGCAGGAGGACAAAAATCAGATGGTAAGAATTAGGCATGAGAATGGGCAAAGTAAAAACCAAGAAATGTATGTGGAGTCGTTGGTTTCTGGGATGCTACCATAAAATACTTGAAATAAGGGAAGCCAGAATATGGGTTATGGCCTAAAAGGAGAGAGAATGTCAGGATGAGGACAATGAATATGTTCAGTAAGATTTAGGAAATGTACCAGAAATAGCACAGGACTTAGAGTTTGGCAAACATGGGTTCAAATTCCAGTTGTATGACCATGGATAATATATTTTGCCTCTGTGAGCCTCAGATTTCTGTACAAATCAATTTGGATACTGAGTTAACCAAAATTATTAGTTTTCCTTTCCAGAAAATGAAATTAATAAAGTCTGTCTTGTACGGTTGTTGTGAAAATGAAATGAGAATGTATGCAAAACATCCAACCCACACCTCACACATAGTGGGTGCTCAAAAAATAGTGAATATTAATATTGCTACAAAAAGCAAGAATGATCAGAGGAGGGGATTCTGAAGGTCTTTGATCTTGGCCAATGTCAGTTTTGACTTTATTATACATTATGCATTTGGACTAATTAAATGTGAGGAAGAAGCTACTAAATACATGGTAAAGTCTCAGGTTACAAAATCAACGTACACAAATCGGTAGTACTGCTATACACCAACAACGGCCAAGCTGAGAATCAGATCAAGAACTCAACCCCTTTACAACAGCTGCAAAATAAAATAAAATACCTAGGAATATACTTAACCAAGGAAGTAAAAGATCTATACGAGGAGAACTACAAAACACTGCTGAAAGAAATCATAGATGGCAAAAACAAATGGAAACACATCCTATGCTCATGGATTGGGAGAATCAATAGTGTGAAAATGACCATACTGCTCAAAGCAATCTACAGATTCAGTGCATTTCCCATCAAAATATCAACATCATTGTTCCCAGAATTAGAAAAAGAATTCCTAAAATTCCTATGGAACCAAAAAAAGAGTCCACATAGCCAAAACAATACTAAACAGAGAAAACAAATCTAGAGACATCACATTACCAGACTTCAAATTATACTACAAGGCTATAGTTACCAAAATAGCATGGTACTAGTATAAAAGTAGGCACATAGACCAATAGAACAGAATAGAGAACCCAGAAATAAAGCCAAATACTTAAAACCAACTGATCTTCGACAAAGCATACAAAAACATAAATGGGGGAAAAGACACCCTATTTAATAGTGCTGGGAAAACTGGCTAGCCACATGTAGAAGAATGAAACTGGATCCCTATCTCTCACCTAACACAAAAATCAATTAAAGACAGATCAAAGACTTAAACCTAAGACCTGAAACCATAAAAATTCTAAAAGATAACTTCCGAAAAACTCTTTTAGACACTGACCAAGACAAAGAATTTATGACTAAATTCCCAAAAGTAAATACAACAAAAACAAAAATAAACAAATGAGATCTATTTAAACTAAAAAGCTCCTGCACAGTGAAAGAAATTGTCAACAGAGTAAAGAGATAACCCACAGAATGGGAGAAAATATTTGCAAACTGTGTGTATGGCAAAGGACTAGTATTGAGAATCCACAAGGAACTCAAACAAATTTGATTCAAATAAATCGGCAAGAAAAAAATGAAATAATTCCATCCAAAATGGGCAATGACATGAATAGACATTTCTCAAAAGAAGATATACAAATGGCCAAGAAACATGAAAAAAATGCTCAACATCACTAATCATCAGAGAAATGCAAATTAAAATCACAGTGAACTATCTCCTTACCCCAGTCAGAATGGCCATTATTAAAAAGTCAAAAAACAATAGATGTTGGTGTGCATGTGGTGAAAAGGGAATGCTTATACACTGCTTGTGGGAATGTGAATTAGTACAACCTCTATGGAAAACAGTATACAGATTTCTTAAAGAACTAAAAGTAGATCTACCATTTGGTCCAGCAGTCCCACTACCAGGTATCTACCCAAAGGAAAAGAAGTTATTATATTAAAGAGACGCATGCATATGTATGTTTATTGCAGCATAATTCACAATTGCAAAGATCTGGAACCAACCTAAGTGCCCATCAACCAATGAGTGGATAAGAAAATGTGATATTTGTGGAGAAATAGAAACACTTTTATACCGTTGATGGTAATGTAAATTAGTTCAACCATTGTGGAAGATGATGTGGCAATTCCTCAAAGAGCTAGAAGCAGAAATACCATTTGACCCAGCAATCCCATTACTTAGTATACACCCAAAGGAATATAACCCATTCTATTACAAAGATACATGGATGTGTATGTTCATTGCAGCACTAGTCACAATAGCAAAGACATGGAATCAACCCAAATGCCAATCGATGATAGAGTAGATAAAGAAAATGTGGTACATATACACCATGGGATAGTATGCAGCCATAAAAAAAATGAATGAGATCATGTCCTTTGCGGGGACATGGAGAGAGCTGGAAGCCATTATTCTCAGCAAACTAACACAGTAACAAAACAGAACACCGCATGTTCTTACTTACAGGTGGGAGCTCAACAATGAGAATAGATGGACACAGGGAGGGTAACAACACACTCTGGGGCCTGCTGGGGTGTGTGGTGGGAGAGGGAGAGCATAAGGAAAAACAGCTAATTCATGCTGGGCTTAATGCCTAGATGATGGGTTGATAGGTGCAGCAAACCACCGTGGCACATGTTTACCTATGTAACAAACCTGCACATGCTGCACATGTACCCCAAAACTTAAAATAAAAATAAAAATTAAACAAAGAAAATGTGATATATATACACCATGCAGTACTTCTCAGTCATAAAAGGAACAAAATAACGTCTTTTGCAGCACTTGGATGGAGCTGGAGACCATTATTCTAAGTGAAGTGACTCAGGAATGGAAAATCAAAAACTGCATACTCTCCCTTATAAGTGGGAGCTAAGCTATGAGTATACAAAGGCATACAGAGTGGTATAATGGGCTTTGGAGGCTTAGAAACAGGAGGTTGGGTGGGGGGTGAGGGATAAAAAACCACATATTGGGGGCCAGGCGCAGTGGCTCGCGCCTGTAATCCCAGCACTTTGGGAGGCCAAGGTGGGCAGATCACGAGGTCAGGAGATCGAGACCATCCTGGCTAACACGGTGAAACCCCATTTCTACTAAAAATACAAAAAATTAGCCAGGCATGGTGGTGGGTGCCTGTAGTCCCAGTTACTCGGGAGGCTGAGGCAGGAGAATTGCTTGAACCTGGGAGGCGGAGGTTGCAGTGAGCTGAGATCGCGCCACTGCACTCCAGCCTGGGTGACAGAGCCAGACTCCGTCTCAAAAAAAAAAAAAAAACACTACATATTGGGTACAAGGTACACTACTCAGGTAATGGGTGCACTGAAATCTCAGAATTCACTACTATATAATTCATCCATGTAACCAAAAACCACTTGTACCCCAAAAGCTATTGAAATAAAAAATATTTTTTAAAAGATGCCTATATTTCCACTACCTTGAGATAAATCAATTTGATCTTTTCTCTTGTGGAATTAATAATTAAGATACAAGTGATTAGAGATGGGATAGAAGCTACAAATACATGGAAAGGCACAGAGGCAGAGAAAGAACCACAATGTTGGCAGAGCACTAGAAAAGGGTTTAATAACTCTCATTGCTGAAGAAATTTAGATCCTCTCTGCTCAAAGTGTGGTCCAAGACCAGCAGCATCAGCATCACCATGAGCTTGTGGGAAATGCAGAATATCTGGTCAAACATTAGACTTACTGAATCATAATCTGCATTTTAACATGATCCCCAGGTAATTTGCACATTACAGTTTGGAAATCACTGGTCTGGATTCTCTTGAGGCCACAGCTGTGTTGGCTCCTGAAAAACCTTTGTGAGCCCTGATGGTGTGCTGTGTCTTCGGTATTTCCATGAGTTCTGGCCCAAATTCAAGAAGTTAATCATCTGAAGAGCTGAGAATCAAACAGGAATTTGACTCCTAGTCCATCAAGTTAACTGGCATATTATATTTCTAGTCCTTCTATCCAGGAGCACATTATATTTCTCCCCTAATTTAAGTCTTCTATTAGATATCTCAGTGTTGGTTTATTCTTCCTTTTTTTTTTTTTTTTTTTTTTTTTTTTGAGATAGGGTCTCACTGTGTGGCCCAGGCTGGAGTGCAGTGGTGTGATCTTGGCTCACTGCAACCTCCAACTCCTGGGTTCAAGCGATCCTCCTGCCTCAGTCTCCCAAGTAGCTGGGATTACAGGCGTTTTCCACCATGCCCAGCTGATTTTTGTATTTTTAGTTGAGACGGGGTTTCACCATGTGGGCCAAGCTGGGTTTTTTTCTTTTTTCTTTGAGACAGTATATTGCTCTGTTGCCCAGGCTGGAGTGCAGTGGCACAATCATGGCTCACTGAAGCTTCAACCTCCCAGGCTCAAGTGATTCTTCCACCTCAGCCTCCTGAGTAGCTGGGATCATGGGTCCACACCACCACATCTGGCTAATTTTTTTTTGTTTGTTTTGGTAGAGATGGAGTCTCACTCTGTTGCCCAGGCTGGTCTCAAACTCCTGGGGTCAAGAGATCCTCCTGCCTTGGCCTCCTAGAGTGCTGCAATTACAGGTGTAAGCCACCACACCTGGCCAAGTTTTACTACCTTTTCCTATAGACTTTACATATTTTAATAGAAATTTTTCATTTCTTTCCAAGCAGCTTTCAATGCTACTTTGAACTATTCTTTGTCCTTTGCACTATTTAAGATCATTCTTACAAATAGATCTCATGTTACCTTAAACAATTTATTTCTTCTCATTGTGCTTGATTATTGGCCTTTAGCATAGTAGGAAAATATAAGAGTCAAGTCCTCGAAAAGGTTACAGAGAAATTATAGAAAATGGATATACAGTGTCTGAAATGAAAGCTCAGAAGGTCTCCTTAGGTGGGAGACTCAGGGCTCAGGTAGATCAAGTTTTTTATCATAACTTTGCTAATCACTTTTGGATATGAGACTCAAAGACAATGTTGGTAGCTACTAGATCAGTGGTTTCTAAACTTTGCTGCACATTAGAATGATCTTAGAGCTTATAAACCTCCCCAGCCTTGCTCACATTGCACCCTTACCAATTAAGACAGCTGGCTGGGGATGGGGGCCAGGCATCAGTAGTTTTTAGAGATTCCCAGGTGATTCCAATATGTGGCAGAGATGAGAACCAACATAGTAAATGATGCATTACTTAATATAGCAATGATAAGCTCCTGGTTTAACTGTTGAATAAAACCATCATTGAGTTTGCCAACATTGAGTTTCTTTGCTTCAAGTGAGGCACATGTGTAAAGTATGTGATACTTATTCTTACTTTTTAGATTCTATTCTAATAGGTAATAGAATAAAATAATAAATCTTAATCTTATCTATTAGATCTTATTCTAATAGATAATAATTATTCTTTCTTTCTGTGTGTAAGAAAATGGAGAATTGGGGGCCCCACTCCAAAATTACTAGATCAGAATTTGCAGTGAAATAAGCTCCCCAGTTGATACTCTCACACATTAAGATTTGAGATGCTTGTCTCCCTCTCCCTCCAGGCTGTAACTCCTGGAAAGCCTGGACTACACCAGACCATCCTTGTTTCCCAGTGGGGCCTAATAGTGCCTTGCCAATGGAAGAGCTTAAGAATTGTTGACTGAGTTGAATCAATAGTGATTGTACTGCTGGCTCAATGTCAAAGGATAGGATGCTGAGGGTATTGTTAGTACCAAAGAGAGCATAAACATTTCTTAAATTGCCTCCAGAGCAGCTAGTCCTTGTTTAGGTGACAGGCTCCTTTGAGAATTTAATGAAAGCTAAGGGTCATTTTTCTGTCTTTACAAAATTCTGCATACAGGTGGTTCATAGATTCTCCAGACACCCATAACATGGATTCCCTATGTCCATGACAGATAAAATTTGAGTCTAAAGTAGTCACTGAAAACTTGAGTCATATATGCATCTTTCCATCATCTTCAGAACAGACAGAGAGTGAAGCAGGATATTTAAAAACTACTGATGACCGTTTAATTAAAAGGGCTAAACTGAAAATAGTTTTACAAGGACATGGCAAAGATATTTTTTAGGCTTTTACACACAAGTCTCAAAGAAGTGCTTTGACTAGCACTTTAGTTTTCTTCTTTCTTTTTACTGTGAATTTCTTTAGTAACTTCCTTTTAACTTTAAGTAAATCTATCATCTAGAATGACCATGAACTTTAATAGAAGAAGAAAATCATGACTATTACCACAAATACCCAGACCCAGTCTAAAATAGATCAGGCAGCCTGTATAGAAAAAAGAAATGGAAAAGTTTGCTTGCATGGGCTCCACACCCAGGCAATCAATTCAGTTATTGAGGCATAAAGCAGAAGGAGGAAAAAACATGATGTCAAATGCTACTGTAACATATGTGCCTGGGAGTGGGATTGGCAAAGGCTTATAAATTTGGCTTGGCCCACAAGCAGAATTTAGTTGAGATTGGCAGTAAAAACATTTTCTACAGTTTTGCTGCCTTTGGTGATTTGAATCACAATCTAACACGTAGGATTTGGGCAATAATCTTCTTATTTACATCTCATTTTATTCCATACACCATGTAAATTGTATTTTATGCATTTGTATGCCAAAAAAGAAAATAAAATTTTGAAAAAAAAGAATGAATAAAACAGGTCAAAGGAAAAATAAGCAGAAAAATGATGAGATAAAAGAGAAGTCAAAAACTGCATGCCATAGATTCTATGTATCTGAGATATGAGAGCCCTTCATTGCTAAGACATGAGGGCTACAATCTTGGCTGTTAAGATTTCTTACATCAAAAACAATTATTGTATTCCTAATTTCCTAAAATAAAAACAAGGCTATTACTCCTGTCACTGAGATTAAAGAGAAAGTGCCTCATGCATCATCATAAAGAGGACCTTTTTTAAAAAAAATTGAAAAAATATGCTCAACTTTTGTACAGACAAGAGCTTTGTAGGATTACAGCATCAAGTCATTGAAGCTGACTTCAATTACTTGACAATAAATTTCAAGGAAGAAGAGACAGCGCATGTTTATCTTATCCACTGCGAAAGTTGCCATGACACTGTCTCTCTTGAACCTGATTTTTGTAGGGACAGGTTTTATGTACACTTCAATAAAAAGAGGTCTATATCCATCTAAAGAAGCCAGCCCACAGCTGAGGGTTTGGTTATAAGAACCGCAACTTGGTATTACTTCTAACATATTTATCTGAAAGTCAATAAAATACAGCAAAGATTAGTAATAGAATAACTGTCAGCTCTCTGCCTATTCCTTGGGTGGAACCTCAGTCTAAGAAACTCAGACTGGCAATTGTTCAAGGCAGAAAATGTCTAATAAGCTAATAGGACTGTAATGTATGGAAAAGCAAAAGGTGTTACTTAAAAAAATGTTCAACCAGTGAAGCCTCACTCACAGTGCTACAGGATAAAATATGGGTGAGAGTTTGGGCCTACCATCTTTGATCCACTCTGCTGGTGGGGAATCTCTGCCAGGTGCAACATTGAATTAGAGGTGACATCTTGGTTTGAGTTTTTTTTTTTTGTCTTTTGTTTTTTGTTTTGAGAGAGAGTCTCGCTCTGTCCCCCAGGCTGGAGTGCAGTGGCATGATCTTGGCTCACTGCAACCTGCACCTCCCAGGTTCAAATGATTCTCCTGTCTCAGCCTCCTGAGTAGCTGGGATTACAGGCGTGTGCCACCACACCCGGCTAATTTTTGTATTTTTAGTAGAGACAGGATCTCACCATGTTGGCCAGGCTGGTCTTGAACTCCTGACCTCAGGTGATCCGCCCGCCTCGGCCTTCCAAAGTGCTGGGATTACAGGCGTGAGCCACCGTACCCAGCCAATGGTTTGAGCGTTTACATTAACAGTGTTAATTAGCATGTCACTTTCACTTTTGTTATTTTTGCAACGTTTACATACCATTTATACCTCTAATTACTTAATTTTTTCTTGACATTGACTTTAAAATTTTATTCATCCTAAGCAGAAATACTTATGATTTCTGTGTAAGATATAGTTTTCTCACACACATCATATAACATAAAATTCTTTTTTGAGACGGAGTCTCGCTCTGTCGCCAGACTGGAGTGCAGTGGCGCGATCTTGGCTCACTGCAAGCTCTGCCTCCCAGGTTCAAGCGATTCTCCTGCCTCAGCCTCCCCAGTAGCTGCGACTACAGGCACACACCACCACGTCCAGCTAATTTTTGTATTTTTAGTAGAGATGGGGTTTCACCATGTTGGCCAGGCTGGTCTCGATCTCTTGACCTCATGATCCGCCCACCTCAGCCTCCCAAAGTGCTGGGATTACAGGCATGTGCCACCGTAATATTTTTTAAAATAACTCCATGAACCATCTAAAGTTATTTCTAACATTATATGCTATAGAAATCACAACTTACAAAATATGCAAACACTTTAGATGAAGCTTGGCAGTGGTTTAAAACTACAGACATTGGAAACAGACTGCCAGGGTTCTAATGCCAGCTCTGTTCCTTAAAAGCTGTGAAACATTGAGCAAGTCACTTTATCTTTCTGTGCCTCAGTAGCCTCATCTGCAAAATGGGAGTAATATTACTAGTATTTGCCACAGGATTATTGTGAAAACTAAATTAATTAATATATGTAAACGAGTTCTATCAGCGGTTGATGCTTAATAAGTGTGCCATTATTATTAAAACACAGTAAATAAGATAGCCTTTGTTCTAGAGAAGTTCAGACTGTTGATTCTGTAGAGCTGGGGAAAGTGAGCTTTTTTGGATAACCCCATGAACTGATCCACTCCTGTTTCACTGAGTTCATATCCGAGATGCCTAGTGCTAGGAGTTACCATTAATATCAAATTTGATGGACAAATTTCTGTCTTCACACATGGCTCTATTACACCTAAATTTAATTCAATAATAAGATATTTATAATAAGATTAAACATTTAATTTTCCCTTTCTATTTGTTATTGACTGATAAATTGGCAGATGTAAAGAAAATGGGAGAGGGGAAGAGGAAAGAATAAGGACGGAAAAAGGAAAGAATAAGGATGGAAAGAAAGGACAAAGGTGGAAGCCAAAGGCCAAGCCTAAGAACTTCAGGAAAGTTGAACCCGTAAGCTTCGAAAAGTTGTCGCAGGGTTAAAATGACATGTGAAAGTGACTACTACCGGGTGGTAGGATGAATTTTATTTTCTTCTCTCTGCTTTTCTGTATTTACTGAATTTGCTACAATGAGCACAGTTTGTTTTGATAATGAGAAAAAAATGGAAAGTGTTTTTTAAATTAATAAAATGTGTCATTGGGAAAATTCCAAATATAATGTTCAGGAAGAAAGGAATTCAAATGAATAATAATTGAATATATAGCAGAAGAGAAAAACTGTGAAAGGGTAAAATTTGATGTTTATTCACTGGTAAAAGACTACCAAGAATCTCAGATGCATAACTTAGTAAAAGCATTTGCATCAAAACAACTTTCTCAGAGTTTTCTGCATTATCAATGTTATCGTTGCTTGAAAAGTAAAAGATTCAGCCCATGGAGATAGTTAAAGAAGTGGGAGGCTAGGGGTAAAAACCATAAATCTTCAAAGGCCCACCTTTTATTCTGATGGCACACATGTGGGCTTTGACCAGCAGTGTTGAGTGACTTTGGGAGATTTTACTTGTAGAGTGAATCGTGAGCCTGGGCCAGTGAGTGTCTGCCCATGGAATCTTAGGTGCCAGAGTATTGGACCTGACCTTGAGGAATGGGCTCTCTCCTACCTTCAAACTAAGTTGTCAGGTCCCAAAAGACGGTATGGTAATACTTTTCTTGAACCTCCAAACCTCTATTGCCATAGAAGCTATGTCATGATTGTTTAATAGGATTCTGAGCTCCTTTGGGTTTTCAAGGATATTTTCCATCATTTTTCTCATTTAAATCTGGTGTAGACTTACTAATTTTTGTTTTCTTGATCTCTCATTGCCAAAGGGAAGAGTATTGACATCTCTCTATCAGCTTTGAGGAGGTGTGTTAAAATCTCCCACTGTGGTTTAGAGTTTGCCAGTCTCCCCCAGTGGAACCAATTGTTTTATTTATAAATATCTTTCATGTCTCTGTTGCGAAGTACAGATAAGTACATGTTTGTTAGAGTTTCTTGGATTATTACTGTTATGACATATCATGTCTCTCTTTATTCCTTGTCTTATGCTGCCATTTTACTTGATATGTACAAGCCCAGGGCAGTGCAGGTGAGGAAAGAAAGGAAACGAGATGAGGAAAAATGCAAAGCCATATAAGGCAACGAGGTATCATTCTGGCCATTGCTTCTCAACTAACTCAAAAAGCACAGTATTTCGCTGAGCACAGGTCTGTTCTCTAGCATGAGGGACCTTCTCCACAAAGGATGCAAGAAAAGAAAGAATGGAGAGTTATCTGCCTGGCTCCCCTTATCTGTCTCACTTACCTTTGATTGAGTTTCATCCCATTCGAACCTAGTTCCTCTGCATTTCAGTGTTGTGCCATCTGGCCCTTTGGAGGCTCCCCAGAAGCTGACTCCATTGCCCTGAAATGTGGTCGTTCATCCAAACCCAGAGTGGAGTGGGGTGAAGTGGGGTGGAGTGGAGTGGAGTGAAGTGGAGCTGAGGCATGTAAGGGAGGCGCCAGTCAGAAGAATGGCAGGAGGCAGATGAGAGAATCTGGGAAGGTAGGAAAGGTTTGTGTCTGGCACATCCTTAATCACGTATGTTCTCACTTAATAATATTAATGATACCCAGGAGTCAATGAAAATTGTCACCCCCACAGAAAGACTGACAAACTCAAAATCAATTTAACAAATATGTGTTGAATGCACTCACCATGTCCAAGTGACCATGTAGGTACTATGAGGAGAAAGTGATGTGCAAGACAGGATTCTGGGCTTCATGAAAAACAGGGAGTCTCCAGAGGAAAGATTTTGGATTAGACACCTGGACTTGAATTTCTGCTGTGCCCCTTATGCTCTGTGAATTTGAACAAAATATTTAACTTTCTAAGCCTCAGTTTCCTGGGGATAATAAGAGTGCTTGCCTTATAGTATTGTTATAAGATTGAAATGAAATCACAATTTTAGAGTAGCTGGTACATTTGATTAATGCTAACTGTTGTTTCTGTCTCAAAAAGAGCCATTATAGGCAAAGGATGAGCAAAGAGCCATGGGGAACCAAGAAGGGAAAGGCTAGTTCCAACCTAGCCTTTGGAACTAGCCTCTGGAAGGTCAGAGAAGGTTCCAGGTCTGTGGCAAAACAGAAAGATAATTCCTTTCCCTTTCCTGGTGCATGGTCAAGCCCTGCGCAAATTTATTTGGCGGATTTGGGCTTTGGCACCTTCCTTCTTTGTGTATCCCTCTCCTGCCTTCATCCTTTGTTTCCTCACCTGGCTGTAAGCCTGCCTGCATTTCCTGACTTGGAGGAGCAGGCAGGGGTGCCACGTTTTCCCAACCCAACTCCCTTGCCTTTGGAGGTGCTATGATTCTTTAGAAAGCAAACTGATTATCCAAACCCAAATCAAGTTCAAGTGACTGCTGGACCTTTACCTTCCTAATATTTTGTACCTCTGCCTAGTTGAAGCTTATTTCACAAAGACAAATGTCTAATCAGAATCATCCTTCATGAGAATAAACTCGTTAAAATGGCTCCCACAAACTTTCCTGGCTTTTAGGATCTTTACTTTTAGATCCATAGGCTCTCTGGAAGCTGTGAGAGTCCATTAACAGCTTTCCTGGAGGAGCTCTGGCCAGCTAAGAGTCAAGGTTACCTTATAGGTATTAGATGTTTACAACTCAGGGACTGTTTGTCAGAAATCACAGTCACTAGAGTTTCCATACTGTCCCCTCTATATTTTTCCATCATAAAATGTCCTCTCTAACCCCATTCCTTTCTCAGCATTTTCCTGTTTTCTTTACCACATGTTCTACATATTAAATATAGCATCCACGTATCAAGTTTTTGGTTAAGGAGAGGCCTAGAGTATAGCAAAGGTTTTAATTTCCTGTTTGGAAGATCATATTATTCATGCAAAGAACATGTGAAAACAAATTCCTTGTTTAATCAGATAAAAGGGGTGAGGCATATAAAGAATTGTGATGCAATTTTCCTTCAGTTAGTCATTTCTCCTACTTTCCTGGCTCATCTGAATATTTCTCTACATGGGTCCAATACGAAATAGCTCTTTCTTTAATGTTCTTTTCACCGGATAGTTTAAGAAGTCGGTTAGTAAGGAGTGACAAGGTAAGCTGCACACATCTTAGAGAGCACTTTGAGTTTAACAGGGCCTTCCAGTAATGCTACATCCAGTTCCTAAATACCCTGCTTCCCTGTCTTTTGATGGTGGTGGCAGATTTAGGAATGAGCAGAGGCAGTGAGCTATTGTTGAAAAACACTGATCGGCATTGGGGCAACTGGCTGAACCACTTACTAGCTGTGTGCCATGACCAAGTTACTGCATCTTATGCAGCCTCCATGTTCTTACATTTAAAAAGTCAGTGACAAACCCTACCTTGTGAAATAAACAATCAATTAGATCATTTGACTCATGAAACATTTGAATACCTGTGTGACAGACACTGTGTTAAGCACTGGGGATATAGATTTAAACAAGATAAAGTCTTGCCCTCAAGTAGCGCAGAATCTCGTAGGTGATTCAAATCTCATAGGTGAGTCAAATATGTAAATGTACAAAGTAAGTCTAATTATAAAAGTATATTCAACAGTCATCCTCAAGATGTGAGATTATATCAGCACACATAGGGAGCTTTTTAAATTATACACAAAACCACCCACAGGATCAGGGCACAAGACTCTCAATAATTCTCGCTTTTTAAAAACTGCCACTACACGTATTTAGCAATGGAAGGCATGTGGTTTTAGTCAACTGTCTCCCATTTTCAGAGATGGAAACTCCCACATAACCTTTTCCTACCCCAACCCCCTAGAACCTCTACTCCATATAACATCGTTGGACAATGTAAGTTACAACCTAAACTTCAACTTCTACTTGCTTGCTAATGACTCTGAAATCTGTATCTTCAGTCTTGATTGTTCTGCTGAGCTCCAAAACAACTGTCTACTGATGAACAGTTATCTTCTGGATGATCCACAGGTCCCTCGTTTGTGATAAAAGCAGCATTGAGCTCAGGGTCCTCCTCCCTTCTGCTAATAAAGCCATTCCTCCTGCCATTTCCCATTGTAGTGGCAGAATACAGGATTTGCCCAAGCTCTCTTGGAATAATCTTAGATTCCTTTCATCCTCTGTGCCATTTCAATCACCCACCAAATCCTAGAAGTGCTATTCCTGAAATTATCTATATAACATATATAATTTCCTCTATATATATAGATACACAAGTATAAATACACATATATATGTTATATATATGTATATGTATACATATCCCCAACTCTCTATTCTGAACTATTACAATGACCTTCTTGTCTACTTTGAAATATGCTTTCTAAACTTGTATGTGTCATTCCTACAGGTAAATATCATGATGTCATTCCCACTAAACTTCTTCCAATTGTTTCTCTTCCCTTTTCTTAACCCTAGCATCTAGAACTGGGTCTTACTTATCTTGTTGCTTGATCAGTTCTGAGGTAGAGTGAAACATTGCTACGTCCTAGGAAAGGAGGACATGTAGAATAAAGAATAAAGAATTCTTTTACACAAAGAATTGTAGAAGAAACCATCCCACAGTGCAGGAATTTACTGTCTGTTTTGGAAGGCACCGGAAGGGTCAAACAGCATAAAAGATATTTAGTGACCACTTATTGAATATCTATGATGTGTCACGCACCAAGCCAGTTGCTTAGGTTGCAATGATTAAAATACATGGTTCCTGCACATGAATTGAGGAAATTATAACATAGTGAGTTTTGAGTTATTATACATGTATAAAGTATTGCTAGAGCATGGAACTATGACAGCTTGAGTTACAACTTGAAGGTTGAGTAGGAGCTTGATAGGCTATGGTGGGCTGCATGAGGAGATAAAGGATCCAGGAGTTACAGCAAGAGGAAGCATGATGTTTGGGAAATGGCAAATACTTCATTGCCACAGGAGTGTAGAGTGCTTAGCGGAGGATGATGAAAGGAGCATAAGTGAAGGGGCAGGCTGAAGCACTCATCATTCACTTACTCACATGTTCATTAACAAATATTTATCAGTATTTATCAATAATGAATGCTGAAGCATTCATTTTTCACTTACTCACGTGTTCATTAACAAATATTTATCAAATATCCTGTCCAGAGTCTCCTATTAGTTCTGTCAGCCCCATGGAGCTATGCCTGGGTCATGGCTTAAGTTGAGACCTTGAAAGTTGCCTATGAGCAGTTAAAGATTCTCACTGAAGTCACCACTTGTCTATTGCTTCCCCCTCCCCTGACCTCCACTTCCAGTTCTCCTCACATGCCTTTAAACTCTTAAATATTCCTCTGCAGTATTCTAGCCACAGATGAGAAATATCATCCTTTAAGTGAATTTGAAGGAAGGGAAAAAATACATTTAAAGAGAAAAAAAAAGGCCTTGACAGTTGCACAGAAGCCTCCTTGCTACTATAAATATTTAGGACGGGAAGGCATATGGTTTAAGCCAACTCCCTGCCACACTCAATGTGTAGTTTTCATGTTTTAAACTATCAATGCTCAATCATTACTGTTGTGCTGGCAGTCCTTTCTTTTGTGTATGTGAGTTTCTCCCTATTAAATAAACCCTCTCTTTTGGAAGAATTCTCATGGCAATGACTATAATTACAACCCAAAGCTGAGCTGTAAAATGCAGTGATATGACAGCTTTTGTGATAGAAAGGGTGGAGAAACAATGAAAGCTTATAATTTTCTTTGAGATGTCTCAAAGTCTGACAGCAGCCCCACCCTTATGATGTAAATCTGCAGTGACCTAAAGTTTCAGGAAAGATGAAGCTAGAGAGACATGCCAAGTCACCGCCACATTGACCACCAGCAAACAAGCAAGAAAAGATTCAGCATAATGCTGAATTCTCTATGACTTCTTCAAATAGTCTGGAATGGTATTTCCTGACATTTCCGAATATGAGGGTTCTTTTTAATGTCAAAACTTTTTGTTCCTTACTTGAGATGAGCTGTTCTTTTTATATCCATCATTTGAGGAAATATATGGTGATAATATGCAATTAATTTATTACTTTGAAATAAGCTATTTACCTTCATTAATCACAATAGCATTTATAAATACCTGAAAAACAAAACGTATGTGCTTTAAAATATTATTTATTCAGTCTACCAACAAAGCTTGGCCCCTTTTGTATTTGATGACAATTGCAGTGGCTCAGAAATCTGTAATTTCCTATTCCTTCTCACCCGCCCCACCTAAGAGTCTCAGGCCTGGGACAGTGTGTTCCTTGTATTCATTTATTTATTCACTTGTAAGGTATTAGGGGCCTACTGTATTCTCAGCATCATGCTGGAGGTCATAGATACAAAATTAAGTGACACCTGGCACCTGCCCTCATAGGACTTAAGTCCATTGGGAAAGACAGATATATAAATCTGTAACAGCACAATGAGCACAAAAAGCTTAGGAGGAGGTGGTTAGTTCTACTGGGCGAGAGTAGTTAAAAAGCATTTATCTGGGAGGTATATTGGTCAGCTATTGCCACAATAATGCTGTGCAACAAATCACTCAAAGACATAGTAACTCAGAACAGTAATCCTCAGGCTCATGTCTGCAAATCAACAACCAATCTGCTGGGCTGTGCTTGATTTGGGCGCCAGGCTCTGGGCTCCAACTGTGAGCTGCAGATTGGGATCAGGTCCGTTCAACATGGCTCTCATCCCCCCTGGACCAGAGTATGTGCTCACTGTGGGTCACTACAAAGCAAGAGAACCTAACTCTGCAAAAACAGTTCAGGTCTCTGCTCTTGCTACAGCCATAAAAATTCCATTGGTCAAGGCAGGTAACGTGGCCAAGCCCAAAGTCAAGGGACAGGGACATATACTCCACCTACCATTCAGCTATGTGTGGGTATGAATGCTACTGGAGGGAAGTGAGGAATTAAGACAAAAAACTCAATTTACCACAAGAGAGAACCCTTGATATACATCCTGAAAGATGATTGCAAGTTTATCAGGTGGATCTAAACATCTGAAATAAGGATCAGGAGAAATAATATTAATACACAGCATTTGGCCTAACAGAAATGTTTTGAGGGAAAGTAGTTGGGACTGTTATACAAGGTGCATGCTCAGTGTCTGTCATGGAATGCACCAGGGCCATTAGTATATAGAGAAGAGCACAGCCTATGCGTGCCACAGCTAAATAGATCTAGAGAAAATTTAATGAAAGACCTCATCTTGCTGACGGTAGGCCCATATTGATCATGCAGGAGCCATTTGAGCCCAGTGTCTCTAGTGTGATGACAATGACATTAAAGAAAAAATGGAACTCACATTCGATGCTGTCTTCAGCACTAATTCATTCCTCGTGCTACTGTCTTCAAAGTATTGAGGTTGCAGTTTATATAAATTTTCTGTTGTCCCTGTAAACAAATCAGCAAAAACTTAATGGTTTAAACACAATACAAATGTATTACTTTGCAGTTCTGGAGGTGAGAATACTGAAATAAGTCTCATGGGCTAAAAATGAAGCTGTTTGCATGTCTGCTTTTTTTTCCGGAAACTCTAGGAGAGAATCTGTTTCCTTGCCCTTTCCAGAGTCTAGAGTACAACTGCATTCCTTAGCTTGTGGTTCCTTCCTCTGTCTTCAAAGGCAGCAGTGTAACATCTTCAGATCTTTGAATCTGAACACTGCCTCCCTCTTCCACACGTAAAGGACCCTTATGATTATATTGGGCCCACCCAGATAATCCAGGATGATTTCATTTTAATAACAGCTGGTTAGCAACCTTAATTCCTCCTTGACATATAACATGACATATTCACAAATTCTGAGGATTAGGATGTATGCATCTTTGAGAGACCATTATTCTGGTTTTGGTTCTGCCCATTATTCTGGTTTTTCCCCCACATGGTTCTTGGGGGAAAAAAATAACAATGCCTCATATTAATATTACACCTTATTACAAGCCAAACACTTTCTTTTTTTGTTTTTTTTTTTAATGATCTCACTTTTGTAAGCAGAGAATAATTTTATGGTGGACAAAAGGAGCTCTAGATATGTTAAGTGGCAACATAGTATAGCATAGTAGTTACCTCCTGCTTTTTCAATTGCCTTGGAATATTCCACATGTACCTAGGTTGGTGTTTACCACATTCTATTGCAATTACAGTAGCCTCCTCTTATCCGGGAATGCCTTCTGGGACTCCCAGTGGATGCCTGAAACCGAGGATAGTACTAAACTCTACATACACTATGTTTTTTCCTATATGTACATACCTACAACAAAGGGTAATTTATAAATTAGGCACAGTAAGAAACTGACAATAATAACTAATAATAGTACAAGTATACCAATATACTGTAATAAAAGTTATGTATGGGTGCAGTGGCTCACACCTGTAATCCCAGCACTTTGGGAGGCTGAGGTGGGTGGATCACCTGAGGTCAGGAGTTCAAGACCAGCCTGGCCAACATGGCAAAACCCCGTCTCTACTAAAAAAATACAAAAATTAGCCAGGCGTGGTGGCGGGTACCTATAATCCCAGCTTCTCAGGAGGCGGAGGCCAGAGAATTGCTTGAACCTGGGAAGCAGAAGTTGCAGTGAGCCAAGATCATGCTACTGCACTCCAGCCTGGGTAACAGAGTGAGACTCTGTCTTAAAAAAAATAAGTTACTTGAACATGCACTTTCTCTCTTTCAAAATATCATATTGTACTATAATCACTTAATTTCAGACAACAGTTGACCATGGATGACTGAAACCTTGGAAAGTGAAACCTTGGATGGCTGGAGGGAGTAAGGGTTACTAATGTATTTGTTACATGTCTGTATCACCACTTTAAGGCAGACATAGAGTCATTTTATGCTCCTTGCCTTAGTAGTTAAAGAAGGCGAAAGAAAATAACATTCCTTAGCCACTCATTATGTTCAACATGTGCCACAAACTCTATATGTGATTTGTAATTTTTTCTTCCCCATACTTACAGGTAAGTAAACCTGGGCCCAAGATCACAGAGCACACAGCTGGAATTCACAGCAAGACCTGATTGACTTCGAAGTCAGTGGTCTTTCCCCTGCTTCCCACGAGACAGGTAATCCCTCAGCTTACTCTTGAAGAGGCAATGTGGGCTACTGCATTTGAATGTCTGAATTCAAGCCTTGTAGAAACAACTAGCAGTAACCAAACACCATTATTTTTGTTTGTTCATTTGTTTCCAAATGACTTGTGACTTTTCTAATGGAGAAAACACTCAACCCAAATCTTAATTCCACCAACAATGAGTGTGTGCCTTGGACAATTCACAGCCTGTCTGAGCTAGTTTATTTTAGAGTAAGCAAGTTGGAGTAGGTGACCTCTGTGTTCTTTGTAATTTGAGACGTTTTGGTGTTCACACAGGTTACTACATGAAGAGCTGGGACTGGAATACAGGTTTTCTATGTTCACCTGGGGATAGCTTTTCCATCATCCCTCCTGAGTCTGTGAGGTATCCCAGTTTTTAAGCCAGAACTTTGAAACCAGAAGTAAATGGTTAAGTTTATCTGTCTATGCCTATGTGTATTCTAGCCAAATAAACCATGACACTTAAAACAATTTCAATATTTCAAAGATGTAGTAAATTTCCTTGAACCTTTTTTATTGTTTTTTATAAATTAAAAATTATGAAATAATTCAAACATTTTTAAAATAGGAAATAACGTGATATGCATGTACCCCATACCCAGATTTAATAGATGTTTACATTATGCAGTATCTGTTTCTTTTTTTTTTTTTTTTCTTGAGACAGAGTCTTGCTCTGTCACCCAGGCTGGAGTGCAGTGGCATAATCTCGGCTCACTGCAACCTCCGCCTCCCGGGTTCAAGCGATTCTCCTGCCTCAGCCTCCTGAGTAGGTGAGATTACAGGCGCGCACCACCAAGTCCAGCTATTTTTTGTGTTTTTAGTAGAGACAGGGTTTCACCATGTTGGTCAGGCTGGTCTCGAACTCCTGACCTCGTGATCCACCTACCTTGGCCTCCCAAAGTGCTGGGATTGCAGGCATGAGCCACCGCACCTGGCCTTCAATTTTTTGATAGAAGTAAGACATCACAGGTACAATCAAAGTTTCCTAATCTTATATTTCTTCTCACACTTCCCAGAGGAAAATGACTATTCTAAAGTTAGTTACTTCTATTTCTTAATTGTAATACATTTATTCATATTCTTAAGACATTTATGTAATATTGTGTTAAGTATTTTTGAAATGTATATAAATGGAATCATACAATAAAGACCCTCAGCAGTTTTTTTTCACTGAATGTTCTGGTTTCAAGATTTATCCATGTGAATATGTGTAGGTCTAGTTTATTCATTTTAATTATTGTGTTATATTTTATTGTATGACCATAACATTTATTTTTTCTTTTGATTGTGAATTTAATTTTTTTAATATTTAAACAGTGCTGCAATGAACATTTTTCCTTATATCTATCTGCTTGTTCCTGTGAGCTTCTCAAACCATGACCTGAAGATCGCTACCAGTTCATAACTAATTAAGTACAGAAATTGACAATATTAATTTAGAAACTTTAATAGCAATCCAACTGAGTACTTTTATGTCTATTGAATCCAATAATACAGAATATTGAGTTCTGTATTTTGTATGTCTGTTTTAAAATTTTATTTTTTTGAGATAGGGTCTCACTCTGTCTCCTAGGCCAGAGTGCAGTGGCGCAATCACAGCTCACTGTAGCCTCAAAACTCCCAGGCTCAGGTGATCGATCCTCTCACCTCAGCTCCTGAGGAGCTAGGACTACAGGCGCACACCACCATACCTGGCTAATTTTTTCACTTGTTATAGAGATGGGGCTTTGCCATCTTGCCCAGACTGGTCTCGAACTCCTGGGCTCAAGTGATCCATCCACCTCAGCCTTCCAACATGCTGGGACTACAGGCATGAGCCACTGTCCCCAGCCAAAATTTTATTTATTCATTTTCATTGTATTTTACAAACATATTGATCCTCAGCAGCATGGAAATATTTTTAGAAAACTTGCCTTTTTATTACAGATAGTTTGAGACTTTCTGCATGGTTTCTACTTGCAAGTTGAATTTCTGGCTTGATGAATAAGTGCATCTTTAGCTCTAAAACATATAAACAAATTCCACTCCAGAATGGTCAAACCAATTTTCAATCTCTTCTGCAGTGTATAAGTTTCCTTTTCCAACAGTTGCATTATCAGACCTTTAAATCTTTTCTCAATATGATAGCTATGAAATATTTTATTTAACTAGCAATTATCTGATAAATAGTGACGTTGAACATCTATTTATATGCTAATTACATTCCCAGTTACCTGACTTTAACAAGGCAGGTTTTCCAGTTTGCAAGTATGGGGAAAATATGTCTTTAAAAATCTAGCTATAGCAGGCAAAGTATCATAACAGGTAAAACTGGTTTTTAAGAAGAAAAGCCTAGGAACAGCTAGCTTTGACTTGATGAAGGACAGGAAAAACCAGTTGTAGCAATTGAGTACATGGACAGATACTTTAGAGTACATGTCTTTTCCGGTATTTTGGTTTTGGGACAATCCCTCCATCACCATTATGACGTTTCAGTGGAGCAATTTTCACTAAGAATTTTGTACCTGTTTTCCAGTTTTGATCATCGATGATTTTCTGGTTCTAATGAGATCAAGGACATGAAGAGGCTGAGTGCCTCCATGAGCTTCATTATTTTCCATGATCTGACCTCTCATTCTCTTAAGCTTTGGAGTTGGATGAAGGAAGAACTCTGAAAAAAAGGTGGGAGGGTGTAGGTCCAGGCACCCCCTTGTAATTCACACTGCCTCAGCCTGAGAGTTTGTGTGTGTGTGTGTGTGTGTGTGTGTGTGTGTGTGTGTGTGTGTTGTTGTTGTTGTTGTTTTTGAGATGGAGTCTGCCTCTGTTGCCAGTCTGGAGTGCAATGGTGCCATCTCAGCTCACTGCAACCTCTGCCTCCCGGGTTCAAGCGATTCTCCTGCCTCAGCCTCCCGAGTAGCTGGGACTACAGGCAAATGCCACCATGCCTGGCTAATTTTTTGTATTTTTAGTAAGACGGGGTTTCACCGTGTTAACCAGGATGGTCTCGATTTCCTGACCTCGTGATCCGCCCACCTCGGCCTCCTAAAGTGCTGGGATTACAGGCGTGAGCCACCACACCTGGCCACTTGAGATATTTTTTTAAATGCCAACCAGAGGCCGGGCGCGGTGGCTCACGCCTGTAATCCCTGCACTCTGGGAGGCCGAGGCGGGCGGGTCACGAGGTCAGGAGATCGAGACCATCCTGGCTAACACAGTGAAACCCCGTCTCTACTAAAATAAAAATATATATATATACAAAAAATTAGCTGGGCGTGGTGGCAGGCGCCTGTAGTCCCACCTACTTGGGAGGCTGAGGCAGGAGAATGGCGTGAACCCGGGAGGCGGAGCTTGCAGTGAGCCGAGATCGCGCCACTGCACTCCAGCACTCCAGCCTGGGAGACAGAGCCAGACTCCGTCTCCAAAAAAAAAAAAAAAAAAAAAAAAAAATGCCAACCAGAACTTATGCTTCCATGCTTAAAACCTATCAATATCTTCCGAAAGCATAATAAAATTGAAAATACTTGGCGTGGGGCTTTCCTCCCTCTTCCACCTATCTCACCCTCCTTCCTCCTAGCCTATATGAATTGCTTGGAGAGTCCCAGTTTATGTCAAACTGTTTTGCACTTTCATTCCTTGGTTCAAGATGCTTCCTCTTCCTGGGATTCCTTCTTGCCCCTCCCTGGTTGCATGATACACTTCTCCTCCTCATTCATAACTCAGCTATCAGGACTCTCCCAGGAACAACTGATTATTCCCCTTTGTATGCTCTGCTAAATTAAAATTTCAAAACATGTACCCCTTTGTAAAGTGGACTTTCATTCAAGGTGCACAGTTCAGTAATTACTACCAAAAGAACTACTGGTACAACTTTCACCCTGGTCAAAACAGAACATTATCACTCCCTTATAAAAAAAGTTTTACCTTTTTTTATAGTACTTTATATAAATGAAATCATATCATGCGCTTTCTGTGTCTGGTTTCTTTTGCATAATGTTATATGTGTGAGATTTACTTGTGTCGTATACAGCAGTTCATGCATTTTCATTGCCGTGTAGTATCTGATTTATGGCTACACCACGTGTTGGTGTGTTTTTTAAGATTGTGGATGGATATTAGGGTTATTTTCATTTTGAGGCATTGCAAATACTGCTGTTTTGAACATTTATACCCAAGTCTTCTGGTGCATATGTGTGTATGCATTTCTGTTGGACATATACCTGAAAGTGGAATTGCTGGGTCATAAGGTATATTATATTCAAATTTAGTAGATACTGACAGTTTCCCGAAGTGGTGACTGTATCAATTTATACTCCCCCCAGCAACTTTGCTTGTAATTGGCTTTTTAACCTAAGCTATCTTTTTGAGTATGCAGTGGTATCACATTTTTGTTTCAATTTGAATTTTCTCTGATGACTAATTGAGAATTATTTCATATAATATATATTTATTGACCATTTAGATATTCTGTTTTCTGAAGTGCCTGTTCATATCTTTTCCCCTTTTTTCTATTAAATTATCTGATTCTTTAGGAGTTCTTTATAACTTATTTTATTTTTATTTTATTTTTGAGATGGGATCTTGCTCTGTAGTCCAGGCTGGAGTACAGTGGCACGATCTCAGCTCACTACAGCCTCTGCCTCCCAGGTTCAAGAAATTCTCTCACTTCAGCCTCCCAAGTAGCTGGGATTACAGGGGTACGCCACCATACCTGGCCAATTTTTGCATTTTTAGTGGAGGCGGGGTTTCACCATGTTGGCCAGGCTGGTCTCAAAACTCCTGACATCATGTGATCCACCCACCTCAGCCTCCCAAAGTGTTGGGATTACAGACATGAGCCACCGTGCTTGGCCTATAGTTTTAATGTAGTCTAATTTTTCAATATTTTCCAGAAAGCTCACAGAATCATAAAAAATATATTGTTATTTTAGGCCACTTAGTTTGGGGAGTTTGTTGCAGAGTAATAGATAAGTGAAGCAGCAAAGTACAGAGGGGCTTTTATCTAAGAGAGCTGATTTATCATTGGATATCTCAGAAAACCACAACATTTCCAAAAGAACTGTATCAGCTTGAGCTGAAAAAGATTGAGACAGTTCAAAATGAAAGAAGTTTCTGGGTCCTCAAACTTCTATGGGGAATAAGCAGGTTAAGAAACTTTCTCAGTTGCAAGCATGGGTCGTTCCTAATGAAAAAGGCAGGATGTCACGGAGGGCGGAGGCAAGAGCCACTGCTTTCTTAAGCAGGTTACGAAAGTTTCTCAGTTGCAAGCGTGGGTCGTTTCTAATGAAAAAGGCAGGATGTCATGGAAGGCGGAGCCAAGAGCCACGGAGAATCACTCCCAAGTAGCAGGGCTGGTCACATGTGCTCAGAGGATGTTGGAATTGCTGTGGATGGGTGCTTGCTTTGTGCCTCCTATTCATGCCCCCCTTTTAAATGCAAGTGTCTATTTGTTTATCCTAGCCCTATCTTATGAATGTATGTTATGTATATATGGGAGTGTATATGTGTGTTGGTGATGAGGTTTGAGAGAGCTAGAATTTTTAATTCACAATCTGTACAATTCAGTATCTGCACCCAAGGACCCACACCCAAGGAGCAGTACCAGAGGGAACACATCTGAAGAGCCCTATCTGGATTTGCCAACATGATTTAGATGATAAGATACTGGACTTTGAGCTGGTGCCATAATGGGATGAGGCTTTGGGAGTCCAAAGGGAGATAAGTGTAAGTGTATTTCACCGGTGAAGAATGTAAAACATAAAAGGCCAGAACATGAACTCTGCAGCTAATCTCCAAAGATGGCTCTCAGTGAACCACACCTCATGGAATTCATGTCCTTGCATAGTCCCCTCCCGCACTGAATCTGGGTTAACTTTGTGACTTTCTCTAACTATCAGAATGTGACAGAAGTAACAATATGATACATCCCTCCATTTAGTGAGATCATCTTTAATTTCTCCCAATAATGTTTTGTAGTTTTCTGTGTAGAGGTCTTACAAATTTTTTAGATTGATTCTTTGACATGTGACTTTTCTATGCTGTTGATAAATGATATTTTGTTAAAATTTTTATTTTCTAATTGCTTGTTACTAGCATATAGAAACTTAATTACATATAGAAACTAAGTACAGGACTTTGTTTATTGACTATGTATTCAGTGGCCTTGGTTAATTCCTCTTTTAATTGTAATAGTTTTTCTGTAGTTCTTTTGGATTTTTCTATGTGTATAATTATATATGAATAATGACAGATTCATTTCTTAATTTCCAGTCCTCTAATAGGGTTTCTTTATTTCTTTTTCTAACTTTGATGCACTAGCTAGAACCTACAAAATAATGTGGAAAAAAAGCAACCATCCTTGCCTCATTCCTGATTTTAGAGGAAAAGCTCTTAATATTAACTATGATGTTTTTAATGGGGTTTATTTAGAGATCTTTGTGAAGGCAAGAGTTTTTTTAATAAATGAATCTTGAGTTTTATAAAAAATTTTTACTGCATCTATCAAGATGGTCATATGATTTTTAAATTCTGTTACTGCAGTAAATTATATTGATTTTTTAATCTAAAAACAATCTTACATATCTGAAATAAACCCACTTTGGTCATGATGCATTATTCTTTTTGTGTAACACTGGATTTGATTCTTTTATTTATTTATTTTAGAGTTTTTGCTTATATGTTCACAAGAGACAGTGACTTGTTATTTTTTTCTTGTATGTTCTTGTCAGGTTTGAGAATCAAGGATATGTTGGTCTTACAAAATTATTTGGGAAGTACTTGTTCTTTTTTAACTTTCTGGAAAAGTTTTTATAAATTTGATATGATTACTTCTTTAAATATTTGGTAAACTTCACTAGGGAAGCATCTAGGATGGGAAAATTTTTAGTTATGGACTCAATTTCTTTAATAGATATAAAACTATTCAAATCCTTCTATTTCCAACACTCTGATTTTGGCACATTGAGATTCTCTATGAATTTGTCTATTTTATCTAAATTTTCAAAATTACTGACATAAAAGTCACATAGACCTCTTAGGATTTTTTTAAATGAGTTTTCATTCTTGAAATTATTTATTTGCACATTCTCACTCTCTCTTCTTGATCAAACTGGCCAGATGTTTGTCAATTTAAGGCTCTTAAAAAAAAAGATACAACCTTTGGATTTGTTAAACCTCATTATACATGTATTTGTATTTTTTCCATTGGTTTCTAGTTTGTTGTTTATAATTTACCTAATTTACTTTTTTTGAGTTAAAATTTGCTTTTCTTTTTCAAACTTCTTGAAATGGATACTTACATGATTCTATTTCCCTAATGCTTTATTTAAGCCTATAAATTTCCCTTGAATCATAGACTCGGATTCAGCCCACCCATTTTGATATGTTACATTTTTAATATATTAAATATAAAATGTCTTCTCATTCCTATTGTGATTTTGGTTTGACCTATTGAATCATTTAGTAGTACATTATTAACTTCTAAAACTGGGAGGTTTTAGTATGGCATTTTTGTTATTTATTGCTCGTTTAATTATATGTGGTCAGAAAGCATATTCCATATTATTTCAGTTTCTTAATCTTTGTTAAGGCTTCCTTTATGGTCAAGCATATGGTCAAATTTTTAAATAAAATTCTATAGAACATGTACTTGAAAAAAAATTCTAGTCTGCTCTTGTTGGGTATCAGTTTTCAACATGCGTGTATCAATTAGATCAAGTTTGTTAATCATGTTCTTCAAACCCTTATGTTTTTACTATTTTTTGGTCTATTCATTCTATTTATATTCTTTACTAAAAGAGGAGTGCCAAAATCTCCCCTTATGATTATGGATTTGTCTATTTCTCATTTTAGTTCTGAAAATATTGTTTTATATATTTCAAGGCTTTGTTACTAGATGATAGCTGTGCCCAGTTTTTGTTACATATGATATTGAAAAACTAGAGTGATAGGATTCCAAAGAACCACTGCTGTTGTCTCAATGTCTGTGTCCTCCCAAAATTTATATGTTGAAATCCTAACCCCCAAGGTAATTGCATTAGGATGTAGGGTCTTTGGAAAGTGACTGAAGGCTCTGCCTCTTGAATGGGATTAATGCCCTTATAAAAGAGACCCCTGACATCTGCCTTTCCCCTTCCACCATGTGAGGACACAGTGAGAAGGTGCCATTCATGAACCTGAAAGTGAGCCCTCACCAGACACCAAACTGGTTGAGCATTGTCTTCCCATTCTCTAGAACTATAAGAAATAAATTTCTGTTATTTATAAGCCACCCAGTTTTCAGTATGTTGTTACAGCAGCCCAAATGGACTAAGACAGCCACTCCACTAGGCAAGCCTGAGTGTAGAGCCATCAAAGACAGCTTGGAGAAATAGATTGCTGGCCTTGAGCACCCACATAGCTCATTTTTGCCCAGTGGGAGCTAAAAAATATCTCCTAAATGCTGCTGACCTCCCTATGGTTTGGTACATGCTTAGTACACTCCAGACTTGAGGCCTCTGTATTTTCCATTCTTTCTCCCTAGTATCCTCTTCTAGGTAAACTTGAGGCTTGCATCAGGGATAGATGTAAAGCACATGAAATAATACCTAGCATATATGGTTACTGAAAAAGGAGGGAAGAAATGTTATGAGTTCAAGTGAAAGAAGAGCTTCGTGGAGAGTAGTTAGGATTCACCTAGAGAAAAGCAGATTTGTGTAGGGGATGGAGAAGAACGTATTATCATCAAGTAAACAAAGGCATGGAGCTGTGAAGGTGAGGGTTTCTCTAGACACCTCACAATGAGTCCAGAGTTCAAGCAGGAAAATGGTACGTGGTAGGCAGTTAGGTAAGAAAAATAAATTGAATCCCAAAATAAAGGGCCATGAGGAGTAGGCAAAGGGTTTTGGACTTTGCATCCTGCCTCCTCCTCCTAGACTGGTGACTTACTTCCTGACTAGAATATGAGATTTCTGAGGACATGCCCAGCATCATGTTCTGCACGTAATCTGCAAACAACATTCCATTTATTGGTGACTAAACACTCCGGCCCTGGGGTGAAACTGCCTGGGTTCAAATCCTGCCCCATTCCTTCCTGACTGTATGGCCTTGGATAAGGTAGTTAACTTCTGCACACCTCTGTTTCCTTATCTGTTTAAAAAAAAAAAAAAAAAAAAAAAGGTTAATCAAGGTAGCAGGTTCACTGGGTAATTGTAAAGGTTTGATGGATGTTACATATAAAGCACTTGATATACAACCTGTCAAAAATTTTGTACAGTCAAGTAGGAATGTGGCAATAACCGGGATTTTGAAGGATAGGAATGATTGGGATGGTTAGAAATCACATGTGTGTGATTCTATAACAGTTTATCTTCCTATTGATGTGTTTTATAGGCAGCTAGCATGGGCCAAGTATGTTATCATCAAGAACTGAAGAGACTTAACTAGAGCAAGTAAAACAACACCCGAAATGCAATGTACATATATCAGAATGCTTTTCAGTTCTGCATTTGTGTTCTAATTTGCCTTTAAACATGTGTTGAAAAGAGTTTGACAGATGGGCAGAGGCAACACCATTACTGAGAAAAGTCACTTGACAAATCCTAATATTTCAAAGAGCCACTCCATTTGTGGCACTAAGATTAAATTAAGACAGTGCCCTGGGAAAACACAACTATGCCAGGACTCTCCTCCTACTGAATGCTTCTCATGTCTAAGCTTTACATTTTCAACACTCATTTCCAGGTCTATTTTCAGTTGCTCTACAAAGGATTAATGAAAATAACTCCATCTGATGTGATTAATGTCTCAGAAATCTATCTCATCCTAGTGTTCACAAGACTCTGGCTTCCTATAGAAAGGCCTTCAAAACAATAAGATAAAGAAAATGTATAAAAATTGAAATGTTGATTTTGATATTGTATTCGATAACAGATTTTGGTCAATGCATGTTTATTTTAAAAGAAAGCATGCACAACAGCTTTTCTACTAATAATGGTAGGAAATTACATAGCTATTTAAAATACCCAATTCACACAAATTGAGATGCAAATGTTGGTGTTATTGGCTTAGAACAGAGACGAACATTTAACTCTTAACATGCACATTTTATCCTTAATCTATTCTCAGTAATATTTTATGTTGCTTCACCATTGTCATAAAAGGAAACTGATTTCCTTTTCTGGTAAAGAAGGGAAATAATACTATTAACCTCCCATGATTATTATGAAAATAAAGTGAAATCAAGTAAACAATAGTTTTCAAACTATTGAGAGGATGCAGTTACTCATCAGTAATATTAGAAGGAAGACAATAAAATTTGTTTTCTTCTTTTAAGGCTCGTATAAATACATATATGTATACATACATGTATATATACTTGTCAACTTGAGCAGGGCTGTATAGATAGCTCCCTATATAACAAAAAGATATGAAAATTTGACAATTTAGTATAGAGATTTTTCTAATAAAAAGCACTTTTTAAATATCAAGCACTTTCTTTGTTTTCTAAAACCATAACAGCAAATTTTTATTTATTATGCTAGAACATAATTAGTAGTTATTCGAGTGAGCACAGACAGAATTACATAAAAACAACAGGTGCAAGAACTCCTAGATAATTTCATTAATTGCAGAGGCTCTATGGATTTGGAGCAAGATGTCTAAAATACCCCAGAAGCAGGTGTTCTAGGTCTTCTTATGGCTCATGTGGGCACTTGGAGGTATTTGATGTGGTAGATAACAGCTTGCTTAAAGACAAGGCTGAATAGGACAGCTGTCAAGGGCATTAGTGGTATGTGATGGGTGAGGACTGGAGAATACAGAAGGTATAATCAGAGTCCCACCAGGGCCAACTCTGGCTAAGCTGGTTTCTGTGTTCTCAGAACCCTCTGTCTGCTCTGGTTTCTCACTGGGGTTTCCTGTGCTTTCCGCCCGCCAACCGAATCACATTGCCTTTCCGTCTAGGTGCTGCTTCCTCCTCTTCTCATGGCTAACTCTTTCTCATGATTTAGGGTTCAGCTCAACTGTTACTTCTTCATGGAGGCTGATGCCTCCCAGTCTTCATCTTAAAAGTGTGCAGCTTTTATCACCGTCTATAACTATGTTACTTAATCATCTGTTTATTATTCACCGTGTGCTACAGAAGATGATCTTGATGAGAAGAAACTGCATGTTACCCAACAGTTTCTGGGTCATAGGCATGCATCAGGTAACTGATGAATGAATGAATGAATGAATGAATGAATGAATACATTAATCTCCAAGATTCCTTCAGTTTACGATATTCTGCTTGACTATCTAGTCCCTCAAAAGGCATTACCTTTCCCCTGTATTATCTCAAGCACCCTATTATAACTTTTTGAGTTAGTAGCATGTTCACCAAGGCTAATCCTCTTTAGCATGTTAGCCAGCTATGATGGCCACATTTTCACATAACAAGATGATTTCACCAAGTTAAAAACTTCTTTGGGATCTATTCGTAAAAGTATATATAAGAGTTTACATTTCTAACAATATAGAAAAATGTAGAGCCTCCATTATAAAACATCTAGAAATGTTGGAAAAAAATATACAAAACATACTTTTAAAAGCACTGACTTTATAAGATAGTACAAGAAATGTTCAGGAGCTAAAATTGAAACAGGTCACAAACCAGAGCAGTACAGAGACAGGAAGCCTGCGGTTGTCCTGGGAGGGAAGTGGGAGACAGGAAGGGGGCGCCATCGCACTAGCTCAGAGCCAATGCATGCGTGGAGATGGCAGATGAGGTCCTGGCTCCACACATATATAAGGCTGGGAGCTGGAACTGAAACACCAGTAGGGGACTCTTGAAGGACTCTATTTTCAGTAATAGAGAGGTCCTTAAATAAATCCACCCACTGACAGGGAGATGACAAGGTATTTTGTTTATTTCAGTCTGGGTTCTGAGTGAGGAAAAAGAAAGTCTGCCCTGAGTGTTCCTGATCAAGACCTGCCCCCACGTGGATTCAGGGCTTATCTTTTATAGCTCAAGAACTCTCAATCAAGCAATTCATGTAAAAATGAAGCCTGGTTTTCTACCCATGGGGCATTCGACGGAGGCAGTTGTAAAACTTTGCTGCAGAATCACACCTTCGATCCAGGCCTCACAGGATCCTCACAGTTAAAGGCTCAGTGTTGATAAATTCGCAATCTATATTTATGAAACACTCAAGCTACCAGGAGCAAGAGGCAGCAGATACCACAAACAGCATGACTGGATACCTAGGAATTTCCGGTGAGTCAGACATAGGCAATAAAACAGGTATCTTTAGAATGATTAAAGACGTAACACAATAAAAAAAAAAAGGAGAAAAATGCAACTGCAAAGTTGACGGAATAAACAAACACAGTGCTTAGAAAAGAAAAGTATATTCATTGAAGCTGAAAACTTAATTGACGCATTAGAAAGAGCAAAGGAAGCTGGAAGATAACATTAGCTGGAATAGCATTAGTTGGAATATGCAACTGGAGTAAGCATTAGCAAACTGGAAGATAGCTCTGAGCATGAATTCCAAAGAGATTGAGACAAAAAACATGAATAAAAAGGGAGAGATGTAGAGGATAAAATGAAAAGATGTCCAGTAAAAGTTCCAGAAGGAAAACATGGAAAAAATGAGGAAGAGGCAAAATTTGAAGATGCAATGACTAAATTGTCTAAAATTTTTGAAACATAAATTGTCTGATTCACAAAGTTTAAAAAGTCCTGATCAAGAAAAATAAAAATAAGTTCATTCCTAGTGTCAACAACAAAACAAAATGTAATGAAACAACAAAATGTCAAAGACAAAGATCTTCATAAGCAAAAAGTCAGTTAACCAAAATGAACAATAATTACATTGATATAAGCAACACTGTAAGTGTACTAATATCTTTGAGATGCATAGTTATCAAACTAAAGTTCTATGCCCAACTAAACCATCATTAAATAATAATAACAATTGAGAGTGCACCCCTAAAGGACCCTACTAGTAGATGCAATTCAGGAAGAACAAGGCTGACCTCAGAAGGAAGGAGTGAGATGCAGAAAGGTAGAGTAGGCAAGGAAATTAGTAAAATGTAAATAAATCTAAATAGATCTTGACTAAAGTTCTAGTCCAACTAAACCATCATTAAAATAATAATAATTGAGAGTACACCCCTAAAGGACCCTACTAGTGGATGCAATTCAGGAAAAACAAAGTTGAACTCAGAAGGAAGGAGTGAAACCGGGCGTGGTGGCTCACGCCTGTAATCCCAGCACTTTGGGAGGCCAAGGCAGGCAGATCACAAGGTCAGGAGTTTGAGACCAGACTGACAAATATGGTGAAACCCCATCTCTACTAAAGTAAATACAAAAATTAGCAGGGCGTGGTGGTGCGCGTCTGTAGTCCCAGCTACTCGGGAGGCTGAGGCAGAAGAATTGCTTGAACCCGGGAGGTGGAGGTTGCAGTGAGCCGAGATCGTGCCACTGCACTCCAGCTTGGGTGACAGAGTGAGACTCTTTCTCAAAAAAAAAAAAGGAAGGAGTGAGATGCAGAAAGGTATAGTAGGCAAGGATATTAGTAAAATGTAAATAAATCTAAATAGATCTTGATTATAAGCAGCAACATCATGATAGTGATTGATTTTGTGATTATACAATAGGATGGAATTAAAACAAAATGGAAGAGATTATTGGCTTAGAGTGTTCTAAAGTCTTTCTATTCTTTGGGAGGTAGATAGAGATATTTGTTAACTTTAGACTTTGAAATTCACATTTGCATGATCAAGTTGTAAGTATCATCACTAATACAAATGAACTGTATAATTTTCAAACCAATAAAGTGCTCTTAAAAAGCTCTGTGTTCTAGTGCAGTTGACAAAGTATTTCACAGCACCAGAGCCAACGTTTTTCTACCTGTTTTATAAAAGATCCTCCCCATCCTCCAAGCAGACTTAGAGGTTTTCTCCTCTCTGCTCTTGGGTATCTTGGCCAAATCTTTAGAGCAAGTGTAATGGCCAATTTCTTGGGTCAATTTCCTATGCCTCCTCATCATTGTGTCCCAGTGCCTGGCATATACCAGGCACTCTCATGTTTGAAGAAGGAATGGATATGACTTGCTCAAGTTCACACAGCTCTCAAGTGGCAGATAAAAAACAGGGACCCAGATTTTACCTCTTCCAGGTTTGTTCCATCCTTTGACACAATCTGAAAAAAAAAATTGCATTTTAAAAAAAAGTTGTATTTCAAGAACACAGTAGCTGCTTGATTAAAGCAAAAAGAAATCACTCTGAGGTGAAAAGCAAATGAAGGGAAAGAAATTTCATACCAGTAACCGTTGTCAGTCTATTGTTAAAAAAAAAAAAAAAAAAATCCACACTTTGCAGGTTGTGCTAGTGACTGAGCCAAGTCCCAGAACAGGCTTTTGGAATGACTGCCTTTTCCAGGGAAAACTTGACCACATTCACCTCGAGGTAGTCTCTGCTGGGGCATGATCCTAGGGAACTGAGAAGGCCCTCACCCACCAGCTTATCACTGCTAGGAAGTAAAACCTTCAAATATCCCTTGTTGCAATACAGGAACCTACTGGTGATCTGCTAAAGGGGTGGAAGGTGGAAGGGCTGGGAACTTCCTCACGGAAAATTCTGCATTGAAATAGCAAGGAAGGAAAAGTAATTGAAGGGAGAGTAGAGAAAAAAAATGGTGAAGATAGCAAATGCTTGGAGCTGGCTTTTTTCAGATTTTCAGCCTCAGTAACCCATATTTTAAAAGTGGAAACCACATTTGACCTTCCCTTATCTCACATCAAGATTGAAGACTCAGGAGGAAGTGGATCTTTTGAGATTCTTTGACTAGCACCAGATGACTGCATTAGAGTCTCTGAAATGCAAAACTATGTGATCCATGTGATATTTTCTCCAATCCTGTCTTATGAGTTGCAGAGCCAAGAGAAACAGATGGAGAAGGAAAATTATCGCGAAGTAAGCTTTCCTTCAAGAGTAGAAAGGTAACAGATGCCAGTAAAGGGAGGAAGGAATGAGTGCAGGCAGCTCTGGACAACAGGGAAAGGTAGGAGCTGAGAGTGGGTTTAGTTTGGGTTCATGTCTAAATTTACTAATCATCCAGTCACAGTGGTTCCCATCTGTAATCCCAGCACTTTGGGAAGCCAAGGCAGTAGAATCACCCAGGAGTCCAAGACCAGCCTGGGCAACATAGCGAGGCCCCATCTCTATTTCTAAAAATATATATATTTTTTTTTCTTAAATTTTAAATAATAAACTTACTGATGTCAGAGCCATGTGATATCTAGACATATGCCTTTGGCAAGAGGATTAAAATTCTTTTTTTGAGATGGAGTTTTGCTTTTGTCACCCAGGCTGGAGTGCAATGGCACGATCTCAGCTCATTGCAACCTCTGCCTCCCAGGTTCAATTGATTCTCCTACCTCAGCCTCCCAAGTAGCTGGCATTACAGGCGCCCACCACCACGCCCAGCTACTTTTTTTGTATTTTTAGTAGAGACAGGGTTTCACCATGTTAGCCAGGCTGGTCTCAAACTCCTGACCTCAGGCGATCGCCCACCTCGGCCTCCCAAAATGCTGGGATTACAGGCATGAGCCATCCTTCCTGGCCTAAAATTCTTAAATACAGCCTGGTTCATCCACTTAAACAATCCTTTCTCTCCTTTACCTGTCTCCCATATAAAGAAACACCAGAAAGAAAACATGCTCTGCAGAAAGACTAAAAGAAGTTAGAGAGAGAGAGAGAGAATGTGTTTGTTGTGTTTTCAAGAGTGGACTGAGGAATTTTGGCAGCAGGAATATGTAACATTTCTGCCACAGTGGAGTGACTAGGGTTAACTTTTTATTTCAGCCTTCCACTTGGAGGTCAGGTGAAGTTCTTTGTTTTCATTCATCTCCTTTGACACTTTTCACAAGATCATGGAGCTTTGCCAGAAAGGGACTTCACAACTGTCATAACATTTTAATCTCTCCAGGCCTGGGACAAGGTGGAAACCTACAGGTTCCCAAGGAGATTGTTTTCATCATTAGCATTTCAGCCAAAGCCTTAATGCTGCAAAAAGAAAGCATAATGTGGAGCAAGAGTTCCTGCTTTGGCCTATTCTGACTCTAGCTCTCCAGGGCTCTGATGAAGTCCATTGTGATCTAGCATTAGAAAAAAAATAAAAAATAAAAAAAATTTTTTAAAAAGCCTTCTCTCTTAAGCCTTGCTGCTATTCGTACTGGCTCAAAGTGCATGGTTTAATACTTGTAGCTATGAATACTTGCATATTTCCAAAGGCCTTACCGTACACATTTATTGGGAAAAATCTCTATTTTCTCCCAAGTGGGTTTGAGGTAAAAAGAATCCAGTAAATAGCTACGCATTTCATTAGACTGGATGAGGGTGTGGATTGCTGTCATTGTTTGCCCAAGTGAACTGCTGCTGTAAAGAAGCCCCTTACAAAATGTTACCTGCGGGACTGCTTTCATGTCTTCATTAACAACAGACACTTGGCATTAGTGAATCAACCACTGTGTTAATTAGAACTCAGACTTGCAGCCTATCCTCAGCTCATAGAATAAACACTGTTTTCCTTTGACCTAATTACAAGATGTTCTTAAACATCATCATTTTGTAAAAGAAACCATGACTACAAATTGCTTTGTGAACCATGCACATTGTTGGGACTCAAAATGTGTCTGCAGTTTGGAGAAAGTGTTTGCAGTTTGCCAGCAAAAATGCAGTCCATACGAAACAGTGGTGTATACAGGCAATGGGAATGATCTTTTTGCAGATATTATACACTTTTCTCTACCTTCCCTTACCTTCCGCATCACATAGCCCCTATCTAAAAAAAAAAAAGAAAAAAAAGAAAAAAAAAAAAGGTTGTCAGATCAGAATCCGAATAGCCTTTTATCTTATCAACAGATTTTATTTGGTAGGTTCCCCACAGTTGCTGGCTTTGGTGACATTTCAGATTAGGTTGTCATTTCTTCCCTTAAGCCCCAACAACAGCTTTCTATCGTCATGATTGATTAAAAAGCCCAGCAAACAAATAAGCAAATTGCTACACCACCACTATCAACCACGATAAAACTCAGAAACAAAAATATTTTCTTTAAGCCAAAGAGAGTTGATTAAATACCTCATAATGTACTGTGGGTCAGCTGTATTGGGCCACATTGGGTCATTATTGTAGAATTTTATTTTAATATGAACCCTGAGGGACTGTAATGCCTAGAGCCTTACTCAGCCCTGATCTCCCCAAATGCTCCAGTACCGTAAGGAAAAATATCTAGAGCAAGCCTGTCCAGTCCCCGGCCTGCAGGCCACATGCAGACCAGGACGGCTTTGAATGCAGCCCAACACAAATTCGTAAACTTTCTTAAAACATTATGAAATTATTTATTTATTTATTTATTTTTAGCTCATCAGCTATCATTAGTGTAGTGGTTTTATTGTTTTGTTTTGTTTTGTTTTGTTTTGTTTTGTTTTGTTTTGTTTTTGAGACGGAATCTTGCTCTGTTGCCCAGGCCGGAGTGCAGTGGCGCGATCTCGACTCACTGCAAGCTCCGCCTCCCAGGTTCATGCCATTCTCCTGCCTCGGCCTCCCCAGTAGCTGGGACTACAGGCGCCCGCCACCACGCCCAGCTAATTTTTTTTGCATTTTTAGTAGAGACGGGGTTTCACCACGTTAGCCAGGATGGTCTCGATCTCCTGACTTCGTGATACGCCCGCCTCGGCCTCCCAAAGTGCTGGGATTACAGGCGTGAGTGTAGTATCTTTTATGTGTAGCCCAAGACAATTCTTCTTCCAATGTGGCCCAGGGAAGCCAAAAGATTGGACACCCTTGATCTGGAGTATGAAAGAAAAAAACACATTTCAAGCGGCCTGTGGGATGCTGCCAGGAACCCCTCCGAGATTTCTAGTGCTGAGGACTCTGTTCTTCAACACACAAACCTCCTTCTGGGGAGGTGTTCTTGCTGAATATAACTACAGACCCTTGAGCAAAGGACTCCCTTACAGAAAACAGTGGCGAAAAGCTGAAATAATAACTGGGTAATATACAGGTTATTATACAGACTGGCATTCCAATACCACTCTGGAGAGCGTTGACATAGCAGTTCCAAAGACAATCTTTAAAAGTGTTCTGCCACAGGGCCACCGCTAGAGGGCAGAGCAGACCACTTCTGTTTTCAGACGCTTTCTCCGGAGGGGAAATTGAAAAGTTTCCTTTGAAGGATGAGCTGAATGCTGAGCAGACCTTCACACTTAAAAGCATTTCCACCCCTGCACTTCACCCTTCTAGGAGCAGAACAGTGGGTGGGCAGGCAAGCACTACTACGTAAATTGCATTGAAACAGGATTTCATTGGAAGAAAACACTCTTCCAGTGAAATCTGAAGTTTCATAACTTTGATAACTTTCATTTACTAAAATATTTCAGCCCTTTCCATGTGCCAGAGACTGTACTGAGAACTGGGGATATAAACACAAGTATTTCTTTGTTATTTTCCTCTATAGGTTTACGGTGTAGGTGGGCAGACAGACAAGTGAATTAATCAAGAGACAATAATGTCCCAAATGCAATATGAGCTCAAAGGAGGGGAACTGGGATTTCAGGTGGGGTGAGCAGATGGGATGGCTGAGAGTGTTGGAGGCTCAAAGGCCAAATCAGAAGTCACTGGGTGAAGGAGAGAGAAAAGAAAAAGAGGGAATTTTTTTTTTGAGAAACTGTTTTCTGTATAATAATATATAACCGAGAAAATTAATATCCAAATGCAAAATAAAAGAAAAAAGCCAATAGCTAGTACTAAAACCTGTTGTTTTTTAACCATAAACTTCTAGTTTTCAGAAGATTTGGGGTAAAAACAACTTAGGAAGAAAACAGCATAACCACGTTGACCTGAAATGAGCCCATCTGAATATCATTCCTATTGTGTAAGCAGAGTTACACCCGGGAATGCCACGAACCAGACTGGGTAGTCCTCTAGGAATGATGAGGGCTGATGGCTGCTATGTGAGGGTGGTCTCCTCACAGCAATCTTGTTGGAATGTCCCCATTCCTCTGACACACCACCAAATGCACCTGGAATGATGAACGCTAATGTGGTTCTCAAGCCATGCTACACGTTCACATCAATCAGGGAACTTTCAGATGTCCAGCTCTCTCTCTACCTCCCTGTTCTGATTCAATGTTTGAAAACTCTCTAGGTTATTTTACAGTGCAGTCAGGGTTGAGGCCTACTGAGTTATACACTGGTGATATTTCACAGGGGAAACATAAGATGACAGCTAGGGACGCGGGCAATATCATTTTCTTTTAGCACCAGGAAATAATTGAACCTTCTACTTTAATATTATGTGACTTTTTTTCTGAGATTACAATCTACACCTCAGTTTTGTTTGTTTGTTTGTTTTGAGATGGAGTCTTGCTCTGTCGCTCAGGCTGGAGTGTGGTGGGGTGATCTTGGCTCACTGCAACCTCTGCCTCCTGGGTTCAAGCGATTCTCCCACCTCAACCTCCTGAGTAGCTGGGCTTGCAGGCCTGCGCCACCAAGGCTAACTTTTGCATTTTTAGTAGAGACGGAGTTTCACCGTGTTGTCCAGGCTGATCTTGAACTCCTGACCTCAAGTGATCCACCAGCTTTGGCCTCGCAAAGTGCTGAGATTACAGGCGTGAGCCACCGCGCCCCAACTTATGTAATTTTTTAACTTGCACTTCAACACCTGAGATAGTTCGCAGGTAAAATACGTTATCACAAAGAAAACAATATGAAAATAGAAATGAGTATGCAGAGGGTAGATAATGTTGCAAAATGTTCATTTTTACCTTTTTCATTAGTCACTTTGTAATTTGTAAAGGGTCCCCCTCAGATAGGCATTGGAAAGCCCCTCCCTTTGGTCTCTCTCTTCAGAATCCTCTGGGTGCCTTTCTGCCCTTCCTTGAGAGTCCCAGCCTCATCACTGAATAACAGAGACAGATTTACCGGCTCCAGAGGCTCCCTCTTGGCTTCATCCTGGACTCTGGATGGCATCCTCTGCTGTGCTTTCTTATGAACGACGTGTGCTGACGGTTAGCAGTTTGGAATTCTTCATCTTAGAGCACCTACAAGGGCCAGGCACGGTGGCTCACGCCTGTAATCCCAGCACTTTGGGAGGACGAGGCGGGCAGATCACCTGAGGCCAGGAGTTCGAGACCAGCCTGGTCAACATGGTGAAACCCCGTCTCTACTAAAGTAAATACAAAAATTAGCTGGGCATGGTGGTGCATGCCTGTAGTCTCAGCTACTCGGGAGGCTGAGGCAGGAGAATTGCTTGAACCCGGGAGGCAGAGGTTGCAGTGAGGCAAGATCCAGCGCCACTGCACTCCAGCCTGGGCGACAGAGCGAGACTCCGTCAAAAAAAAAAAAAAAAAAGCATCCACACGACTGACAACCCTTACTGCTGGTACCACTCACCTCCAATTATTATGCTGACATATTACTTAATTTTGTCATGTTACTTTGTCTTTCCAAATAGCTCCTCTCCGTCAGGAGAGAGTGTGATGGGAGGGTGGAGAAAGATGTAAGAGGAGGTGGGGATAAGGGTGGTGAATCTGGCCCAGCCACATCTTTTTTTCAGCTTGCCAAGGGTGCTGAATGGGAGGTTAACGTCAAAAGGGCTGCATTCCGAACGAGTTGCTCCAAAGTGGTGTAGGGTGTACAGCAAGATTTTCTGTATTTCGGGGGCACTTTGACTCAAACTAGGGTTCAGGAAAGCCGCTGACCATTCAAGTTGATCCTCTTCTGGTCAAGAGGCTGCAGCGAGGGAGAACTCTAGCAAGAAACAGGAAACTGGAGGCCGAGAAATGGTGAGGGCTGGAGAATTCAATACTGGCAGCCCCTTGCTGCGGGAAGGCAGGGGAGCCGCTGCTCTGACACACTTGTGCCGCTAGAGGGCAGCGCAGGGCAGAGCAGCTACTCAAGCGCACCATTTGGGGAGCGCAGGATTTCAGCAGCTGGAGGAGTCACAGGGAAGCCATTCATAAAACAAGCATAGAATAAATTATCTAGCAAGGAAGGTTGCTTTGAAATATGACCAGGAAAAGGGTAGGCACCAAAGGTAACAATTGCTTTAATAACTTTGAGTAATGAGACTTTTTTTTTTTTTTTTTGACAGAGTATCTCTCTGTCTCCCAGGCTGGAGGGCAGTGGCGCGATCTCGGCTCACTGCAACCTCCACTTCCCGGGTCCAAGCGATTCTCGATTCTCCTGCCTCAGCCTCCCGTGTAGCTGGGACTATAGGCCCGCGTCACCTCGCCCGGCTAATTTAATTTTTGTATTTTTAGTAGAAACGGGATTTCACCATGTTGGCCAGGCTGGTCTTGAACTCTTGACCTCAAGTGATCCGCCTACCTCGGCCTCCTAAAGTGTTGGGATTACAGGCGTGAGCCACCGCGCCCGGCTGAGTAATGAGACTTTTCTGCAGTGAACATGGAAATAGGCTGCTTCAGAGGTAACGAGAGAAGGGAATTTTGAGATTATTTGAAACGGTGATTTATCTCAGTACAGACATGGCACATGTTCACTTCAGGGATATAAAATGAGCTAATCAGGGGCTACAGTGGCCTTCCTAAGTCTCATGAAACACTTCCAAAAACTTTCCATGCTTTCCCTAATTTTGTGCAGCAAACGATAAGAGACACTTAGGGACAGGGATTTGCTTCACATGAGAACTAGCCCAAGAAACCAACTACACGTGGACCACACAGACAGCATCTCCAAGAGTGATAGACAGTACTCAACCTCCATCGTTTCATTTTGATGGAAACAGAGTGAGTTTAAGGAAGGCTTTTGGTGAGCACGTGTTTTATATTTCTATTTCATAATGCTGGTATTTCTATCAGTCTTTCTGGAATATTTCTCCCCTAAATGCAGAGAGAATCAAAAGCAAGAAAAGTGGATTCTAGCTCTCAAAGAGTTTCCAGAGTCCTGAAGAAGCTGGAAAGTTATTCAGTCAGGTTCCTAACAGGAAGCAGATGGCATGCCCAAGGTAGGATCATTCTGGGATGGTTTATTTACTAATGCATGGGCAGAGTGCAAGGGACCCTCATGAGATGGTGCAGAAAGTAGCTCAGAGCTTTAACAGCAAGCTGTCACTACACCTGAATCTGAGGGAGGGGAGGGAGTACTCATGGGGTTGCTGAAGAGAGAGTCCGTGGAGAGAAGTCCAACTTGTAAGAAGGACAGTGATCTTAGGTTGCAGCCAGCCCCAGGTGACCACACCCTCCCCTCCTCTCCCTTCTCTCCCCTTCCCCTCCCCTCCCCTTCCCCTCCCCTCCCCTCCCCTTCCTTTCCTGTCCTTTGTCCTTTGTCTCCTTTTCCCAGAGGATAAGAGGATTGGTTGATACAATCCTTTCAGGTCAGACTTCCAGGGGAGACATCAAAATGGACATAATCCCACTTACCTGAAATAAGACATGAATGTAACTGCTACTACTTGTGCAGAGGTCCACCTGGCAATACTGCAGGCCCATCTGGGCAGCATTCAAAGAAACGAGGGCTAATGGCTGGCATGTAGGAATCAGTTCCTCAGAGCAATCATGGTAATAAAATAAAGTTGAACTCTGTCTAAATGCAGTTCTTTGTAAATATGTCTTTTCTCTGGCTGCTTTTAAGAGCTTCTTTTTATCTTTGATAATATGAAATTTGATTATGATGTACTTTGGTGAGAGTTTTTTTTGTAGTTTTATTTTTTTATTTTTTGCGTGGGGCCCTTCAGGCGTCCTGGATCTATGGAACAGCACACCACATCACATATCATATCACTTTCGGAAAATTCTTAGCTAGTATCTTCTCCCCATTCTCTTTTCTGTCCTTCTGGAACTTTAATATTAAATCTCCTCTTTTTTTTTTTTTTTTTTTAGCTTGTCTGTGATATTTCCCATTTATTTTGTGTCTTCGTACTATAGTCTGTGTAATTTCTTCAGATAATTCTCAGTACACCAATACTCTCTGCCTGCACCTAATCTGTTGTTCAGTCCATCCATTGAATGTTGTTTTCATTTGTTTTGTGTGAGGGCAGTGGGAGGGGTGAGCGTACAATTGTTTCTTTTGAAATCTACCTAGTCAGTTAACAGTCTCTTCCTGGTATGTAATTCTGATTTCCTAATTTCTTCCTCAAACTTCTAAATCATTTATATTCTGCAAACACTAACGTTAACATCTGAAATCTTTGTAAATGTGATTCCTCTGCAGGTTTTCTTAGCTAACTCCTGCTTATTGGACTTTGTTTCCTTTTTTTACAAAAAAAAATTATTTGATTCTGTGAGTTCATAGTTATTGGAGCATTATCTGCAGGAATGCTGTATGTCTGGGTTGTTGTTGGTTTACCCAGAAAGAATTTATGTTTGCTTTGGCCAGGAGCATAAGGGAGAAGAATGCTACCAGCCTGGTACTACTACTTTACCTTCTTGGCTTGGGATTTGGAGAGACCATGCAAGCAGTGTGAGTTGGAGCCCCAAACCTGCACAGAAGTTTTTTGGTGTTTGTTTGTTTGTTTGTTTTTGATACAGAGTCTCACTCTATCTCCCAGGCTGGAGCACAATCTTGGATCACTGCAACCTCCGCCTCCCGGGTTCAAGCAATTCTCCTGCCTCAGCTTCCCAAGTAGCTGGGATTACAGGCATGCACTATCACACCTGGCTTATTTTTGTAATTTTTTATAGAGACGGGATTTCACCATGTTGGCCAGGCTGGTCTCAAACTCCTGACCTCAGGTGACTGGCCCACCTCAGCCTCCCAAAGTGCTGGGATTACAGGCGTGAGCCACCACACCCAGCCGCCAGGAGCTTGTTCTTACTATGCGTTCTTAGGAGAGGTGGGTTTTGTTTGTTCGTTTGTTGTTGTTTTCCATTTTACTTAGAGGAAAGGTCAAGACCAGCAAAGTTTTTTACTTTCAGTCTTTGTGGGGCAGCCCTTTGAAATCGTAGCTTAAATGGGGCTTTCTGAACTGAATATCACCTTGCAAGGTCCCTGCCTCCCATGTGGCCCTGCATCCCATGTAGCTCTTGAAATCAGAGTTCCAGGTCCCAGTGCATGGAAAGATGCCCTTTAACCCATCCACGGCCTTGATGCCATGTCCTCTCTGCATCTGTGCCATGTCCGTAGTCATGCATGGACTGCCTTTGAAGACCTTATTCCCTTGTCACTGTGAACTGTCTATTTTAAAAGATTTTTTTTAAGTCTTAATCTAGCATTTGTAGTTAGGTTAGCAGTGATATTTTTAGGATGTTTTCTGCAATATTCCCAGAAACTCTCAGATCTTAAATAAGAGATCTATGATAGTAGCTTTTTAAAAATTATTATCACTTTATGCTGGATACTGGCTAAACGCTGAATATCTTATCTCATTTAATCCTCAGAACAATACTACGAAGAAGGAATAATCAATTCCACACTTTATAAAGGAGGAAAATAAGGTTCTGAGAAATTAAGCTGCCAGGAGTTATGCCATAGTTATGAATTGGTGAAACCAATTTGTCTGATGACCAAGTCCATGTTTTTATCCACAATAAACAGTTATTATGGTGCTATCTTAAAGCTTTGGAGACTATTTAGTAAATGTTAGCACATCTCTTCTTCCCTAAGTGCTCAACCAAGCTCTTTTTTTTTTTTAAACCACAGCCAAACTTAAAACAGCCTGTATCAGTTAGAGTTCACACGGGAAAACAGAGCCATTCCAAGTCTTATAGGGATTTGGGGTTTAATACTGAAATTGAAGCTTACAGAATGTGAGAGGAGCTGGGTAGTACAGGAGGTCTGGATGGAGAGTTGGAGGATCAGAGAAAGTTGCTAACCTCCTTGGGCTGCAGCAAGCTGGGTGGGAGGGTGACAGCTTGTGGAAAGATGTGGAGAAGCTGTGTACATGGGCCACCAACATGGGACCACCAAGGAAGAGCTCATAGAGAGGCCTGTGGAAACTTCCACCTCCATGGAACTCCCAGTGCTGTGGGCCTCAGCCAAGTGCTGGTTGGTGGGCTTTGGGCTGCTGTTGGTTGGTCAGATTACAAGTTGAGAAGACAGGCTGGACAATGAGCAGAGAACAGCCAGGCCAAGCTGGTGCCTGCTGGCCCCTCTGTGTCTATAGGTCACCGTGTCAGCCCCATAACCTTCCAGGGATAACGGCCTCTTGCTCACATCTGCCTTCCTTCGAGTTCTTCTCCTGGCAACTCTTACCCAGAATCATAGACAGAAGAGGATCGTGGTAAACAGCCCCTCGCCTTAGGAGAAGCAGTGCTGACCTGTCTGCAGACAATCCAGCACACATCTCTGTGATATCTAGATCAGGTGGCCCTTCAAATGTCTGGGACATAATATAAATACACGTTTAAAAAAAAATAAATGGGACCTAATTAAACTAGAAAAGCTTCTGAACAGCAAAAGAAATAATCATCAAAGTAAACAACCCGTAGAATGGGACAAAATATTTGTAAACTATGCTGACAAAGGACTGATATCCAGAATCTATAAGAAACTCAAATAAGGCCGGGTGCGGTGGCTCACGCCTGTAATCCCAGCACTTTGGGAGGCTGAGGCAGGTGGATCACGAGGTCAGGAGATCGAGACCATCCTGGCTAACATGGTGAAATCCTGTCTCTACTAAAAATACAAAAAAATTAGCCAGCGTGTTGGCGGGTGCCTGTAGTCCCAGCTACTCAGGAGGCTGAGGCGGGAGAATGGCGTGAACCCAGGAGGTGGAGCTTGCAGTAAGCCAAGATTGTGCCACTGCACTCCAGCCTGGGCAACACAGCAAGACTCTGTCTCAAAAAAAAGAAAGAAACTCAAACAAATCAGCAAGAAAAAAAAAAAAGAGTCCCATCAAAAAGTGGACAAAGGATGTGAGTAGACATTTCTCAAAAGAAGATATACAAATGGCCAATAAACATATGAAAAAATGGTCAACATCACTAATCATCAGAAAATGCAAATTAAAACCACAATGAGATACCACCTAGCCCCAGCCAGAATGGCCATTATTAAAAAGTAAAAAAAGAAAAAAGACACCCTCGGCAGGACCCGGTGGCTCACGTCTGTAATCCCTGCACTTTGGGAGGCTGAGGCGGGCTGATCAGCTGTGGTCAGGAGTTCGAGACCAGCCTGGCCAACATAGTGAAACCCCATCTCTGCTAAAAATACAAAAATTAGCCAGGCGTGGTGGCACGTGCCTGTAGTCCCAGCTACCTGGGAGGCTGAGGCAGGAGAATCACTTGAACCTGGGAGGCAGAGGTTGCAGTGAGCCGAGATCACACCACTGCATTCCAGCCTGGGTGACAGAGCAAGACTCTGTCTCAAAAAAAAAAAAAAAGAAAAAGAAAGAAAAAGAAAAAGGCACCTGCACACATATTTTTATCACAGCACTATTCACAATTGCAAAGACACGGGACCAACCTAAGTGCCCATCGACCAATGAGTAGATAAAGAAAATGTGGTATATATACATCATGGAATACTACTCAGCCATAAAAAAGAACTAGATTTGTTTTTTGCAGCAACGTGGATGGAGCTGGAGGCCATTATTCTAAGTGAAGTAACTCAGGAATGGAAAACCAAAAACTTTATGTTCTCTATTATAAGTGGGAGCTAAGTTATGAGTGCACAAAGGCGTACAGACTGATATAATACTTTGTAGACTCAGAAGTACAGAAGGTGGAAGGGTGAGAAGGGAGTAGGGGATTAAAAACACTATATATTGAGTATAATGTACACTACTCAGGTGACAGGTCTACTAACACCTCAGGTTTCACCACTGTACAATTCATCCATATAACCAAACACCACTTATACTCCAAAAGCTATTGAGATAGATAGTTGACAGATAGATAGACAGATGCATCTGCATCTCCCTATGTATAATATATAATATAATCTATCTATATATAATAAATACATGTTTAAAGCACAGTATTACCTTTCAAAAAAATTTAAAAAAATTGATTGATTTAAAAAAAAATCAATGAACACAGTATTTGGAAGTCCACTTGATTTTATTATCACCAACGGAATTATGACACAAAGCTTAATACAACTTTTGAACTTAGGCCTGGTATTTGTCAATCAGCTAATTACCATTAGGCCACAAGACAGTCTCGCTGTTGTCTAAGAAAAACTCAGGAGCTACACATTGAAAGACTTTTAAATACTGTCATTTGCAGACTTAAGATAACTCCCATTCTGAGAACCCTGAAATGAGTTATAGTTCCATCTGACAAGATCCATAAAGAGGTTACCTCGAGTTAAAACCATTATAGGCAAATAGTCTTATTGTGGGTATTCTGTGTCCTTATGCCCTGTTCTTATTTTGCTTTGTTTTTTAATGCTTTCAGTAATTTGGTCTTCATAGAAACAAGTTCCGAAAAGTTAAATAATAAGTATTACCTTAAATACTTGAGTCAAATTTCCTATTTGCCTAAGTGAAGCCACCTTAGCCACTATGTGTATCCCAAAATATATACAACCCGTAGACCTATATCTGGTTAATCAGTGAGAATTGACCCCATCGTGTTCAAAAGTCAAGAAAAAGGATTCAAAATTGAGAATAAGTCTCAGATACCTTCCTAACTTATTACTGCCTTGGGAAAAAAAATCTTTCAGGACTAAGTAGACTCTTCTAATTTATTATCAACTCACTGATATTTCTGGAAGTATTTCTCTCTCTGCTTTCTGAGTTCTCCTTTCCGATGTTGAGAGACTTCTGAGTGTACTGCTTTTTGGATTTAGTTTTTTATGAGGAAGACTCATTTTGAAACCAAAGCTCAACAAGCCGTTGTTAAGATAAATGACTGACTAGCTAAGCAGCAGCAGGTGCCAATGTTTTCTGTCTCCACAGAAACATGAGCACAGTGACCTCTAGTGGACACTACATAGCCAGAAAGCCTAATGCTCAAAGTGGAGGTCAATCATGGAATGGTAAAAGCTCTTTTATTTTTTCTTTTGATGTGGAGTTATTGTCAGATTCTTCCAAGAATCATAACTGAGGCAATGTGAAAAGTGACCCTTTCTCTCCATACTTCCTCTCCAATCTCTTTTATTCATATCAATCAGGAACTTTTATTAGTGAAAACCTTCAAATGTTGCCAGCTCTCACCCCATCATGGGCCCCTCATTTCCCTCTACCTGTGCCGACTGCACCGACATCTAACTCAGCAATGCAGTGGCTTGCCAGGTGTTTTCATTACTGTGGGGCTTAATGAAAAAACAGGTGCTGGCTTTGCCCCAAGCAGACCGAATCAGAATCTCTAGGCGGGATCTGAGAATTATTTTCAGAAATCCACGTATGAGTCTAATACCCTTATAAAGGTCAAAGCCTGCCATTCTCTGCCTCACCATTTTTCTTCAATTAAAAATATTTTAATTTTAATTTTTAAATTTATGTGATCCCAAAATCAGAAAATAGAAAACACAAATATTTACGTATCCAGCAGAACATTTTCCTACAATTCTCTGCATCTGTCCAGTCCCCCATAAACATGTCCACTAAGGGACCATTTGTCCAAGGTGGTGTCCTGTCCTCTTAGGGTTTTTCTCTGCTGATACAAGTGAATACAAACATAAATTACCATCTTCCCCATTTTTATACAAAAGGAAACAAACTATACAAAGCAAAGTATACTATAATATACAAAGTATTTATACTTTGCTACCGTGTCTCTTTTAGATCCTTTCACATCAGTAGGTAGAAAGCCTCTTCATTCTATTTTTCTAAAGCTGCATGTCATTCCTTTCTATGAGCATATCATAAATTCTAACCAGTTCCCTATTGAAATGTTTTTCCCCACCCTTTTGCTAACGAACAATGCTCCAGTGACTGACCTTGCACATAGATAATTTCATGTGTATGCCAGGAAAAAATTTCCAAAGTGGAATTGCTAGGTCGAAAATAATTTGGTAATAATATAATAAAAAATAAAATAAATAATAATTCTTATTTTATTTTATTATGCTTTAATTTAAAAAATACATTTGATCTTTGTCCCCAGGTTCTTGGCACAAAGCTTGGGAATTTGAATTTCCTGATAGGAGGATATTTGGTTATTCATAACAAGCCCTTTTTGACTGTACCTGAGTTTATGCTAAAGAGGTGACTCATGACAAGGCCCTTAGCTTCCAGATGGGGGTTGGTCACCAGAGAAGCCAGCCATGTGATTAGAGGGTTAGAACTTTTAACTCCACCCTCTGACCTGTGGGAAGGGGAAAGAGACTAGACATGGAGTTCAGTCTTGTGACCAGTGGTTTAATCAGTCATATCTGCATAATGGAACCTATATAAAACCCTTGGACCATGAGACTCGAAGAGCTTTCCAGCTGGTGAACACATCATGTGCTAGGAGGGTGGTACATGGAAGCCCTGTATTCCCCTATCCTCATATCTTGTTCTATCCATCTCTTCCATTTGGTTATTCCTAAGTTGTTTCCTTTATTATAAAACTGTAGCACTCTCAGTGAGTTCTGTGAGCCATTCTAGTGAATTACTGAACCTGAGGGAGGTCATGAGATCCCCCAAATTTGTAGTCAGCTAGGCAGAAGTACAGGTAGCTTGGGATACCTGAGATTGGTGGCTGATGTCAGATGTGAAGGCAATTTGGGGACTGAGCCCTTCGCATGTGGGGTCTGTGCTAACTCCAGGTGTTTAGTATCAGAGAGGAATTGAAGTGTTGGGCACCCAGTTGAAGTCATAGAATCAGTGTCAGAGCATACACACCATTATCACAATCCAATATGAGGAACCTTTGTGGAGTGATGGAAATCTGAAATCTTTCAGTTCTTTACTTACCTGATCTCTTTGCAGCACTGGACATGGTCAACCAGTCTTCATTCCTAAAACCCTCCTCTACTGGTTCCTGAAAACTAAACTTTTCACCTTCCTCCTACCTCTGACCACCTCTTCCCAGGCTCCTTTGCAGGCTCTCCTTTATCTTTTTGTGCCTAAAATAGTTCTCCAGGTGTCTTTTCCCAGGTCCAATCTCCTGTGCATTGATGACTTCTAAATTTGTATCCCCAATCCCCCAAGTCCTTCTCATAGGCTGATGACCAACAGTCCAACGCATTTTTGGACATTTCCTCACAGATGCATTGAACTCACTAAAACGAAACTCTCCATCTTTTCGCTTTGCTTCTGTGCTCTCTGTTCCAAACCTGCTTTGGGTCATGTATTCCGGTCAATATGAACTACAACCATGCCCAAGTAGACACCCTATTCGAGTTGCTCTCTGTGATTTGCCCTTCGTTGAAGTCATCCTAATTAGTGCAGCCAATGTTCTGCCAAACAAGAGGAATTGCTTCTTGTAGAAAATGTAAAAATAAAAGAGAAGATTTCAATGCAAATGAAGAAGATTTAGTCATGACTGAAGAGCACAGGCTAGGAAAGCGCTGTCTGGTGGACCAAGACATTACCTTGGACACTAAACCATGAAGCGGGGCCTGAAAGGACTCCCTTTTACAGAAGACCTACAGGCTTCTCCCAGAAGATGGAATTAAGGCAAGCACGAAAACTTGGAGGCTACCTATTTACCAACCTTTTTAAAAAAAGTTTTAAAAAAATTATAATTTCTGCAGGATTCCTATGTGACCACAGTGCTAAGTGCTTTATATATATTATTTCATTATTGCTCACAATAGGGCTAGGCATGGTGGCTCACTCCTGTAATCCCAGCACTTTGGGAGGCTAAGGTGGGTGGCTCACTTGAGGTCAGGAGTTTGAGACCAGCCTGGCCAGCATGGTGAAATCCTGTCTCTGCTAAAAATACAAAAAAAAAAAAAAAAAAAGGCCAGATGTGATAGTGCACACCTGTAATTCCAGCTACTTAGATGACTGATGCACAAGAATTGCTTAAACCCAGGAGGCAGAGGTTGCAGTAAGCTGAGATCTCACCACTGCACTCCAGCCTGGGTGACAGAGTGAGACTCAGTCTCAAAACAAAAAAACAAAGAAACAAACAAAAAATTGCTTACAACAACCCTGTAATCTAAGTGTTGTTTGCTCCACTGTTTAGATAAGGACATTTGGGGTTAGGAGGTTATTTGCCCAAGGACAACCTAACTTGTCAATTCTACAGCTTGAATTCAAGTCTACCTGTAAAACCTGTAGCCTGATCCGTGACAGTAGCCAAAGCCTTTTTTTTTTGGTCACAAAGGTAGTCCAAAAAGTTATCTGATGATGCTACATCCCTCTGAGTTTTTTAGGCTGGGCTAAAAGCATCATTCTAACTGCCCTATAGTTTTTATTCTGTTTTATTGTAAAGCAATGATTCATACAGTTAGAACTACCCAGGGTTAAATTCCTTTTTGTATATATTAAGCACAAATAGCAAAGTGCTGGATAGCATAATTACTTTTGTACAAAAATATGTACTTTATAAATAGATAGTATTTTAGGATATTTGCTTTTTTATAATGGAATGTTGGGGATAAGAAGGGAATGAGGTTGCAGCTAATCCTATTGGTTTTGTACAGTTCTGTAAAGATTAAATTTATAAGTGGGTTAAGTGGATGGGGGGATCGTGGTCCATGTTTTGGCTTGTTTTTATACCTCTTTGGATTAAAAAAATCAATATTTATTACTTTAAAAACTACCTTTTAGAAGTCACTCTCAAACTATTTTTCTACAAAGAGCCTTTTCAATAAACATCTTAGGAAAGTGCAGAGGTTGAAGAGCATTTCATGAGGAAGTCTTCTTTCTGGCTTCTGATAAGGCATGTCATTTAAATGAACAATTCTGCAGGTCACCCTCCACCTGAAAAATTACTGAATGCTCCCAGAGTCCCATAAACAAAGATCTTCTTTGTCCTTGAGCCAAACCCATATGTGGTTAAAGACAAAGTCAGCTTGCTTTGAAGTTCAGAGAAAGAGTTGACTACAGTACTTCACCACTGAGAAACAATATGACCCTAGCTCACTCTTATGGACGGGGTGCCTTTCACCCTTTGCACCTGTCAAGGAAGACAGACTTTTTTATCTATTTTCTTAAAAGTGGCCATGCAGCTTTATAAAGGTGTTTGTGGAAGTACTTCAACTGAATTTATATTGGAATTTAGAAGATGTGAAGATAAAATACTTCACATAAGAAAAATACTATGTTTTCTTATTACTTATTAAGTAACGAGACATTTCACTGAAATACATAAGAAAAGTACGTTTTACTTGTATGTGGTCCTATTGCATATGTTGAATACCTTTTAATAGCTATTCTGAATATTAAGTTTCAAACCTTATCAGTCAAAGGATATAATTTATAAGAGTCCCCTTAAGTAGGACGTGGAGGTCAGATGTTGGGCAGGAAAGCAAACAAACACAGAAACTAACAAATTTTCACTATGCTTTCCAGGAAAGGGACATTTTATCAGAGTCCTGAAGGACGAGTGGTAGCTAACTAGATTAAAGGAGGGGAAAAGTAGAAAATATTTCAGGCAAAGAGAACATCCTGTCTGAAGTCCCCAGCCATGAGGAAAGACAGCAGTATACAAGAAACTGAAAGAAAGCCATGGAGCTCAGACCGCTGCAGGGACAGTGGCCCCGAAAAAGGCTAGGCACAGAATTGTAGGCTATGCTGTTCTTGCCTCTATCCAGAAACTGACAGAAAATCATTGAAAGGTTTTCACTATGTGTGGGAAGGTTTTAAAGACGCTGTCAAAAAGTCAGCAGCCTAGTTTTTTCCCTTTGAGGGTAATCCTCTTTCACCCTGGCTACTTTTTCATTATGACATGTTTTGTGTGGATTAGTGTCCTTCGCCAACTGTGAAAAACTAGCCATCATCTCTTCAGGTATTTTTTCTTCCCCATCTTCACTGTCTCCTCTTCATCAAGAACGCTAACTGGATGTCTGTTAGGTCTACTTACTTTGTCTTAATCTCTCTATCAGGTTTTCCATCTCTTTTTCTCTCTTTACTGCATTCTGGAAAATTTCTTCAGAACACTGTGGTTCACTAATTCTTCAGCCTGCAGAATTTTTTTCTTTTTTTTTTTTTTTTTTCATTTCTTGTGGTTGTATTTGCTTCTTTTTCAAACTTAGATGTTCAGCTTCTTTATAATCCTATTCATTATTCAGGTTTTTCAGTTTTTCCTTCATTTTTTTAAATTAAGCTTTTAATTTCGAGATAATTATAGACTCACACGCAGTTGTAAGGAATAATGCAGAGAGCTCCCATGTGCCATTTACCCAGTTTCGCATGGTGGTAATGAAACTATAAAATGTGTTGTAAAATTATAGCACAGTGTCACACTAGAACCTTAATTTTTTGTTGTTTTGTTTTGTTTTTGTTTTTGTTTTATTTGTTTGTTTTTTGAGACCAAGTCTCTCTCTGTCAACCAGGCTGTAGTACAGGGGCACGATCTCAGCTCACTGCGACCTCCGCCTCCACCATTCAAGTGATTCTCCTGCCTCAGCGTCCTGAGTAACTGGGATTATTGGCATGCACCAACATGCCTGGCTAATTTTTGTGTTTTTATGGAGTTTCACCATGTTGGCCAGGCTGGTCTCAAGCTCCTGACCTCAAGTGATCCACCCGCCTCAGCCTCCTAAAGTGCGGGGATTACAGGCATGAGCCACCGCACACAACCTAGGACCTTAATTTTTTAAAACATTAAACTACCTTTTAATATTGTGTGTCTGATAATGGCAATAGTAGAAAATGCTTTGTGGGTCTTTTTTAAAGTTATGTACTTATTTCTGTTAGTTCTTATTCATAGTGTCTTTCTTCGTTGGGTAACTTATGATTTCTCATGAGGAAATGGTTTTTTTCTTGAAACTTTATATGGAGGGACTGATTTAGACTTTGCACTGAAGCTAATTCCAACAAAGAAAACTGCCTTTGCTTCTGTCTGGCTCCTTGTAGCACTCTCAACCCAGGTATCCTTTATACTAAATACTTGGCTGGAGGTATTTTTGGATGACCCAGATAATATGAATTTAGGCTGCAAATCCACATGAAGGCTGGGTTATGGATGCTTAGAAAGATTCTGCTAGAGTTGATGGGACTCAGGCTTACATCTAGTCCACTCTTTCATAAGGGATTGGTCAAGACAATGTGTCCAGAACAGCCTTTTACTTGGTTTAATAATCTTGATGACAGCATCTTGAAAATCTTAATATCGTCTTACCAAGTAGCCCACATTTTTATTTTGCCCTGGGCCCCCTATGTTATCCAGCGGGTCCTGCAAGGGGTATGGCCCTTTGGGCATCCCAGCTGTCTAAGGCAAGGTTACCTATTGGATGGGACTTTTTCTCCTGACCCTGTAATTGGCACATCCCCCAAACTCAAAGCTCCCATTTACTAGTTTGGTAAGAACAGCTTACATGCTCTTATTGCCCCTCTACATTTCTGTTTTGACTTTTTCCTGAATACCCTTCTCTTTATTTCAAGTCATCAGTGCTTCTGGCGGCTAGTTTAAAATCTTGCAATGCTGTCTCCCGCTGCTGACTCCTCTTCTTGGGAAGGCCCCTCCAGGCACACTGTTCCCTTCATAGGATCACCAGCATCCTTCCTGATCATGCCCCTTCTATCCCCCTTCCAACTCCAAATCTAGAAGACCCTAATTTGCTTTCCAATATGTTGTTTAAGGCATTTGCTCTATCCCCTTATTCTTTCAGGGTTTAGCTCTTTCAATTCTCAAAAGCTTTTCTTCTTTCCAAAATCGCTGCTTCAGCAAATCTAAAGCTCTGCCTTTTGAAATCTCTGTTAGAAGATTTTGAAATATGTTTAGAAATTGAAAAGGTAAATAGCATTTTTTTCTCTTTGCATTCCTCCTATACTAATCTAGTCTTCCCTAGGGAAGGGGTATCTCTCAATCAATGGTGTGAGGGGAAGGGGTCAGCAAAGCAAAACCTTGCTTTATGACTCAGTTTTGTCCCACCACACATTGCTTGAGTGCTTGGAGTCTTCGAGTCCAGCTCTACAGCTGGACTTCCCAGTTACAGAAGCAAATATTAATAAATTTAGATTTTGGACATAAGCCAGCTTGAGTTGAACTTCTTGCCTTAAAATGGAAGGACTCTTGATTAGTCCAATGGTGACCAGATGGTGGATAGTTACTGAACCCTTTTCTCAAGAAACCAACCACAGGGTTGAGTTGCTGTGAGCTCCAACAGCTATTTATTTGGTGGAAATGGCAACAGGCAAAGCCAGTTTGCGGTGTTTAAAGTATGGCTTTGGATTTGAGCTTTGAGCTCAAAAAAGAAGAAATTTACAAATGTGTGAAGCACTGAAAATACAAAAGTTAATTACATTTATTGGAGAACAGAACAAGACCAAATATATTCTACCAGATGGTGATAGCTCTGTGCTCTATCAGGTATTTCAGGTTGTTTTGGGGATATACATGGTTATGGCTTAAATCTCTGGGAACCAGAGTGAATTCATTAAAATGAGATGAACTGTACTTCTCATTTCTGCTTTACATTTGCATAGGCTGTCCTCTTCCATTTTATTAGAAGCATTATCTTAAGTACAGGTTAAAGGAAAAAGCACCAGAAAGCATTGCTTTCTGAAAATCTATGTAAAAGCTCTGGAAATATTTTTCTATAGGCTCAGAAACTTGTGGCTTCTTCAGAATATTGCATCTCTTTTCTTCTTTTTCTTTAGTATATTTAAATTTTAACAAAAATTATTTTGGAATTTTTCTCCTTTTTCCTGACTTTCTGGATAGCCACCATTTCATTTCTTCCACTTTGTAAAGATTTACCGTCCCTCAGTTTCTCTCTATGCTCTGCTTGAGTGTGACATTCATTCCCAGGTTTTGAAGGATTCTTATCCCTTGGGTGTTCTGGGAGCTGCTCCACACCCCTCTGGGTCATTTCCTCCTTGGAAACAAAAATTCCATGCTTCAGCCTTCCTTATCTCCCTCAGGAGAATGTTTCCTTTTTCACATTCAATGCGGCCTAAGAAACAAACATCCTAAGAGGCACTATCATAGAGAAACATATGCCATGGTGCTCTGCCAGCAAGATGAGTTCTGCCACCACTGGCTGGCCAGACTCCCTAAGGTGACGGCTGGCCCCTAGTGCCTGCCTGGTGACAGACCAGGGCCTGGGAGGAAGCCACCCTGCCATCATCCTCAGGGCCTGTTCAAGGCCACATACACCTAGGGGAGGTACTTTCACAATTAGAAACACTATGGGGGGGAATTTTTTTTTTTTTTTTTTTTTGAGACAGAGTCTCACTTTGTCGCCCAGGCTGGAGTGCAGTGGTGCAATCTCAGCTCACTGCAAGCTCCGCCTCCTGGATTCACGCCATTCTCCTGCCTCAGCCTCCTGAGTAGCTGGGACTACAGGTGCCCGCCACCACGCCCAGCTAATTTTTTGTATTTTTAGTAAAGACGGGGTTTCATCATGTTAGCCAGGGTGGTCTCGAACTCCTGACCTCATGATCCACCTGGCTCGGCCTCCCAAAGTGCTGGGATTACAGGCGTGAGACTTTGGGGAGATTTTCAAAAACACTGTATATATTTATTGTGACTACTGATAAATTTCTATTTCTTTCTGCCATGTTGTACAACCTCTATTTGCTATGCTTTTGCTTCTTTTTTTCTCCCTGATGTCTTCTGGATATTTTTTCACCTACTCTTTGTACATTACACACTGTATTTTTATTCCTTTAATGTTTACCTTTAAAATGTTGTGTGTAATTTAGGGAAGCTCTTAGTAAAATCAAATATACATGATTCTGCTTCCAAACACTTCACAGATCTTAAAATGCTTTAACTCAAATCACTTCCAGTTGGCATACTATTATTATCCAGTATTTTGGTTTCATATTTTTAGTTGGAAAATTGCTATTTTAAAAGTTGATATGTAAAAATATGTAACACCTCTGTAAGTATGTGTTTGTAGATAATCATTCTGTGTTCTGTATCTGATAATTTCAATATCTGAAATTCTGTGGGGATCTAGAACCGCTTTTTGTGATTTCTGCTACTATTAATAAGTCTCACTCATGATAACATGTTTCTTAAAGCATTTTGGAATCTTTTCATTATAAGCTCATATTTTGGTAACCTGTGGGACCTTGATTGAAGATACTTCTCTCCAGGGAGGATAAACATGTGTACCACGGGTGCCACTCTCTTGGGGTCATTTCCACTCCAGATGTGGCCGTATCCCTGACTGAGTTGGTGCTGTGAAGTAGAATCCCACGTCCTTGAAAGAGCATACCTACAATTATAGATTCTTAGGGAGGAAATTATTATTATTGTTAACATCATTTTTTTCTATGAATAGTTTTCTCTTTTGGTGGCTTTAGCTGAAGGCAGATTTTCCCCAGCCTTTTTACTGAGACTGTGACCTCTGCAAATAACCTGTTTGTGGGGTAGGGGGTGGAGGGGGTTTCAGGTTTAGCTCCTCCTCCATTTTGTGTAGACCCAAGGCTTACCCTTCCCGTTCCCCTCCCCATGGTCCTTAATCCCCATTGTTCTAATTCTGGGCCAGTGTTTTCACCCAAACTTGAAATACACGTATATTCCCAAAAATAAACACCTTATATTCTGTTGTTTTACTCATACATGAAAAAAAATGGCTTATGGGGGCGGGGGGAGGGGAGTTGGGGGAAGAGACAGGCAATTCAATCAACACAACTCCATACGCTGGGAATTAGTAAAATTCTAAGTCTTACAAAAATATTAGCAATTAGAACCACATATTATATGCCCAGCAAATAAATACTACAGTAAATACAGGGCTTTAACTGAAGCAAAGGTGTAAGTAGCTTGATGGAAGAAGATAAGAAGGACTTGTGGATAAGAAAGGCTGAGTCTACAGTGCAAGGAGAGAGGACAGGGACATTCTCAGAGGTTGCCAGTGGAGAGCAGGTGCAGGCTCTGTGTGAAATGCATTGGTACCAGAGGTGGATGCTCTGGTTTTATTTTGCACAAAGATTAAGGAGACTCATGCAGTTAGGATTTTTAGACAGAACAAACAACCAGACTGAGCTCAGAGTGTAAATTTGGGGTTGAATGCATTTCATGTACACTATGGTGTTCCTCCATAGCTGTGCCAGTGGAAATTGCTAATGCATGCAGCACAAAGCAGTCACTTTCTGGAGGGGAAACTGTGTATAAGCCAATGAGATTTCTATATTTTACTGACACTTTTCTGTTGATAGACATTGAGATGACTCAAAGGCAGGAAACATGCACTATAGCCCAACAGGCCAGCCTTGCATCGGCTCTCAGGACAGCCCTGGCTTCCATGCTAGCTTCTGATTTGTTTTTTATCTGAAATTTGTTGTCCTTAGGGATTGCCTTAATACCTTGGAAGTTCAGCAATGCATTGAAATATATGTTTGCTGGAATTTATCCTTCATGTGGCTGTTTTTAGCGGAATGGCATTTTCAGGACATCTGGTCCTTTCATCCTGTTTTCTGGTTTCTCCAGCCTGTTCTACACTCAGCCCTCTGTTTTCTGGGAGGTCTCTGGGCCTGGGAGATGTGAGGCTTGGTTAGTTCACTGAAAAGCGTTCAGACAACAGTGGCCTTAAAATAACCACAGAACCAAAGCAATGATGATAAGGAACACTGGGAAACAAAGGAATTTGTTTTGAAGGCAAGAACTCCCCAGCATAAAGGGCCAACATCCCTTCTCTGAGAAAAGGTAAGACTGAAATGACATGTCACGTGTTTCAAAGACAATTTCATAGATTGCAGTACAGCATCATATTGCAGCAGGAAGTCATGGAACATGGTATTGGCTACATTATGGATTGCCTCCATATTGAGCAGAAGCTAAGATCAGAACCACATGGAACACTCACTTGCATTAATTAATTAATGAAAGTAATACCAGAAGGTACAAGGAGGCCTCAGCAAAGCCATGAGACTCCAAGACGGCCACTGGAGTCTGGATTGAGCCTGCCCAACTCAGGTCACATCAGCACTTCACCCTCATTCACTTTACTGTCCTCAAGGAAAAAATAATCATCTCTGCCTCCAGTGACAGGACAGTCAACACACACCTGACCTTTTCTGGTAAAGTAAATTCTTGCCAGTGACTTGCTGTGGCTTTAATGATAGTTTGCTTCCTAAAAATGGTTAACTATTTCCCTGATTCCAGTTTTCAGGTTTACAGAGTAGATAGAAAACCACGAGATGGCAGTTCACATTTATTGTGATCAATATAATATTGACCCTACTCCAAGAGGTGGAAATTGTGGTTTTGTATCATATTACTTAAAGTCCAAACAATTAAATCTTGTTGGACTTTCTGGATCATAAATGAGAGCCTGTGTAGGAGGAATTTATTGTGAAAACAAACATTCCCTGCAACTCCAAATCTCTCTCTCTCTTGTTAAGATTAGTGAAATGTAACAACACTATTTCCAGTGAAGATTTCACCAAAAACAACCAGTTAGATGAGAATCATGCGTTACTCACATGGCATGTCAAGATGATAAACTACATTATATAACTTTAAAAAAAGAATGAATTATAAAGTTGTCTTCCTGATAAGAGCTGCACAGCATTCTGGAGAACACTTTGGCTGTACTTAGAAAAAGTCTGTGGATCCCACGCTCATCAGTATCATTGGCATCAGGGTGGGATGAGCTGCTTTGACAGTGGGCCTGGTCAAGAGACGGTGAGACAGACACCAGAGAGGCGACCGGTGCCTGGCCGTGGCCTCGGGAAGCCGAATAGCCCTAGCCACTCCCTGGGGTCAGCACGCTGACTAGGGCAGCCACAGGAGGTGTTCTCAGTCGTGGGGCGGCCTGAGGATGGCACAGGCTTCTGGAGAGACCATGTACATCCCTTCAAGTGTTCTGCCTGTCTCTCTAGGATACATCTGGACTTTTGGTGAAATCTAGGAACATCTGAAGCCCAACCTAAATAACACTTAAGCTGGAACCCAAACTACTGTCTTTCCAATGCACAAATAAAACACACACACACACACACACACACACACACACACACACACACAGTTTTTTATTGTAGAAATATCACAAGGGAAATATAACTCAGGTATCAACTGAGATCTCCCCACTTGCAAACATGGGGAAATTTCCTAGAACCTCCACTTTCAGAGCTTATGGAAGTCCCAATTCTGGTGCTGGTTGCTTTTCATTCTCCATCCTTCCCTGCCTTGCTCTGCACCCAGAGGATGACTTTGCAGGTTGCATCAGTTGAGCTCCTTTGCCTTCTGGCTTCTGAGTTGGGTTTGGCTAATGGAAGCACCTGCAGGGTATCAGATGCTGGACAGGGAAACAGGAAGAGATATTTATTTCCTGTACTTCCTCACTGCCTTGCCATGGCTCCAGCAGAAGCACATTCTGCAGTCATGGCTCTTGGAAGGCAGCCTCGCTTCCAAGATTCCAAGCTCTCTATGGACTTAGGTAACACAGTTATTGCCCCTTACCCCTCAAGGGCTAGGATTGTAAAGGCTTCTCTCTATTGCTATTTGCTGGATGCTTCACCTTCCCTCACTGTTTCCCTTAATGCCCCACCCTACCTCCATCTTCTTCATTAAACACTTCTTGGTTAAACCCTCTGAGGGTGTCAACTTTTCCTCTTGGTATCCTGATGAATATATACACCTTCCCATAGATTTCTTTGGACTCCTAAAGGTCTTATTGTCATATATTCATTGTTACCCAGGCATTCCTGCTCCCTCACTTATAGATCTAAAGAATAAGCAGCTTCTCTACTAGTTTCTAAGCGAAGCAAAATTTTAAGAAATCATTCATGAGTTACATTTGCATTCACTGGAAAGCTGAGACAATATGAAGTGGTCACATTACATACCACACAGTCAACAACTTAAAAATCCACATAGATACATCTAGCCTAGTGTATGGGCCATAGATTCTGGAGTTAACTCCATGGACCAAGCTTTACCACTCCCTTGCCACTATGTGATCTTGTGTCAAATTATATATTTTCCTTGGGCCTCAGTTCTCCTCTCCCTTCTTCCCTCCCTTCCTCCTTCCTTCCTTCATTTTTTTCTTCCTTCTTCTCTCCCACCTTTCCTCACTCCCCTATTTCTCTCTCTTTCTTTTGTAAACTGAGGTGGTCATAGCTCTTATCTAGGATTGTGAGGATTAAACAGGTTAGTGATGTACAGTTCTTAGGTGCCTGGCCATATTAAGGACACTGTGTAAAGTATCAGCTATCATTTATTGTATTATTATTATTAGACATTCTCCAAAATCCTTCTCAGCTGGATTTCTTGGTTTCCCTTAGGGCCTATATCAACTTGCAACTTTTGTTTCCCAGCTTTCTCATTCCTGTCTCCTTCCTCTCACTTGTTTTCTTTTGAGCTGCCCCTGGGATGGGTGGAAGAGCAGCAAATGTTTTTTGCCATGGTCCTATCTCTGTAAACAATTTGAGTCAATCAAAATCAGTGTGTCAACCTCATATTGGCTGCTCAATCTCATGCAATTCCACAAAGGAAATACTGTGCTGGACAGCAAGGATGATCCACTTTCCAAGCCTCCCTCCTGGAACTGGGGCCTGGTCCCAGCGACCCTGGAGACTCTGTAAGCACAGTCCTCTGAGCTCCTCAGAGCATCTAGTCAACCCCACAGGTGTAGAGTGTGGGAGAGACAGTCAGAGAGTGCCCCCAAAGAAGAGAAACAGAGACCAGGGCCCAGAGGAAAGAGCCTGGGGCCTCATGCACCTCCTGGTCTGGCCTCAGTGCAGCCCACCCAGAAGTCTCTGCCAACCCATCAATCAGACACCAAAGGATGACTTGGAAGATTTTCGAGGAAATCACCAAAGCTTGGGCTCCTATGAGGTGCAGGGCTGGTCTCCTTGCCCACTTCCTTTTTGATTGCCCCAGGGAGTCTTCTCCCTCTAGAAAGGAGAGTAAGCTAATGTTCTAGTTCCCACTCCCAGGCTTCCTGAGAAAATCAGGTTACTCCACAGACAAAGGTGCCTGCCATTTAGAAGGATCTAATCTCTTTATGAGGCACTTGCAATGATAAATTTTGGACAGAGTCAAGTGAGAAAAAATAAGAAGATGAAGTTGCCTTTAGTTCTACTACCAAGAGCTATCAGCTGGCAACATTCGGGCACATGGAGTGTTCTGCGGCTTGAGCAAACAGGTAGGTCAAGATGTGCAGATATAAAAACTTGTTTGAAGTACGTAAGACAGGACACCCAGTTATATTTGAACTTCAGATAAACAACAAATCATTTTTTATATGAGTATGTCTCATGCAATATTTGGGACATATTTACACTAAAAAACATTAGTTACTTGAAATCCAGATTTAACCAGGTATCCTGTATTTTTATTTTCTAAATATGACAACGCACATTATTACGCGAAAAAAAAAGCAAATTGCCAAATCTTATGCTTATATTGATTCTATTTATGTAAAGAAAAAACTATTCTATACATAAACATGCTTACACACATGCACGCACACTCCCATTGATAAAAAGCCCTGGAAGAATATACACAAAAGTCATGCTTCTTAAGTGTTGAATATAGAAAGGAAAGAAGCTTTCACTTTTCACTTTACACACTTTTTAAATTTTAAGATACTGGGTCTCACTCTTCATCCAGGCTGAAGTGCAGTGGCATGATCATAGCTCGCTACAGCCTTGAACTCCTGGGTTCAAGGGATGCTCCTGCCTTAGCTTCTGGAGTAGCTGGGATTACAGGCATGCATCACCATACCCCGCTAATTTTTTTCTATTTTATTAGATACCAAGGTCTCGCTATATTTTTCAGGCTGGTCTTGAACTCCTGGGCTTAAGGGATCCTCCTGCCTCAGCCTCTTGAGTAGCTGGGATTATAGGCAAGACACTACTCAGCTAGTTTACATACTTCTATGTTATTTACATTTTAAAATTAAGCAGATTTTGTGACAAAGCATTTTAAAAGATGTGATGGATGTAATATGGGAGAATATACTTGTAAAATAAGGAAAAAGCAAAAGGTAAAACTATATACAGTATAATTACATCCATAATTATTAAATATCCTATGTAAGAATATACACTAAAAAAAATTAACTGATTCTTGACATGGTGCTAGGGGCTTCCACATATAATGTCAGTCCACTCAAATGGTACGTATTTGATTCTGCTGTTTGACTTACTTACTGCTCGTTTAGGTTATCTCCAATTTACTGAGAGAAGGGAAGATTGAAAGCCCACAGAAAAGATAGAAACTCCTAAGTAAGGCCTTAGGCTGTGAGCTCATGGATCAAGTCCAGGCTGGCATTATGCATTGGGCTAATGCTCAGTTTTTACCGTGGTAATACCAAGAGTCCCCGGGAGGTAAATGTCCCCAGAAGAGTTGGAAAAATTGAAGACTCCTGACACTATTTTAAAGGCCTGTGGTTTATTCTGAAAACTTAAAATTGTGTCTCTAAGGTACCGAGGACTTTGCTATATGTGTAATCTAGTGTTGAGAACACGCTATTGGTATTTCTCACCTTTGCTTCTAAGGCTTATTATGACGGGTTTACATTTACCCAATTCATGGCTGGGTGTCACCTTTAGAGATTAAATTAAATGCATACAATTGTCATGGCCTTTTGGTAAACATCACACCCCAAAACTTCTCCAAATTTTATGTTTCTATCCCACTTGATAACATACTTTCATTTTTGAATCCTCCAATCTCCTGCACCTCAAAATAGTCTATCAGGCAAACCATTTGTTCCCTTCAATTCTATTTTTAAAATGGCTTTCCTTTGGACAGGGCCATTAGAGCAGCTGCAAGAGCTGATGTTCGTTCATGCATGACAAAAAGTCCTCACATGTGAGGGACACCAAGGCCCTCCCTGAGCCACTCTGAATGCATCCCTAAGCTGGTGAGCCCTGCTGGTAGAGAGATGGAGGGTCCCCTCTCCACCAACTGGTGCCAGATTTAGAAATATTTACAATAAATTTGTGGGCATAAAAAAGGAAGAAGAATAATTTACAGCAGTTAATATTAAAAATTACCTTTTAATGACATATTATATGAGAATATTAAAGACTTAATAGAAGTGAAGAATTTGTTTATGCTTGTGTTAGATTTTAATTAAAAGGGATTCAAATATGGATCCCACTCTTAGGAAGTTGATAGGCTGAGGCACAGAGCAAGTGATACATGTTATGTGTAATACTTAATATTTTTGCATGCTATGTACTCTCACTCTACTAAGCACATTCATCTACTTTATCACATCCTTTTAACCACCCAATGACATAGGTTGCTGGGAAAACAAACAAGGACAGCAAGAATTGGTTACCAGTAGATTAAGTGACACTAAAAAATGTGAAATGTCATTTCATAATTTCCTAGTCCTAGGCTATGTGATCTAATTTTAAACACTAGTTAAAAGGAAGCTCAGGGCAAAGGAGGACGTGTACTCCCCTTGCTGGGTGTTTGGTAACCCAACCTGCACTTCTCTCTTGCCAGCAGCAGCCACAGCAGGCCGCCTGTGCCTCTGAAGTCTATCCACAAGATCCACGACTCTTCTGGGCACTTCCCCCAAATGGCCACAACCAGCAGTGCCAGTTTGAGTTTACAAGGTGAAGGACAGAGGTAAAGGCCGATCTGGAGTTAGGAAAGCAGCTAGTCACCAAAGCTTGCTTCAGAAGAGATCCAACGTTTGGCCCCACTTACAAGCCTATGGTAAGCAATTTTTTAGCCCCAGCTCCATGAAATGAACCATATTTCTTCTTCCCAGAGAGTAACTCAGGCATGGAGGATCTGGCTCACAATATTGTGACCTCAAATTATATTAAAATACATTAGACTCTTGAAGGGCTTTGGAGCAGTGATGCAGCCATCCATATGTCTCCTCATTTTGATGGTAGTGTTTAGATCTTGCCTCCTACATAAACTTGAGAAATAAATTAGGACCAGAGACCCTGCCTTAAGTCCTTGGTGCCTCCCCAAACACATGGCAGTGCTGGGACACAGTGCAAGTTCAATACAGCTTGGCTGAGTCAACCTTAATTGTTAATTCATCGTGGTGCATTCTAATGTTAAGACAGAATTAGAAGACATCCGTGTAGAGAATGTGTTCTATTTATTCTGCCTGGCAGGCAGAGAGTGAAAATTTCCTTTTACACTTTCCCTTCACACTTTCCCCTCCCCCAGAGCCTGCCATCTGTTCTGGAATATCAACATTCATGCAGGGTTACCCCTAGTGAGTCTTTTTAGACAATGTTTTGTCATGAACTATAAGTAGCAATGATCCAGAAGAGAGATTAAAGATGAATTTACTGATTCTCCTCCCTACCCCACCTGAGCAGTACAGTACAGAAATGCAACATTTAGTCATAAAGCTAAGAACCACCCCCAGCAAAGAAGTTCTTGTGAAAAAGTGCAGTATGTAAATTCATAATGCCAGCTTGCATCATTCTTTCAACTACCTGATGATCTTCACCCACCAACAGAATCCACATACATCATGCAGGAAGTGTTTACTGAGCAGCCTCTATGGGCAGGTATGGTGGGGAGCCACAGGATGAGTAAAACACTGACATCCTCCACAGACCTTACAAAAGGCATGGAAGATGAAACATATAATTACAATATAAGCAGGAAGTGATAAAGTGCAGAAAGAAAGATACACATGCAGTGGTATAGGAATTCTTGCAAGAGACCAATTCCTAAGTTTGGGAGCCAGGGAGGATATTTTCGAGGCATTGGAGCTAGGCCTTGAGCAATGGGTAGAATTTCATTATGTACAGTCAGGTCCTGGTAGGGAATAGCAGAAGCAGAAGCATGAAGGTAAGAAATTGCATGAATATTGGCAGGAAATAGTGAATGAGTTATCTGGTTTCCTCAGCATGAGGGTACATCAGGAGGAACAAGAGGAGATAAAGGTGAGACTCCTGTTAGATCAGGAGTCAGATTCTGTTCAATTACAGGCTATACATTTAGACATTATTCCATGGGCATCTTTGTGCACAGTAGTAACATTAGAGCTTTGTTTGAAGAAGTCTGAAGCAAGCCAGGCATGGTTGTGCATGCGTCAAATCCCAGCTACTTGGGAGATTGAGGTGGGAGGATTGCTTCAGCCCAGGAGTTTGAGGCCAGCCTGGGCAACATAGTGAGTTCCTGCCTCAAAAAAAAAAAAAAAAAATCCGAACCAGTATGTGAGCTGATCTCCAGGTATAACTCCATATGGAAGCCAGATGACAAGGAAGCCTTTTGATGCCTTGAGGAGCACCAAACAGGGTGAAGTATAAAGCAATATCTGGAAGAGCGCATGCAAGATGTTTTGCACAGTAGATAGTAGAGCCCAATTTGATAAATGAGCAAACTGAGGCCGAGAGATACTAAGTTGTCTAAAGCTATGTTACTGTCAAATACCAGAGTTAGGATTTGAACCCAGGGCCATCTGAGTCCAAAGCTGTTACTGTCAACCAATATTAGCTTCAGCATCATTGCAGAAATGTTGATGTCTTGTTTGACAACATAGAAATGCAGTTTAATTCTCATGGCCTCCACTCCATGTCAGCAACCAATGTTTAGGTCATGGTGGTAGAGGATCCAGAGTGTTGGAGGCTGTTTCTATAAAATGACAGATTGGGTTCCAGGATAGGTAAGGAGAAAAAAAACAGGTGCTGACCATCAACAAATATAGTGAGGGCCAGGCACAGTGTCTTACACATGTAATCTCAGCTATTTGGGAGGCTGAGGCGGGAGGCTCAGTTGAGCCCAGGAGTTCAAGGTTGCAGTAAGCTATAATTACTGCACTCCAGCCTGGGTGACAGAGTGAGATTCAGATCTCTAAAAAATGAATGAATGAATAAATAAATAAATAGTGAGGGGTTTCGGTACTGGAGGATAAATAAGAAATAACAGTACTACTAATAATAGCATTTTGGTAATGGTTTATAGAGATTGTCTCAATTTTTATAGAAGCTCAGTGAAATATATGTAATAATGACTATCTAGAGATGACTTCTTCCAAGGTAACATGTATCCATTATGTTGAGTCAGAGTTTGCTTCCTTTCATTTGGCCTCCACGAACTCTCCCCCATGGCCTCCCCACCAGGACAATAGTGTTAGCTCCGACCCCTTCCCCATCTTAGACCCCTACAGCTACCTTCTTCCTCTAGTATCTGGAAACCAGCAGTTCTGATTCTATTTTTTGGCTAGCAACAAAAAGATTAGGTTGCTTGAAGCCAGAAGTTTAAGGGCAGACTTAGACATGTCTCTTTTTCCCTCCCAATAACTGCATTTTTCTCCCAGTGGGTTTAAATGCTTGTTTTAATTTGGAAAATTTCCATCTCTCATAGCACCTCTCTATTGTGAATAGGGATCATTGGTGTTGTTTGAGGTTTATGGTGAGCCAGGCATGGCTTTTAGTTCCTTATCTCTGTATAAGCTCATTTAATCCTCTTAAATAACTTCATGGGATGGTATTATTGCCTGCAGTGGAGATTGGGAAACAGGTTCAGAGAAATTAATTTATCACTTATTTCCTAGTTAGGTAAATGTTAGAAGCAGCCAAAACATGTGTTCTTAAATCTTAGGGTTGAGTTAGGGCTCGTTTATGAACCCTGTTGAGTTCCACAATACAGAATATTAATTTCATGGTTGTATCTACGCTAGTGTTTGATAACATTCCAAAATTCATGGAAACACACTTAAGCCACTTTCAAAAGTCAGATTTGCAGAGCTGCAGGCTTATAATCTCTCTGACAGGAGCATCATCTCACATGTGACATATTATATGACCCATATTACTTGCAGGCATAAGCAGCACAGTGTCCAAGCTACGATTTTGCAAAATCATATTACTTAAAACAGTTGCCTCAGCCAGGCAGTGATTTGTGACTGCCAAACAGCATTTTAAATAACAAGGTCCTCTGAGACATTTGGTTTAATTGGATTCATTTAATTTTTAAATATTTTTAAAATATTTCAACATTCTCAAAAAATGGCCTTATCATATTTTGAATCAATTCAGATATTGGTCAAACTAACAATGATTTATGTGTAGTAAGGTGTAAGTTCATCAAACCACAGCTCCCCAAGGAAGCCAAATGACTTAGCATTGCCTTTCTATGTGCATTAAATTATGTGATTCTTTTGATGAAATGAAGGCACTATGATCCGAATGTTTGTGTTCCCAAAAATTCATATTTTGAAACCCAAATCTCCAAGGCAATGGTATTAGAAGGTTGATCCTTTTGGGAGGTAATTAGGTCATGAAGCCTTAGGGCAGTCACAAAATAGGCTCAAGGAAGCTCGTTCACCTCTTGCACCATGTGAGGACACAATGAACCAGGAAGTGGGGCTCAGCACACATTGAATCTTCCAGCACCTTGATCTTGGACTTCCCAGCCTTAAGAACCATGAGAACCAGGTTTATGTTGTGTATAAGCCATCCAGTCTATGGTAGTTTAAAGGGAATGGGCGCCCCCCCACCCCGACACACACACACACATACACACACATCTGAGATTATAGTACTTTGTTTTAGACATGGGCCAAAAAAAAAAAAATCTATTCAGGTAAATAAATTTATTTGCATACTAAGAAAGAAAAATTAAGAGGAATTCTTTCACTAATGGGGGAAAAAGTAACAACTTCCCTTTTGTGAAATTCTCTTTCACATAAAGTCTAAATGACATTATCCTAGTGCTTTCTTCTGACTTTTTTTACTATAAGTTCCTAGCAGTGGAACTGTTGTGCCAAAGAGTATTATTGGAAGGCTTATAATACACATTCCCAAATTGTCCTCCAGAAAGGTGTGCCTCAGCTTTCTATAGGAGCACTGGTTTCTGATACTCTCACCCTGGCTGGTATTGTCCAAATGCTTTTAATTTTACCAGTGGGAAGTGTGCTTAAATTCTGCTTGATGGTGGAAGGATAAAATTCATGCTGAGGGGTAAAATTCATGCTAATAATGTAGGATTTCATTTTTCTTTACTGAGAAAGGTATAAAATAACATAAAAACACCATGACAAGAAGAGAGAGATCATGGAAGAAAGGATAAGCTTTATCTGAACCTTTCATGGCACTTTTTCCTTTGAACAATGGGCCCTGCATTCTCATTTTGCTCTGGGCCCCACAGATTATGAAGATGGTCCTGTCTCTGCCTCTTCCTCTCCATCCTCACTGCTACTTCCACAGTTCAGGCTGAAATCTACCTCCAGGACAGGCTCAATAGCCTCCTTACCATCTCTCTGCCTCCCATCTTAGCACCCTTCCACCACAACACAGTCTCCAGTTTGCAAAAGGAATCTTTAAAAATGCAAAGTCTCCTAATGTCTTCTCTGCCGTGTGTAAACTACATAATACCATTTTAGTGACCTGCCCTCCAGCCTAGAAAGTCCTTGTAAGATCTAGCTTCTGCCCTGCTCCAGCCCTATTATTTTCCAGTGACTCCTGTGCCCACCCACAGAAGATTTTTCTCACTGCCTGTGCGTTCCACGCTCTCCTGAAGCTGGGTCCCAGCACTGCTCCTTTCTCTGCCTTAAGTGCTCACTCCATGGCACTGGCTCCACATTAGGAGCTCACCCTTCACGTCTCAGCTCAGGTGATCTTACCTGAATTGTCTTCTCAGATGGGCAGCATGCAACGTGCAATTTAAACTGTGCAAATGCCAGTTTTAAATACAATTATGAGCATTCGACTCGTGTGTAGAATCACCAAAATCACACAATTCGTATTTTGTGTCTTATCCTGGTGGGTGCCTGGAGCTGGCCAGAGAGACAACTGTAGGTCAGATTCAGGAAGGCTGGAAGAAAGAGAAGAGGGTCCCAAGGCACAGAGCTGGCTGAGAGAGCACTCCTGGGCACCACAACACTAGTGGGGCCAGTGCAGATTCCCGCAGCTGCCCAGGGGCCTCATCCCACAATGTGTAGCATGAGTGCGTTTGCTCTGTCAGTTGGCTTCTGGGCTCCCCCTCCCACCAGCCACTGAGTCAATGTGTTACCTCCATCAGGGGTGGGATCTGGAGAAGTCAAACCAGGTGGCTCCCTTCCCACTAGCCTAGAGCCTCAAACCCTGGCAGACAGGTAACTCCCAAGGATCTTCAACCTCTGTGTCAGTATGGGCTGGGTACTGGATGGGGTAGGAGGGGAGCGTGTTCCCACCAAGAGACAACTTCCAGCAGCCCCCCATGGACCTGCTAGCCTAGATCTGCTAGTCTGGGACAGGGACAGCAGCCACAGCTTGTGCCTGACCCATCTGGCCCTGAGCAGGAGGGTGAAGGCTGGGCAGGCAGGGCACTAGGAGGCACAGGAGGGAACAGCCCCAAACTCATCCACTGAAGACAGCGGGAGGTGGGATCATGCATGAATTTAGGCTCTTAGCCCCTGGCACATGCTCCATTGCCCCATTGAACTTGACTTACAAAGCAGAAATGTGAAGTAAACATTATTAAGAATTTCAAGATAACTGCAGAGCATTAAACCCCAAGTATGTAACCTTGCTGAGAGAGAGGCCCTGTCCAAGTGCACAGGTTGGATGCCCATGAAGCTGGCCCTGGACAGAGATAAGAGGTACTTAGGAGGTAAGAATGATAAGATGTCAGGCTTCATTGTGTATTATGTATTTAGTGGGAGGCACGAGGTCTGTGAAGAGAGAGGATCCTATGACAACCAGTAGTTTTCTGTCTTGGGTGACAGACGGATGCTGGTGCCATTACCCAGACAGGGAATGCAGGGAGGAAGAAGAGAGTTTCTGTGTTTGGCTCCTTCGGTTCAGTTTCTCTACTTGTCTGTTGTCTGAGTACACTTCCATATTCAATGGACAGTTGACTTTCAAAGAAAAGCAAAAGATTTCTGAATAATATGCAAGAGTTGAGCATGTAAAAAATTCCATGGAAATCTCTTGACCCAGACTGATAACTGAGTAATAGAAAAATTAAATTAAGCTATTCTTTAACTTACCACTAAAATTAAATTTTAGAGAATTTCCCAATGCTTTTATAAGGAAAGGAAAACATCTTGCCTTGTGTACCTCTCCTATTCCCTCAACATACTCAATAGAGACTTATTCAGGTTCAATGTCTGGGTCATAGTAATAAATTGGCTGAAAATAAAATTTCTGCTAAAATATTAAGCATGGAGATATTAATTCACAATGACTTAAGGCAAAAGTTTTCTGAAGCTTTCTGTGTTTTAAAAGTAAGCATATAAAACATGAAAGTAAACATATCATTCATTCATTCATTTATTCACTTAACAAATATTTGTACTGAGAACGTACTGTGTGCTAAGCTGGAGGTACAGAGCAAAACACATAGAGCACAGGCTGTTCTGGTACAAGAGCATTCTCGTGGTGGGAGATCTCAAAAAAAAAAAAACTGAATATATAAAAGTGGTTATTTACACCTATATTTTCCTGAAATACAGCTCTGGATTCCAGAATGGCTCTGGAATCAGCCATTTCTCCAAGGAACCGTGATTCCTTTTAGTAGAATTTAGAGCCTTCTTGCTAAAAGAGTGCCACTGCTACGGGGCTCTCAGTAAACACAGAGCTCTATCTCGTTATCTGCACATGCACACAAAATAAGTTTACACCAATAATGCCAACTCTATTCAAACACCACAGGGTTCATTCTGTTTTTCTCCCTTTCCATATTTATATCCCCCTTCACTGACAATGAGAAACCTGGCACCCATTATTCCTGATCTGCTTACTTACCTAATCAATCCTTCCCTATCACCAAGTTCTTATTGCTGCTGCCACTTTCTCTTACCACATATGCTCCCTTCACGCCACCCCCACGCTGCCACATCCACGCTAGACCCCGCTGGTGAGTGGGAGCCCTCCTCACTCTACCTGTGCCCTGATGGCCTGCACTGAGCCAGCCACTGCATGGGCACCCTCCTCACCCTGCTTTGGCCTCAACACCCTGAGTCAGGCTGCTCTCCCATGGGTACCTCTTCCTTCCTCTTGAGCTCTAATGTGAACCCCATAACAGGCCACTCTTCCAAGTGCACAGCCTCTTCACTGGTCTTTGAGCCTGCAATCTTATCTACCTTGTCAAATAGGTGATACAAGTAAAGAACAAAGACCAGAAAGCTAGCGTATGCATTATTTAAGGGAGTAGGGCAGGAGAGGAAACTTTGGATGTCAAACAGCTCCTCCTGCCACAAAGCAACCTTTTACTCTTTAACTTTTCTCCTTTGTACTGCCCCGGTTTATTAAAGACATTCATCTTCTATTAATCGAATTGAAATTTAACTAACAGCAGTGATCATTGGTAACCAGGGCAATAAGTTAAAGGACATTCTATTGTACTCTAAACATTTTTCCATCAAAAATAAGCCAGGTCTAAGGATCCTGTGTTGCTATTTTTCAGAAAATTCCTCTGGGGTCAGGTTGACCTACAAAGAAAGCTAGTTCTACTTCAGTGGGCCCCTTGTAAAGGTCTTTTGTTTGGCTGCTTTTGTTTTATTTTTATCTGGAAGACTCCGCAGAGCTTGTTACATAAGGAGAATAAGTTAAAACTTACTGAAAGTAGACTGATTGACGGAACCCTGAGACATAAATAATGTACTCACCTTCCAAAGATCCTTTGTAAGGCAGGGTTTTCTATTTAATGACATTCTACCCTTTTGATTCCTCTATTTAATGACATTCTACTCTTTTGATTCCTCTCACTATAGCCGTCCTTGACATGAATGCCTGAGAACCCTTGCCCCTGACTTTTTCCCTTGACCTTGCTCTCCAACCTAATCCTGGAATTCCTTCCTAATATAATTATAAATTCTGGGATTCCACCTGAGACCAACGATGACTTCTTCCTAGTGTAATTGACAGTCTTCAGGGCCCGGACATCATCTGTCACAGCCTGGAGCGCATATGGAGAAAAAGAATGGGGTATGTGTGCACAGGTGTGTTTGTGGAGAGCCCACATTGCTTTTCTCTCTCTGTCTCTCTTTTTTTTTTTTTTTGAGATAGACTCTTGCTCTGTCACCAATGCTGAAGTGCAGTGGCATGATCTCAGCTCACTGCAACCTCTATCTAATGGGTTCAAGTGATTCTCATGCCTCAGCCTTTCAAGTAGCTGGGATTACAAGTGGTCGCCACCTCACCCAGCTAATTTTTGTATTTTTAGTAGAAACAGCATTTCATTATGTTGGCCAGGCTGGTTCAAATTCCTGACCTCAAGTGATCCTCCCACCTCAGCCTCCCAAAGTGCTGGGATTACACGTGCCCAGCCTGCCAGCCTTCTCTTCTTATCTTTGCTTGAGTCACTTTAAGTCCCTTATTTGCCATATCCTGGGCAAGACTTTGAGAGAAAGAAAAGACGACTTAGAAGCCTCTCCTGCTCAGCACTGGACCACAATTTAAATTCATCATAGATGTGGTATATGTTACCCAAGCATCAACCCCAAATTTGAGGATTTAAGTCAGGATTCTCTCACGGGCTCTATGGGCTGAATCCAACCCCTTAAAAATGTTAGCATGTGTCCAGCAAAGCATTTAGGAAGTGAATGTGAATGTTGCAGATAGGGTGTGCCCTCCCGAGGCTGGTCCAGTGCCTTCCATTTCTGTTGTCCCGCAGCAACCACCACACCCTCTCTACATACATTGTCTGTTGTGGGGTACATGACATAGAACCACACACATAGTTTCCTTTATTTATTACACGATCTTTTCACCCATCCCTGTTGTTTTAAGAGGTCTTATAGATGCTTTTTCCTCTGCCTCTCCTTCCACCTTTTATCATACATTCCTTTTTACTGTTTACTTAGCCACAAAATCCGACTGTCTTAGAGCTGGCTCTGCCCACAGTTTTTGTAAAGAGGGAGCCAGATTCAATCATGACACCTGGCTTTATTCTGGACTCTTCCCTGGTGGGTTGAGTGACATCGAGCAAGTCACGTGGAACTCCAGCATCTGCTTCCCCATCCCAAAGTAAAGGGATGGGAACAGGTGATCTCGATTTCCTACCAAGTGCCACATGGGGCCCTCTCGGACTTTTTTTGGTTGCAATCCAAATAAAAGAAAACAATAGAGAAAAGGTAACATCTACTTTATTCACTCAACAACTATTAATTGAGAAAAAAGTAAGTGCTGGGGATACAGAGATGAATAAGACAGATAAGGTCACTGTATTAGAGGGACACAGTACACGAAGAATGGCAGATTGTGGTAGGTGCTCTGTGGAGAGTAAAGCATGCTAGTCCAATGAAGAGTGATTGAGCATGGACTAAGGAGGCCAGGGAGGGCATCTCAAAAGAGATGATATTTGAGCCATGACCTGGGTGAGAAGTAGCAGCAAGCCATACAAGGAATATTCAAGGCACAGGGAACACCAAATGCAAAGGCCACAGGTCATGTTTGAGGAAAAAAACCAGGCCAGTATGTCTGCAATGCATTAGACAAGACAGGAGAAGGCACAAAAGGAGGTGAGCAAAGGAGGCAGAGATCGGATCATGAAGGGCTATGCGGACCCTGACAATAGGACCACTGGAGGAAGGTAACAGAGAAATGACATGGAACTTTCTATGTGTCTGCTAAGTGCGTGTGAATGGCAGCAGGGAGTCTGGGGCAGTGGAGTTGGAGAAAATAGGCAAATTTGTTATATTTTGGAGGTAGACCTGGCAGGACTTGCTGAAAGATTGTTGGGTTGGGGGAAGAAAGTGAGTCATTCAGAATCACTGTTGGGTATTAGGATTGAGGAACTGAATGAATGCTGTTTTCACATGGGCTGGTATTAGCAGAACCTCAAGTCACAGGCATTAAATCCAATAGCTCTTCCAATCTTCTCATTGTATCTCCCTGCTTATCTCATAAATATCAAAGCTTTATTCTCCCATCGAGCACATGTTTATTGATTGCCTATATGTTTCAGGCACTATTTTAAAGTAACATAGCTATTTGGTTAATTTTAGTGTGGTTGTTTAAAACAGCTTAAATTGGAACCTACTTAATCAGTAATCTAAGCTACTGGTGAAATGAATTCTTTTTTTAGTATTGGCAGGCATTTGCAACAAATGAAGATGCCTTAGCTCAGTGCCAGCTGTGAGCAAATAGTTTCGGTTCTCAATTTGTGCTAATCTAGAAATTCATAGGAAATAGCCAGGATAAGGCTTGGGAATGTCTTGTCCTTGTTAAACTCTGTCCAGCTGTACTGCTCAGCACTCTCAACTGAAAATTTTACTTGCTGGAGAGGAGCGGCACAGATTCTAAGGACTCTTCTGGAGTCTGCTATTAGTAGGGGATATACTCAGTCCAGTCAGCTCCTTAGAAATGATTACCTTGTTGCTGCTTTTGTAAAGTACAGGTCTGAGCATGCTCTATGCAGTGTTTTTAGGTATGCAAATCTAAAGCTCAGCTCACCACTTATTACACGTCAAGTCCTATGTAGTTACACTAAGAATTGAGACCCTTTACAATTGAAACAAAAAGTAAAAGCCTATTTAACTGACTTGAAGGAAAAAAACAAAACAAAACAAAACAACAACAACAACAACAAAAACCTCACCCTGACTTATTCAACTGTGTAAATATTTCTGCTCTCTTGGTATTATCATTTTAAGATTCTTCTGATAAACAGGTGCACAGCCATTTATTGAGGTTGGCCCACTTCCAAATGGCAAAAGCCTCATCTTAACTGAACATTTTAGCTGCCATTTGCAGACATATCAGCTCATTTCCACTTGAGCAAGGCCCAGGCTCACATCCCAAGTTTACTCCTGGTGTTAGTCCCTTGTGTGAGTGCAGCTACATTGTAAAATCATCTACTTCTCATGCCTGAAAGACTCACAAACACTTCCTCACACCCCAGATTTCACCATCCCAACTCACAAAGTGATAGGTATTGTACCAGAGTAATAGGATATTAGGCAAATGCTTTCTCCTGTTGTAGAGAATTTTGCTAAGGCTCAAAGAGGTGGAAAAAAGGCACTACTACACCCTACATCTAGCAGCTGAAGCCAGCCACAGATCTGATAGAGTAACACCAATTGAAGAACCAGTTTTTGTGCCCCAACCCACCCACCCCAATCCCAATCATTATACGAAGACAATCAGGTAGCACAGGGGAAGGTAGTCTCCTCTCCCCAAACTCTGGGCAGAAAGGGAGTTTTGATTCTCTTTTCTCTGTTTCAATAGATCTATCCAAGCTGACTCAGGGAAAGGAGAATTGAGAGAGATGGCAGGGCTGAGAGGGAGCAGCAGAGGAACACCCTACACATCCACCATTTGGCGTGGCAGGATACATAAGTATCCCTTGAATGGTGGGGAACGTGGAAGTTTACTAGGACTGACTGTCTTTCTGATAGTTCTCCCAAGAGACAGCCACCCACTGGCAAGAGGTGGCAAGGGGTGAAATAGAGTAAGCATTGGAAAGTACATCATAGGTGTTAATTTTATTGCAATGCAGGTAGTCCTCAGTAAACTCAAAACATATAAATATTAGAATATGGGGCTTCTAGGATGTTTACAAAGTAGGAGGGTAAAAAGTGACTAGGACGAAGAAAGTATTTATTGATATTTCAATTAGATGGTTAAATAATTTAAATACTAAAGAAAGTGATACTAAACAATTTATAGATAAGGGCATCTCCATACTCACCCCTAACGGTTTTATATATGGTAATGAGCAAGTGCTATTTAGTGCCAAAGAATTTTTCCTTGTGACCAAGAAACTGAAATCTCCTTTACCAGGATAAAATTCTTCTTGAAGCTTTTTATTGTGTTTGAACACATGAAACACCTAAGATTTTCTCTTATGACCTTGTTAAGAACATTCTGGGGTTAAATGTGCACTTTGAAGGTAAGCTTTTCAGGTTCAAACTTTTAGATGACAGTGGCTTCGTGCTACTGCTATTTTAATGTTTGGTGTCAATGAAAAGACCAAACAAGTCCCACTGAAAAATATCTGTTCTGTAAATTGGATCATCTCTCAACCGTATACGTACAATTCGATGTACATGTTGGAGTTTTTTGTATCATGTCACCGCCATCATGTTGACATCTCATTCATCATAGGCTTGTCACATTCATTGCATTATTTCTATGGATAAATTAAAACAGTTTGGATATCACATAAATTGTGAGTTGGAGTCAGGAACGCAAGCCATACTCAGTATGTAAAACTCATGCTCGTGCGTATGTGTATGGAAGATATTTATAGCATATATTTCTACACATATTTGAAGAAACAGATTCTGTATATTTGTACAAATACAGATCTGAAAATAATTCACACAAAATATTATAATTTTAACTTTTCAAATTGATTTTGTGATATGGACCAATATGATGTTTACCTTACATAATGCCTGTTCTGCAAGTAAGGCACACTTTTGTCTTTTAAAAAAAAAATCAACATTTTTTTCCCATATATCCTCTGTGTAGACTAAAAAATAATCATTAATGCTTGTATAATAGAGCAGGACTTAGTCAGTAGCATGAGAGAGTTAGGAGAAAGCTTGGGTTGAACTATTGTGTGTGCCTACCAAAGTTTCTCAGTAACTGATATTTCTTGATTTGGCCCTTTTTAATACATATTAATTCAGAACTTAGGTTCTATGATCTTAGTGTGACAGTCAATCTGCTGTATGGACTAATAATTTTGATTATTTAGACTTTATGAGTAATGCAAGGGAGACCAAAAGAAGAATGGAGTCTATAACTACAAGGACAGTGGAGAAGTAGACAATTACAAGAACATACTATAGTCAACTTAATACCAATAAGTTTATAAATCTATATATTTTTATCAATTATCTAGAAAAACATAAATTATTAAGATTAACTCAAAAAGACAGAATAGTAACTAGAACAATAACCATAGGAGAAAACAAAAATAATTACTCATCTACCACTAATAAGGACTTCACAATGAAGCATGAATTTTTTCCCATTAAAGGAGACTTCCTAGAAGTCTCACTGTAAATTTCCCAGAACAACTCATTTAGTCACATGGTTAAGAGAGTTTGGAAAAGGTAATCTTATAGTTGGAAAGGAAAAGAAAGGGTGGAATGGAAGAAGAGAATAGTTGTTGGGAGGAGGCTAGAAATATTTGCTACACCAGCAATAATCAACTAGATAAAGTAGTGGAAGAAAGATTCTGTAGTAAAAAATTAAAAGTCACAAAACCACACCAATAGCAAATGCACATTGTATTATTTTAATTATGAAACTTTGTTGAAGAACAAAAGGAAGACCTAATAAAAAGACTGGCTGCTTCAATATTCAAAATGTCAACATGTCACAAATCAATCAGTGAAGTAAATATAATGCCAATCAGAATTATAAGCAGGTTACTTTAGAGAATTTTTTAAGATGATTGTAAAGTTAACATGGAAGATAAAATTCACAAGACTAGACAAATAAACTTTGACAGAGAAAAAACAGTGAGGTGTCAATTGTCCTCCAGATATCATAACATACTCTAAAGCTGTTATAATTAATATAGTGTGGTAGGCCGGCACAGTGGCTCACGCCTGTAATCTCAGCACTTTAGAGGCCTAGATGGGTGGATCACCTGAAGTCAGAAGTTCGAGACCAGCTAGGCCAACATGGTGAAACCACGTCTCTACAAAAGAAATACAAAAAATTAGCCAGGTGTGGTGGTGGGCGCCTGTAATCCCAGCTACTCAGGGGGCTGAGGCAGGAGAATTGCTTGAACCCGGGAGGCAGAGGTTGAAGTGAACTGAGATCGGGCCATTGCACTCCAGCCTGGGCAACAGAGGGAGACTGTCCCAAAAGAAAAAAAAAAAAAAGTGTGGTATTTGGCTCAGTAGTAAAAAAATAAATTAATAGAACAAGAATCAATTTAAGTAAATTCAATTTAATTTATTTTAGTAAAGAAGCATTTCTAACAAATGGGAAAGCTTGGACTTTTGGCAAATGAACTGGGACAATAAGAAAAAAATCACTGGGAGGCTGAGGCAGGAGAATCGATTGAATCCAGGAGGCGGAGGCTACAGTGAGCCGCGATTGCGCCACTGCACTCCAGCCTGGGCGGCAAAGAGAGACTCCGTCTCGAAAAAAGAAAAAAGAAAAAAATCAGGTTAGACCCATCATGCTATCTTGTTTAATTCTCACAACTTCACCAGTTAATGTTATATAGAAATTAGAGCATTTAACTAGGGAACGACAGATGTGAAGAAATAGGGAATATAATGCACAGTTCTGTCTGTTGACATATTTAATTATATTGTCTGTTGCTATCTCACAAAGAGGAGTAAATTTTCAGACACATAATTTCTGTGTTATCCCCTCTACTAATGCTATATATGTTATTCACAATAGTTCAGAATCCATTCATTCACTTACTTGAAAAGTATTTATTATTTCCTGATCAAAGCACTTCTAAGTGCTACGAGTAAAGTTGTGAACAAAATTAAGTTCTTTCCCTTGTGGAGCTTGCTTTAGTAAGAGACAAATAATAAATAAATAAATAAATAAATAAATAAATAAATAAATAAATGGTGATAATTACAATGGAAAACTACCTGGTCAAGCAAGGGAAATAGGGTGTGCCAATGGGCAAGACCCTTAGATACAGGCAAAAGGAGCCCTGGGCCCCGCACATGCCTCCTCCAGCCATGACCCCCCTCACGGAGCTGGAATTCTGAGAGCGAAGGACACATGCCCACATGTAGCCCACAGCACTGCCTGACAATTATGCTCCAAGTTGCCCAGGATCATGGAATTACCTGCACTAAGAGAGGGCCTGATTGGCCTCATCCTTTCAAAATGAAGCTCACCACAGGTCTGTGTGCCTGTAGGCCCCGTGGGAAGTCAAAGGCAGCTTTTGGAAGAGGCATGTTGAGGGCGCTAGGACGGACTGACTGAGGTGTTAACATGTGCATTCATGAAGCCCTACTGGACCTTAGACATAGGATATATGGGCCTCCATTTTTACCTTTGTCCAGCCCTGAATAAGCCTGAGGTGGGTCTGGCCAGGGGAATTAGAGCTGGGGTTTCTATTTTATATAAGAAGGCAGAGAAATCCTCTGTTAAGGTGAATAAGTAGAAAGTTATGGAAAGAAAGAGTATTTCATATAGGTAACAAAATGAACAAGTGAGGATATAAAATTTTAATCCAGAAGAAAAAGCAAATCAACCCATCCAAACCCAAACTGTGTACACACTTGTGTAAACAAGTCACATGAGAAATGTTCTTAGAAAATTATCTTAAGAAATCTCAATTATGTGGATCGAGATCTATTCAGCGTTCTAAATGGAATTGTAAACCCCTAGCAATCTCCACCTCACCTGTGCTGTAAGAGTGATTCTGGCTGAAGCCTAAAATGGAACGGCTGAGTGTGCAGTGAGGTCAGCAGCTATGTGTGGTGCAAAGAGAGAGAGATTGTTACGCTGAACTATAATTGGGTGGTAGAAATGTCACCAAGCCAGGCCTGCAGCAAAAGAAGGGACCAAACTGAACTCAGTAACTCTCAGTAGCAGAACTTACATTAGCATTTCTGCACATTAGTGAGAAGCACACAGCTCCTTATAAAACAAACTCCCAGCAAAAGAGCTTTGCATATTGAAGGCATTTATTCTTTTAGAAAGTACACCCAGTTAGTTATACTGTGTGATTACAATTATGTAAAAGAAATTATGCAATATAAAAAGAATGAAAACTGATGCAAGCAAAATGATACTAGTCGTTATCAGTTGTTGGGGTAATTTTTTTCTAGATTTCTAATTTTCTTTATTGAGTGCTTATTAGCTTCATAGTTGAAAGTAGAATTTTTAATAAATGAATTTTGCCAAATAAAAGCTCTATAGCTCCAAAGATAATTCATAAAATGATTAGATCTTATGAGACTCTGGTAAGCCGCTTAATTGGAAGAAAAATACTTTTAAAGTAGTAGCTATCATATATCAGCAATAATCAGTTAGAATGATGATTTGGAAAAGGATATATATATTTACATATATAGTACATATGTAAATATATGTATATATATAAATATGTGTATATGTATTTGTGTATATATGTAAATATATATATGAAGATAAATATAGGCCGGGTGCAGTGGCTCATGCCTGTAATCCCAGCACTTTGGCAGGCCGAAGCTGGTGGATCACCTGAGGTTGACAGTTTGAGACTAGTCTGGCCAACATGGCAAAACCCCGTCTCTACTAAAGATAGAAAAATTAGCCATACATGGTGGCATGTGCCTGTAATCCCAGCTGCTCAGGAGGCTAAGGCAGGAGAATTGCTTGAACCTGGGAGGTGGAACTTGCAGTGAGCTGAGATCGCGCCACTGGACTCCTGGGCAACAGAGCAAGACTCTGTCTCAAAAAAAAAAAAAAAAAAAAAAGATAAATGTATTTAAAGATTATTTATTCCCTTATATATATTAATCCAGGAATAAACCTAACTCTTGTTATGTGCAAATCTACATTTGTGAAGACTATATAAAATATTTTATCTGAATAAATGAAGTGACATACCTTGTTTCTGCATGGAACATTCAATACTATAAAGATGTCAATTTTCCCCATACTAGTGGATCATTAGAATAAAATTTCAGTAAAAATTCCAATGCAACTTTGCTTTAGAACCGGATATGGGCATTTGAAATTCATCTAAAGAAAAGTAGAAAAAAAATTTGGTTTTAAAAAAGGAAGAAAAACTAAAAAATAATAACAGACTGGTCTTTCCAGAAGTTCTATAAAACTACAGAAATTAAAACAACTTGAGGCAGGCATGGAAGAAAAGGGATGAAAGGAGAAGATGAGACTTGTGCATATGACATTTCTATCGTTTAATAAATTTAATGATGAGACTTCTATCGTTTAATAAAGAGGGCATTTCAAATCCAGGATTAATGATGGTCTGTTCAACGAATGGTGCTGAGGATGGTATTTGGGAGTAAAAGACACAAAAAAACCCCTCTAACTTCAAGTCATAATTCTACTTTATATACAGAATATATTTTGCATAAGGATTAATGATCACATGAATTAATGAGTGACAGATGGAAAAAACAGGGATATGTATTTTATAATTTGAGGATGAGGAAGTCTTTCCTAAATAAGAAGTAAAACAGAAATAAATCATGGAAGAAAATTGACAGACTTGACATAAAGAAATGAAACAATTCTGTAAAATATTGTAAAATAAATTTAAAAAGTGAACCGTAGGCCCAGAGCAGTGGCTCACACCTGTAATCCCAGCACTTTGGAGGGCCAAGGTGGGAGGATGGCTTGAGTCCAGGAGTTTGAGGCTAGCCTAGGCAACATGGTGAGACCCTGTGTTTACAAAAGATTAAAAATTAGCTGGGCATGGTGGTATGCACCATCCCAGCTGCTACTTGAGAGGCTGAGGTGGAAGGGTCGCTTGAGCCTGGGAGGTCAAGGCTGCAGTGTGCTGTGATTGTACCACTGCACTCCAGCCTGGGCAACAGAGCAAGACCCTGTCTCAAAAGAAAAAAAAAAAGCGAGTATTAGGCTGGGAGGATGACATTTGCAGCATATATAAGAGACAAATAATATAAAATAGATAAGCAACCAAATAACTAACAGGGCAAAAGGATATAGACATACAAGCCATAAAAGAAGAAATATTAAGTCTAATGCACATATTAAAAGATTTTCATCCTCATGCATTCATGACACACAAATTAAGAATCATTGAGAACCACCTTTCATATATTGTATTGCTTAATACACAAAAGATTGATAATACCCAGTATTTCAAGGTGGTGGAGGAAAGGAGGCATTTTTATATATGATGGCACAAGTGTAATTCAGTGAACCTTGTATTTGAGAATAGCTTTTTAAATAAACCAGCAATTTCACATCTAGAAGTTGATTCTACAGAATGACTTATACACATGCCCATGGATATATGCACAAAGCATTATCTGTAAAACTGAAAAAAATTAGAGTCAGCTTAATGCCCACCTATGAAGGAATAGATAAATTATGGTTTCATTGTGCTATGGAATACAATGCATTATCAATAAGGATGAAGTAAGATGAAGCAGATTATAGTAGTGTATACTTACTACAAAAGAAATGTATGATACATCATGGAGTTAGAAAATTGTTGCATAAGTGTGTGCAGTAAATAGCTTGATTATATTTTATTTTCAAAAACTCTTGTTAAAGGAGGAAGATTTTTACCTTTTATTTTATAAACTTGTATATTGGTTCAAATTCATTACTATTTTTTGTTTGTTTGTTTTGTTTTGTTTGATACGGAGTTTCGTTCTTGTCACCCAGGCTGGAGTGCAATGGTGTGATCTCAGCTCACTGCAACGTCTGCCTCCTGGGTTTAAGCAATTCTCCTCCCTCAGCCTCCTGAGTAGCTAGAATTACAGGCGCGTGCCACCACACCTGGCTAATTTTTGTATTTTTAGTAGAGATGGGGTTTCGCCATGTTGGCCAGGATGGTCTCTATCTCCCGATCTATGGTGATCTGCCTGCCTCAGCTTCCCAAAGTGCTGGGATTATAGGCGTGAGCCACCGCGCCTGGGCACTACTGTATTTTTAAAACACATTTTTTTAAAAATTAAGGTATTTGAAACCAAGTATCACTAAGTCAATCCACTTCCACAACTTTTCTGCCTTTCCTGGAGGAACAATTATCTCCACTCTGTTTACGAAAGATTCCTGGAGAGCTTTTAGAAAACAGGGATGCCTGGGCTCCATCTCAGAGCAGTTAAGTTAGGATATCAGGATTTTCAAGATTTGGTCTGCAGACCAGCAGCAGCAACAGTATCTGGGCGCTTCTTAGAAGTGCAAAATCTCAGGCCCCACCCCAGACCTACTATTTCAAAGTTTTCATTTAAATAATACCCCCCTGGTGATTTGTTTGCACTTTAGAGTTTGAGAAGCACTGATTATTCATTTATTGCCTACGTGACCTAGAGTAAGTTATTTAATTTCTGTACATTTCAGTTTCCTCAACTGTAAAATGAAGGAAAGTATTATCTGTGAAAGCTAAATGAGGTTTTATTCATTTAAAGTGTGTGTAAAGTGCCCAGTGCCCTGCCTGGCACATGGTAGATACTCAGTCAATGGTAGCTTTTATGATGGTGTTTACATCTCAAATATTGGACCTAAAATAATGGCGCCTCAGTAGATTGTTGTCCATTTACCAGCTCCCTAGATAATCCTGCATGCTCTGTCTCTCAGTAAGATCTGGAGACAGATGATCAGGACACATGGAAAGCTCACCATGAGCGGGCTACTCTCCAGTACAGCCATGTGCTTCTGCTCCCACAAATTCAAGCGTGCCTTTACCAAGGGTCAGCTGGGCATGTGCTCTGCTGTTTATGCCAATAGTACTTGTTGCTGAGTTACATAATTTAATTAAATATTATGTAAACCAATGACATATGAGTATAAAAAGAGTGGTTGTTTCTATGAACCACTAAACTAAATGCTTTCAAAAGGCCTTTTACAGTTGTCTCACCCACACCCATTTTCATTTCAAAAAACGGGTGTGGGTGAGACAACTGTAGAAGACAAGAGAAAATGAATCGTATACATTTTAAACTATATTTGGGTTGTTTTGCAAATTTCTTAACATTTTCAATCCAATGTGAGGAAGCCAAAATTGGAACTCATAGTTGCTGTTTTGTGGGTGAGTTTAAGAAAGATCAGTTGCCTGTGCTTGCACAAAAGGTCTTGGCTCTACATCAAAAGATTGGGGATAAGTGTACATTTATATATCTCACGTTAAAATAAAATGCTTCAGGCCTGCTTACTGAAGGTTTGGAGCTCAACAGGCTACAAAGAGAGCAATATCGACTCCTCCCCAATCCCTCCTCCTTTATACCTACTGAATGGGCTGATTCTTTCCCTGTTCTTATATGAAGTCTCAAGCAGATCTCCCAGTCACTTAAAGGTTTTAAATATCCTGAGCTCACCTTTGGTCTTAACAGAAGTCTTATTTTAGTAATTAAAATGTTCAATTTAGTGTAATAACCAAATTCCAAATTTTTTACCCTCCCTGGGCTGACACCTGACTTTGGCCTACAAGCCTAGAGTGAGGGTCTTGGGAGTCTGGGGCTGGGGGCTTAGGGCATGGTTGGCATCTTTTCCTCTTCCGATGCTTCCCCTCACAAGCTGTCTTTCTATTCCCTCCAGGACTGGGCCCAGGGCTGGGGTTATGCAAAGGGCACATGGACGGAACCTCTGTGATCTGGCGTTGCTGCTCATTGAGGTTGAGTGCTCAGGGTGGACTCTCATGGGGTTCTTTGCCCCATGGGAAATCCCCACTGCACTGTCCATGATGAGGACAGCCACTCCAATGCCTGGCCACTTTCACTGCCAACACTCAGCCCTCTGGCTTTCAGTTGGAGGGGTCCTCTCTAGGTTTTTTTCCCCTAAGGACCTTCTCAAGAAGGCTTCAGGCTGGTTTCCTTACATGGACCCACGTGGCCAAGCTGAAAAACTCTCACATCCTTGTCTCATTGTTGGTGAAACTCCAACTTGCTCCTAGTGCCCTTGTTTTCCTCTTTGCAATTAACTAACTGCAGCTCCAACCACCATAGCTTACCTCTAGGAGAGTCAGACACCCAGAGTCTCCAAATATAGTTTGCAGATTTCTAAACATTGTTGTCTATGTGAATGGGACCTTCTAGAGTTGTGCATTGTACAACCTGAACAGCCATCCTCAGAGTTCAGACACTAGTCCACTGAATTCCAGAGGACATAGATCAAGTTCCTTATGTGACTCCCCCAAAGTCTTTCTCACTTGGATTAAGAAGAGGGGAAGCACACTTCTTCCCTCACCAAAAGAATGGGAAAATGCCACAATCCTTCAAAAACTTTCACCTTAGGAATCCTCGATTCTCATTCTCTGATCTCTTTAGCCTTTGTCTCAACTCTTGGCTCCATCTTAAATCTCTTCTAAGAGTCACAGAAGCAGTTGTTTTGGCAACCTGATTTGCATACTACACTTCAAAATATGAGTTTAATTCTGTTCTTAGAGCCTAGCCCTCCCACCCCCACAGATGGGACCAAAAGTGTTCCTGTTAAACCTTTAAGTGGCGTTTAAAATTATCTGAGCAACTGTGGATGAAGTTGCTGCTATACATGGAAATACTATATGTAGGAGAATTAGTCAACAGGAAGAATTCAGCCTTGTAGAAATCTTTCCCAGAAATGCTATTTTCCATGAGTACAATTGAGATCACCCTTGAAATATCTATCAGAACAAGTCTAAATAGACAGAGAAGGAAGCTGGGCTGAGGGGTGCTATTGGTATAGAGATTGACTTTGAATGTTCACATTTGCTATTATTTCTGTTAAAACTCAATTTGGAAAACATCAAAAAGTCACAAGAATGGAATAGTCTTAGCTTTTTTTTACTGCTTTATAATTTAAGATGATTGTGCAAGAAGTGTCAGGCCGAATATTTACCAATTTGCCTCATGCAAGAGCTTTGAACTCTATCAGAACCATGTCCCTAAACCACCAAGGATGCGGCAAGAGCCAGTCTTATTAATTCTGTCTGTTCTCTTGTCAAGTAATCTCATTTGCTCATTGGAATCCATGTCTCTCTAATTCTACAAGCCTACCTGTACCCTCCCTACAGAGGAGACTCTGTATCATAATTTTACAAAATGTTTTTGATTAGATGTAAGACAAATGATAGCCTTCTTTGTTCAGAGAATTTTAAAAAGGGTGACATTTTACCTGTCAACTATTATTTTTGCAAATTTCGTACCGGAGGAGGTTTTGGCTCTTGCTCTGCTGCTCTAGTTTTGGGAACTACCAAGGTAATGCCTTTAGACCTTTTTAGAGTTTTCACACTGATTGCTGATTTAAAATATAAATAGGTGAAATTATTGATGCTGTTGAACTTTTTAAAAATTAGTTTTCTTCTGCCCTTTAAAAGGCATTTAGTGATACAGTCACCTGGAGGTGGCTGTGTGCCCGGCTGAAAACTGGAGAATGCTAATACTAAGGAAAAGAAGGAAAACAGATGTTAAAGAGAAGCAACTAGCAACCTCTGCCACAATCCATTTTCTCCCTCTTTAGCCCTCTCCTCATCCAGACCTCCAAATTTGCCAAATCAAAAGGATTTTCTCACTCAAAAAAGCATCACTTTCACAACCCAGTAGAGAAAACCAAAAATTCCAGTCTCCATGACAATCACTGCTGTGGTGGCAGCCATATGATACTGCAGTCGAACACATCCTGCGTTCAACCACTGCTCACTGACACCCTTGCTTGAGCTATGAGATGGTTCCCCTTCCACAAGCTCAGCCACGTATCCCGAAGCAGAGCGCCACGACTGTGTTCTGATGGGCTTTACCCCTCATTCCTGGGCTGCTCCAGAACCGGCTTCCCCGTGGTGCAAGCTCAACCCAGTGGCCAGACCACCTCTTCTCTCCTGCTGAATTCCTCGTTAGGCCCTTGTCCTTTTTGGTGGGCTTTACATGTTGGGGGTTTCAAGGTCAGCACTGCAGGAAGCAAATTTCCTTGAAGCCCTTCAAACTGCAGTAAAACTACATGGCCACTGGGTGGAAAACAATACCTTGTTAATGACCCTGAAACCCAAAGAACAGGAGCTGCAAACATGTGACCTGTGTTTTTGTTTTGTTACCATGGACAATGTTGAAAAAAAATTAGTTGCCAACATTTAAAAATTAGAACATTTCACATGAAACGCTGAATTTCCAACTTGTATTATAATCTAGAAATTAGAATCTCTCTCCACATTCTGGGCCTGAATTCCTGCGTGGCAAAAGATAGTTAAAGTGTTTCTTGGTATCCTGTGATAATAAATGCATTTGAAAATGTGAACCCTGAAATTGTACAGCAGTGTCCAGTGATAAGTTGAATGAATAAACTTAAAAGTAACTTTAAAAAGATTATCCTGAAAGTAAAAGTCAAACTTAAAATTCTCATTGATGACTTGAAGACTCCCAATAATGCATTGCAGATTCACTTCCCAGGATGAAATATACTCTGTCAGAGTCCCCATCATTCACCTGGCAAATTCCTCCAACTCCTTCTGGACCCAGCCAGAAGCACTGTCCCCTGTACTGAAACTGCCCCAGTTTCCCCAGGCCAATTCTCTGTGTTTGCATTATACTGAAATACTACTTACCTTTTTCTGATTCAGAAGTCATCATTCATTTGTCTCCACGACTGACTTGTGAGCAATTTGAGGGGAAAAGATGGTAATTTATATAGTGTGTTCCTAGCAGCTGAGCCATAATAGCTGGTTAATGTTTGTTTGTTTATTTATTTATTTGTTTATTTATTTGAAATGGAATCTCGCTCTGTCGCCCAGGCTGGAGTGCAGTGGCGTGATCTTGGCTCACTGCAACCTCTGCCTCCTGGGTTCAAGTGATTCTCCCACTTCAGCCTCCTAAGTAGCTGGGATTACAGGCACATGCCACCATGCCCAGCTAATTTTTGTATTTTTAGTAGAGACGGGGGTTTCACCATATTTGTCAGGCTGGTCTCAAACTCCTGACCTTGTGATCCGCCCACCTTGGCCTCCCAAAGTGCTGGGATTACAGGCGTGAGCCACTGTGCCTGGCCGATTAATGTTTATTTAATAGCATATCATCCTTTAGTCTGTGATTAAATACCATTTCTAAAAAGAAACTTTCCTGGCTCAATCAACTTCCCAGAATCCCTGTTATGCCTCTCAGAATAGAATAGACTTCTCCTTCCTAATGTTACATGACGGGTAATTGTCTTAGGGAAATTATTTATTTATCATTGCTTTCCCTACCAGATCCGTGAGGCCAGGGTCTGTATTTTCCTGTTCCCCTATATTCCCCCCTTTGCCTAGTACAGTGCCAGGCAGCTACTCTCATGTGGTCAGATGGCACATTCACAACAGTCCTGGGTCATGAGCCTCCTACATGATGATCCTGCAGCTGCCACTTGCTCCTGTATGCCTATTCACCACCACCTACCTGTGTTTGCAAGTTCCATGAGGAAGGGCCCATGCCTCCTCCTGCTTATCACAGTGTGTCCAAATCAGTGCCTGGTTCAGGGCCTGTGTGTATGGGACATCTCCTAGGCACCACTTCACACCCTCTCAGCCCTACCTTCCACTCCAGCCACCACCTCAGCAACCAGTTCTGTGCAAACTTACACCCACTTTGTGTAGGTGCAATCTGTTAGTGCCTCACCTGGGTCTAGGCCATGTACCTCTCTGTTCCTGTCCTTGAGTTTCTCCAGCCAGAGGAGTGGGACCCTGTGAGAACACCCTGGCCACACAAGCATGCATAAGCCAGTCTGCACAGTGTTAATATTTGTGGGGCCATCCTTGGCCAATGTGGACAGTTACGAGACCCACTTTAGAAAGCTTCTCAGGAGGTCCGGCGGTTGGAGCATGGTCGCCTACAATACTGGCCAACTTCATAATACATCCTTGTACTGTCTTTCCCTCCTTCCTTCTGTCCCTGGTCTCTCACTCTTGCTCCCTGGAATCACTTCTCAAATAAACTACCTGTCTCTGGCTCTGCTTTTAGGGATATTCAGGTCAAGACATGATGCAACAAGTTTTTGTTGAATGACCAAGTGAATGAATAAAACTATAACCATGTTGGATACATAAGCATAGTTGGGTCACCAAAAATATCGTAAATGATTATTGGCATTTGTGTAGCTCCTGAGAACAGAATTATCTCCAGTAGAAACGTGTGAGAGACATTTCTATCCCAAAGAATCCATTTAAAAGAACTCACTTATTTAAAAAAAAGAAAGAAGAAGAAAACAGTGGGTGCCAGGGGCTGGGGCGAGGGGAGAATGAGGAGGGTTTTTTCATGAGTACAGTTTCAGTTTGGGAAGATGAAAAATTCCACCTTCCTGGGGATGGATGGTGAGGATGGTTGCACAGTGGGTATGTACTTAATGCCATTGAACTGTATACTAAAAATGGTTAAAATGATAAATTTGTGATATGGATATTTTACCACTATAAAATTATAAGTATAATACATTCATAACCATTAAAAAACACAATGGTCATAAAGAAACATTGGCAGGAAATAAATGCAAATGTTGATAATTCCTGTGATATGGAGGTAGAATTTCATCAAATATATTTTTTAGCTTCCAAACTTTCTCCACCATGGTTGTATTGTATTCCTAACCTGATAGCAGCAATTATTAGTAACTACAGTAATAATTATTAAGAATTATGGTATTAATAATTCCATTTTTCTTGACATGGCCTCAAAACATACATACATACATACATACATACATATAGGCTAACACTAAACTTTTTTTTATTTTTTTTTCGTATACTTTAAGTTCTGTGCAGAACGTGCAGTTTTGTTACATAGGTATACACATGCCGTGGTGGTTTGCTGCACCCATCAACCCGTCACCTACATTGGGCATTTCTCCTAATACTGTCCCTCCACTAGCCCCTCAACCCGACAGGCCCCGGTGTGTGATGTTCCTCTCCCTGTGTCCATGTGTTTTCATTGTTCAACTCCTACTTATGAGTGAGAACATGCAGTGTTAGGTTTTCTGTTCTTGTGAGAGTTTGCTGAGAATGATGGCTTCCAGCTTCATCCATGTCCCTGCAAAGGACATGAACTCATCCTTTTTTATGACTTCACAGTATTCCATGGTGTATATGTGCCACATTTTCTTTATCCAGTCTATCACTGATGGACATTTGGGCTCCAAGTTTTTACTATTGTGAATAGTGCCACAATAAACATACATGTGCATGTGTCTTTATATTAGAATGATTTATAATCCTTTGGGTATATACCCAGTAATGGGATTGCTAGGTCAAATGGTATTTCTAGTTCTAGATCCTTGAGGAATTGCCACACTGTCTTCCACAATGGTTGAACTAATTTACGCTCCCACCAACAGTGTAAAAGCATTCCTATTTTTCTACATCTTCTCCTGCATCTGTTGTTTCCTGACTTTTTAATGATTGCCATTCTAACTGGCATGAGATGGTATCTCATTGTGGTTTTGATTTGCATTTCTCTAATGACCAGTGATGATGAGCTTTTTTTCATATGTTTGTTGGTTGCATAAATGTCTTCTTTTGAGAAGTGTCTGTTCATATCCTTTGCCCAGTTTTTGACGGAGTTGTTTGTTGTTTTCTAGTAAATTTTTTAAGTTCTTTGTGGATTCTGGATATTAGCCCTTTGTCAGATGGATAGATTGTAAAAATTTTCTCCCATTCTGTAGGTTGCCTGTTCACTATGATGATAGTTTCTTTTGCTGTGCAGGTCTTTAGTTTAATTAGATCCCATTTGTCAATTTTGGCTTTTGTTGCCATTGCTTTTGGGATTAACACTAAACTTTGAATACAAAAGAATACATCATTAACTAGACTGCTGATTTTTAATAATGATAATTTAATGATGATATTGTAAAATTTTGTTTTGTTCTATTCAATCGCTCATTAATTGGGACTTAATTTTCAAGGAGCTGGAAATTAGACCAAAATCATCATATGGCTTGTTTTTATAAAGGATACGCTGATAACATACTATACTTTATGTAAAATGTGAACATTGAGGGAAGTAATGTGAAAGGCTCTTTATGAAAATAAGGCTAAACCCCAATAATTACTCCCTTAATCTCTTTATGGTCTCCCATTTTTTATGATTACTATGTATTTTTATTATCATTGATTCTATCTTAACATTGGTATTCTTCTTTTAAGGATACCAATGCTTTCTTCCTCCACAATTTTGGATTTAACCAAGTGTATTTATCCCTGGATATTTCCCTAAATTTAGTGATCAGTGCATTATACTCTATGAAACACTCCACTGAATCCTGCTAGGAGACAGTATTCTGGAATTCCAACCCCATTTCATAACAGCCACAATTCCTGTATTCTTGGGCAAATTGCTTTACTTTGCTTATGACTGACTTTGATGAATAATTAAGACAAAACTAAGAATTCCTATATGCATTTTCCAAGATTATTCTGTAGAATACTTGGGCCACATGACAGTCCCATAAAATTAAGTTTTAGGATCAAATATATGTGAAAAAAGACTGAGAATTTATCCTTGGCTTAGAGATCAACAATGCAGAATAGCACCTAAAGGCTCTGGGAAGTCTTTCACTAAAAAAGTAGTAATTTATCTGTTCTGATAAATATAAATATATATACACACATATATACATACATATATATATATATATATATCTGACTGCTGGATTCTTTAAAAAATTTATTATCAATTTTAACATAGCTTAGAACAAAGCGTTCTAAGAACATACTTTAGGAGACACTGATTTTACATAAATACAAGTTATTAATTCTAGAAAGAAAAAAAAGGCAAGAAGATCTTCTTGGTGGAGCAGAGAACTCCCTGTCATTGCAAAACCAGAAGTGGTTAGGTGGCTGCTTGCTGAGGATATTCTAGTCCAGTCTCCTACCCAAGGAAGTCACTTTTATAAAGGTGCTTCTAATTTCAAAATGGTATGACAATTAGAAAATGTGCCCTGATGGGAAGCCCTTCATGGCAAACTCAGTTGCCTTCATGACCAGGCAAGAAGAAGTAAAATCACTCAGGGCCTTGGTGCAGTACAAACCGTCGGTGGGTGATGGAAACTGTGAAGGGAGAGAACAACTGCCCTATCTAACGGGAGCAATCACCACTCAGCTTCAGCTGCCGTTCCCATGTAGATGAACAAGCCTAGCATTACTAGATAGTGTGATGATTCATGAAAAGCCTAAAATTTATATGTCAATGGAAAACTCCCTTAATTTTGAATATTAGCTCAATAAAATAGAAAATGAAAACACTGTAAAAGACAAACAAAATACTCATTGTAGGCCAAGTTTGACCCATAGGGCAATAGTTAGGAGTCCTCCTGTGTTTAGAAATGGGTAGCCCTACCCTAAATAATCTGAGACGGACAAGATGTCAGATTTCCTCTGCTTAGTTTTCACTAGCTTTCCTCCATTCTGGTTACCTGGTCACCTCTTGTTATGCCTGTCTCCTTGCTTGCTTAGGAACCAGATCGATTGGAACATGTTAAAAAAAAAAAAAAAAGAGTGAAAAGGCATTGAGTGAGGACATGAAGGGACATCTATGTAGAGAAAGCATGGATTTCAGAATAATAGATATTATAATTTATAGTATCTATTTTAGCAGCTCAGAGGCATTTTTTTTTAGTATTGTGCTCTTCCCAGCTGTTTTCCAGGTAGTAAGGAGTCACTGTGTTGCCTGAAAGTACTCACAGACTGCCATCAAGCTTTCAGAATGTAATTTTAATATAGTCTTCTGTTCAGAAATAACTCTTGCAATTTAAAACTGTCTTAAGACAACATGTAATTGATCTCAACATGCATAAACACAAGCCAATATGGTTTCAAGATTTTATGAATTTGGGTCTTAAAAAAAAAGAACAGGAATAAAAAATGATTACTAAGGTTTCACTTAAAAGGGATTGCATATCTCTTCTCAGCTTCTATAAATCTTTCATAATCATGTAGCTCTTGATCAGAGTGAAGCAAGCAGAAATATTTTAATAGAGTCAAAGGTCAGACTGTAGCTAAGTGGGTGAAATGGGACAGAGTGGCAGGCAAGCATTGGATGGGGCCATCTCTTCATTAGGGCAGTGAGTGAAAAGGATTTTTTAGTCGTTTAATCACCTTTTTAAGAAAATTTGACAGTGCAACTAAAGAGTGGATGATCTTTGGGGTCTTGTTTAATGTTACTTCAATATTGTTGAATTCCAGAGTTAGAAGGTCATTAATGCAAGCAAATGACTCATCACTAGAGTGACAGACTTTCTGGAGCATTGCCCAAGTATTCTGGCACCATGCTGGGGATAGAGATGTTAAAAAAATGAAGACGAGGAAGGAGACAAACACATTGTTAAAATGTAGTAAGTGCCAGGATAGACAGGTATACATCATTACAGAAGAAGGCACTTCACAGCCTGGGAGATGGGCAGGGGTGGGGGAGAGCCAGGCAGATCAGGGAAGGAGACACAAGGAGAAGGCAATTGGTAGGGGAGGTACGCCATTCAAAACTTGTTAAAAAGGAAAAGTTAAATCATTTTAACTCAATGTGGCCACATGAGCCAGTCTCTAACTTTTATTAAGACAAGTGCTCTGCCAGGAAAGCAGGTTCTCTGAATAATAGGCTTCTACATGCTAAAAGGGTTGACTTTTCTTTTCTTTTCTTTGCTTTTTTTTTTTTTTTTTTTTTTTTTTGAGATGGAGTCTCGCTCTGTCACCCAGGCTGGAGTGCAGTGGTGCGATCTCGGCTTACTGCGACCTCCGCCTCCTGGGTTCAAGTGATTCTCCTGCCTCAGCCTCCCAAGTAGCTGGGACTACAGGTGTGCGCCACCACACCCAGCTAATTTTTTGTATTTTTAGTAGAGACAGGGTTTCACCGTGTTAGGCAGGATGGTCTCAATCTCCTGACCTCATGATCCGCCCGCCTCAGCCTCCCAAAGTGCTGGGATTACAGGCATGAGCCACCATGCCTGGCCTGAGGGTTGACTTTTCAATGGTGCTACAGCAAATGAGAGTTTGGCATTCATATGCAGATTTTTTTTTAGACATGTTTTCTACGTTTTGAAAACTATGCCATACTGTGTAAGTGCTTGCAATAAATATGTTTTCTCCTTTGCAAGTGTGTCTTTACACTAGAATGGTGCTGCTGCCTCCAAAATGTCACAACAGAGCATGTGGTTTGCAAGTGCCCACTTACGTCAAGAACCTCTTAACTATATTGAGCACAGAACAAGTACAACTAGCACTTCTAGATACTATTGGGATAGGCTGTATGAATTCACCAAATTAGCTGCAGTTTCCATCAAAGTTTTTATTTCATTGATTGGACCCATTGTTATTTTTCCAAAGTAAAAATTCGATCAGACTTTTGAACACATTGTCTTGTTGCTGGAGTTATCTTAGCCAATGCTTCTCACTTAAAACTCATGTGTTTGAAATAATAAAACATATTTCTCTGTTTCTCCTTAAAAAGGCAATGTTTTGGCCAGGTGCAGTGGCTCACGCCTGTAATCCCAGAACTTTGGGAGGCCAAGGTGGGTGATCACCTGAGGTCAGGAGTTCAAGACCAGCCTTGCCAACACGGTGAAACGCTGTCTCTACTAAAAATACAAAAAATTAGCTGGGCATGGTGGTGGGCACCTGTAATCCTAGCTACTTGGGAGGCTGAGGAAGGAGAATCGCTTGAACCCAGGAGGCAGAGATTGCAGTGAGCTGAAATCACGCCACTGCACTCAGCCTGGGCAACAAGAGCGAAACTCCATCTCAAAAAAAAAAAAAAAAAAAGGCAATGTTTCATTTCTATTATCAGAAAATTCTTGGAATACAGACTTTCCTCCCACTTGTTTGGGGAGTCACTAACAGTTCCTTTTTCAGACAAAGATTACTTCTTCCACATAAAAGATGAAAAATGGCACTTGTCCCGTGTGACCGATCCCTGAGCCAGCCATTCTTAGTGAAGATGGATAAATACTGGTGTAACCCAGATGTCAGCTGAGGTCTCCCATAAAATTGGCTTGACCTTTCTAAGTCACAGCCATGGGGGACCTCTGTGTCCTTGCCAGGATTTCAGAGAATTTCCCAGGTCGTAGGCTCATGTCTGTCACCACTGACTCCAAGTTACTGCTCTGCTGAACTCCCCCTCATGGCCCAGCCACAGCTCTCCCCTCATGTCTGCTCTGTGCCAACTGGGGTGACTTTTCATTGATTCCACTCAACACACCGCCCAGGCATTTATGTATGGCAGACTTTACTGAAACTTTTGTGCTATGGAGAGCACTTGTTGAAACAGAATGCAAACGGCGGAAAATGAATCATTAGGCATCTTTGTGGTGGCAGGCCCTTCAACCACACAGCCATCAGTAATTCCTTGTTTTCCCACACACAACATCTTCCTGTGATGTAGCTCAGCCCCTGTCTTCTGCAAGACTCCTACCATCTCCATGCTTCCCTGTTTTCCAGGCTGTCTCCTCTCAGCTTCTCTCCCTCAATTCCCCTGCAATTTATTATGCAGAGCAGCTGAGCTCTGGAGCTAGCCAACTGAACAACCAAGGAGGAAAGAATCCTTTGAAAGGGTGCTGGGCAGCTCATAGAACCTCCGCTGTATGATCAGAGAACCAGGCCAGAAAAAGGGAGGGAGCAAAAGAAAGAGAAAACTCTGAAGCCAGGGTCAAGACCAACAGCTCCAGACACCACAGCTGCCTCCATGTCACAGCTTCATGTCCTAAAGCCTCCTGCTCTGGACCCAGGGATGCCACCACTGCCCCACTGCCAGTGCTGTTCATGCAAACCAGTGCTGCTGATACTGCTCAGCCCGTGCAATCCCCACTGCCAAAACAACGTCCTCTCTGCCTGCTTCTTTGCATCACTAGCTCCTCATTTCTAGTCTGGATGCAGGCATCTGATCAGCCAAGCCTATGTCTTGTACCCATTCTTGCCATAGCTGCACAGCAGCCTGACAAATGAAGCATCTGGTTTTTGGCTTCTATGGTGAAAGACAGACTTTGCTTTCTGCCTGACCTCACACAGTGGGAAAATCCACAACCATAGGAAAGGGGTTGAGATGTGGGGCAGCTGGAAGTAAAATCCGTCTCCTTCACCTTTCCACTGCCTATTTGGCTCCTGGCCTTTCTGGCTCCTTAATGACTTTGTACAACCAAAGACCTAATATAGTCATTGCTAAAAGGTCATCTTCTCAAGTCTCGCCTTCTAAGAACCCAAATCTGGGGCAATTTTGTTCTCTTAACCTTTCCTTTCTTTTGCCTGAAATGAAATTACCCATTTCATTAACCCCAATTTTAAAAACATGAAGGTCCATGCCCAAAATTAATGAAACCTTTCTCAGGTGTCCAAGGTGATGAGTCATTTATGTTCTAGCAACTATCTAAGAGCAACTTTCAGACAACTTCTGTCCCTAAAATTGTTTTTATTTTGAGCTATTTCTGATGTATCCTGGGATTATAACAGACAGAGCGGTCACAAGGGGAATGGATATTCTATAGATTCCCAAAGGTTGAATCTTCCATCCAAGCTTTACTCCTGCACCATTCACACACCTGCACTATTCACACGCCTGCCCTGCACTATTCATACACCTGCACCATTCACACATGTACAGTGTCCATACACCTGCAGTATTCACACACATGCACTGTCCATTCACCTGCACTGTTCATACAACTGCACCATTCATACACTGACACTGTCCATGTACCTGTACTGTTCACACACCTACAATGTCCATACACCTGCACCATTCACACAAATGCACTATCACCTGCACCATCCACACACATACACTGTTCATACAACTGCACCATTCACACACATGCACTGTCCATACATCTGCAACATTTGCACACATGCAGTGTTCATACAACTGCACCATTCACATACATGCACTGTCCATACACCTGCAACATTCACACATGTACTGTCTATACAACTGCACCATTCTCATACATGCACTGTCCATACACCTGGGCCAATCAAAACATGCACTGCCTGCACCATTCACACACATGCACTGTTTGTACACCTGCACCTTTCACACACTTGCACCATCCACACACCTGCACTCTCCAATATTAGCCAGTTATGGCTATTGAGTGATTGTAATAGGGAATATCCAAGTTTCATCACTTGAAATATACTAAAAAATGTAGAAGCCAGACCAAATTTTGAAGCTGTAGTACTTATTCTGAATGTAAAATATCTAATTACTAATTTTTATATTAATTATGTATTAAAATAGTAATATAGATATATTGACTTCAATAAAATGTTTTATTAAAATAAATGTCACCTGTTTCTTTTTACTTCTTTTTTTTTCTTTTTTTGAGATGGAGTCTCGCTCTGTTGCCCAGGCTGGAGTGCAGTGGTGCAATCTTGGCTCACTGCAACCTCCACCTCCCAAGTTCAAGCAATTCTCCTGCCTCAGCCTCCTGAGTAGCTGGGATTACAGGCACGCACCACCACACCTGGCTAATTTTTGTATTTGTAGTAGAGATGGGGTTTCACCATGTTGCTCAGGCTGGTCTCAAATTCCTGACCTCGTGATCTGCCTGCCTTGGACTCCCAAAGTGCTGGGATTACAGGCATGAGTCACCAAGCCTGGCCTCTTTTTACTTCTTAAAAGTAACCCCTAGGTCATTTAAAATTACATATGTGGCTTGCATCATGTTTATATTACACTACTCTACACACTGAAATGCACCTGTAAATTTCAGTCAATTAGTACATAGCCCTGAAGAATCAAGAAGCCTCTGAGACCAAAACAAGAAGCCTCTGAGACAAAACAAGAAGCCTCTGAGACCAAACAGTCACAGTTACACTTTTTGAAAACACTTATAAAATTATCTTGTGTGAACAAAATAAATCTATTCATCATTCATCTAGCAGTGTTCTAGATTAAGTAATTAATTAATTAACCATTATTGAGAATCTACTATGTGCCATACACTATGTTGGAGAATGGGACAACTGTGAACAAATCAGACTCAGCCACTGCCTTTGTGTAAAGTCAAGTAGTTAAGAGAGCACACCTGGGATCCTGACAACTTGGGTCCAAATTCTGACCCCATCCCTTACCAGCCATATGATCTGGAACAAGTTAAAACAGCCTTAGTTTTCTTATATATAAAACAGGAATTTTATCTGGTAAAGATGCTGCAAGAATTAAATTAGTAAAAGGCAAATAGAAGCATACTATGTTAGTCACCTAGTGCTGTATAACTTAGCAGCTTAAAACAACATGCATTTATTATCTCACTGATTCTTTGGATCAGGGATGGAGGCAGAGCTTCCCTAGGTCCTCTGCTTTAGGCTCTCTCACAAGGCTTCAATCAAGATGTTAGACAGGGCTGGGGCCTCATCTGAAGGCTTAACTGGGGAAGGATTGACTTCCAGGTTCACTAAATGATGATTGTCAGGATTCCTGTCTTTTGGGATATTGAACTGAAGGCTTTAGTTTCTAACTGGATGTTCCTTGCTTGGGCATCTCCAACCTGGCACTAGGCTTCATCAAAGCCAAGAGAGAAAGTCTGCTGTTAGGACAGATAAAAATCCCTGCCTTCATGGAGCTTACATTTGAACTGGCTGTATGGCAGAGAGTATCAGGAGGTTGGTGGAAGAGAGACAGGCACTAGCAATAGAAACAAATCTAAATTCCATTAAGGTTACATCCCCAAATTACGGAATGTTCATTCTAAAATGCCAATCTCATCATGACCCTCTTTTTTATTAAATATGCTCCAATTGGTAGACTCATTGCTTTAAAGACAAAGACAAAATTTCTTAATATTCACTACAACCTACTGTCCCATGCTGTGTTTCCAGTGTATCTACCATAGCAGTAGTCGAATGGTTACACAGACTAGCTACTCTGAAAATGATTTTTAAAGTGTCTTAGATTTTCCATTTTTTGCCTTTTATTCTTCCACTTGTGTTCATATCTTAACATTATATTATATTGAAAGGAGCATCTCAGTGATGTTCCAGTAAAACTGGAATTAATAGTCTTGAACCCTTGAAGAAGATAATATTGGTACCAACATCTTCTTGAAGGCCCTTTCCATCATTATATCATCATTATCATAAATACTGATATAAGGCTGACTTTTATTACAATTAAAACGGGATTGAAGGCCAAGGCAGAAAGATCACTTGAGACCAGGAATTTGAGACCAGCTTGGACAACATACTGAGATCCTGTCTCTACAAAAAACAAACAAACAAACAAACAAAGATGGAAGGTTCTGACCCTTTACCTGAGTCAAGGAGGTGGGACCAAGTAGAATTTCTTAGAAGCAAACCATAATAGAAGCTTCTTTGATTTGCTCCTGGCGCTTTCTGTGCTGGAGATCTATGGGTAGAAGCAAAGAATTAAAAAAAAAATCCAAATAGTTTTTCCTACTAAAAAATTGGTGGGAATTCCAGCAGAAGTAGTCAATAGACAGATGCTATCCAGTGAATTGAGAGTCTCAGGTGAACTGGAGACTGGCACATATAGAATCAGAGCCTTAGAGTTGGAAAGATTTCAGAGATGATGCAGTGCAAGCCCCCAGCCATAGACAGAGTCCCTTCAATGTCACACCAGTCCTGCAACTTCTTTTACTTCCACCCTTCTAATTATAGAGAACTGGCTCTTTTACAAGGCTGCCATTTTCATCATTAGAGCCCAGCTGTTATCTGCACTCTTCTTCTTTATTTTAAGGTATTTCCCCGGAATTACTGCACATTAAAATTTTTGACATTTTAGGCTACAGAAATTTTGACTGAATCCTCTTGCTGTACAACAGCCCCCACAACACTTGCTCTCAGGTGTCTCACTTATCTTAAAAGTCCTCTCTTTGTCATACTTCTCTTCAGATGTTTCCAACATGCACCGCCTCTGAAGTTTTTTTGTTCCAGCCATCTCTGTAGGATGAAGAGTAAGTTCTCAGAGTGCCAAGATAGCAAAGTGATGCTTAACACATCATCTGACTAATGAAGAATAATTAGAACATTTATTTTCCATGATCTATTTTTCTATTATTGTAGCTTAATATCATGTTAACTTTTTAAGCAACCATTTCACACTCTTGGTGCCCATTAAAATTTGTAGTCAATTATAATCATTGAATTTTTTTTCTCATGAAGTGTTGCCAAAGTAGATATTTCCCAACCTGCATGTGTGCTAGAGTGTGTGTTAATCTCAGACCTCTCTGTGATCACTGGAAAATCGCTGGCCATAAACCTCACTTTATTAAACTCTAAAATGAGCCTAATAATGTTAGAACCACATGTGAGGTGCTGTAGAAAGTACCATATCTGGTAGATACGTGCTCCTCTTATAAAGAATAGGCTATTTATAACCACTATCTTCTCAAAAGACCGTAGGTGACCAGGCTAATTACCTTTCCAAAAACTAATTTTTAATCCACAGCCTTCCCTTCTCCTTACTCTACTAGAATCCCTGCTTCCAACAATTAAACATCCATCGAATTAATTTTCTTTCCTCTCACACAGGTTGATTGAGCTCTTGACTTTCTTTCTTTCTTTCTTTCTTTCTCTTTCTTTCTTTCCTTCCTTCCTTCCTTCCTTCCTTCCTTCCTTCCTTCCTTCCTTCTTTCTTTCTTTCTTTCTTTCTTTCTTTCTTTCTTTCTTTCCTTCTTTCTTTCTTTTCTTTTCTTTTCTTTTCTTTTTCATTTTGAGCAGCTGGTCAGTTCAAGAAACCCAACCCCTCTCCACCAACCGGAGCCCCGCCCCCTGCCCCCGGCTGGCTGGAGAGTTGAAGGCCAAAGACGGAGAGGAGGGCGCTCGCTGCTCTGCTCCCGGGCCAAAGCGCAGGCTCGGCCTGCCTTATCCAGTGGGACGGCAAAGGGTCACTCTAAAAATTGCTGCAGCCGGGTCTTGTCAGGTGGCTGCTGGTGGCTCCCCACCGGATTTTCCTTCTCCCTCTCTCTATCTCCACAGATCCCTTCCCAAGAGGAGTCTCCTGCTAAAACTTCATCATCTCAAGTTGACCTGCCACTTCACCCAAGGAGGGTAAGGAGCTGGGACCAGAGTCGCCAATTCCTGCCTTCTAGATCCTGGGGTGTGTGTGGATGTGTGGGTGGGAGAGGGTGGGCTGAGTGTTTGTGGTTGTAGAGCTATTTTACTGAAGGGAGTCTACAGCTGGGTCAGGTGGTTCATGTCCCTAATCTGAAGTTGGGAGACAGAAAACATTTTTTTGAAATCTGAGAAATGTAACGTGTTAGGAGAACTTCACGGTAACAAAATGCATGACAATGATGCCCTACAAATGTAAAACCACCTGTAATTTCTAACAAAAATTCTAAATCTCTAAAGCTTAAGATATATTTTTCTTTCACTACTTTATAGAGAAGGAGAAGGAGAGAAAATTCTTAGGCTTTGTTCACAAAGTTTAGAATTCTACCTTTATTTTTATCAAGAATCATTTTAACATTTGTTACTGATCAGTTTGGATGAAATGTTACCAGTTTTAACTAAATCTGTAGCACAAAACTCAGACAACTCTGAATTCCCAGAAATATAACCTATTGATGAAATGGAAATATCCTTCCTAAAAAAAAAAAAAAATTTGTTATTTGGCTAAAAAATAGGTTTTTGTCTTAAATGTGCACATATCATTATGCTGACATATATTTTATATTAAAAATCATGTTGGAAGTGTAATGGTGAAGTGGAAACCACCCCCCTACACCCCACCCCGAGGTTGGACTTAAAATGGCAAGCCACAGAAGCCAGGAGGGTTTCTATTCCTGGAGGTAGGGCTGATGAGCCCCGACAGATGCAGCGATAGGAATGTGGCCAGGACAGGGAGCAGGCGCAGCTGATTCGCCCCTTTGGCAAAAAGACATTCTGGGATCCCAGTTCATACTGGCATGAGAGTGACAGTGACACTTTAGCACACATGGCTTTCCAGTTTACCCTGTTGTGGACTCCCAGGAAGCATGGGTGCAGGGCAGTGGGAAGGAAAATGTTCTCAAATATGAAGTAACAACTCTTTTCTATAACCAGTTCTGGGGGTCTTCATCTGGGATCAGCTGGGGCCAGGAAGAATTTAAGTGCAATACTTTCACATGGACTTGCCCACTTACAGACAAGGGTCCAATTATGTACCATTGCTTGGCAGCATTATTCTCAGTCCAGTCATTTTGGATCTATTTCGGGTTATGGATCTCATGAAAACGCTGAGCCCAGTGTGTGGAAAGTACACATAAACATATGCACACAGTATGTTTCAGACTATTCCGCAGGACTCATGGACTCACCTGATACCCAGCCCTGATCAGGAATGCCAGATACAAGTCAGGTCATCCAGCTACATTTGAATTTCAGGTAAGCTACAAATCAACTTTTAGCATAAGTATGTCCTCAACACTGCCTGGGACATACTTATACTAAAGTATGATTCATAGTTTATCTGAAATGCAAATGCAACTTGACATCTTGTATTTTTATTTGCTAAATCTAGCTGTTCAGACCCAGACATATAGATCCCATGTAAAGAAACCTTGTCTCAGTTCGTTCATCCCTATCTGATAATGAGTAGATTCTAAAGATATGGAAGGCCATATTACAGGGAGATTTAATGTAGGAACAGATTTTGACAATTCTGACAGCAAAAGTCAGCTGTGTATTCATAACTGTCTGCAAAATTATAGAAGCAAAAGTAATGCATCTCCTTGTTTGACAGTTGATTATACTGAAATCCTGATAGGTTGGACGTTCTGCTATAGGTCTATCAAGTGGTTAGAGCAGAATGAACACCGAAACCCAATTTTCAGTTCTATGATAATCAAAAAGGCATCAGTCTTAAAACTCAATTTCTAACCTCCTCTCCCTCCAACACACAAAATACTAGGAAAGAAAAAGAGCCAGTTTACTAAAGTTTTCAACAAAACCCAAACAAAAACTTTGTACTGTGTCCTTGTGTCCTATATACAGCCTTAGAGAATAGAATTGTAGTTAACTTAGTGCATAGAGTCTGTATACTTTATAGATAAAAGTTAGGCACAGCCTCTAGCTAAGTTGAACCATATGAGATTGAAAGTATTTGCTTTTAAACAAAAAATGATAATTTCATATTCAATCTAATACTTCTAAAGGAAGTGCTTGATTATCTGATAAACAGATTCATGCAAGCCCTCCTTGTCCCTATTTATTTGGCTTACCTAACCTATTGGATTTTCACATTCTTACTACCCTTAATAGGATAAAGAAATCCACAGGATCGATGTGTCCCCAAACAAATTTATTTTACATTCAAAAAGGTAACTCTTTTATTCTAGTATTTGGAACCAGAACGAACCATTTCATGTTCTCCATATCAAAATTTTAAATTTATAAACACCAGCTATACCTTGCACTGTCTCTATCTTCCCATGTTAGAAAAAGCTAACTTTTAACCTACTACAGTTTTTACCCTACCCTGGATTTAAAGAAGACAATATAGGGGCCCAGGGTTTCCATGGGTTTGAATTTTGCCCCAGCACACACTGCACACTTACTTATGTGATATTGGACAAGTTTTTTTTACTCTTTCTGATTCTTAATTTCTTCATTTGTAAAATGAACATAATATAACCTACCTTTTAGGATATCTGTAATATTTAAATTTAAAAACTAAAATGATGTAAAGTGCTTAACCCAGGGCCCAGCACATAGTACACCCTCGATCAATAAATGCTAGCTATATAGCTGTTTTTTAGGTGAAAATGGAGCTATCCATTCACATTAAATACATAAAACAGTTTCCTGCTTGGTGATGTATATTTAAGAATTAATATACTTAAATTTGGCAAATACAAAAGATGAGGAAAAATGTAATGATTTACGTAATTCTGCCCAGCTGCTTATCAGGTGTTGAATACATGGCACTAGAAATGGCCCAAGAGCCAGGATCTGCAGTAGGCATGGGGAGGGGAGTGTGCAATTGCATCTCTGTTACCCTTCTGCCCAGTTTCTAATGGGCAGCTCTTCCAGGGTAGTCAAGAGGTTGCTCTACGTGATAGCAGATACAGCAGAGGGAGAGGAGGCTGTGGAGTCCATAGCCAGGGAAGGTGAATGCTCTGGGCTTCCTCCACAGAAAGAAAGGATAGCTCCAGTAGCATAGGGACCCTTCTACAACCCTCTGCATCCTGTGCAAAGTCTTTTCTTTGACCCAAAAAGGGAAGGGACTGGCAGTGCTTCCAAATAGCTGTTCATCCCATTACACAACCTCAGCTGCTCTGGCTAAACCTGCTCCTCCTTCCAGAATTCCTACTGGCAGGAACAGTGTGAAAAGTGCAAGCCACCAACAGTCCTGGCGGAAGCTTGTAAAGTTCTTCCTTCCTTTGATCCCAAAAGGTAACATATTAGAGCCCCCCTTAGGCAGCCAGGGAGAACCAAGCCTGCTGTCATTTAGGAAAAATGGAGAAATGGCCTTCACACTCTCCTAGCCACTGGCAGCTTAACAAAGATGCATGCCTGGCCATGCAGACCATAACCTGAGTCAAAGCCCTCCCTAGGGTATACTAATCATATCCTGGCTGATGGCCCTGGCTACTGAGCTTGGACCCTGGCTACCAAGCTTGGGGATGCCCTGAGCAGCTGACAATAAGACCTTCACTCCGTTAAAAAGAAAAAAGAGAGAGAGAGCTTTAAAAAAAAAGAGAGAGTAAGTAAAACCCTCATCCAACTTTGCAAAGTTAAAATATCAATTGAATCAAAAAGAATGGAATGTTTTCAAAATGTATTGCTCAGCATGTAGGTTATACTCTATATATGAACACACACATGTAACTCATTTTCGTAACACCTCTTCCTCACAGCCACATTTTGACTGTCACTGTGACTATCATTGATGATGACCTAGAAGTGCACAGTGAACATTTGTATCATCGTAGAATAAAACAGTGAGAGTTCCTGTATGAATTGCTCTGACTACATGTTAATATGTGACCTGGTTACTGGATAATATGGTTTTAAAAATACTCAGATTTTCCAGCCATCTTCTATTAGCCCATACCATCAGCCTTGAAGCCCAGCACTATGACCAAATTAGTAAATTGAAGTGAATTAAATTGTTCCACTTTCCTTTCCTGTACATATATATTACTTTGCTGGCCTTTTATGACTTCTTTCCTTAAAGATTGCCCTTGCTCTTAACTTAAACATGATTGTGGAAAACTCATGGTTGGTCAAGTGGCATGCTGTGTGTCTGGGTGGGTGTGTGTTTGTTTGCACCCAGTGTGATGTACCTTGTGTCTGTACCCAGAAAGGCTCCAATGTGAGAGGCCGGGAGAGTTTGTTGAAGCCTTTCCTGTATGCCCCATGACAACATAGCCTCTGGGTTCTGATCCCCCATAAAGAGGGAGCTAGTCTTTTCTGTAACAGGGCCTGGAGCATAAGATGTGGCTTATTGATTCTTACTAGACTACGGTTCTCCTTAAGTTGAGAAAAGCAGTGGCTTTCGGTGATGCAGGAGCAGTGCCACAGGCAGAGCATTTATTAGGACATAGGAACAAATGAACAACTCTGCAGCCCTGAAGTCAACATCAGAGCTTTGTTCAGCTTCAAAGCAATGATCCTGATCCCCAGGTTCCTCTGAAGGATCTGCAGCAGTGTCCTTATTGGAGGAACATGGCACAGACTGAGAACACTTGGGTGGGTAGATGGACAGCCTTACCTATGAGTTGCAGACCCGGCAATGAGATATCATGGTAGCTCTAAAGAAAGACTGAATTTATGAGTTTACATAGGAAAATTCGGCCACAAGAAAGTTGTTTGCAGGCTTTGATTTCAACGGTTTCTTTTCTTTTCTTGAGACAGAGTCTCGCTTTGTTGCCCAGGCTGGAGGGCAGTGGTGCAATATCAGCTCACTGCAACCTCTGTTGTCTCCCGGGTTCAAGTGATTCTCCTGCCTCAGCCTCCTGAGTAGCTGGGATTACAGGTGCATGCCACCACATCCAGCTAATTTTTGTATTTTTGGTAGAGACAGGGTTTCGCCATGTTGGCCAGGCTGGTCTTGAACTCCTGGCCTCAAGTGATCCACCCGCCTCGGCCTCCCAAAGTGCTGGGATTACAGGAGTGAGCCATGGCACCCAGCCTGACTTCAAGTTTCTTAAATGGTCTCCTGCCTGTTCCTCTCCTTCTCCTCATTTTGGAGAGAGCTAAATAAGCCAGTTACCTCTAAAGAGTGATTTCACAGGCTTTAAAAGCCTTCTTTTCATTAAAAAAATATATAAATACATAAGTGTTTGCACATGTGTATCTATCTATAAGTTTTCAGTAATGTTATAGATTACCTGAACAACATTATCAATTGCCCTGATTTAATTGATATTTATAGAACATTACACCCAACAACTGCAGAATACAAATTCTTCTGAAATGCACATGGTATATTCAGCAAGTCAGTATATATATACATATATATAAATATATGTATTCTACAAAGGCTACTCTGATAGAAATTTGTATGTGAATTATAGAAGGACACTTATTTACAAAACAGAAACCATGCATATCCGGGAAAAAGAGTAGATCTGCCCATTAACTGGTTAGCTCGGATTCATTTGTCAGACTAGCTAATGTATCACCCAGAGGGGTCTTACAGAAATAGGACAAGCGCAAGAGACTATAAAGAAAAAGAAGGGCATGGAAGTTCCCATGGGTGGAACAGGCCAGGGCTGAGTCAACAGTGGGAACACCAGGAGCAGCATGAAGGTCAGGCAATGGAGGAAAGAGAAGCCATCAATAGGAAGTAAGAGAAAGAAAATGGAGAGAGAGAGCTTTTACTGATTTCACTATTTCATCTAGCCTCAAGTTGCACTCTCTCTTCCTGGAGATTTCTTAGTCCTTCTAGACTGCATATGAATTTATCAGGTTCAAGCCTTCCTGGCATCCAACCTCCTGTATGTATTGACCGAATATTACCTGCCCAACTGTCTCCCTCATGACCTCAGCCATCTCTGAATGCATGTGACAGGCTGAGTCACACCTCCTTGCTTCAACTTGAAACATTTCCTCTACTTCTAATAACCTTCTCCCTCCTATACATGCTGCTATTTAAGACCCTTCAGTTACCAAGACCCAACAAGATTCATGTTATCTGCAAAACCTCCCATTCTAACACCACCCCACCACAATAGTCCTTTTTATTTGAATCCTTAAATCCAGACACACAATCTGTTCCATGTACTCTTGTTTTGCTCACCTAACCTATAACCAAATGCCCCAAGTTTTCTGAACTTTCGGGGTTAGCCCTACCTATCAAAATAAAAATAATCTGTTTCTCAGGCTGTGTATTTGTATGTATTTCTTTTCTCTCCCTGGTGTTTTTTAAAAATCTCATAGAAATATTTACACATTCCAGAAATCTTCCCTTTGTTGCTGTTTGCCACTTCTTTTCTGAGTCACTATGTGACTGTCCCATATTGCCTCCTGCACCTCATGACTGTTTGTCCATGATGTGGTGGCTTTCTCTGATTCACTTCATTCTAAAGCTTAAACAGGCTCCTTTCTCTATTCCCAAAGACAACTAACAAAGGCTATTGCTTGTCATGAAAATGGTTCAAATTTTTTTGAATATTCACTTTTTGTCAGGTGCTCTGCAAAATGCTGTTACAGGCTCCTCATTAGACTTCACTGACAAACCTAGAGGCAGGCACTATTATTATCTTCTCTTAAGAAATAAGTTGATGGAGACTGTAAGAGGCTAGGTAATCTACCAAAAGTCACACGGTAGATAAGTAGTAAAATTGGTATTTATGTTATATTTTCATTGTCATCCTATTTGAAATATTATAAAAATTTCTCCTGTGATTTCTTTTTTGACTCATGGATAATTGAAAAGGAAACTGTTTAATTTTCAAGTATTGAAAATTAAATGGCTTTCCTAGATAGCTTATTGTTATTAATTTCTAATTTAATTCTATTCGGATCACAAAGTATGCTGAAATACTAAGATCCCTCTCTAAATATTATATGTATATCAAACAAATTGAAATAGTCAAATAGCTACTGCCCTGAACTTCTCTGAGTCCCTCCCACCCTTCCACCCTCTCCTCGGTCTATTATCTAGTAACTGAAGAATTACACAGTGTACCTTAGGGGGACTGCTGGGACCCAGGTCCAGCACTGTGGCCTGAATCCATTCTGGTTAGTAGATATCCTGTTTTATCAGAAATTAATATTTTAAATATCACCCTTACATGCTACTTATGAAACAACATCTTAATGATGGATAACAGAGTATTTAGAATTTCAGTCTGAGGCACTCAGATTACTCCCCAGGCTCAGGATTTCCTCTAAAACAATAAGCATTTGCAAGCCCTGTATCTACATGAATAAAAAAAAATGGCCACAGGAGTTCTTCCAGGAACACAGACAGGACTTTCCCCCCAAAATTTTCTCTGCTGTGCTAACCTAGCTCCTTATTGATATTTTGCATTTGCCATGTCTTGTGTCTCTAATATAAATTACATCTTGTACTGCTCCATCATTCCCAGCACTGGGCTGCCCACACCAAGATGGATATCTGATAACTGCTTGCTGACAAATATTCAAAAGTTTCTCCCAGAAAATCCAACAAAGAGACACTCAACACATAAGCTAATGCATTTGAGCATTAAAATGATAGAGGGTTCATAATCTATTTTCACAAGGTAAGGATGCATTTTGCATTGTTTGCAAAAAAAGAATGAGAAGAAGGATGTATGTGCTACAGCCTTGTAAAAAATATAAATGTGAATATGATAATTGGAGCTTAAAGAGGAAAACAAAAGCACTGGAAAAGAATTAGACCATCTCTATTTTCTGCCTACCTGCTACTCTTCTTCTGCATGGATAGGAACAGGAGCAAATACAATAGAAGGGCTACAAAATTACTTTAACACATACACCACCCATCAAATTGAAAACCCTTCAAGGAGAGCCAAAGCTGAGTTTTACCCCTCAGGATGAAATTACAATGGGATTTAAAACACACACACACACACACACACACACACACACACACACACACACAAAACAAAAACAAAAAATTGTAAACCACCTAAATACATAAATGCTTATCAACAGGATAATAGTTGAACAATGTATGATATACCCTTACTATGCATTACTATGCACCGATTATAAGGAATGAGGTGGATTTATACATGTACTGCTATAGAAAGGTGTACATGAATTACTACTAGTGAAAAGAGAAAATTGTTGAATAATTAGCATAAACCTGTTTGATATAAGTTTTCTATAGTGTTATGTTGGAGCTGGCTTGCACTGGCTCACAAGAGCTGATTGATGAATTTTCAGAAATTTGGTAAACTAATTGTTAAGCAGTTGATAGCTTGAAATCAGTCATGATGAGAGTATTTGCACCAAAGAAATCATCAGATTAGGCTGGGCAAGGTGGCTCATGCCTGTAATCCTAGCACTTTGGGAGGCCAAGACAGGTGGATTGCTTGAGCCCAGGAGTTTGAGACCAGCCTGGGCAACATGGTGAAACCCATTCTTTTCAAAAAATACAAAAAAGGTAGACAGGCATAGATAGTGTCATGCACCTGTAGCCCCAGCTATTCAGGAGGCTGAGGTGGGAGGACTGCTTGAGTCCTGGAAGTCAAGGCTGCAGTGAACCAAAATCACACCACTACACTCTAGCCTGGGTGATAGAATGAGACCCGATCTCAAAAAAAAAAAAAAAAAAAGTTAAAAATACTTGTTTTCCCAGTCTGTTGCTTGCCTTTTAAGGAGTCAGTTTTGTTTCATGGCTTTTATTTTTCTATATTCTGATATTTCAGTCTTTTCTTTTATAGCTTCTGGATTTTGTGTCAGCTGAGAAGGGCCTTCCCTAACCTAAGTTATAAAAACAAAAACAAAAACAAGATCCCTAGCTTGTTCTGGTCTTATATAAGTTTGTGTATGTGTGTATGTTACTTAGATATTTAATTCATCTGGAAGTTATTTTAGTGAATATATAGAGTAGCAAATCAGTTGACCTAATGCTGCCATTACAAGTTCTTTCTCATTGATTTTTAAGTGCCACATTTATCTTAATATATATACTTACACACACATACACTATATAAATATATAAATATGCACACACATATATACTGTATATATCTACACACACATACACACATATACATATATGGGTTTCTACCCTTTATTTTGTTCTTCTGAATTTATAGGTTTCTACCTCTTATCTTATTCCACTGAATTTCTTTTTATTCCTGATCCAAAATTTTTAGTTCCTCTAATTTTTTGCATCTGGTAAGAATTCCTTTATTTTTAAACAAAATTCCTAGATGTTCTTTTATACTCACTCCCTCAGTTAAACTCTGAAATCATTTTATTAAGTTCCAAAAAGAAAAAATATCTTATAGAGGTAGCAACTAAAATTTCACTGAAATGACATCCATCTCTTCATACAGGAATGTAGAGTCCCTGTCTGTTAAATCCTCTGGCAAAATCCTATAGTACTTATATGTGTCTCACTAAATTAGAGTCAAGTATATATATCTCTTAAAATATAACAGGTTTCATTGCTACTGCAAATAAAATAATCTTTCCATAATATTTTCTACATTTCACATGTATTCCTGAATTTTAGTATTTTACTGAGGAAAATCTTCAGAGTGTTTATAATTCACTTTTTCATGACAGTAAACTAAGCCCTTTAAATGATATTTAACTACTATTCTACTATATAGCTCAATCAGAAAATGTTGGTTGGGTATAGTGGCTCACATCTGTAATCCCAACACTTTGGGAGGCTGAGGTGGGCAGATCACTTGAGGCCAGGAGTTCGAGACCAGTCTGGCCAACATGGTAAAAACCCATCTCTACCAAAAATACAAAAATTACCTGGGCATGGTGGTGCACACCTGTAGTCCCAGCTACTTGGGAGGCTGAGGCAGAAGAATAGCTTGAACCCGGGAGGCAGAGGTTGCAGTGAGCTGAGATCATGCCACTGCACTCCAGCCTGAGCGACAGATAGAGGCTCTGTCTCAAAAAAAAAAAAAAAGAAAAAAAGAAAAAAGAAAGAAAGAAAATGTGGTCACTTTTTCTATATAATTACTTGGCAATACAGTTATGGAGAGATTTCATTTGATAACATAAATCTTCCTAGAATTGTCTTCAATGCTTCATGCTGAAGTAAACTGTCTGTAAAATGTACATCTAGTTTAATATGTCTTTAAATCTATTTTAAAAATTAATCTATTTTATGCCATGAAAACTATTATCTTTTGAAAAAGTTTCTCAATGTAGTATTTCAAAGTCTAAAGCACAATTAAAACAAAACCATGTTTTTTTTTTTCTCTTTTTAGCAAGCTCTTGCCTGTAACAGTGTATTTGCCAACATGGCACCCAAAAAGAAGATTGTCAAAAAGAACAAAGGAGATATCAATGAGATGACTATAATCGTAGAAGATAGCCCCCTAAACAAACTGAATGCTTTGAATGGGCTCCTAGAGGGAGGCAATGGCCTTAGCTGCATTTCTTCTGAACTAACAGATGCTTCTTATGGCCCCAACCTCTTGGAAGGTTTAAGTAAAATGCGGCAGGAGAACTTCCTATGTGACTTAGTCATTGGTACCAAAACCAAATCCTTTGATGTTCATAAGTCAGTCATGGCTTCATGCAGTGAGTATTTTTACAACATCCTAAAAAAAGACCCGTCAATTCAGAGGGTGGATCTCAATGATATCTCACCACTAGGCCTGGCCACTGTCATTGCATATGCCTACACTGGAAAGCTCACTCTCTCCTTGTATACAATAGGAAGCATTATTTCTGCTGCTGTTTATCTTCAGATCCATACTCTTGTAAAGATGTGCAGTGATTTTCTGATACGGGAGATGAGTGTTGAGAATTGCATGTATGTTGTTAATATTGCTGAAACATACTCCCTAAAAAATGCAAAAGCAGCAGCCCAGAAATTTATTCGGGATAACTTCCTTGAATTTGCAGAATCGGATCAGTTTATGAAACTTACATTTGAACAAATTAATGAACTTCTTATAGATGATGACTTACAGTTGCCTTCTGAGATAGTAGCATTCCAGATTGCAATGAAATGGTTAGAATTTGACCAAAAGAGAGTAAAATACGCTGCAGATCTTTTGAGCAATATTCGCTTTGGTACCATCTCTGCACAAGACCTGGTCAATTATGTTCAATCCGTACCAAGAATGATGCAAGATGCTGATTGTCACAGACTTCTCGTAGATGCTATGAACTACCACTTGCTTCCATATCATCAAAACACATTGCAATCTAGGCGAACAAGAATCCGAGGTGGCTGCCGAGTCCTCGTCACTGTTGGGGGACGCCCAGGCCTTACTGAGAAGTCCCTTAGCAGAGACATCTTGTATAGAGACCCTGAAAATGGATGGAGCAAGCTTACGGAAATGCCAGCCAAAAGTTTTAATCAGTGTGTGGCTGTGATGGATGGATTTCTTTATGTAGCCGGTGGTGAAGACCAGAATGATGCAAGAAATCAAGCCAAGCATGCAGTCAGCAATTTCTGCAGGTACTTGATCTTTTATTAGGAACTGAAATGGCTCAATATTATAGGGAAATAGCCCTAACATAGAAGTAAATTAATCTTGCTTATTAACTTAGTCCATTGGCTTAGTAAATCAAAAATAATAATAATGCCACCTTACGTATGTTCAGCACTTTATATTATATAAAGTACATTCATTTATATTTTGCACTATAGATTTCTGAAACAAGCCTGTGAGGTGGGCGGGGAAGATATAATTATTCTGATTTTACATATGAGAAACCTGATACCTAGAGAAGTTATAACACCAGTAAGCGGCAATTCACATTTACTCACTTCTAGTTGGGTACTCTTCACAATACACTGACTTTTGATAGAAATTAGATACAAATTCAGTTTTTAACACTAAGTAGTAAGAAAGAATAGAATAATACAAAATGTATTTTAAGTGACTGCTACTGACAACTGTCAAATTCATAATTGGCAAATAGAATGAGATCATTAAAAATGTGGCAGCTAATTAATTTGAAATACTTATTTGAAAACCGAATAACAGAAAATGTGTCAGTATTTTTGATACATACAGAAAAGAGTAAAAGAGTAAAACACATCCTTCAGAAAAATGGAATTCAAATGCCATATTATTTTATATATTTATGATTAAAAATTAAACTTCCATTCATATGAAATGTTCAGAAAATCATGCTTATATCATGGTAGTAGTACAAAGTCAAACATAACTAATGAGCAAGATCTGAAAATTTGTGTAGTATTTCATGAAAAATATACTTTATTATTCCATTATGTGTGTATGCATTTTAAAGAACACAATTAACTGATTTTTAGTGTTTAATTTGTAACTATAGTTGAGTTTAATTTGGGAGTTAAATGGGACAAAGATGAACATCAGACTGAAGGAGTGAGTTCTGTATTTACAATACTTCTGAACTATGTCAACAGGAAAGCATCAGTTCACTATGCTTATTTTCCTCCTGCTGTAAAGACACCTTTTAGTACTCGAGTCGCTTTGTGAGGTATTGATTGCAGTGCTTATACATGGATAGTTCCGAGCACTGAAAAAAATATATATTTATCCCTAAACTAAAAAGTCTTCTCTACTGACAAGTGCTGGAAAATAGAAGAGTATCCAAAGTTAAGCCTTTGTTGATGCTTTTAGACAGTTCTATTGGTCTCAGTCTAACAGACAAGAGAAGACTTTGCTGAGTGGCTTGGCTTTACTGTCGCAATGGCCAAGAGAGGTGTAGGATTAAGGGGTTTGTGAGAAATGGAGAAATCCAGTCAGTCAATTCGTATCTTAAACTGTGACAGGGAGCTAGGAATGGTTGGCATCTGAGGATATGCAGAATTGACTTTAATATGGCGATGCCCTTCTCTGATCGCCACTCCTCTGATCGTCACAAATGCCCAGCCTCCCCCATGTGCACATCTCGTAAATCCCACTGGATGATAGATATTTGAATATGGAGGAAAGGGGGACTGAAAGCTCAGTCTCTGTGGGCTCTTCTCCAAGTGGCCCCATAAAGGGAGTGCTTATAAACGGAGGAGAGGCTTATAAACGGGGGCGAGGGGTGGTCAATGCCTGCTTTGTCTTTTCCAAGTGTCACACATTTTTACTGGCTGAGAGAGAAACTCCAGCCTCCAGGTGAGGTGCTGGGCCAGGTCCCTCGCCTCCTTGCAGGGGTAGTGTCAGGCTTCCCACTCATGATTTGCAAAGTAACATGGGGTCCCCAGCTGCCGCCGACAAAGCTGTTACACCTTCTCTATCATTTCCAGATACGATCCCCGCTTCAACACCTGGATACACCTGGCCAGCATGAACCAGAAGCGCACGCACTTCAGCCTGAGCGTGTTCAACGGGCTCGTGTACGCCGCGGGCGGCCGCAACGCAGAAGGAAGCCTGGCCTCGCTGGAGTGCTACGTGCCCTCCACCAATCAGTGGCAGCCGAAGACGCCCCTGGAGGTGGCGCGCTGCTGCCACGCTAGCGCGGTCGCCGACGGCCGCGTGCTGGTGACCGGAGGCTACATAGCCAACGCCTACTCGCGCTCTGTGTGCGCCTACGACCCGGCCAGCGACTCGTGGCAGGAGCTGCCGAACCTCAGCACACCCCGGGGCTGGCACTGCGCGGTCACGCTGAGCGACAGAGTGTACGTGATGGGCGGCAGCCAGCTGGGGCCGCGCGGGGAGCGCGTGGACGTGCTCACCGTGGAGTGCTACAGCCCCGCGACCGGCCAGTGGAGCTACGCGGCGCCGCTGCAGGTGGGAGTGAGCACTGCGGGCGTCTCGGCGCTGCATGGCCGCGCCTACCTGGTGGGGGGCTGGAACGAGGGCGAGAAGAAGTACAAGAAGTGCATCCAGTGCTTCAGCCCCGAGCTCAACGAGTGGACGGAGGACGACGAGCTACCCGAGGCCACTGTCGGCGTGTCCTGCTGCACCCTCTCGATGCCCAACAACGTGACTCGGGAATCCCGGGCCAGTTCGGTATCTTCTGTGCCAGTCAGTATCTGAGCCCAGGTAGATGCAGGGACGCAGGAAGAACACGTTATTTATTCGTAGAGCCACGTGGTTAACCTCTGAGTTCGCGAAAAGGAAAATATTTAACATTTACTACACTGATTGTATTGTAAAATATGTCGAGGCACATGTCCTGATGGCTTTAAATTCCTGGTATGGCATAATCTACCTCTTTTTTTTTTTTTTTTTTTTAGCAAAATACAGGGCAATGGCCAACAAAAGAAACAATTTATTTCAGCGGCCACTGGGTGGCAGACGGAATTCGTTATAGGCACTCTCCCAAGGCGGCATGTTTCCTAAATGTATAGCGGTTACACCCACATTTGAGATTTTTTCCTCTACACGTTAGTACACTTGAGGTTTATGTAAGTGATTTCATGTTCAAAAGTTTATTTTCCTCTCTCTCTTTTTTCTTTAGGAAGTTGAAGATATTCATATAGATTTTATTTATTTAAAAATGGAAATTGTCGATCTCCATAAAGACTTAAGATTTAATTCTGTATTTCAACGCAATTTTCCCCCCATATGTGATTGAGTAAAGGATTTTGAAAGATATCCCATGACAACGTAATAAAGCTTAAAACAAGATCTGACCGAAAAGGAATAGGGATTCCACCCAGGGACCCTAAATTTGATAACCTTTGTGTTAGCGGACATTCCTCTTCCTCCATGCCTCAGGCCCCAGTTTATTTTCTACCATAAAATCATGCTCTCAATGAAGTAATTGATATGAATCATTTAATTTATAGCATAAATTTAAGTCATTTGGTTGTTTCAACTAGAAGGATTTGCATTTTATCCCTTGTCCTCTATTAAAGAAGAATTTCACATACCCTGGGAGCCTTACCCTCACCCTAAAAACTACACCAACCTGGTTAAAGGCAACCTTGGCCCTAATGTACACCCCGCGAAGATCACCAAATAAAACTATGTCCCTAAGGACCATTAGCCTTAAGCTTAGAGAGCTTGAAGTTTACACAACCAATAACAATAATTTTATTTGCCCCAATCTTTTATATGATAAGAATGATAGAAACATTTGGAATTTGTAGATTTGGTAGTAACTGGATGAATGGGTTCTCCTGTTGATAAATGCCATTGTTTCCCATTTAATATGGATCCTCCTGATTTCTTAAGTAAAAATCAAGCACTCATCTCACGTATATAAAAATATATACTCATTCTGTCCTATTTTTATTAATCTCATCTGCTCCAAATGAGCTTTGGATTTATAATCAAAGTGTACCCACTTGATAGCACTTTTCCTATATGTTTGCCAAGTTTTGGGGAAAGGGAATGACTGTAGTAAATGATACATATTTTCCTTTTTTATAATTTATCACTTTATTCTTTGACAGTTTATTTGTTTTGGAGAGGAAGTGGCCTATCAATTATGGGTTATGTGCAATTGGATTTTGAAAAATAAAACAAGCTATTTAGGAATTGAACATGAGATATATGGAAATATAATTTGGTTTTTGTTAATCTCATCCTCTCCACCTTGTGTAGATAGGTTATTGCTAGTTATGATATTTATTTCTAAAATATGTTATTTGAACTGTGAAAAGTGGTTCATATAGTACACTTTGTGGAACAATTTTATATCATTACCCCGATGAAAAGTTCAATCTCTGGATATTTAATGATAACACTCAGGTAAGGGCTACAAACGCTGTAAATTAAGAACAAGATATTATTAATGTAAAAGCGCTGGGCTGTTTCCTTATCCCACACAAAGAATCTTTTACCTTGGTATATGTGGATATGGTATATTACCTTGGTGTATGTATATGTGTGTATACGCACACACTCATACAACTGAGAAGCCTATAGTATATGGTTAATTTTTGGAGAAAAGGGTGTTTTATTGTGGGTTACAGATCATAAGTGAGTGAATAGATGTAATTCCTTGATGCACACCAATAGATGTGTTCCCATTGACATCTTAGAAGTATTGTATGAAGAGGAGGACCTAGGGCTTGAAATGAAATGAGAATCAATCAATTGCAACATTACATGATGGAATAATGAGAAGAGATACTGAAACTAGAGGATTTTTCATCTATCAAAGCTTGATAAATTAGGTTGTGCAAAAACTTGGCAGTGGCTTTCTAGAGATGAAACTGGAGACATGTTAGTGCTGGATAAATCATTTAAAATTACCATTTAATTTATTTTCTACATTGTTTATCTGAAGACTCAGAAAATCCACATATTTGAGCTTACCAGACTCTTGGGTGCATTGCTGTTCTATCTTCTGCTTCAACAGTTAGGAAAATAAAGACCAATATGAATTTGGAATGTCAGAATTTCTGACATAACACATTGGCGAGGAGTATGGAATGTAAGGGTCGGTGAAAGTTTCATATCCTGGAACATCTTGCATTGCCAATTGAAAGACATAAAAGTATGCAGAATCAAAATAATATGTGTCCACTTTCATGTGTAAGTGAAACATATTCTTTACACCAACTATTGAAGCAGTTGCTCCTAGAAACCTAGTTTCTCCAGATTTCCCAAGTGGAAAATATTTAGTATGTTTTAAGCTTACATTCAATTACTCCAGAGTCTTAGGACCCAACCATATACTTCCTTTTATTTTTTATTAAAGAAAATGACTTGTTATTTTTGTAACGGCTGAGTCCTGTGATCAAATAAAAGCATCAGTTCAATATATCAGGGAAATTGCATGTTACCCAGCAACTGAAATAATAAAATTCAAGCTCTCTTTTTCTAAATGGGCCAGAGACCTGATGAGAAAGTCTCCAGGAAGCCAAACTTTAACATACTTTGTCCATTTTTAGTTAGGTTCTTGGTGCCAAGTTGTCATCCCTGATGCATTAGTTGCTTTCAGTGCATTGAATGAATTTTATTTTTACTTCCTATGTTGTAAGAATGGTTTTGAATAGAAGGTCAGTGATGGTACAGATTCGTATAATTTTAAAACATGATTAGATGGTAGTGAAGTGTTATGAGTGAGGAGGTATAATTGATGTCATGAGGAAGTGAGTACTGAATGGTTCTATGATTTAAGGTAAAGCAGCAGTTGTAGTAAGTGTATTTTACAAATACACATGTAAATAGAGGTTTACCTGGAAATATGTACGTTCTAAAAGGTCAATTTTTTAATTTTATTTTTTTGCTGGTTATCCTGGCCAAGTGTCTTCAGAACTCATCCAAGTTACGAGACGAAATAAACTAAAATCACCTCATTAATTTTTTTCCCTTAGTTACAACCAAATGAATTTATGTAATCTCTGAATGAACTACATCCCTATTCCAGCCGCTGATGAATATGTTCTCCAGCACAAGGCAGCATTAAAAGGAAATACTTTTCAGTATTTCTTTTCATGCCAAAAAACCTACAGAATAATTTTCCAAACAGTCCTTTATTCGTAATTATAAGAATTAAACAATCTAAAATATTAAAGATTTACCCTCCAGCACATTCACTGGGTAAAGACCATTTAATTTGCCCTCTCAGGGAATTTGAAATAAATTATTTGTCCTGGATATTCTTTAAAAACTTTTTATTTATTCAGCAAATTTTGGCAAAAAAATTTCTTTCTTTGCTTAAAACATTCTGGTACTATATAAGGAACAACAAACTAAAATGTATGTAGTGTTATTTTGTAATCTCATCACTATCAATAAAGCTGCATTCAATAAGACCTTAGTCAATGACTAAATATGGACAGTTTTGAAATATCCTTTCTCTGATGATTGGGGTGTTTGTTTTTTTCTCTACTTAGTTTTCGTGATGATTCACCTAGACAAAACAACAGCAAATGACAAGTAATTGAAAAAATGTTTCAACAGCTTGAAGACTAGTGAAAGAAAAAGGTATAAAACATCAGTAGAGACTTGCTTTGTAACTCAAAGAAAAGCCCAACTCTGGTCTAGCTCAGCCCCGACTATTTAGAAGTCGTAGGTTAAGTGTGGTTTCTCTTCCTGTTTCCACCCTGACCACAGCCAGCTTGTCACAGGTTCATCATCATTTGCAACAAAACGTTTTAGGAAATAAAATCGCATTGTTGTGTAGACAATCCCTTATAGCCTTTCTCTTCTACCTTACCCCTCCAAATGAGCAAGTAAAATGTAACCAACATAAGATGCTCAACCTTTGATCTAATGTAGTACTTAAATAATAACATTCAGTTGAGGCCATCAAATCTAGGAAATTCTAAATGGCAGCAATGCTTTTCTTAAACTTCTCCAAGCCCTGTAATCATATAAATAGACTAGATAGCCTCAAACACAAAACAACTGGTGCCACAGTCCAAATTTTGAGCAGACCAGCCAGATGCCTCAGAGTTTCTTTGCATTTTCTTTAAACTCCCACATTACTCCAAGCTTCCCTACAGATTTGTACAGCCTCCCACAACAATCTTGGGGATGTCTCCACTCTCAATTACAGTGGGAAACTAGGCAGGATCTTTTTTCGCTAGGCCAGGTATAGACATGATGTATGCCCTCTCCAGGCTTCAGCACTGTGCTGAATTCTGTCTACATCTCTTTGGCCAGAACAGCCATCTGGCCTACTTAGATGAAAGGGAGCTAAGAAAAAGGTCTTCATGTCCAGGAGGAAAAGTAAAGTTTTCATATAGCATTGTCTCTGCACAATGAATGGCTAGTCATCTTCATACCTGGTTACCAAAGGAGCAAAGAGCTTCCCAGTCAAACTGCCTCCCCTCAGCCACACTGCTCTGGCCCTGATCACACCATAACAATGCTCTTCTCTCCCTTTCCTGGGTCACAAGACATGTACTCAGCTCCCCTATTATACCTTGCCTTTTTTCTTCTGAAGAACAAGCCCAGACAACTCTTGTAGCCTTTTCTCAATTCAGTGCCCTTACAGGTCAAGAGCATGTATTAAATGTATTCTGCCAGCCTTGAGTGTTTGCACAAATCTGGTTCCCAACAGCCATCAAATAAACCCATTTAATGTTAAGAATTGCCCTCCTCACCCCTCCCTCCCTGGGTCTCCTTGTTCTTCTCTTTCTGGAATCGTCTTAATTCTTCTTGATCTAACCTCTTCTAAAAGAATGTTGAGTGAAAATGATACATCTGTGACTTAATTCCTGCCACTCTAGCCATACTAGCAGGTTCCCAATACATGACGATTTGGGGAGAAGAGAACACATGTAGAGTCTAAAAGAGGACATACACGCATCTGTTCTTAATCCCCATTAGCAGAAGAGTATTCCTGAAAGGAAGAGGGGGAAGGAAGCTAAATGGTGGTAATCTGTCTCTCAAGTTTTATTCTGCAATATTAATGAAACGTTTCCATTTTTTGCAGAGTTCCAAACTGAAAAATGCTTTATTTCATTACAATTCTGCATATAAGTAGCAAAGAAAATTCTGTATGCCAAAAGAATCCTTTGTTGTTTAACAAATGTTCATTAGACATAATTATTTCCCAGCCTCATGCCCCTGATCATATTCTGTCTTTCTCTGCCCTGCTCTGTGCTCCGTCCCCTAGGGACTACATCATCCAGACTCAGGCTCTTTGGCTGAACATTTTATTCATCCAACGGGAGGTATCAGAAGGAGGTCAGAGGGCAGAAGCAAGTGGTTGGGATATTTTTTTCTGCCCTCTTCAGGCTTCAGCACTGTGCTTCTGGCCTAGGCTGTAACTTTCAACAACTCCAGCCCAGTGGCCTTTCCTCCCTTGTTCAAATCTCGCCATGCTTACGTGCCATCATAGCTTACCATCTCTGGATATTTTCCTGTTGATTTATGTTCTGCCATCTCTTTTAGAATATCATCCTTAAAGGTGAAAATTTTGTCTCGTTCACAGATGTACCTCCGGTGTCTAGAGTCATGCCTGGTGTATAGCAGGAGATCAATTTTTTGTGTGTGAAGTAAATAAGTGAATGAGTGAATGAAACAATAAAACCATCATGACCTACTGCTTGCTGATCTCTATTCCAATATTACTCATTTATTTAATCAGCAAATACTTATTAAGCATCTACTGCATGCAAAACACTTTCCCTTACCCCAGTAATCACTAGAGGGAAGCACATTAAAGTACACAACCATGATAACTAGGACTTTTCCAAACTTGCTGCAAGCCAAAAATTAAATTGTTAAGACACATTACAGGTGGAAGGAGTTATGCAACCAACACTTTCCATTTCTCAAAAAAAAAAAACTCAAAAGATTGATATCTCTATAGCTATGTCCCCATTAAAATTTTTTAAATTGCATGCATCTTCTCTATAATTGCCAATTCTTCAAAAACAGGTTAGGACTAGCTTCATCATTTAGCTAGTAAGCATTTATTCAGTGCTTACTAAGTACACACACACACACACATCATTTAAGTGTGAGTGTGTGCATATATACATATATTCTGCGTGTGTGTGTGTGTGTGTAAAATATATGGTCTTATGCTTGCATTCTGAAATTAAGAGCCATTATGATTACATCACCTTGTCTCATATGAGAGCTAAATAAGTTAATAGGTAAAGTTCATTTCTTTAAATACTTCTCATGGGCAGCCATGTTTTCAGAGACACGGGGAAACCTGAGAAGGTAGAGCCTACACACAGATACCCAGGGGCCTTTTTCTGACTCAAAAATGAGAGATAAACAGGGACTCCTGGAAGCAGAACCCTTGCAGCCCAATCCCTGGTGCCCTTCGGAACCCCAGACCAGTCTCCATTGAAGGTGTTTCATTTCCCTCATGGGTAAAAATACTGAGGACAAGTCACTCAATGCAGAGTCCTTGGAGATGGACAGTGAATCTCTGGGCCTGAGTCTTCCAGAGACACTTGGAGCGCAGTAGTCCATTCTCATGCTGCTAATAAAGACATAACTGGGACTGAGTAGTTTATAAAGGAAAGAGGTTTAATTGACTCACACAGTTCAGCATGGCTGGGGAGGCCTCAGGAAACTTACAACCATGGCTGAAGGGGAAGCAAGTACATCCTTCTTCACATGGCGGCAGCAACAAGAAGTGCTGAGCAAAAGGGGGAAAAGCCCCTTATAAAACCATCAGATCTCGTGAGAACTCACTCACTATCACCAGAACTGCCCCCATCATTCAACTACCTCCCACCGGATCCTTCCCCCGGGGATTATGGGAACTACAATTCAAGATGAGATTTGGGTGAGGACATAACCAAGCCATATCAAGGAGAGTGAGATATTGCATAAAGAAATAAGGGGTGGCAAATTCAGCTGAAAGAAGGACCGGCTCCTGCTTTGGAGGCACTCCACAGAGCCACATTTCTGAAGATGGTGAGGTGTAATGGAGACTGATCCTGGGACAGCTTTGGGAGCCTGCTGGAGATGGCAGGGCCACAAATGGACAAACGGAAAGAGTTACTATTGGAGGGGAGCCTCCCCATGTGGGACTGCTTGTTTTGAACAGGGACAAACTAGCTCCACCGAAAATCCATGAAATGTTAAGGCATTGCCAATTTCCATCATTCCCCCTGAATTCTTAAATTAAAATCCCACTTGATAAATTAGTGCCTTTGATGAAGCCATCCAGTCCTCTGCCCCTGCCTGCCGGCACTGACCAAATACAAAAGAAAGAGGGAGTCTTGAGGGGAAGGAGAGCCCTGTGACCTCTGCAGGAAGATCAGGGTTCCAGGCTGCAGAAGAAAACTTTAAATCAAGGGAAGAATGACCTTGCCCAGGGCTTTAGGCACATGGGTCCTCCGCTGCAGCATGTGCCACTGTCACTCCCTGACATGCGCTATGCAGAGAACAGGTATTACACAGCACTGCTTTGATGTCTCCCAGGTTTAATGTAGGGCCAAATAGGGCCTAGAGTGGCCAGAGCTCACAGGCTGGTTCCTCTGGCTGTGGCCGGCCTTTTCCATTTTTCCCTAATGCATTGTACAAACATTATCTCTTTCCATTTGTGCAGTGGGTAGAGCAAAGTTACAGAGCACTACTTTATAAAGCCTGGCCTCCCCCTCTCCCAGCCCCACTGATGCCTTTTGCTTAGTCACATGTTTGGGTCAAAGACAGAACACTCAGCAAGGTTCAGTGTGGTTGGCTGTGGCTCACAGAATACAGGCAACCAGGGGCAGAGCTGCAGTACTCATTAAAACCGTGGAGAGCTTGCTGACTGCCTCAAAAATCAGCAGTCCTGAGTATCTGTGCCGTGCTCTGCTAGTGTCTGAATGCTAGAGAGAGCACTCTACTCTTTTTAGACTTCCCAGAGATTCTAGTATCTGCTGCTATGACTGTTTTTTGTTTGTTTTGTTTGTTTGTGACAGGGTCTCACTCTGTCACCCAGGCTCAAGTGCAGTAGTGCTATCCTCTGCTGACTGTGTCCTCAACCTCCAGGCTCAACTGAACCTCCCAAGTAGTTGGGACTATAGGTACATGCCACCATGCCTGGACTGTGACTGTTTTTATAATAAAGACCCAACATACTTTAAGGAGGGGAAAAGAGCTGGCCAAACGATTTTCTGCCTGGGTCACAGAATATGGTAAAGTCAGGGAGAACATAGACTTGATTTCACCAGACTAAGAAGCCTTCAAGTCATTCTCAGTGAACGCCAATCCTCTGATGTTACAAGCGCTGTGTTGGGTAGCACTTGATGAGAATCTGAGTAAGTCCATCTCTTCACTTGAGGGGACAGTAGACCTTCACGACATAGAAAACCGAGACTAATAAGCTTTTATTTCATAAATGAGGATGGTGCACCTTAAAGGAAAGACACAGTCACTGGAAGATACAGCAAAATCACTCCAATCCCAAGTGACTGACACCACAAATACCTTAAAGGCGTCTCAGAAGAATGTAGAACAACTTTAGACAGCAATAATGGGTGATTTGGATGAAAATGCTCACCTTCGCGGAAGCCTAAAATGACATTCCCAAGAAGCTCTGAGATGAAAAGAAAGAGTTCAGGAATCAAAGAACAAGAATAAAATGCTAAAAAACTTAAAACACATGAATGAAACTGGTTGTAAATAATAAAGACAGCCAGTTAAAATCTCTGCCGGAAACTGTGCTGAAAACAATAAATTTGCCTGCTCTATTTAGGAGAGTACATGGATGACAGCAACTTGGAATGAGACAAAGACAGTGAATCAGAAAATGGAAACCACATAGACTATCAACCAGGACTCAGTGTGAAGAGACTCACTGATGCTGCTAACATAAATGTTTCCTCTAACAGGCTTGAAGGAGAAAAACAAGGTTATTTTTAAATTATGTGAAGAAAATAAAATGAAGAGCTTACAGATCTAATAAAAAGTCACCAAACTGAACATGTAGTCTGAAAATTCAGAGCTTAAAGGTGAGATTCAAATGCCTCAGGTGGGCCGGGCTCAGTGGCTCACACCTGTAATCCCAGCACTTCGGGAGGTCAAGGCGGGCGGATCACTTGAGGTCAGGAGTTCAAGACCAGCCTGGCCAACATGGTGAAACTCTGTCTTGACTAAAAATACAAAAATTAGCCAGGTGTGGTGGCGTGTGCCTGTAATCCCAGCTACTCAGAAGGCCGAGGCAAGAGAATCACTTGAACCCAGGAGGTGGAGGTTGCGGTGAGCGGAGATGGCACCATGGCACTCCAGCCTGAGTGACAGAACAAGATTCTGTCACACACACACACACACACACACACACACACACACACACACACACAGAGAATATGTCATGAAACTTGGCAGAAAATCAATTTAGGAGATAGTTTACCTCTTAGAAATAGAGAATAAACTTTTTGAAACATAGGAATACATCACCAATATAAATGGAAAACACAACTCCTACAGGAAGATGAATAAAGACTTGAAGAAAGAATTGCAAGGAACAACTTCTTTTTATCAGCTCTCTTGACTAAGAAGAAAGAAGCTCAAGGAGCTAAGAAAATAGAAAGACTAAAATTGGCTAAAGCAGAGTTTAAATCCAGGTTTCCCAAGTAGCCTCCTAGTAGGCCAATTAATGCCACCCCTTCCCCACAGGTCCAATACCCTATTCTCTGGGTCCTGTGCATATGTTATTCTACATGGCAAGAGGGACTTTTTGTAATTAAGGTTGTGGATCTCAAGGTGCAGAGATTATCCTGGATTAACCAGATGGGGCCAGTCTAATCACTTGAGCCCTTAAAAGCAGAGAAGTTTTTCCAGCTAAAGTCAGACGTGCAGCAGAAGAGGAAATCTAAGAGCTTTCAAGTGTGAGATGGATTTGATGTGCAATCACTGGCTCTGAGATACAGTTGCCCAGATACAAAGCTAAAAAGAGGCCTCTCAAAGCTAATAGAAGTTCCCAGGTGACAGCCAGCAAGGAAATGGATACCTCAGTCCTACAACTACAAGAAACTGGATTGTGCCCACAATTTGAGTGAATCTCCCTATAACCCATGCTGTCAACACAGATTATAGCCTGGTGAAACCTGAAGCAGAGAAACCAGTCAAGCCAACCCAGACTTCTGACCTACAGAGCTATGAGATAATAAACATGTGCTGCTATAATACACTAAACTGTGGTGATTTGTCTAGCAGCAGTAGAACACGCATGTCCCTGCTCTTCAACCGTACTCGGGAATTTAGGGTCACATGCAGTTTGATTCCATTTTCAAAGCAATGAACTTTTGCATATCCACCACCACAGATTTGCCTGTGTTCTCTCTCCTTAAAAGTTGTTTTATCTCTTTTTAGTTGGACTGCTATCATTTAATTGATGCTATATTTCCTCTTATTGAGGTTTGATAAAGTTATAATTTTTAAGATAGTATTTTTAAAATATAATGCTTTAAATACTATTTTTATAAATACATTACTTCTACTTCAGTGGACCCTACAGAATTAGATCACATAAATATTGTATTTTTAGCCAGGCATAGTGGCCCATGCCTATAAACCCAGCACTCTGGGAGGCTGAGGTGGAGGATCACTTGAGTCCAGGAGTTCAAGACTAGCCTGAGCAACATAGCAAAACCCTGTCTCTACAAAAAATTAGCCAGGCATGGTGGTGCATGCCTGTAGTCCCAGCTACTTGGGAGGCTGAGGTGGGTGAATCACCTGAACCTATGAAGCCAAGACTACAGTGAGTCCTGATTGCACAATTACACTCCAGCCTGGGCAACCCGTGAGACCTTGTCTCAAAAAAAAAAAAAAATTTGTATCTTTAGTGAAATAGAAAGTCCATCATTATTTAAATGATCATTGAACTTTGACATGACCAGGTGGAGACGTTTGAAAGAATCAAGACCATTTCTATATTCTATGAGCTGTTATTAGAAATCAATACGATAAATTAATATTTTCTTCAATACATTTTGATTGTTTTTAAAAACAATGCACATATATACATTTTTTAAAATCTTAAACAATAACAACACTGTCAACTAAACTTTGTAATATTTTTAGTAGGCTAGATTTAAATGCATATATTAATTTAGGGGAGTTGACATTTTGCAATCATTTGTTTTTTATTTTGTAATTTATTTTTAACCTTTGTTACTTCATTTAGTGTATTCTTTGCTGTTTAAGTGGTTTTGTTTTATGCAGTGAAATAAAATATTTTCCATATATATCATATATATGGAAAACTATTCTATAATTGTATTACCTAGATTTTAAAAACACTACCTTAGAAATTATAATACTATCAAGCCTCAACAACAACAAATGTAGCATCAATTAAATAACAGGAGTTCAACTTAAAAGAAACATAATGACTTTTAAGTAGAGATAATGCAGGCAAACTTCTGTGGCTGTGGATGTACAGGAGTCTAGATAGATAGATAGATAGATAGATAGATAGATAGATAGATAGATAGATAAATTTCTTGAACTTTTGTTATGTCTAGCAACCTGTGAGATGCTGGAGTTCCAAAGATGAATAGACCTTTTCTCACTGTCTCTGGGAGTAGGGGGAAGTGAAGAAGGAGAGGCTGGGGAAACAGACATGTAAACAAATTATTGCTCTATGATGTAATACCTGTAATTACAGGGATATGCACAGAGCCTCATGGGATTGCTGCAGAAAGATTCTCTCTGGAGGAGTTAAAGCAAGGGAAAAATTCTGAGTCGATTTTTTTTTTACAGATTTAGAAATTCGGGATTATTGCGGATTGTGTACTGTGTTCAGAAAGCAGTATAATAAAGTCTATACCCTTGCCTCTCGAATTTTGCCGAGAAATTTAGCAAGTGCTATGACCTAATTGCCTCTTCTGTGGCCTTTGGAAAGCAGTTTAAACTGGGAATTGGAAGACTGGAATTTTGTACCTAGATCCAACATATGCTAAACAAATGGTTTGGGCCTCAGTTTCCACATTTGTAAACATAACAATGAATCATAACCACCCTGCTTATTTCATAGGACAGTTGTAAAGATTAAACTAGATAATGTAGGTGAAAACACTCTGAAAACACCAGGGTATTCTACACATTCATCTAGGTCATGACATTTCTATCTTGAGTTGTCTGTGGCCAATATTAATTACTACTATGCATTAAAATAGGAAATTAATCAGAGTAATAAAACTATGTGATTCCTTAGAGTCCCATGGCACATTTCTTCTGAAGCTCTGCACATTTGTCCCCTCTTTGGCTTCCTGATTTCTTTGAAGAATAAGCTGGGGCATGCATTATTACTCCAGGATTGCAGGAGACTGAAGAGCGTGAAGTAAGAAGCCCAAGGTAGCATGGCTGAATGAGGATTTGAGCTCCAGTGCTTGTCTTCAGACTTCCTTTACACACATAGTACCCAGAGCACCATGTAGAAATGACAGTGGTGCTTTCTAACAAATTATTTTGAAAGCTGCCCAGAACAGATAAGGATATATTTATTCCAATCACAGATGCTCAACAGTAAAGTTCATCCTTTTCAGTATTCAACTGGGAGAAACAATCATGCCTCTAAAATTGAAAAGAAGAGAGCACTTCCTGACTGAGCACCTCTCCTCCTTGTGCCTGGGGCTTCCAACTTTCTTTCAATGGTCTGCACACCGTGGGAGCCTTCTGTTCTTCTGCTCTAGCCATTCTGGGCACACAATGAGATTCCACATCTCTACCTGTAGAAATTCCTCCCATCCCTAAGCTCAGTTCAAAATGCCATTCACCACTGATCCCAGCCACCAGAAATGTCTCCCTCACTTGAAAGTCACTCAGTTTAGACTGATGGGTAAGAGCCCAGGCCCCCAAGGCAGTCTGTGTGCATCCAAATCTCAGCCCTGCTACTATTAACAACCTCTCCACTTCTGATCCATTGTCTGTAAGTGGGATGCTGTGGTGATCATGCTAATAATACTTGGTCATTACAAGGTTATTAAAAAGATTAATAACAGGCAGCAAAAGCAAAAATAGACAAACACGATTATGTCAAACTAAAAAGCTTCTGCACAGCAAAGGAAACAATCAACAGAGTAAAGAGACAACATGCAGAATGGGAGAAAATATTTGCAAGCCATACATCTGATAAGGGGTTAATATCCAAAATATATAAGGAACTCAAACAGCTCAAAAGCAAGAATACAAATAACCCATTTTAAAAATGGGCAAAGGACCTGAATAGACATTTCTCAAAAGAAGACATACATGTGGCCAACAGACATATTAAAAAATGCTCAGCTTTACTAATCATCAGAGAAATTCCAATTCAAATCACAATGAGATATCACCTCATACTCGCTAGAATGACTACTATCGAAAGATGATAGACAAGTATTGGCAAGGATGCAGAGAAATAGGAATGCTTGCATACTGTTGGTGAAAATGTAAATTTTGAGCTTCCTCAAAAAATTAAAATAGAGTTACCATATGATCTAGCGATGCTTCTTCTGGGTATATATCCATAGGAAATGAAATCAGTATGTGGAAAGGATATCTGCACTCCCATGTTCATTGTGCCACTATTCACAATAGCCTAGACATGGAATCAACCTAAGAGCCCATCAATGGATGAAGAGATAAAGAAAATGTGATATGTGCACCCAACTGAATACTATTCAGCCTTTAAAAAGAAGGAAATCCTGTTGCAACAGCATGAATGAACCTGGAGGACATTATGTTCACTGAAATAAGACAGGCACAGAAAGACAAATACCACATCATCTCGCTTATATGTGGAATCTTAAAAAAAAGTCGAACTCGGTGTGTGATGTTCCCCTTCCTGTGTCCAAGTGTTTTCATTGTTCAATTCCCACCTATGAGTGAGAACATGCGATGTTTGGTGTTTTGTCCTTGCGATAGTTTGCTGAGAATGATGGTTTCCAGGGGCCTGTTGTGGGGTGGGGGGAGGGGAGAGGGCTAGCATTAGGAGATATACCTGATGTAAATGACGAGTTAATGGGTGCAGCACACCAACATGGCACATGTATACATATGTAACAAACCTGCACATTGTGCACATGTACCCTAGAACTTAAAGTATAATAAATAAATATATATATATACACACACACACATATATATACACATATATATATACACACACACATATACATATATACACATATATATATATAAAGTCGAACTCATAGAAGTAGAGAGAAGAATGGTGACTACCGGGGCTGGGGACTTGGTGGTGGCAGGGGAGTGGGATTTGTGGAAATGTTGGCCAAAACATACAAAATTTCATTGAAGGGATACAGTCAAGAAATCTATTGTACAACATGGTGACTACAGATAATAATAATGTATTGTTTACGCTTGAAAATCACTGAGAGTAGATTGTGTGTTCTTATCTCAAAAAAATGATAAATACATGAGGTAATGCATATGTTAATTAGCTTGATTTAATCATTCCACAACGTACACATATTTCAAAACATGTTTTTAAAATATATACAATAATATGTAATTTTTATCAATTTTTTAATGTTTAAAAATTAAAAAGATAATCATGTAAAGTACACTTGATGGCACATGGAAATATCTAATAAATATTAGCTATCAAATTTTCTTCTATTCCTATGCAGATTTTTCTTCCTGTACTTGGTAGCCAGTTCTCTAAGATCAGGAATTGGTTGCATTGCCCCTCTTATCTCCTGCATAAAAGTACATCTCACTTCTGCCATTATGAGCTCTGCAAGCTTGGCCTACCATTTAGTTTAAGTCTCAGTTTCACATCCATAAAATGGAGATAATATGAAAATTAAAGGCAATAATTTATACTAAAGCATATGGAACAGTGCTGACGAGATAGTAAGTAAGCAATGTATTTTAGCCATACTTGGTGCTTAAGAGTCTGTACTTAAAGTTATATTAAAGGATTAAGGCTCTGACATCACAGTGCTCAATGATCATGATATATAAACATCTATATCATGATCACATCATGAATCCCCTAGAGCGGGGATCCAGAGGCTGTCTGATTCGGTGCTTTTCCTGCAAGGATGATCCTGCCATCTTGGGCAAATACATAGATGCAAATTTTGCATTAGCCGAAAAGGACATAAAAAAACACCAGTTTTGGTGAGGAAAACATTACAACGTATGAGAGTTTATTTCCCAGGTAAAAAGCCAACAGGGTAACTATTAAAGACAAGATTTTGCAGCCAGAGCAGCAGGGCTCATATCTTGGCCCTCACCAGTCTTGTGATCTTGGCAAGTTTTACTTATCACATTAACTCGGGTTCCTTAGCTCTAAAGTGAGGATACCTATAGTATCTGCCTCATAGATTTGTTGTCAAAATGAAAGGAGTTATCCTTTAGCAAGCACCCAAAGGAGTGTTTGGTGCATAGGAATCACTCAATAAATGTTAGCTATTATAATTCTTCCGCCTGTGAAATTCCCTGCCTTTGGCTCTACAGTAGGCCCACTGGAACAGTCCAACACTGAAGAATGGTTTTTGCAGTGCCTGTGTGTGCTTCTGCTATACCAGGGACATGGTGCTCTTTACACCCATGTTGTCAAGTATAGATCAAATTAGGGGAGAACGCTCTAAAAGAAAACAAAGATGTCAGAGAATTGCCCCTTTGACAGGCACAGACTAAGACAATGGGAGTTCCATGAACATGAGCCATATATTCAGAAGAGTTTAGACAGAACAGTGCTTTGTTGTATTTCATGAGCTCATAGTACCCAAAGAAGCTAGTACAGTAGAACAACAGCTGATGTATCAGGTTTTTCGGTCATGTTATCAGTTACTGACAGCTTGCCAAACTGCCCCGGGCATTGACTCTGAATTCACATAACTAGAAGAGGAAAAGTATTAAAATGATCATTCTCCATTTGACTTTAAAACTCCCAGATTATCCAAATAAAAGATAAATCAAAGTGAAACCAAAGGGTAGCCTGTGTGTGGTATGGATTCCTGATGACAGTCAGGATCATTAACTTTGTTTCATTACTGAGATATCTAAGTAGTAAGGAGCAGGACATTTCATAAAAATGGCCTGAGGGGAACACGCTACAGAATGTCTTTGAGTTATTTCACTTCAGCCCCTGGGTGGTATGTTAGTTGGGTCTTTCATAAAAAGTTACCACAAAGTAGGTGGCTTGAAACAACAGAAATTTATTATTTCACAGTTCTGAAAGCTGGAAGTTTGATATCATCAAGGTTGGTCTCTTCTGGAGAGCTGTGAGGGAGAGTTGGTTCCCTGCCTCTATCTTAGCTTCTGCCAGTTACCAGCCATCTTTGGTGATCCTTAGCTTAGAGAGACAGTACTCCAATCTTTGCCTCTGTTGTCACATGGTCATCTTCTCCTTATTTGTCTCTGTGTCTTCACATGGCATTCTCCTCTGTGTATACATCTGTGTTTAAATTTCTCTTTTTTTATAAGGTTGGTAATTGTGGTGGCTGGGTGCAGTGGCTCAAGCCTGTAATCCCAGCACTTTGGGATGCTGAAGCGGGCAGATTACCTGAGGCCAGAAGCTCAAGACCAGCCTGGCCAACATGGTATAGAACTCCATCTCTACCAAAAAATAAATATATATATTAGCTGGGCGTGGTGGCATGTGTCTGTAGTCCCAGCTACTCGGGAGGCTGAGGCAAGAGAATCACTTGAACCTGGGAGGCAGAGGTTGCAGTGAGCTGAGATCGCACCATTGCACTCCTGTCTGAGCAACAAAAGCGAAACTCCATCTCAAAAAAAAAGAAAAAAATAATTGTGGTAATGAAAGTAGTTAGTAAGTAAGTAACTGAAAGTAATGGCAAAAACCACAATGACTTTTGCACCAACCTGATATAAGAACACTGGTCACACTGGATTTGGGCCCAAACTAATGACCTCAATTTAACTTGATTCCATCTGCAAAGATCCAATTTCCAAATAAGGTGACATTTGCAGGTATCAAGGGTTAGGATTTCAACATATCTCTTTGGGGGACACGATTCCACCAATAGCAGGTGGCAAATTTGCTAATTGCTAAAGAGAATTTAGAGTTGATGAGGTTCTTCCCATTGGTCTGTACATCTTCATTCCTTAGATAAGGAAGGCAAACATGTTTAACCTTTGGACTTGATTGTGGCTGGGATAATGATCTTCTAGTAGTTTTTCATTTAAGTTTTGTTTTGATATTTTTCAGGTTTTAAAAGAAATGGTATTTGCCTAGTCTTTAAATCTATTAACTCTTTATGTGCGTGTCACCCCCAAAAAAGTAAAATTACTAAGACTTTTTAGTTGGTCACTATTGCCTATGAAGTGAAAGACAAAAGAAGAGAGGCCACTGGGAGAAGTAACTGAATTCTTACCAGAGGCGCTGTGTACAAAGAAGTTCACTAGATGGGAGGGGAAAAGTAGCTAATTCCTCTTTCAAGGAAACCTGGAATAGGACATTCCAGCCCTCTCTGTATCTTTAAAGTAGGAACGAAGTTTTGGTTTCAGAATATTGGCTTCCAAAGTTGTAAAGGTAAGATATGAGAGGAAGGGCAGTGGCTTACAGATCCATGCAGGCAAATGGTTCCTCCTCTCCCCATTCTTTAGCAAAAGGCCATTAAGAAAAAAAAAGTTGGCCAGGCGCAATGACTCACACCTGTAATCCCAGCACTTTAGGAGGTCCAGGTAGGCAGATTGCTTGAGCCCAGAAGTTGGAGACCAGCCTTGGCAACTTGGTGAAACCCTGTCTCTACTAAAAATAGATAAAAGTCAGTTGGGCAAGGTGGCTCATGCCTGTAATCCCAGCACTTTGGGAGGCTGAGGCAGGGGGATCATTTGAGGTCAGGAGTTCGAGACCAGCACAGTCAACATGGTGAAAACCTGTCTCTACTAAAAATACAAAAAAAAGAAGAAAAAGCTGGGAGTGGTGGCCCATGTCTGTAATCCCAGCACTTTGGGAGGCTGAGGCAGGGGGATCATTTGAGGTCAGGAGTTCGAGACCAGCACAGTCAACATGGTGAAAACCTGTCTCTACTAAAAATACAAAAAAAAGAAAAAAAAGCTGGGAGTGGTGGCCCATGCCTGTAATCCCAGCTACTGGGTGAGGCTGAGGCAGGAGAATAAGAGAATCACTTGAACCAGGGAGACAGAGGTTGCAGTGAGCCAAGATCGCACCACTGCTCTCCAGCCTGGGCAACAGAGCAAGACTCTGTCTCAAAAAAAAAAAAAAAGAAAAAAAAAGAAAAAGAAAAGAAAGAAAGAAAAAATTAGTGGGGCTTGGTGACGGACACCTGTACTCCCAGCTAATCAGGAGGCTGAGATGGGAGGATCACCTGAGCCTGGGAAGTCAAGGTTGCAGTGAACCATGATTGTGCCACTGCACTCCAGCCTGGGTGATGGGAGTGAAACCCTGACTCCAAAAAGAAAATGTTTTTAATTGACTAAGTTAAAAAGAAAACAAAAACAAAAACAAAAAAGCCACATTGCTCATGGATAGTATGACATTTATTTTTCTGGTTGTTTGTTTATGTATTCATATCAAAAATCACCAGTTATGGAGCACATATTAAATCCTACTACTGCTTGTTTTGTGAACAAGATTTTATTGCACACAGCCACTCCTATTAGATGTTTTTGTCTATGACTGCTTCTCACTATCGTGGCAGAGTTGAGTGTTACCCAAAGGGCCTGAAGTATCTACTATCTGGCCCTTAATAGAAAAATAAAGGTCACACTTTTTTAGACATCTACATAAGGAATTAGAAACTAAAGAACACCACAACACACCAAACACCCTACACATGGATTACAGGTAGTAACTTGCAATGAATTTCTTGGTATCACCATTTCTTTGGCAAATCTATGAGCTTAGTGATAAAAACTTGGCATTAGTGCTCATTAGAAAAAGCCAAGTAGGGTTTAAACAACTGAAAATCCCTAGACTAAGAATCACAACCCCAGAACTGCTAGAAAAAGAGAGACTGAATCACAGTCTAGCAGAGCTTTCCAGGATTAAAGCAGGAGATGAAAACCCTCTCCTTACCCTTGTTTATAACCACATTTTGTGTTAGGATGAAATTTGGCACAACTTCTGCCTGCTATTATTCTTGTAATTTTCCCATCCTTTTTCTGGAACACTGAACTATGGGAGGGTACACCCAACATTGCTGGAGACACCATGCCCTTCACAGGGTCCTCCCAAAGCGCTCCAGACACCAGCACCCTGGATAAAGAACCTGCCACTTTGTCCCAGGGGCTGAGGCTTCTCTCCAGTCTCCTGCGTCTACCCCATTTTCAAGCCCTCTTGCTTTGGTCTCATGTGCCCACACTTTCAACCCAAACTGTGCCTTTCTGGCCAGTCTCTATGGATGAATACCTCAGCTGAACTGTCTACCTGGCTTTCCATAAGATCATCTTTGGTTCCAGGATCTACAATAAAAGCACCAGACCTGATCTATCCCAGTCTGCTCTGACCTCATCATTTTTCCCCTAAGGGCACAAATGTCCGGTCTGTAGCACTAAACCACAGGGACATCTACATAAAATGGTGGCTGTTTCCGTTTTGCTGAATCTGTCTTTTGATGACAATTTCTGGGTTAACTCATCTCAGAACATACCAGAGCCTGAAGGATCTGCTGATCCTTTATATCCTAGGAGAATAAATGAATTAGCAGATATACAGCTCTTAGAAGTGTGCCTGACTAGAATAAGCATCTTATATGTTAGCCATTATTTGATCAAGGTCTCAGCCAGTGATTGTAGTTTCTTAGTGCTACACGGTGTTCAGAGAGATTCTAGAACCTAGCATCTTCCTCTAAAAGCATGATTTATCTTTGGTTGCTGAAATGTTAGTTTTGTCTAGGATCTCTTTTGAGTATTTCTTAATTCCTGTTTTTAAGTAGAGAAGAAAGTCTTTGGAAATGTGATTTTAAGTAGAATGAGAAGGCAAGAATACCTGTAGTATTTGTTTGTATTTTATTTTTAAGCCACGGAAACAATTTTGTCAATAAATAGGTGATCCTTAAACCTTCAAAAGCTTCGTCTAAAACAGAAGCATTGTTTTCATTTTCTTAATAGATGTCTTTTACCATTTTGCATGCAGCCAAAAATATATTTCCCCAATACTAGCACAGAAAGAACTGCTAAAAGTGAGAGACATCCTGTTTATTCAGGGTTACTGCAGTCCCTTGGGGCGAGGACCATCTATTTTCATGTACTGCTAAACTGTCCAAGATTATGATGTGCTGGGTGTTTTTTGCTCATTTCTCATGCTTCATCTCTCTCTCTTGCTGATTTCTTGCCTTTTGAGCTCTTCAGCCAGCTGGCTGTGGTGGACAGGGCTGTAGGAAGGAGTGTAATAGAAATCAGGAAGTGAAGATGCTGATTCCCACACAACCGCCAGACTGGGAACGAGGCTGTCTTAAAGATCATTTGGGCAAAACACACGCTATACTGTCCCTGACATTATCTGTCAAGTGTCCGATCCAGAAGTAGCAAAGTGGGATGGATAATAATTAGTGGGACTATAGGGACCATAATGATAGCTTGGTGGCCACTGGGAAATTTCAGTCAGTGAGCATGGCTCCTGATATGAGATAATGTGTGATCTTTAGACTCAGGTCTCTTTTAGAATAGCTGAAGCTGGCATTGGGCCCATATATGCCTCCAGGTAAAGGACATCCCAGAGACATTTTGTCCAATACAAAGCCTGGAAGATTCCTCATATCTTGTACTAGATTTATTGTTGCCCTTGTTATATATCATAAATATCCATCTTCCGCATTAGATTCTGAGCTCCTTCAGGGTTAAAGTCATATAATTTTCATGTATAGTTCCCCAATGCCCAGCAAGCAATTTATTAATCAATCAACCAATTTTATGAAAAACAAAAAACAAAACAAACAAACAAACAAACAAACCACTGTACTTCATACCTGAATTAGACCAAACAGTTGAAACACTAATGGGACATTAGGACTCCTCCAGGGGGAATTAAAAATGGTATCTCCCTTTCCTCTGTCCCATTCTCTTGAGTCATTTGCGAATGAGCTGGGAATGTTAGTCCCCCTCTTGTCTTAAAATGGAAAGGTTCTGGATGTAGGGCCCTGGAATAGTAATTAGAACTAACTTTCCCCATCCACCCACCCACTACGTGACACAAACTGCCTTCAAACCTGGCTGGAGAGATTCACCCAAATGCTTATTGTCATCTATTGCATCATCTTCTAGGAAAGAAGAAAATTGCTTCCATATCTCCATGGCCCTAAATGGTCTTTATCTAATCTGACCAAAGTCATCTCTTGGCCTTTTGATGCCAACAGCATTGGCCATCCTTGCTGCACCCAGGGTCACCCTGACCAAACACTCTGGAAGTGTGCGTGATTCATCAGGTCCCACCTTATGGAAGTTACAACAGTAGTATGGGTAGGACAATAGGACAGAGTTACAGCAATAGCAGTGGCCAACCTGCATTGCAGAGAACCAAAACTGCAAGTTCTATTTCCATTCTCCATCCAAACAAATACTGTATTTTTTTAAAAAAAATAAATAAATCCAGATATGCCTTCCAGTTCCTTGACCTTAATCTCTCACTCTGGATCTGTTTAGATTCTATGCCCTTCATGTAGCTATTTACGACCCACTGGTTTACTATCTCGGTCTGATGTTCTAGACTCTGACATCTGGTCAAATATTTCATCAAATATTTGATACATGAATGAAGAGGAGACTTTAAGACTTTCAAAAGGATAAGAACCAGAGGCTAGGCATGGTGGCTCATACCTGTAATCCCGGCACTTTGGGAGGCCAAAGCAAGTGGATCACTTGAGGCCAGGAGTTCGAGACCAGCCTGGGCAACATGGTGAAACCTCACCATTATTAAAAATACAAAAATTAGCTGGGCACAATGGCAGGTGCCGGTAATCTCAGCTACTCAGGAGGCTGAGGCACGAGGATCACTTAAACTTAAGAGGCAGAGGCAGAGTCTGCAGTGAGCTGAGATTGCACCACTGCATTCCAGCCTGGGCAACAGAGCAAGAACCTGTCTCAAAAAAAAAGGATAAGAACCAGAGCAGCAAACTCAACCCTGATACATTGCCATGTATCTCAGAAATATCTACCTGGATGTTAAAAGGGTAAATAGAAAGAGTTCACGCTCCATATTCCCCTGGTTAAATTGAGACATTATAAGACGGATGTGGGAAATAGAAGAGAACGAATTATGAGGTGTGCTGGCCCAAAGCCACATGCCTTGTGGGGAAACAAATTCTTTGACCACCCTCAACAACAGTGACTCCCAACCTCCTTGGAATTTTGGCACCCTATCATTATGTACTTGATGATCCAGTCTTGATTTGACAACCTCCACTCCCGCACTTGGCATGAAAAAAGTTATGCAGCATAGATTTATTTCATTTTTTCCTAATGAATGTGAATGAACATGACTTTTATTGCAAGCATTTTATAGCCTTTCTTGAAACAACTTGCATCATCCTGGCTAAATGGAACACAATTTTTCAAAAAAATAAACTTGAGCAGTCGTGTAGCTAACACAACACTACAGTTAGTAAGACAGCATGACAGCAACAGCCCCAAGGAAATAGACAGCAATCCTGGTTTCAGTGAGGGAGACAATGTGAGAGAGGGAGAGCTCCCAGTATACCTGAATATGTTTTCTGCAAATAGATTCCCGAACATGTCCTCACATCCTTCCAGTAAGTTTTCCAGTAAGCCTTCCAGTGAGCATTCACTTGAGCCAGTTTCAGTTTGTTTTCCATCCCTGCAAACAAATGATCCTGGTCTAGATCATGCTGAATTGGCACTCAGAAAAAGATAAACAGAGACCAGTAAAAAGCCTTGGCAGACCCATAATCTACCTTCTCTCATCAGCCCCTCAGAGCACAATACCTTGCTGGAAGTGGAGGAGTGAGACAGAGGTTACTTCGGTGTCTGGGATCATGTATGTGCCGCCTGGTTTTCCTATAACCAGCTCTGACACTTCTGCCTAACAGAGCCATCTACCCATATCTGAAATCCCTAATTCTAAAGTAAAGATAACATTTTTCTTGGCTTCTTTGGCTGATATCTTTGGATAGAGCAAAGGAAAAAGAGAGCAACAACACGGAGAGGAAAGATGAAACAAAACATGGAGAACTGTGTAAATGTATCCCCACCAAAACAAGCACACTTCATTCTACAGAGCACACAAAGAAAAGATCCTGGAGTTAGAAAAAGACTCTGTTACAGCGGAGTAAATACTTGCTGGGCTTTTCAACAAAAATTTCTTTGCCCTACAGACAGGTCTGGCTGCCTAATTTCTGCTATTAAACAAGCTCCAACTTGATCTGGACTTCATGAGGAAATGTGAAATTTGAACCTTTTTATTTCCCCAGCTTTTTTCCGTGCTCCCACTTTATTTTGGTTACTGCCTTGACTTCCACCCCCAGGTGCTATAACTGCTTTATTTCCTCCTGCCCATAGCCTGTTCAACACATGGCGGTTGCTGGTCCATTTTCTCGAAGCACTGCTTTCTGCCATATAACCGTGGGTGGCACCAGTTTATACAGGCAGTGGCAGTGTAGGCAGGAGGCGTTGGTTTCAACAGGGTGACAGCACACAGCTAAGCAGCCAGTGCCTTCTCTGGGCCTCAATTTCCTCATGTATGAAATAGATATTTCCTCACTACTAGGGTTGTTGAGGGGATCAAATGAGAGAGCAAATGCAAAGCTCCTGGCTCAGGGGCAAGCACACAGCAGTACCCGCTAGGAGGATGCTGGCCTTCCCTCTGGAGGTGACAAAGTACCTGCTCCTGAGAGTTCAAGTAACTGGGTCCAAAAGTGCATGGAATTTGAGACAGGTTTATAAAACAGTGGGTAGAGGATGAAGGACTCATGCTCAGGAAGAACTTCTCTGCCCTCACATCCCACTATCCCAGTACATGAACAGAATGTGCTTTTAGAACCCCATCATGGGCTCAGAGGGAAACCTCTGAGAAGATTCAGGAAGCCATTCAGCCAGAAAGGCTGAAGGAAGGCAAACAGCAGAACTCAGCACTTTCAGCATAATGGTCAAAACAGAACTCTGCAGATAAACCTTAATTGTAAAACAAAATTGGTGAAAGAAAAATGGGTGAATTAATGGGGATTCTAATTTAATAAAGTTAGAATTAACTACTGTCAAGTTAAAAGGAAGTTTAAAGTCAGTCTTATTATAAATGATTAGTCCACTCAGTCCTCTGCGGGAACCAAAATTCTCCTTAACATGTTAGGGAAATTAAATTTGTTATTTAGAACCTGTGATAAATCTCTTACACTCTTTGTTGGAAAAAACTTTAAATGCATCATTTATTGAAATTAATCTTCTTTCATTAAATAACCTTTGATTCCAAGAAATAGCAAACCTTTTAACTTTTAACCTACAAGTGAAACAGCCAAATCCAGATAGTAAATTTGAGTTAATTTAGCTGATGATATGGCTGGAAATTTTATTCTCAGAGATATCTTAGAAGATACAAATCTATTATTGTTAATGTGAGAAGAGCAATGTATATGCATATTATTATGTCAATCTTATTTGGTTGTAGTTTTAAAATTTAGCTAGTTATTCTCACAGAATTTTTCATAAAGAATTAAGAAGCCTCCTAGGTTTTATTTAAAAACTTAATAACATAACTTAATAACATAAGCTACATAGAGGTGAAAAAGATAAATGAAAAACAAAAATAAGTAGCTAAACTACAACTAGGAATTAATCCAATAAAAAAAATTTTTAATATACAAAGCTATTTTGCGACCTTGGTAACACCTTTTTAACCAGGTAAGGAAAAAATAGTTTGACTTTTTATAAATATATAATATTTAACTTTTTGCTCTTTCCAGTTTAAACTTTGCCTGTTTGAAGGACATTCCAAAAATATTTCAGTACACTTCTTAAAAACCTTCTAATGCGTCTTCTTAGAATGTCATATGTTATTGCCAAATTAAATTACTGTTTTACTACCTGACAGCTTGAAAACAAGGACTATCATGTTATTAGAAAATCTTGCAAGAAAATAAATCTCAGCAATAATGTGAACTCATGGAAGTGACAGAATTTTTTAGAGACAGATATATAGATACATCTATATCAAATTTATATTTTTTTAGAGATGGAATCTTGCTATGTTGCCCAGGCTGGAGTGCAGTGGCTATTCACAGGTACAATCTAGGCGTATTACAGCCTTGAACTCCTGGCCTCAAGTGATCCTCCTGCCATAGCCTCCCAAGTAGCTGGGACTACAGACATGCCCTACTGTGCCCAGCTTTATCTATATTTTTTAAAGTGGAAAATTTCTGCTGGAATTTCTTGCAAGTTCCTGTTTACATGCCTCTAAGACTTCAAATATACCCTACCCTCCAACTTAATATACTATTCTTTTATTTAAATGATTTTCCCAGTACAGTTTTAGTTTTATTGGCTGTGTGGTTTTGGTCCCAACAAAAGCAGTTACCTTGTAAATTTCAGAAACATATATCTACTAGGTAAATTCGGCACTCACAATCTTAGATTTTCTAACCAAGTCCTGCTTTCAAATATTCAGTGTCATATTCTGTCCAACTGAATCATCAAAGTATCCCAGAAATTCCAGCATTTTGGCAAAAAACAGCACATTCTAATAAAATATATGTTAACTCAAATATACCTTCAAGACACAGACGGTGATGAATCACAAGCTGAAAAATACTTTAGTTAGAAGTAGACCTAGTATAACATTTTTTGAACCCGACATTGTACTAATTGATAAAATGATTTTTTTCCTCTAGTCTGTATAAAACTCTTGGTAAGATTTCCAGTATGTCAGCTAAAAATGTCAATGTCAACAATATTTGCCTTGGTATCCCCAACATAAGACAAAACAGTTGTTCAATGAATAGTGTTTTGAGTGCTTCTTTGTTGACTATGTACTGAACACTGTTAAGCACTAAGAACATAGTTATTAACAATCCCCATAGAGCTTTCAGCTTTTTTCATTTTTGTATCTAATTAGGGAAAATTTCCAACATCTACAAAAGTGGACAGAATGGTATCATAAAGTCTCACATACTAGTGCCCAGTTTTAATAATTGTCAACTCATCACCAATCACAACTCCACTCCATATTAATTTGAAAGCAAATCCCAGACATCCTAACATTTCATCTATAAATATCCAATATTTGATCATGGGTTTAGAGATAAGCCTATCAGTATTATGCCACCTAAAAACCCCAATAATTTCTAAATGTTATAAAATATTCAGTCAGTATTTAAATATCCCTGATTGTCTCATAAACTTTTTGAACAGTTTTTTTGTTTGTTTTGTTTTGTTTTGTTTTTTGCTCAGCTCCACACTTTGCAGTTGGTTGACATCTCTTAAGTTTCATTTAATCTATAGTTCCCCATCTGCCTTAGTTTGAGTTCCTCCAGAAATACATCTAAGACAGGATTCAAGTATAGGTAGTCAATTTGGAAAGTGCAGTGTACACCATAAAGGAGACAGCATGTGATACAAGAAAAAGCAACCCAAACCCATAGAGGTTGAGCTGTTAAGCAATTTACCAGTGGGTGACTGAAGCTTAATCCTTCGGGGAAGTTCTTGAAAAAGGGATAAACATACACCCACCTCAGAATTATGTCCCTGGGAGTTGAAGGAGCTTGGGTATGTAATCATCCACTTTATTTAATCATTGGTTAAGGGTTGCTTCTGGGGTTGTTAATTGCTTGGCACTTCTGGCGTTCTGCAGTTCAGGAGAAAAAAAAAAAAAAGCTCTTAGGCACCAAAAGGCAGCTACTGACAGTTGGGAGCAAGGCTGAGCACAGTGAAGGGCACAGAGGATATGGGTGGGCACCAAGAGCATCTGCCACTTCCTCCCCCTAGTCCCTCCTTGCCATGTATATGGTGAAGAAACTAGGTCAGTTTGCCCTGCAGAATTTCCAGAATTGTGGATTTTGCTAATTGCATCCATGTGGTGTCTATTGTTCATATGTTTGCTGTCTTCTGCATTACCTGTGCCCTCACTCCCTAATAGGTAATTTGATCACTTATAATTGGAATTTTTTGCAAGAAGACACCATTGGTGATAGTGACAGGACTTTTGTTAGCAGGCGCCCAGTTGTTTCTCTTAGTGTGATGTTAGACATTTAGCCTAAATCCACTATTTCATTCGAATGTGCAAATACTCGAATTCTCATTCCTTAATCATGTATTAGCAAGAATACTTCATAATAGAGAAACTTCCTTTGTCAACTATTTGGTTACTCTGTGGTACAGTTAGTACAGGAAAGGTAGGATTCACATTTGATCCTTTCCTTGTATTTACCAGTTCTCAAAATAATGAGCTCATTTCCCAGAACCCTCTATAGGTGACCAAGAGTTCTTTTATGAATGCATGGATTTAAACAAAGCTGCCATGTCTCAATCCCTGATTCAAATTGTCTCTTTTTTGGCCACTGAAGTTTGGCCAGATATTCAAATTGGATTCTGAGTCCTTTCTGACACGACTTTAGTGGTCAATGAAATGTTCTTGCTTTGTGGTGTGACAATGTGTTCCAAGACTGCTGTGGTTTCAATGTGTTCTCACAAAATTCATGTGTTGAAATTTAATCTCTATTGTGGTGATGTTGGGAGTTAAGACTTTTGGGGAAGTGATTCAGCCACGAGACATGGATTAGTACCTTGCAAAAAGGCTACAGGGAACTAGCTTAGGCCCTTTTTCCCCTTCTGACTTCTGCAATGTGAGGACACAGCATCCATCCTCTTCAGAGAATGCAGCAGAAAGGCGCCATCTTCGAAGCAAACGCTGGGTCCTTTCTAGACACTGAACTTGCTGGTGCCTTATTCTTGAACTTTTAGCCTCCAGAATTGTGAGAAATAAAGTTGTGATTTTTATAAATTGCCCAGTCTCAGGTACTTTGTTATAACAGCACAAAAGAACCAAGATAAAGGCCTTCTTGAATTTTTTGCTCCCCAGTCTTCAAATTAGCTGACTTTCCAAGAATATGGATTCCTTTTAGTGAAAAATTGTATTAGAAACTACAGTCTGGGTGTTATGGGAACTCATTGCTGCTGAGCTGGTCACTGTTTCTAGGCCTTTTTAGCAGGCAGAGTTAGGAAATAAGTTGTTATTTTGTTTTGTTAAGAGAAAACATATCATGAGCTCATACTGATGTTTTCAATTCAAGTTTAGGATTATAGGGTTTGCGCTTCTTCGCTTTTATATTTTTTTCTCATACTTACAACTTAGTTCTTAACAATATAAGTACTTATTTGCCATATCCTGTAATATATACCATAGTTTCAGAATAGCAGTGCCAGTATTATTATAAACAGCATGATAATTGAAAGTGGCATAAAGTGTATTTGCATTTTTTTTTATTCTTAGGGTATATCCCACTAGGTTTGTATGTTAAATCTCTGTTGTTTTTTTAAAGTTACTTAATATAGTTCCTCTCTGTGTAGTTAAGCAACTAGTTCAATACAGTAATTTTTATTTTCCTTTCAGTTTTTAGAAATTTTTTGTTAATTTGATTTGATAATTATGTAAAATCTTTGCACCATTCCAAAGTCAAACTTACAAAACAAGGTATAATCAGGAAGTTTTGTTTTTAATCCATGTTTTCTCTACTCCGTTCCCATATAGGTAAACAATTTTTAATTTTTGTTCAGTTTTGTTTGTTTTGTTATACCCTTGTTTTGTTGTTTTTGTTGTTTTGAGACAGGGTCTTGCTCTGTCACCCAGGCTGGAGTGTAGTGGCATGATCCCAGCTCACTGCAGCCATGACCTCCTGGGCTCAAGTGATTCTCCCACCTCAGCCTCCCAAATAGCTAGGACCACAGGTGCATGCCACCATGCCCAGCTAACTTTTTTTTTTTTTTTTTTTTTGTAGAGACAATGTCTCACTCTGTTGCTTAGCCTAGTCTCAAACTCCTGGGCTTAAATGATCCTCCACCTCCATCTCCCAAAGTGCTGGGATTTCAGGCATAAGCCACCACTCCTGGACTGTTGTGATTTTTAATATATGTATATTCATATTCTTGTTACCTGTTTTGGATAAATGGTAGCACATTGTATATTTACCTCCATTTTTGCTTTTTTCATATAACAATGCATTCTGCAGAGTATATAAAAATAGAAACATATTTGGAGACTCCTCATTTATAGTTGCACAGTTCTCCATTGATAGGTATGTTCTACCAACAAACATTTGGGTTATTTCCACCATTTTGTTGTTATAAAGTGTTGTTATGAATATTGTCTTATAGATTACATATAAACTTTAAAGTTTCAAAAACAAATACTCTGACTTCATTTTAGAAATTGTTAGATAACTCATGGATTGAAGACTTTGTTTAAACTTTTCTTAGTGTATGTTAGTTTTGATCATATGAATGTGGCTTCTACATGTTCTCATTTTTATTACATAGTAAAATTTTCTCTGTGTCCCAGTGGTATGATCAGCTACTGCAAATGATCCATGGTTGCATGAAAAGGTATATTCTCCACTTTTAAAATACAAAATTCAAGATCTGCCTACTCATTCAATCTTGTTTTACTTTTTAGTCTTTCCCAAATCTTGAGAAAAATATTTTAATGTCTTTTATAACAATTATATTTCTGTCAATTTTCCATTTAAAGATTGTAATACTATAGAAGCTCATGAATTTTACATCTATTTTATGGATTACATCTTTTATCAATATAAAATGATTCTTTTTTCTGTCAAATTATTTTTGTTTTGAGAGACACTAACATTATTTACCTTTACTAATATTATTACCTTTGTCTCTTTCTTTCTTTCCTTCTTCCTTCTTTCTGCCTCAACCCCAGCCCTGGCCATTATAATGTTTACCTTTATTAACCTTCACAGCAGAAGAACAGCTATCCACTTTTTTGGTTGGTAAAGGTCTTGTGTTCCCGGATCACGGAGTAGGCATAAACCTCTCTCAACTTCCAGCAAGATTTTTCATGTCAGGGACACAGCTTTTGACGGTTCCTGACAGGGATTTTTAGTCAAGCTCCATAAGATTTTCACTTAGCAATGCTTCCTCCCAGATTCTGACTGCCACTCAAACTTCATTTCCAGTGTCATGGTTATGTGGATTCATCACTTTTCAGTGTCTTCATGACTCTGTATAAAATTAGGAAAAGTTGCAATGGAGTACATTTCCATTTTAAACTGAAAGCCAACTTATCATGTTTTTGACATTCTCTGCTATTTGGTAATATGGTTTTAAAATTAACTTTGTATCACAAAACTGTATTTTAAAGAGAACTTACTAGCTGAGTGTAACACACAAAAGGAGATGATAAAATCTCCTTGTATTAGAGATGATAAAATTTACTTACAGATTTTTATTCTGTGAATGTGAATATTTCATACCTAATAAAAACACATGATTTTGTCTTTTCACTTCTGGGCACATTGAGAAGCAATATTGTTAGGTTAAGAACTTTGGATGAATTGGAGGTGTCAACAATGATAATTCAATTTCAATGAAGATTTGCAATGAAATTTGGGGAAAAAAATTCGTTATTGAGCAAACTGAGTTCTTCAAACAATACTAGTGGATCAATATACTGCTGACTTTAAAATTCAAGTCTTTTATTAACCAATAAAGGTAGTTTATTACATTTTTATTTCTTGTCATATATTTTAGTCTTCTTTAAAAAGTCTGTTTATTAATGTGCTTTAACTTATAATCTTTGAAAGACTTTTATCTTTAAAAAATTTAAAGAGATTCCTCAGACAAAATGTCCCAGTTTGCCACTCGGAAAATGTTAGCATCATTCTTTAAGACTATATGTGAAAACTCAACTATCTTGCAAATGGAAAAATTGAGTCTCCAAGTCACAAGAGTATTTTTTTTACTTTTTATTTTGAAATAATTTCAAATTTATAGAAAAGTTACAAAAATAGTAGATAGAAGCCTGTATACCCTTTACCCAGATTCATCAAATGTTAGTATTTTGCCCCATTCACTTTCTCAATCTCCTTTCATTGGCACAAGAAACTGAGGCACAGAGAAGTTAAGTAACTTTGCCAAAATCATACTACTAGAGTATGGCAAACCTGAACTTCAACCTGTCTGGCACGAGAGGCTTCCATCAGTTCCTTCTCCGCTCAAGTAAACTTCATCAACTCTTACAGGCATTCAGTCTGGTAAGTGAGTACCTGGTCTTTATGATAAGTTGTCACATGGTTATGATATTATGAAATATGTATTTGGGCTTGCTCCTGTTTCTTGACATACAGCTTCTAAAACCCTTGGGAATCTCCAAAGTGATGAGTGTCTTTGATATGCTGTGGAGATTACTGATGCCTAGGGACCCCTAAGTAGCTTCCGTATGGGGGCTGGTCACCAGAAAGACCAAGGCATGATTAGACGGTTGGGACTTAAAGTCCCACCAATCAACCTTCACCTCCAGGGAAGAAACAGGGGCTGACCAATGGCTCATGACTTAATCAATCATGCCTACATGATGAAGCCTTCATAAAAACTCAAAATGACCAGGTTCAGGAGCTTCTGGATAGCTGAACGTGTGGAAAGTCCTGGAGGGTGGCACATGCAGAGAGGGCATGGAAGCTCCATGCCCCTTCCCACATGCCTTGCCTATGCATCTCTTCCTCCTGGCTGTTCATCTGTATCTTTTTTAGTATCCTTTATAATAAACCAGTAAACAAAAATAGGTGTTCCTCTGAGTTGTGTAAGTCATCCTAGCAAATTAATTGAACCCAAGGAGACAGTAGTGGGAATCTTGACTTATAGCTGATCAGCAGAAGCAGAGGTGACAACCTGTAACTCGTGATCGGCCTCTGAAGTGGGGGCAGTCCTGTGGGGTAGAACCCTTATTCTGTGGGATCTGATGCTATCTCCAGATAGATAGTGTCAGAATTGAATTAAATTATAGTACACATAGCTGATATCTGCTAGGGAATTTATTGGTTGCTGGTGGGGAGAAATCCCTATATATTTTGGAGACTAGAGGTGAAATGCTCTGTGTTGGCTGTGTAAAAAATGGTTAGGTTTGGTTTTTCCTTAGTGAGTTTTTCCTTCTAACTTACTGGTATAGGTAACAAAACCCATAAGAAAATGTCCTCCTCTAACTTTGTAAGCCCCACATTCTACATCTGAACCAGGTAGGAAAAGGAGACCCAGAGGAGCAATAAGTTAGCAACAGACAACAGTGCCCTGAAAGCAGGAAATGGCAGTGTCTGGACAAATTGTCACGGTCATATTAAGCAAGTTAAGTATTTACTCAGCTGGCAGGAGTATTACATTTTTAATTGTTACCCACTTTAACCAATATTTAGCTAGTGTCCTCTGCATATGGAGGACCATATTAAGCATTTTGGAAAAAACCCAAATGCAAGAAAGGATCTCGGGGAGCAATATACACTCATGAAAAAAATAACCTTAAGCATATTCACCAAGAAGTATACATGTGTTGATAAATTAGTATTATACCAAAAAATTAAAAACCCCCACTGTTCACACAAACCCTGAGAAGCCATTACAGTAGGGAAAGTTTAAGAAGCTATGCTTCTCCTTGATGGTGTAAGGTTTTAAATGGGTTTAGAAAACTAAGGGGCTATGTGGAGTTAAGAGTGCCATGAATGGGGTAAAGATGCAGAGTGGGAGGAAACAAACGTATGTGGACTTAGAAGGGAGGAAATTCATAGGCTCACCTTGGAAGGCTGAAGGAGGCTGACACCATGTTGGATGATCAAAAATCAGCATTAACTCATTCACCAGATGGGTTGGAATAATGCAGATGAACTCAGGGTCACAGGTGTCAGGATGGGGAGACTGTCTCAAAGCAGGGGAGGCTTTAGGCTTGGGAGTTTTGTTTTACTTTTTGACAATGTTAACGCAACTAAGTAACTATGAAAGAGAAGTATGAAAACAGCCCACTGGCTCAAGGTCAGAAGGAAAGCGTGGGAGGCTTTAGAGAAAGTGATGTGTTCACAGGTGGTGAAGCTGAAGTCAGGTGGCAGCAAGTTCAGGTGGAAGTGGATGATGAGGAAATGGAGGTGGAAAGGTAGATTTCCCCCCACTCTATACATTTTTTTCATGGATAGATGTAGAAAATGAAATTATAATTAGACACTGAAGTGAGGTCAAGGAAGGAGTATTTTTTAAGTAAGGAGACAACACTACAGACTGGCCACAAATTCCCTGAGACTGTGTCTAACCAGAGCTGTAGATATTAATATAAAATCAGCTCTCGGCTGGGTACAGTGGCTCTTGCTTATAATTCTAACATTTTGGGAGGCTGAGGTGGGCAGATTGCTTGAGCCCAGAAGCTCTAGACCAGCCTTGGCAACATAGTGAAACCTCATCTCTACAAAAAATACAAAAAATAGCTGGGTGTGGTGGCAGGTGCCTGTAGTCCCGGCTACTCAGGAGGCTTCGGTGGGAGGATCACCTGAGCCCAGGAGGTCGAGGCTGCAGTGAGCCATGATCATGCCACTGCACTCCAACCTGGGTGGCAGAATGTCTCAAAACAAACAAACAAACAAACAAACAAAAAATCAACTTTTAAGGAGTGCTTCTATGACTTCTGTCATTAGGAAAATGTTCAGAAGTAATAGGAAGTATGAGAAACATGAACATTTGTGCAGAAAAGGAGGAATCATAGAAATAAAACTTCAGACTGTTGTGCAAACGGGCACATTGCATATGCTTAAAGTTAAAAGGGAGGAACCAGGGGAATGTGATCAGATTAAAATAGCAAAGCAATTAAAAATTTTACATACAAAGCTTAAAGGCAAACTTAAGAGATTGTAGTAACCACAGCAGGCATAATCAGCACTCAGTAGGTGTTTACTCTGTGTAGGATGATGTTACTGTAGAAGCAAAGGCCCTACTGACAGATCCAAAGCACAGGTGGAGACAGTGACTTTTTCATCACAGCTCAGAGTTTTGATAAAGAATAGAGATGGATTTATTTACTAACTCAATAAAACACTGCTAAACACTAGGGGTACAGAGATGAATTTAATATGGCTCCTCCCCTCAAGGAGCTCCTGATCCAATAGAACAAGCAGACACTAGAGTCCAATGAGACACTAGCTACCAAGAGCAAGGGCAAGAAACATTAGATGTAGGGCTCCACCCTGATATAGTTTGGATCTGTGTTCCTGTCCAAATTTTGTGTTGAATTGTAATATCCGGTGTTGGAGGTGGAGCCTGGTGGGAGGTGATTGGATCATGCGGGCAGATTTCTCATGAATGGTTTAGCAGCATCCCCTTTGTCCTGCCCTTGGAACAATGAGTTATCTGTCAGATCTGGTAGTTAAAGAGTGTGTGGCACCTCCCCCTCGCTCTCTTCCTCCTGCTACTGCCATGTGAGATACCTGCCCCTACTTTGCCTTCTTCCATGATTGGAAGCTTCCTGAGGCCACCCCAGAGTCAGAAGCCGCTATGCTTCCTGGACAGCTTGCAGAACCGTGAGTCAATTAAACCTTTTTTCTCTATAAATTACCCAGTATCAGGTATTTCTTGATAGCAATGTGAGAGTGGACTAATACTCACCCAGTAGACTTCCCGGAGCCTCCCGTCTTCTAGCCCTCTTTTATCAGGAGAGGATGCTGGATCCATCCTGCTGCTCTTTGGCATTCTGGGCACTGTGCTGCTGTGAAGATGCCTTTAACACCTCCCCACCCTAGTGAGATCATCATCATTGATTGCTGCAGTTGCATCCCTGCTGTCACCACCACTTCCACCACAGGTGACCAATCTTGCCAGATGGACCTTGCTGTTATTACCAACAACTTTGACGGGTCTATACCTCACCAATGTTGGAGCTCTCTTATTGGTGTCCACAGTGGTTGTCTGGCTCCTAAAGATTTTTTGTGTGTGTGTAATTCTCTCTCTAAAGCAACTTGAAATACCTCTACTGTGTTCAACTTTGAATGAGTTTTGTAATCACCTAGTAGATGGGATTAAGAAACATACAAACACATATTCTCACTCTTTACTCATTAACCTGAGTTTCACTGTTCTGATCCCTGAGCAACAATCCCCAACTCCTCCATGTCAAATCCAGTCCAGAGTTCTCAAGGCAGCCAGGCAGACTTGGCTTTCCCCAGGGACCCCAGGCCTATGTGCTTTGCTATTTTATTATGTAAGAAGGAAAAGCACCTAAAATGTGAGCGTTAGTGAATGAAAGGTGATTGTGTGACGATACCTCCAAACTTACACCAGCAAAAGAGAGGAAATAAAAGTTAAGTTCTCCACATGTCCTTTTTACTAGAGAATCCCAAATCACTGTGACTCAGCACCTGTACTTTGTGGTCATTTGTACCTGATACTAATTCTATTGTGACTCAGACGTTGCTCCAAACAAGTTTCCTTGTCACATCTCGCCACTGTTGTTAGGAAAACACGTTCAATGCAGGGGAACGTATTTGTTATGCTAGAAGCAAAGAGGGAGAGAGCGAGTGCACAGCAGAAGCAGGTAGTCATCCAGTAGAGATCAAAGTTCCCTTGCAAAGGGAATTTGTCATTGGTGCACACTCCCTTATTTAAGCTTTTGCTGATTCATCGTGCACTCATCAAAGCTGCACTGAGCTAATATTTAGAAATTCATTTGCTATAGAAGCAAACTCCAACATCAAATCCTTAAGTATGTGACTTGATCTATTCATACCTGGGTGTATACTAGTCCTGAGTTTAGGCACATATACCCACCTACACACAGCAGTGCTGAAAAAGCGTGACTGTAAAAAACTGGGGTGATAACTGGACAATGAAGTGAGGTCAATGAAGGGTTATTTTATATAGGAAATAACCCACAGATTGGCCACAAATCTCCTCTGCATTGACATTCATATGTATACATACACATTCTCACATGAAAACTCTTTTAAAAAAACTTTAAATTAGGGAAATTGTTGAAATTTGAACTAAGATGATAGTGAACAAGAAGCCCACAGAATATTAATAATTATCTTAATTTTCTTTCTTATTATTCAAAGTATATGCTCTAAAACTGTACTGAGGTACATCAAGTGCACAAATAGTAGTATGGAGTTGATGTTTTTTTTCCATATACATGTACCTATGTTACCACCATCTAATTCAAGATAGAGGATATCTCTGATCTCTTAGCTGGAGAAGACCGCCTCATGCCACTTTCCAGTAAATATCTCCCCATAGAGTTAATAGTATTCTGACCTCAATCACCGTAATTCATTTTGTCTGTTCTTGAAATGTATATAATTTAAATCATACAGTAAGATACATATATTTAATTTTTAAAAATACATTTAAAATGTACAAAAGCCATGCCTCACTCCTGGCTCTGATCCTCAGCCACCTGTTTTCTCTACCCAAAGGCAACCAATGATACTACCTTTCTTTTTTTTTTTTTAGATGGGGTTTCTCCCTGTTGCCCAGGCTGGAGTGCAGCGGTGCAATCATAGCTCACTGCAGCCTCACACTCCTGGGCTCAAGCCATCCTATTGCCTCAGCCTCCTGAGTAGCAGGGACTGCAGGTACACACTACCACAACCAGCTAATTTTTAACTTTTTTATTTGGACAGAGTCTCACTTTGCTGCCCAGGCTAGGTATCACCTTTTTGTTCATCTCTACAGAAATATTTACTCATATACACAAAAATGCATATGCATATACATAGTTTTCTTCTCTTGAGATCACTTTTGCAAAAATTATAACAATCAGGAAATTATTACAGTGAATGAGATCTGAACTAACCAACCCCCATCTAGCCTTTAACCTCCAAACTGGCCTTAATTATTCCTGGGCTTATGCCAAGATAACTTTGGGAGACATTTAGTTTAGAGTTTAAATGGTAATAGTGCTTCCCCAAAATTATACCACTTTGTAAAGCTAAGGAAAGCTAATCCATCCACCAGGTTATTAGGATGAGAGGAGCCTGAATTCTGCTAAGGTGTAGACTTAAACGATTACCAGCCATTAGTCTGGAGGTCTCAAAAATTGCAACTCCCCTAATTACTCCCGCCGATAACATCACTATTATAGAACCTAAGATTGGCCTTTTGAGATGTCTTTTCAGGTTTCTGCATTTCTGACGACCAATGAACCAACGTCTCCACCCAGGCCTGCCAAACCCCACTAGCCAGTCCTGTGGCCCTACCCAGAAGCAGACTCCCTGGCTCCCCAAACCACCCTTGAAAAACTCTAGCCTCCAAATTTTCAGGGAGATTGATTTGAGTAATAACTCCATCTCCCACGTGGCATGGCTGGCCTCGTGTCAATTAAATTTTATTGCAATGACTTGGCCTTGGTGGATTGATTTTGTCTGTGCAGTGGGCAGGAAGAAACTATTGGGTGGTTACACTCTCACACAAGTTTGGAACACTACTGAAAATTTAAAAAATTAGCTGGGTGGGTGTGGTGGCATGCTCCTGTAGTCCCAGCTACTTGGGAGGCAGAGGCAGGAGGATCCCTTGAGCCCAGCAGGTCGAGGCTACAGTGAGCTATGACTGTGCACTGCAATCTAGCCTGGGCAACAAAGTGAGACCCTGTCTATAAATAAATAAATTTAAATAAATGAGAAAAAAAAGGTAGTGACATACTATAGCATTTAGGAATATGTTTAGCTACAAATAACAGAAACTCAAAAACAGTGGCTTAAACAGTAAGTTTGCCCCACGAAACAAGAAGTCTGGGGCAGTCCAAGGAGGTTCAACAGGCTGCTGTTTCTGTTTTTTTACCTCCACCACCCTTAGAGTGAGGCTTTTGTCTTAATGCTTATTACTTCTTTGTTGCAAGATAGCTGCTGCATCTCCAGGTATTACATCTGTATTCAAGACAGGGAGAAGAAGAAAGCGGGAGTTGGGAAGGGGAGAGACCTGTGTTAGGAAACCAAAAGCTTTCACAGAAACCCTCTATTTCTATCTCATGGGATCATACTCCTGAATCATACGGCCCCTCCAGCTGCACAACACTGTGGTGAAGCAAATATTTTTAGTTTAGCCTTTATTTTTTAGAAAGAAAGGGGATGAGAATTGGCATGAGCAGATATAAGGATAGCCTCAGCCTCACATGATATTATGACTGTATTATTTGTTAAATATTGAGAAAGTTATGGAATACTGAAAAATTTTAGTTTTGGATAAATACCCATTCACATTAATTTTTGCTGTCCTTACTACTACTTTGAGAAAAAAGGTAAACTAAAGAACTTCTAAAATTTCTTCTCATATTGTTATTGTACACAGGTCCATCTTTTTAAATCCACAATTGCAAAATATAAAAACAAAATAAAGAAAACTATGAAAACAGAAAAGTTTATGTAACTGATTTTGTGACAAAAACCTGATGTGACCCAAGGAGAGGCTATTTGAAGTCTTCGTTCATATGATTTAGTGTAAATTGTTTATATGTTGCAGAAATATTCATGTTTGATTAAAGAGTACTGCCCCAGACCCTACTTGGGATATTACATAATAAATAGGATCTTCTAACTTTGAAAAGTTCTGAATTCTCAAACACCTCTAAACCCAATGGTTTAAATAGGGAATTGAAGAACTGTGGTTAGAAAGATGACTTCAATGTAAATATACAATTTGGCAGAAAGTTTAGGGGAATCATATAAACAACTAAATGAATGCAGGCAGAAATGAAAAAAGAAATCCTGAAACTTTAAGAATCGGGGATAATATCAGATAAGTATGTTGCTTAAATTTGACTAATTTAAACCATTTTTATAAATTAGTCACTCAGCATGAAGACATCAAAAATTCTTCCTAAATTCTAAACACTATGTACATTTGAATGCTGAGTTAGTCCCAGGATTCATCCCCAAAATATCACTGACCAGTATGATTTAATATTAGTATTTGCCCTCTCAGGGGCATCCTTGCTGCAGGATATCACAAGGGTAGAAGGTAAAGCAGCTGCACAAAACATCTTTGCTCTTGTTTGTTACTCTGAGATGATCCTCTGCCTGAAAATATCTAAGCAGATACTTTTCTCAGCTTTGCAATGCAAATGATATTTAACAGTTCCCTAGGAATGTTTTGTGTGCTTATCAAATTTCAGCTAAACACATTTATTTATATGATAAATATGATAACCAAAAGGTTCCATGTATTATCTTTTCAATATTCATGTTATACTGTACAAGCACTGTATTATACAAATACTGTATAATATAGTATTGTAAGGTACAAAAATACAATAAACTAACCATACTTCAACTCTGCGGGGTTGCTGTGGGAGAGCTCTGCAGGGTTGCTGTGCAAGCCCCAGGTAAGTGATTAAGTCAGACAATAACTACATCAGTGCTTCTCAAATTTTCATGTGCCTGCAGATTATCGGTTGGGGGCGGGGAGTTTTTAATATGCATTCTGACTTAGTAGGCCTGGTGTCGGGCCAGAGATTCTGCGTCTCTCCCAAGCTTTCAGGTGATACAGATGCTGACTGGTGGACCACATTTTGAGTAGCAAGATGCTAAAGCTTCTTACAACTCTAAACTTTCAAAATCCTTTATAAAAGGATAGCTATAATGTATATGTGAAATGGACTATGGAAACATAAAATAATAAAAGCTTACTATTGTCAGTCACTTGGGAAGTGTCACTTTTGGAAGTTAGTCACTTCCCAAGTGTACATCTCAGGATATACAAACTCTTAGGGGAACTCCATGTGATTTAGAAATCTAGCCAGCTTGCCAAGAGGATAATGAAGAATATAATTGAGGTGTGGGTGAAAACCTCCAAAGACTAGAAACCTTTGCTCTGACATGCACCCTGAACATGGTTGTCTCCAAGCCAAGATTTTATTAAAAGGTGATTAAGCCCAACCTTGAGAAAACATGTGTTTTCAAGAGACTCTTGAACTCTCAGCCTCAAGTGGAGTTAGGCAATTCTGGAGAAACCAGTTAACATCCTGGGCCTATTACTTGCAAGGAACATTTAGGCCCCCCAAACAAACAAGATGTTAGCTAAATAATAGGCCATAAATGTAGAGCAAATTGGAGAACTCCAAAATAACCAAGGACAAAAGAGAACTTCAGAGAGTCAACAATTTGTACAAGGGCTATTATCCTAGACTCAATTTGTGTTTCTTACATAGCCAAAGCAATCTTCTCCAAACAAAAATTTGTGTATGCTACCCTGCTATAAAATTATCTAAGGCTCACGACGGTACCTACAGAGAAATAGAAATACTGATTCTTCTTAATGTAGAATCCTATGAGGTTTTCCAAAAACATACAATTGTGTAACCACAATCACAATCAAGATATCGAACAGTTCTATCTATCTCAAAAATCCTCCCCTTCCTCTAAGTAGCCAATCCTTTCTGTACCACTCCCACAACCCCTGCCCCAGTCCCTGGTAACCAAACATCTGTATTCTGTTCCTATCATTATTCCTACTCTAGAAGGTCATTCCTATCATTATTCCTACTCTGGAAGGTCAAATGGAATCATATAGAGTGCTGCCTTTTGAGTCGGCTTCTCGTACTTCACACAATGCATTTGAGATTTATCAATGCTGTGGCATGCTTCAGGAGTTCGTTCCTTTTTATTACTGTAATCCATTGAGATGCCACGCTGAGCCATATTGGAGCCCGAAGCAGAAAAACAGAAAACAAAAATTGCACCCCTCTATATATGTTTTTTATGTATTTTGTGGATATTTAAACACTAAAATAATAAAAATATTGAAAAATTTTAAAAATACCTATTATTAAAACCCACAATACTATGTTCAGTGTAAAGATTTTATTTACAACAAAACAATTCATTATAATCTTACTTTCCTGGATTTAATGGAAGCAAACTCATCCATAATATTTTCAAAATCTACTTTTTTGCTTATCTTACATTATTTTATGGGGCACCACTGTGATTGCTGTTAAAAAAAATTCTCAAGGCCACTTCCAAATTTGGATAAGATTGCACCAAGTAAAATACTTGCGTCCGTTTCAGAAAATCTGAACCTTATACTGATTTTATATTACAAATCATTGAAATTGTACACTGCTTAAAACTATTTTGGATGAAATTTCTACAGACCTTAAGTTGTCAGAATGTTTAAGAGTCAAGTGGGTGACTGCCTTTTGTACATCAAATGTAATCATAGAAAATAACTTTTTTTTTGTTACAAATTCAAAATGTTCCAGCCTGGCCAATGTGGTGAAACCCTGTCTCTACCAAAAAATACAAAAATTAGTTAGGCATGGTGGCACAGGCCTGTAATCCCAGCTAACTAAGGAGGCTGAGGTGGGAGAATCACTTGAACCCAGGAGGCAGAGGCTGCAGTGAGCCAAAATCGTGCACTCCAGCCTGAGCAACAGAGTGAGACCCTGTCTCAAAAAAAAAAAAAAAATCAAAATATTAAGATGCTTTACCTGCTTTTTCACATTTTCATTTAAATGTGAAATTAAGATAGCTATAGTCTCCAGAATTTTGTTTGACGTGCACTTTTCCCGTAATAATATCTCCATGCAGTGATTTACAGATTGCCAATTTTTAAATTTTTTCTTTTTCATTCATTTACAAATTTTGGAGGTATATTCATCTCTTGCTAAGACCTTTTTATTAATCAAATATTTTTTCAAAGTATTTTTTCTTATTTATTATAAGCAAAGAGATAGGTCTTCTATTAAGCATATAACTTTATATAATTTTTTTTAAAAAATAGAGCTTTATTAATTTTTTCCACTAGCTTAAAACATTATTCCATACAGATGTTTCATTAAAATGTATAATCTATTGCACCAAGATACTTTCAATTATAGAATCATGTATTCTGTCATTTGATATTACATCTTTTAATATTTGATAAGTGTCTTTAATTTGCATACAAAATGTCTTGATTCCATTTAATCTTGATGCCCATCAGGTATCCACGATGTAATTCTTAGAACAGACATATAATATTACATCTGTCTATTGAATTCTCCAAAAAATGTATATATCCTCTGTACAATACTAAAAATGGTTATCATATTTCTATTCACAGAAGCAATGTTTTCATGTATTAAACTAAGACTATGAGCTGAGTACTTCACATGTTTGACATAATCATTTTTGGTGGAAATAATGGCCACACATCTTTGTATACACAAGCCATATTTGCTCTATTATCATTTCCCAGGCAATTAGCATTTTTATGTCAATATTATCTGTTTCCAATTCATTAATAATTTCACGAGGTAGATCATATCTAGTTTTTTCTTTCACATTTCAATAAAGTCAGTATAACTTTTTTCTGTTGATATAACATCATTCTTAATGTGAACATACTTAATAATGTTACATACTTGTTCACAATCGGCTACATCTGGTATATAATAAAAATCAAGGTATTTTGCTTCCTTTTTTTTAATTGAGACATTCTTGCTCTGTCGCCCAGGCTGGAGTGCAGTGGTGTGTTCTCAGCTCACTGCAACCTCCATCTCCAGGGTGCAAGTGATTCGCCCACCTCAGCCTCCCGAGTAGCTGGGACTACAGGTGTGTGCCACCACACCAGCTAATTTTTGTATTTTTAGTAGAGAGGGGTTTCACCACATTGGCCATGCTGGTCTCGAACTCCTGACGTCAAGTGACCCACCCGCCTCCGACTCCCAAAGTGCTGGGATTACAGGCATGAGCCACTGCGCCAGCTTGCTCACATACTTATTTCAAGCTTTTGAAATGTCTAACATTTCCCTTTCTTCACTTTTGTCTTCACAATTCAAAACAGATTCTTTAGTTAACTCTGAATTTGGTAATTGTTCTATTCTAATAATGTCAACATTAGACACGTAATCATGTTCAGTGGTTTAAGTACTGTGTTTTCCAGCCAAACTCGTAACTGCCCCACATAATTTTGATTCATTTCAGTATGGATGTTTTTTTCCTGAACATTGCACAACTTGGCCTTCTAGATGCCATATTTATAGGAAAAAAATTTTAGTACATATTTAAATTCTATTTATTTTTAATCAATACAAGGTTTCTTTCCAGGAATATAATATATAGTAAATTTATACTAAGTTATATAAATTAAGTTTTATATCTTGTAGTATCTAATGATCCAATAGGTGTTCATAAAAGTTTGTATCAAAAATATTTAAAAAAAGGCCAGGTATGGTGGATAACACCTGTAACCCCTACACTTTGGGAGGCTGAGGCGAGTGGATTGCTTGAGCTCAGGAGTTCAAAACCAGCCTGGGCAACATGGTGAAATCCCATCTCTACAAAAAATACAAAAACTAGCTGTGGGTGTGGTGGCATGCATCTGTAGTCCCAGCTACTCAGGACGCTGAGGCAGGAGGATCACCTGAGCCCAGGAAGTCAAGTCAAGGCTGCAGTGAGTCCGGCTGTCACCACTACACTCCAGCCAGAGTGACAGAGTGAGACTCTGTCAAAAAAAAAGTCTCAAAAAAATAAAATAAAACAAAATAATAAAAAAGTTTAAAACTCCCTTGTGTACTGTTGAAGGTAATAAAAAAAACTGTGCAATTACTATGGAAAACATTATGGTTGTTTCTCAAAAAATCACAAATAGAATTACTATATTATCCAGCAATTCTACTTCTGGATATTTACCCAAAAGAACTAAAAGCAGAGTCTCAAAGACAGATTTGTATATCCACATTCATAGCAGCATTGTTCATAATGCATCTAATAGGTATGCAGGGCTATCATGCTGTGGTTTTAATTTGTATTTCTCTAATGATTATGATTTATCTATGTTGTGTTTTATTCCATGTGCCAATTAAAATGAACATGGTATATGTACATGTGCTGAGAAAGAAATAACTTTAAAAATAAGTTGCAAACATCATATAGTATGATCTTTTTCATGTAAATAAATATATGTACACATAATTGAAAGTTTGGGGAAGACTACATAAGAAATTTTCTTCGAGAAAGTAACGTCAGAAAAACCCTTGCAGACATTGGCTTAGGCAAAGACTTCATGACCAAGAACCCAAAAGCAAATGCAACAAAAACAAAGATAAATAGATGGGACTTAATTAAACTAAAAAGCTTCTGCACAGCAAAAGAAATAATCATCAGAGTAAACGGACAACCCACAGAGTGGGAGAAAATCTTCACGAACTACACATCTGACAAAGGACTAATATACAGGACTAATATAAAGAATCTACAAGGATCTCAAACAAATCAGCAAGAAAAAAACAAACAATCCCATCAAAAGTGGGCTAAAGACACGAATAGACAATTCTCAAAAGAAGATATACAAATGGCCAAGAAACATATGAAAAAAATGCTCAACATTGCTAATTATCAGGGAAATGCAAATCAAAACCACAATGTGATACCACTTTATTCCTGCAAGAATGACCATGGTCAAAAAATAGTAGATGTTGGCGGGGATGTGGTGAAAACGAAATACTTCTGCACTGCTGGTGGGAATGTAAACTAGCACAACCACTATGGAAAACAGCATGGAGATTCCTTAAAGAACTAAAAGTAGAACTATTATTTGATCCAGCAATCCCACTACTGGGTATCTACCTGGAGGAAAAGAAGTCATTATACGAAAAACATACTGGTACATGCATGTTTATAGCGGTACAATTCGCAATTGCAAAAATATGGAACCAGCCCAAATGCCCATAAATCAATGAGTGGATAAAGAAAATATGGTATACATATATATATATATAAATACATATATATACCATGAAATACTACTCAGCCATAAAAAGGAATGAAATAATGGCATTCGCAGCAACCTGGATGGAATTGGAGACCATTATTCTGAGTGAAGTAACTCAGGAATGGAAAACCAAATATCATTTGTTCTCACTTATAAGTGGGAGCTCAAGCTATGAGGACGCAAAGGCATAAGAATGATACAATGGACTTTGGGGACTCGGGGGGAAAAGACAGAAGGAGGGTGAGGGACAAAAAACTACACATCACGTACGGTGTACGCTGCTTGGGTGATAGGTGTACCAAAATCTCGGAAATCACCACTAAAGAACTTGTCCATGTAAACAAACACCACTTGTTCCTCAAAAACCTATTGAAATAAAAAATTTTTTTAAAAAATGTATTCTAATGGAAAAAGAAAAAACAAAGAAAAATTTTCTTCTAGAGTAAAGAGACAACTTTCATTTAATAACTTTGGTACTGTTTGAATTTTTTTAAGTATGTGTTACTTTAATGTGCAAAAACTATTTTAAAAATTAATAAATAAAATCCATGCCTCTTATGGGAAAATAATATAAAAATCCATCCAGAAAGACAACTCAGCAGATTCCTCATCTCCAGGGCTCCGATCAGTCACATTCCTAACACAGAATTTTAGGCATGCAGAGGCACAGAGCAGGTAGACAATGGGATCTAAAGAAATCCCTGTGCTGACTGTAGATAGCTTAGCAGCCTAAGGGGAGAAACTCCTCCAAGATGTGTCAAAGCAACATCGCCAGTGCTAAGACAAGATGGGCAAAGGTAAAGGGCTCTGACAACTAAATCTGTCCCTTTTTATCCAGAAAAGTTGAAGCACATCTTTATGTGGGGGAGAAGGTTACGATGGAATAGGAGACAGAGAGGGAATACATAGAACCTCATGCAATTCTTAGATCTGCCTCCTCTCCTGTTACTCCCCCTTCTCTCACTCCACTCCAGCCATACTAGCCTCCTTACTGTTCTTTGACCACTCTAGCTTCCCTCCCTGCCTGAGGCCTTTGTATCAGCTGTTCCCTCTGCCTGGAATGGCTGAATTTCCTTACCTCCTTCAAATCCTTGCTTAATCCCTCCTTCTCAAAGAGACCTAAACACCCTGGCCACCTTCTTTAATATAATATTCTGACCATGCACCTAACCTCACACCCTGATCCCCTGCTCTAATCTGTCTTTTTCATAATGTTTATCAACTTCTGACTTTCTATATAGTTATTTATTGTGCATGTTGTGTGCCTCCCCTTGCTAAAATGTAAGCTCCACAAGGGCAGGCATGCTTGTTTGTTATAGTCAGTGATGTATCCTAAGCACCTAGAACAGTACTTGCCTGATGGTGAGTGCTCAATGAACATTTGCAGAAAAATGAATGAATGAATGCCAGGCATTCATAAGCCCACAAAAAAAATCGATGTGTCATTCTACACCTTCACTGTAGCCTAATGCTTCATGCTCCAAAAAGAAAGAAGAGGCATCATTTTCTCTGTTTCCTGTGCTCCACCTCTCGCACATTCCCCACTCTCCTAGCTGCTGTCTTTCCCCTGACTTTTTTGTCTAGTAACAAGAACTCCCTGCCTGGTGAAAGTCGGCATTTTCTTCTCAATTTACTTCTAAATATTAGTGCTTTTGTTTACCCTGTGAAGCAGATGGTAACAGTTAATGTAATAACCAGACTGTCTCCTCTCTCTTGTTTGACACAGTAGATGTCATGAGCCATATTTTCCCTTGGTTATATTTGTTAAATAGAAGACAGGAGATCTGCTATATGGTCAACATTAGGTCTGGTCACTGCTTTTATATTGTTAACACTGTGTTTCCTTTCATATATTTACATCATTTGGAAACATTTGCCCTAGTTCCAGCAATAAAGGCTAAGAGATAAGGATCCAAATGAAAGAAAGAGGATAAAAACCAGCCCATCTGTCAAATGGCGGAAAAAGGACAGAGCTACAGGTTAGATATTAACAGAATCTTACTCTAGAGTAAAATCACTAGTAAAAAAAAAAAGAAAGAAAGAAAGAAAGAAAAAGAAAATGCCAAAGCATTTAAATAATCCTATCACGTAAACTGACAACAAAAAATGGTATCTGGATTCATGTAGCAGCATTTAAAATTCAGTTGTGGCCAGGTGTGTGGCTCACCCCTGTAATCTGAATGCTTTGGCAGGTTGAGGCAGGAGGATTGCTTGAGCCCAGGAGTTCAAGACCAGCCTGGGCAACATAGTGAGACCCTGTCTCTATTTTTAAAAAATAAAGGCCAGGTGCGGTGGCTGACGCCTGTAATCCCAGCACATTGGGAAGCCAAGGTGGGCAGATCACGAGGCCAGGAGTTCGAGATCAGCCTGACCAACATGGTGAAACCCTGTCTCTACTAAAAACACAAAAATTAGCTGGGTGTGGTGGCACGTGCCAGCTACTCAGGAGGCCGAGGCAGGAGAATCGCTTGAACCGGGGAAGCAGAGGTTGCAGTGAGCTGAGATCGTGCCACTGTACTCCAGCCTGGGCAACAGAGCAAGACTCTGTCTCAAAAAAAAAAAAAAAAACACGAATTAAATTAAATTGAGTTGCATCCTGTTGAGTATTGTGGTGTTGACTTTAGGATTTGATTCAACTAAGAAATAAACCAATTCCATTTTCTGAAACCTAAAATCATAAGCTATTAAGTATGCAAAGAACACAAAAAACACAGCGTGGAGAATAATCCTGTTACACTCACTTTCAGGCCTAAAGATAAAATTTGATTTAGGGAGAACAGAGGCTGAGTGAGCTCCACAGGGTACCAAGAAGTTATTGGAAGAACTGTGTCAGCCAGTTAAAATGTGGGCAGATTGCCCAGCTAACGAGAAGGGATCATGCTTTGTTCTTCAAATCAGTAAACAAATCAAATAAAGGACAGAACAACTTAAAATTGTTTATTCCATTCCCGCATCCATTCATCCATCCACCTATCCCAACATTGGATACCTACTTAAAGGCCCACAAAATGAGTTTAAATTCATCAAAAAAGAAAAAAGAAAGAAACAACTCCTGGCACAGAGTTTCCAGCCAAGTAAGAAAGATTTGTCAGAGAAAGTTTCACTAAAATGCAGCCAGGGCTGAGAATCATTGGCTTGTTTGCAACCCCTGGGTCAAAGTGAAAGAAAGAGGGAACACATCAATTGACATTTCTGTGGCATTCTTAGTTAGTCATGTCTATTTATTTACAGAGCCTTCATACGTACTTTTTTATATTTTAACCAAATTACTATTTTTTGGCTAGTTTACAAATGTACCATTGGCAAAATAAAGGAGGTTATATCTTTCTTTCCTTTATATTTTCTTTACTGAAGCAATTAGGATCTTCAACCTTGGGTCTGAATTGCAACAATATTGGAAAAGTGAATAAACTATTCCATTTATTAAATGCCAGTTTAATAGGTCAGAAAACTTATGTTCAAAAGCTGATTCAATGTAACCTCCTGACAATTGTAGCAAAAAAAAAAAACATTTCTTTCTGGCTGGTCACAGTGCCTTATGCTTGTAATCCCAACAGTTTGGGAGGCCAAGGCCGGCAGATGACTTGAGGTCAGGAGTTCGAGACCAGCCTGGTCAACAAGGCAAAACCCCGTCTCTATTAAAAATACAAAAATTAGCCGGGCATGGTGGCACGTGCCTGTAATCCCAGCTACTCGGGTGGCTGAGACACGAGAATCACTTGAACCCAGGAGGCAGAGGTTGAAGTGAGCCAAGATTATACCATTGCACTCCAGCCTGGATGACAGAGGAAGACTCCATCTCAAAACAAAACCAAAAAAAACAAAACAAAACATTTCTTCTTTACATTTTTGGTCCTATTTAGTCTAGAAAAACTTATGGAAATTCCAATAAAGATGCATGATTCTGGGCATTTGTGACATATTAACCAACTAATTGTTAATTAATGAATTAATTAATCCAATTTAAATAATCAATTATGAAATAATTAACCATATGGACCATCAAAAATGACTCAGTCATTTTTATCTATAGGGAAGAGAGTGAGCTCAGCAAGATACTATGGCACATGTGAGAGAGATCAAACTGACAAGTGCAGTATTTGAAAAGTCTCAAAGACGCAAGAAAGTTAGTAGACAATATTTAGGCTGGTTAATTTATACATAAAACTGTATGAGGTGCTTTTCTGCTATAGAATCTACAAGCAAGTAAGGAAAGCGTTATTGCAGTGCTTTACCTAAGACTTCCCCTTATTTGTAGTTAAACTGCCTGGAACTTCCTGGAAAATAGGAACTTGATTGAATCTCTACATTTGAAATGGATGGATGAAAAAACTCATGGAGGATTTGCAATAAAATCCGAGGTCTCCTTATTATGATGGACTCTGTAGCCCTGCTGCATGACCAGGTCCTTCTCAGCTCCATCTCACTGACTAGCCTTCTGTCACACTGCCATTCTTCCCATTTCTGTACTGTATCCAATTCTAGCCTGCTTGGCAGGAGAGGAGAAAGGGGGCTTCCTGAATGCTGATCCTCCCAAATGCTGTTTCTCAATCTCAGCATCATTGCCATTTGGGGCCAAAAAATTATTTGCACAGGGGGCTGTCCTGTGCAATGTAAGAAGTTTAGCAACATCTCTGACCTCTATCTCTATCTTGTCTATCTACCACACTCTATTGGAAGCTCATTGAGGCCTGCAACTGTGGGTAGTTTATTTCTTGACAACCTATCTCTAACCCCAGACATCTTTGTTCTATTTGTGTAACTTTTGTCCAAATTTCCTGAATTACACTCAAGCTCCCTTTTCAGGACAAACTTTTCCCTAAGATCCACCCATTTTACTATGGCTCAAACACTCTCTTAATTATTTCTAGCTTTCTCTCTATGTTAAACATAGTCCATCCAATCACACAGACCAGCCCAAACCATAACAACAAATCTAACATCAAAACTACCTAAAAACTCCCATGCTGCCTCTTATCCAGTTATCAGACAAATGCTAGCCCCATGGGCCTGATTTGAGGTAGAATTCCCCTCTAGAGAGTAGGATATTGAGCGCTGAGGCAAAGTCCGAGCTGGGGTCAACTTGAGGAAAAGGCATGTAGAGTATTTGGAGAGAGAAGGAAGAATAGGGTGTATGGCTGGGGACAGTGGCTGACATCTGTAATCCCAGCACTTTGGGAGGCCAAGGCAGGTGGATCACTTAAATCCAGGAGTTCGAGACCAGACTGGGCAACATGGTGAAACCCCGTCTCTACAAAAAATACAAAAATTAGTCAGGTGTGGTGGCACTTGCACCTGTAATCCCAGCTACTTGGGAGGCTGAGATGGGAGAATCACTTGAGCTCAGGAGGTGGAGGTTGCAGTGAGCGAGGATTGTACCACTGCACTTGAAGCCTGAGTGACACAGTGAGACCTAGTCTCAAAAAAAAAAAAAAAAAAAGAATAGGGATATGATTAGAAATTGCTAAATCACAACCCCAAGTATCCATTCCCTGCTTTCTCCCCTTCTCCCATCTGTTCTAAAGGCCCCAGCCAGTAGATAATGACAATATCTATGGGAAAGTCTTAAAAACATACACCATAGCCATGAAAATAGTTAAATATAGCCATAACTATTCCTACGTGTCTAAAAAATCCAGTTCATATCAAAATTGAGGTCAACAACCTCAGACTGTCCTGACTTAATGGTTCTGGTACACAGTGTTTCAGCTAACTATTCCTTGTATTTAATTTCACTAGGTGGGGCTGATATAAGTTAGTAAAAATTTAAGGCCTTTTATTATTGAGCAAGATGTTAATGCCAGTCAAAAAGAACCTGTTGACACATCTGGCTTACTAGGCTAAAGAACAAAGAAAAGAAATCACTGTCTTGGCTTCCAGTTGACTTTTACTCTGTAGCTCCAGGGTTAGCAAATTTTTCTATAAGAAACAAGATAATAAGTATGTTTCAGCATTGAAGTCCACATATAGTCTCTGTTCCTTCTCTTTCTCCTTCTTTTTCTTCTTCCGTTTTTGTCTTAAACCTTTCAAAAATATAAAAACCATTATTAGCCCCTAGTCCCACAGGCCATGGTGTGATGACCTTGCCCCAAACTAACAACTTTCAAATATCTGAGTAATGGTCTTCAAACTGACAATTCAAACCAAAGCCCATTTATTTTATTTGGGATATTATGCTCATTGGTAAAATTTCAATTATTCCTGGATAAGATTTCTAGCACTTATGAAAACTATTAAGTTATTGTTTGAGCTTACACTTAAGCTCACTCAAGTGATTCATTGAGTTTATATTTAAGATTTATACATTTTGTGATATGAAAGTTTATATCAATTTTTAAAGTTTTAAAACATTATTAATATGTATTTATTCACTATCTCTGTCTACATTGCTTACCTTTTTATTTCTAGAATGATGCCCAGCACAGAGGTAGGGACTCATTCATTGTGTGTAATAGAAAGAAGAGAGAGATAGGAGGATAGGTGGTAGTGGAGAAGAGGCAAAGAAGAAATTACATGCAATAATCCAGGGCTGTAAACTAAGACTGGTCACAATTGAATAACAGGTTTCTCTTTTTTTAGACGACATTACACTCTTGTTGCCCAGGCTGAAGTGCAATGGCACGACCTCGGCTCACCACAACCTCTGCCTCCCGAGTTCAAGCAATTCTCCTGCCTCAGCCTCCCAAGTAGCTGGAATTACAGGCATGCACCACCATGCCCGGCTAATTTTGTATTTTTAGTAGAGACAGGGTTTCTCCATGTTGATCAGGCTGGTCTCGAACTCCCAACCTCAGGTGATCCACCCGCCTCAGCCTCCCAAAGTGCTGGGATTACAGGCGTGAGCCACCGCGCCTGGCTGAAAGACAGGTTTCTTGAAAGACATCTGTTACACAGACAAAATGAGGAACCTCTGGATGCCTGGTTCCAACAAACACATAAAATTTGTCCATGAGAATCACAGACTGGCTTTATCTATGGTTAGAAAACCTTGCAGGTCATCTAGTGTGGCACAAAGCAGTAATCCCTCACAGGTGTATCAGAAGTGTGACTTGGGAAGTTACGACCAACTAGTCTACAAAGCCAAGAGAGATTTCCAAAATTTCAATTTGGTCCCATTTCTATAGGCATTATAGCCCTATGGGGTACCATAAAATCTGACGCGCTTCAGAGTTGTGTAAAAGACATTTATTTACAAACCATAAGAGTCAAGGAAAGAGAGATAATCTGTGTAGAGAATTAGAAGTTTGTGGGGCTAAGTGGTTACCAGTCTCTGGAAATCACAAAGTTCATGGCAAAGTTGCAAGAATCAGGTTTTGTGTGTCCCATCAAGGTCGTCAGAATATAAATGCATAATGTTGTAATGGGTGTGAAAGTTCCTATAACCACAGAAGAGTGTGGTCGTCATAATTTTTTTCCATAAACAAACTTAAAGGACATGAATGAAAAGAGGAATAGTCCAATTAGCAAAAAAGAAAAAAACTAGATGTTAGGTAGACTTAAAGTCTTTACATCATTTCATTTATGAATATGCTTTCCCTTACTGTAATTCAAGGTTTTTAAATGACAAAATAAATGACAGCTATTTTCGGACGTTGGAAGCAAGGCAGCATAGAACTGTGCTCCTTCAGAGAAAGGAAGCCTATGAAGTGAGCAGCACATTTGTCCCAGGTTTGGGGGCAACTTTTTGAACAACAGAGGCCATGAAGTGGAGCCCAAACAGAGCACAGCAGTCTCCCTGAGCTGAAGAGGCAGAGACTGAAGTTCAGGGATGCAAAAAGTTTGGAATTTGCAGGGCATGGTACCAGTAAGGAGGGAGCTGCAAAGATGAGTTCCTAGAAGTCTAAGTGGGAGTTCCCTACAGATCCTTGGCTGAGGGCAGGGCTGCACATGTGCAGGGCAAAACTACACAAGCCCAGCAGAGAGAGGCTGCTGCAGAGTTGACTGCTGAAGGGAGGTAGCAGCGACAGCTGAGTGCTGGGAGACTTTGGATTTACAGCCTAGCTCGAGTGGGAGAGCTAACTAGGCACTTTGGGTACTTCCTGAGACTGTAGGAAAGTCATAGAATAAGAAGGATTGTACCCTCGAGTGTGGGGGTATTCTTTAGAGCAGAGGTTGGCAAAATTTTTCTTTCAAGTTCAGACAGTAAATATTTTAGGCTTGCAAGTAATATGATCACTTTCACAACCACTCAATTATCTCATTGAGTAACATGAAAACAGCCAGAGACAACACATAAATAAGTTAGCAGAGCTGTGTTCCCATGAAGCTTTATTTATGGATTCTAGGGTGACCTAAATGCTAGAATTGGCAGAGAAGGACATAAAAATTGCCATTGTAAATATGTTTAAGGACTCAACAGAAAAGATAAAGATAGTAAACAGGTGGGAAATCTCAGTATAGAAATAAAAATTATAAAAAATAACCAAATGGAAATTCTCTAACTGAAAGTTACATTTTCTGAAATAAAATATCCATTAAATGGCTTAACAGTAAACTAGAGATTACATAAGAAAACTCAGTGATCTTGAAGACAAATCAAAAGAAATCATCTGCTATGATCTAAATGTTTGTGTCCCTCTAAAATTTATGTGTTGAAATCTAATCCTCAATGTGCTGGTATTAAGAAGTGAGGCCTACAGAAGGTTATTAGGCCATGAAGGCTCTGCCTTCATCAGTGACATTTGTGCCTTCATAAAAGAGGCTTGAAGATGCAGCTGGAAGGCAATATCTATGAAGAATGGGGCCCTCGCCAGACACCAAATCTGCTGGCGCCTTGATCTTGGACTTCCCAGCTTCCAGACTGGGAGCAACAAATTTCCATTGTTTATAAATTACCTAGTCTAAGGTATTTTGTTAGAGTGTAGCAGCTGAAATAGACTAAAACTCATCCAATCTGAAGAACAAGAGAAAAAAATTGTTAATGAATAGAGTTTTGGGGACCTGCGCAACAATACCTAATGCTCTAACATATGTATACTAGGAGTGCCAGAAGGAGAAGAGAAAGAAAACAGAGCATAAAAAAAGATTTGAAGGAAAGAAGAATGACATTTTCCCAAATTTAGTTTTACAGCTCCAAGAAGCTCAGTGAAATCCATGCAATGTAACCCTATGAAAAACATACATAGACATTTCATAGCCAAAATGCAGAAAACCCAAGATGATGGTATAGTCTGGATATTTGTCCCTGCCCAAACCTCATGTTGAATTGTAATCCCCAGTGCTGGAGGTGGGGCCTGGTGAGAGGTGTTTGGGTCATGGGGGTGGATCCCTCATGGCTATGTGCTGTCTTTGCAATAGTGAATTCTAACAAGATCTAGTCATTTAAAAGTGTGTGGCACCTCCCCTCACCATCTTGCTCCTGCTCTGGCAATGTGATATGCCTGCTGTCCCTTCATCTTCTGCCATGATTGTAAGCTTCCTGAGGCATCTCCAGAAGCCAAGCAGATACCAACACCATGCTTCCTTTAAAGCCTGCAGAACTTTGAGCCAATTAAACCTCTTTTCTTTATAAATTACCCAGTCTCAGGTATTTCTTTATAGCAATACAAGAAAGACCTTACACAGTTGAAGAGAAAAATCTTAAGAGAAGCCAAAGGAAAAGATGCATTACATTCAGGGGAACTATAATACATACTCAGACTGACTTCTCAGTGAAAACAATGGTGAAAAGCAGTCAGAAAATGAAACTTTAAAGTGCCACAAGAGGCCAGCCATGGTGGCTCACACCTGTAATCCCAGCATTTTGGGAGGAGAGGTGGGCAGATCACGAGGTCAGGAGTTCAAGACCAGCCTGGCCAACACAGTGAAACTCCGTCTCTACTAAAAATACAAAAATTAGCCGGGTGTCGTGGCATGCGCCTGTAGTACCAGCTACTCAGGAGGCTGAGGCAGGGGAATCACTTGAACCCAGGAGGCAGAGGTTGCAGTGAGCTGAGACCATGCCATTGCACTCCAGCCTGGGTGACAGAGTGAGACTCTGTCATAAATAAATAAATAAATAAATAAATAAATAAAGTGCCACAAGAAAGAAAAATAACCTATCAACCCAAAATTGTACATTGAAAAAAATTACCCTTGCAAAAGGAGAACAAAATAAAGACATTTTCAAACAAATGAAAGATGAAAGAATTTGTTGTCAGCAGAACTGCACTATAAGAAATGCTAAAGAAATTCTCTAGGCTGAAAGAAAAATAAAAAATAAAATTGTAATTTCCCAAAATTCATGTTGAACACCCAACACCCCATACCTCAGAATGTGACTGCATTTGGAGACAGGGCCTTTAAAGAGGTGATTAAGTTAAAACAAGGCCATTAGGGCAGGTCCCTAATCCAGTCTGACTAGAGTCCTTATAAGAAGAGAAAACACAAAGACACTAGGATACACGCACCTAGAGAAAGGGCTGTATGAGTGAGGACACAGCAAAGAGGCGGCCATCTGCAAGCCAAGGAGAGGGGCCTCAGAAGAAACTAAACCTGCTGACACCTTGAGCTTGGATTTCCAGCCTTCAGACTGTGAGAAATAAGTTTCTGTTGTTTGCCACCCAGTCTGTGGGACTTTGTTACAGCAGCCCTAGCAAACTAATACAGAGAACCAGTGGTTGTCAGGTCAACTCACCAAATCAGACATTTTGTAAGAAAAAAAATCCGACTTCATTTATCATTTTGACCTGACTTTTTAATACATGTCCTCAAGCCGACCATCTCTGTATTCTAATCCTATGACTAACAGACACCAGCTTCTCCCCAGGGGAAGACAAGGAGCTGCCTCCCTCAACCCCTCCTCCAGCATCTGCTCTGCTCTCACTGGATGCTCCGTTAGGAAAAAGTCATTCTTTCACAGTAAAAATGGACAAAGAAGGAAGGTCATTAAATGAAAATTATCTCATACCTACTGCTCCAATGCTCTGTAGGAAATCAGAAAATTTGAATATGGGCTGAAAGACCCTATGTTTAATGGTACTCCATTAACAGACATGCGCCATGCTTATAATGCCTTTTCTAAAGGAAACTCCTCCAACATCAACTTTTCAAAGTGTCCCATTGTTGGTAACCTAGAGGTTTTTATGGCCCAGGACAAAACGCCATAGTAAGATTCAAAGTGAATTATTGGTGTGAGTTTTTAAAAAATGCAAAGGACAATTGAGAAAGAGAAAGTAAGAAAGGAGGACAGACTAATACTGATACCTTGACCCTAGTGTGTGCTGAGTTGACCCAGGTCGCAGAGGATCAAATGCAGAGAGGAGATACGTATAGAATTTTAGAGAATGTGGTGTATCTAGTTCTACAGTCACATTTTATAAAAGTGGAAGCTGGAGGCCAGAGAAATTAAGTAGCCATCCAAGGTCACACAGCCAATGGCAGAATTGGGCCTAAGCCCATGTCCCTAAATGCCCACTGTCCACTTCACAGTACCAAAAATGTGACAGTGAAATCAAGGATATGATAATCGTGTGCTATGAAAAGTAGCTAGATACAGTTTTCTGTGACACTGACTTGACTCCAGGAATGGAAATATTTAGCATCCAATGAATATGTGAAGAAATTGTAATGAATGACAATAATCTGATTGTACCATAATGCATTTTAATATAATGAAATAAAATGAAGTAATAATGCTTTAGAAAGAAAAGAGTTCTTTATTCAATGTTTTATTTCATCTGTTAATGGAAGGCTATCTTTGAGACTGAAAATAAGTTAAAAGTCCAATAGAGTAATAAATTAATTATAGATTATTTTTGATGTCACAGAGTAGTACCTGCAGAAGTATTGACAGAGAAGAGACCCCAGCTGGGGGCTGGTTAGAGGAAAGGAAGCACATCAAAGCTGCTTGCACCTGATTAGCACCTCAAGCTCTAAAAATGTTAAAGAACCATACAGAATGAATGGTGCTTAAAACCAGACATAGGCAAGCAGGCAAAACCACGCAGATCAAGGGGTCAGATTTGGCATAAACTTCTGGAAAAGTGGGGCAGTGATAAAGCACAGTGAGCCTAACAACCTTACTGCCTAGATAAAGATAAATTAGAAATGAGCTCTTTCTAGAATCAGCAGCTCAGTCTAAAACACTCGTTACCTGTTGTCATGAGTCTAGAGATCTTTATAAATTATTTCTTTTACAAAGGCATTTTTTATATTTGTTTATATGGTAGTATTTGTTTATATGGTAGTGAACGTGAGATTTGAAAGGAGAAATAATGATTTAAATTTACTTAGTGCTTTACACTTAAATACATTTTATAGAGAGGGCACTGGAGCTCAGAAATGTCAAGCAGTTATGTAACATGTAAAGCACCCAGAGACAAATGAGTCTGTTTAAGGTGGAATCTGAAGCAGGCAGGGTCAGGGATCATTGTTGGCACTACTGCATATAGTTGTATGAGTCTGTCTTATGGTGAGTACCTCCAAGGCAGAGCTTCAAACAATCAGTTTGGGACCCTTTGAACACCCTTAGGAAATGTGTCTTAGAACGCTCACAGGGGTGGGGAGTGGAGGGGACAGAGCATTTATCATTTATCTACTGGTCTCTTTCTCTCCCATTGGTCAAGGGTTCCCTCATAGAGCATTATTAACTCCACCCTCCTGCATCCTTCTCTCCCTGCACATCCTGCATTTTAATCTTGCACATGTGTGGATGCCAAGAAGGTTTCCATGGATTAGACCATGGAGGGATCACAAAAGTACCAAAACAAAAAGTGAGAGACCTAGAGCGGTAGGTGAGCTACTATTCAGGGGCACCTGTGTGAGGCTGATTGACATCAACATAGAGCTGATCACTGCAGCTGTGGCTGGAATAAGAAGTGAGGTCAAAATAATTGAAGTAATACACAGTCAGTGTCCACCCCCCAGGGCATGCAGTCAAGGTGATGAGCAGAGCTGGAATTCATTCTGTGCTCTGTTCTCCATGCCATGCCCCTGGTGCAGGCTGCATCTACCTGAAGGAAGTGGCTCACTTCTCTCATGTATTCAAAGATGCCATATGAGTTAGCAAAAGCCCTGGTTTTTCTTTACCAGGTGTTGTGTTTTCTTTACCAGGCTACAATCTTAATTCTAATGTTCAAAAATCTAAAACAACACCTAAACTCCAGATTTTTAAGGAAATAAAACAACTGATTGGAATGACTGAATGACACCTTGTGAGATTTATGCAGTAAATGAATATGTACACAAGATTCTAAAGGACATGGACTATGTTTTTATACCATCTCTGACTTCTCCTCCATAAAGTTCTTAGTGGGGTGAAGGAACTAGCTAGGTTCCAATTTGGTTCTCTACATGACTCATGACATGTACACTCCACTCAATCATTTAGATGTCTGCTTCTTGCTTCGAGATCCTTAGGAGTGATTTCAGAATGTTTGCTTTGCTTATTAGCTTGTTCACATGCATTCCTTTAAGACTAAGTTTTTAATCAGCTGATTAGGATGAAAGGCTTTGCCCATTATTGGCTGCAAAATCCTAGTCATGGATGTAAATTGCTGATCTCTGCCACTGAATCTGTGGGAGTTGGAGTCATGGTGTCCTTTTTGAAAATTATCATCTTGCATGCTGTGGTGACTAAGCATGTGTGTGGTTTTAAACCTATTTTAGTTGTTAGGAGTCACTTCCCACTTGAAATGAAAGCTGGAAATAAATTCTCATTTGACCGTGTTACTAAACATTCTTTTCCCCTTCTTACTTCCCACCCTCATGCCAAAAGTTGCTTAGGAATTGGGACTAGTCTGTTTCCTCACCCAATATTGTGTAAGTTGCCACATATTGTCCAAAGTGATAGAGATAATAATAGTTGAGACCAGAACTAGAATCAAGGTTTTTCTGATTCCACGTAAAATATTCTTTCAACTATACTTCTTGCTTATAGCGATGGTCAGTGAGGTACTTCATCATAATTCCAATTTTTCAACCGTTTTAAGTTTAAAATATTATTTTCTTGAAGTAATTTTTAAAGTCTAATAAAAAAAAATGGCCAGGCATGGTAGCTTACACCTATAATCCCAAGACTTTGGGAGGCCAAGGCAGGAGGATCATTTAAGCCCAGGAGGTCGAGACCTGCCTGGGCACGTGCGGTGGTACACACCTATAGTCCCAGCTACTTGGGAGGCTGAGATGGGAGGATCTCTTGAGCCCAGTAGGTTGAGGCTGCAGTGAGCAGTGAGCAGTGATCGCACCACTGCACTCCAGCCTGGGCAACAAAGTGAGACCCTGTCTCAAAAAAATAGAAGAAATTTTAAAAAAATTGCCGGGCTTGGTGGTGGGCAGGGGGGTAGGCACATGTAATCCCAGCTATTTGGAAGGCTGAGGTGGGAGGATTGCTTGAGCCCCCAAGCTTGAGACCAGCCTAGGCAACATAGCTAGATGCCATCTCAAAAAAATAATAATAATAAATAAATAAATAAAAATTTTAAAAAAACTAACCAAAATAGTAAAATGTAATCACAATTTTATAAATGCAGAAACTAAGAGGAAAACTAACATTTATTGAGCATCTACTATTTGACAGATCCAGTGAATACTTTATCTTATATAATCCTCACTACACTAGAGGGTATTCATTATTAGGTAAGAATTTTTTCTCTGCACTTTACAGAACAGAGACTAAGGCTGAGAGGAGACAAGTAATTACAGTACAGAGTAGAGTCAGAAATGCTATTCACATTTGTCTGACTCAGAAGATGATGTTATTTTCAATACTTGTTAACTTCTGAGGTAATATACCCAGCCATTTTTAAAGACTTAGTAATAATGGTAACACTTGATATTGTCATGTTACTTTTTCATTCACCAAACAAGATCACATGTATCAGTGCATTGCATAGTAAAGATATTAAACTTAAACACAAGCCCATTATTCTAAGTCCAAAGTGCCTTCCACTTCACCACTCAAAAAATCAGAATGACTAGAAAGACTCTATAGTCACAATCTGACTTGTAGGGGAAGAGTATGTGTGTGTGGTGGGGGAATGAAGAGAAGTTGGTTAATGGGTACAAACATACAGATAAATAGAAGGAATACTCTAATGTCTGATAGCAGAGTAGGGTGACCATAGTTAACAGCAATGTATTATATATTTCAAAAAAGCTAGAAAAGAGGACTTGAAGTGTTCCCAACACACAGAAATTATTAATACTATATTAGTCTGTTCTCATGCTGATAATAAAGACAAACCCAAGACTGGGTAATTTTATAAAGGAAAGAGGTTTAATTGATTCACAGTTCAGCATGCCTGGGGAGGCCTCAGGAAACTTCCAATCATGGCAGAAGTAGAAGCAAACATGTCCTTTCTCACATGGCGGCAGAAAAAGAAGAATGAGTGCCCAGCGAAGGGAGAAGCCCCTTAAAAAGCCATCAGATCTCATGAGAACGAACTTACTATCACAAGAACAGGATGGGAGAAACTGCACCTGTGATTCAATTATCTCCACCTGGTCCCTCCCACAACACTTAGGGATTATGGGAACTACAAATCAAGATGAGATTTGGATGGGGATACAGCCAAACCATATCAATACTCAAGGTGATGGATACCCTAAATACCTGACTTGATCATTGCAATTCTATGCATGTAACAAAATTTCACATGTACCCCATAAATATGTACAGGCATTATGTATCAATTTAAAAATCTGGCTTGTAAATATATTTCAATATGAAGAATTTTTACAAAGCCAGTTGTTGGTTGGTACCACTACAGCAAGTTACAGCCATTTCTTCATATAGCTCATACATAATTTTACTACTTAACAAATGTACAGTTGGGATATTTATTACCCAATTTTGAAAACCCTGAAAAGTAGCAGGGATTATTGGAAATCTACTCTTCTTAACACCATGCAAAATAGAACTTAAAATCAGAATTATGAATGCTTTAAATTTTGTTGTGATTGTCAGCAAGAAAATGTCACAAAGATGAAGTTGAATGATGCAGCAGTTCAGTTTCTTCTTGTCTTCCCTCTGTTGTGGAGTGTTTGGTCTTACTATTTAATGTTTTCCAATTTGGGGAAATATTGAAAGAGAATGAAATCTGTAGCTAAAATAGCCTATAAACATCTCCAGGATTTAATAAATTGGGCAGAGAGGTGAATCTATACGTAATAGCAGACACTTCTCTTTTACAACTTTCTCAATTACTTCTGGTTACAGTCATTCACTTAACCATTCAAAATATTAAAGTGCAGGTCGGCGCAGTGGCTCACGCCTGTAATCCCAGCACTTTGGGAGGCTGAGGCGGGTGGATCACCTGAGGTCAGGAGTTCGAGACCAGCCTGGCCAACATGATGAAACCCCGTCTCTAATAAAAAAAGAAAAAATTAGCCAGGCTTGGTGTAATGTGCTTGTAAATCCAGCTACTCGGGAGGTTGAGGCAGGAAAATCGCTTGAATCTGGGAAGCAGAGGTTGCAGTGAGCTGAGATCACGGCACTGCACTCCAGCCTGGGCAACAGAGCCCAGCTCTGTCTCAAAAAAAAAAAAAAAAGTGCCTATTATATGTGGGCCCCTACACTGGCTCACAGTGTGACAAACAGAAAGTTGTAAGTGCTGAGAAGCCCTCAGGAGAGGAGCAGTTGATACACGTGTGGATCTTTCAGTCTTCTCCCTTCAGTGAAGGCAGGGCAGAAAGGCTGGAAAAAGGGAGTTTCTAACCACCAAAGAGCATCAGTTATTGATAAACAAGTACTTGAAGGAAAAGATGTTAACCAGGAACCAGAGAAAAATGAAATTTTGCTTTGGTATGAGGCAGTGAGAGGTGTTCTAAATTAGGATTCTAAAATAAAAACTCCATAATGGGAAAATTTTACACGTGGCTTTGCCAGGTATAGATTAACTCCTGTAAGTAATAGAATAGTAATAGATCTAACTAACAGTAGGGATTTCATCATTCTCCTGAATGGAAATTCTATAATATTTGCTTATTTTAGACCCAGACTTCAACATAAAATATCTTTATATATTTTCTATACTAAAAAAAAAAAAACCCTCTTGACATCTTAGTCCCTTCAAGTAATTCCATATCTTTCTCATTTCACTCACATCTAAGCCACTTTAAAGAGTAGTCTACATTTGCTGCCCCGTTTCTCATTTTCCATTCACTCCTCACCCTACTGTGATCACACTTGCAGTACATAACACTCAATGTGCACTTTCTAAGGTAAAAATCACCATGTTTTACTTGACCTCTCCATGATTTTTTCACTGTTGGACATTCCCTCCTTAAACAACTATCCTTTGCCTTCTGGGATCCCAGTTGTCCAGGGTTCTCCTCCTGCTGTTTATTTTCATCCCTTTGTGGGCTCCTCTTTCTTGGTGTGATTTAATAATGCTAGTCCCCAGTGTTCTGTCCTTAGTGCTCCTCCCCTCTCATTATACACACTCTCCCAAGGTGAACTTCCCTGTAAGCAAGACTTTATCTGCCACCCATATGCAAATAACTTGTAATCTTCCCTGAGCTTGACCTCTCTCTTGAGTTACAGGGTCATAATTTTAACTGCCTATTAAATATCCATCTATTTGTCCCACAGGCCTCTCCAACTTAACAGGCATAAAATCAAACTCATCATCTCCCCACTCTCATATTCTGCTGCGACTCTTATTTCTCGATGTCTCATCTCTAAGTCCACTGACTACCAAGCTGTTTAAACCAAATCTTGGAGACACACCAGGTTCTTTCCTTTCACTCATTGCTCTGTGCCATTATATGAGCACAGGATCCCTCCAAAGGCAGAGCCTGACACAAAGGTTTGCTTGTACTCAGTTTATTTGGGGAAGGGATCCCAAGGAACAGATGAGGGAACTTGGGGAAAGAGCCAATCCCCGGATACATAATCAAGATAGTCACTGCTGCAGGCAACCAGGAGCTCTGAGGAGCTGTGTAAAATGCCACTGAGAATTATCCTTCTGAAGCATAGAGGAAGGAGATATGCATAATACACATTCATATTATACCCTGGCTCCCATCCCCCAGGTCAGATTGCCCCCTGGAGTGTTATTCTTTTGCACTTCAAGTGTGTGCATCTGTCACAATGTCTCAGTGGGTTTCTGAGGACACCCACACAGCAAGAACAGAGAAGTAACAGAACAGCGTGAGATATGCGGTGCATCTGAGGCATTACCAGGACGTATCTGCACCTGTTGATGCCAAGTGAAATGTAAAAGGTGCCCCATATACCCACCAATCACAAACACTTATTCATACAGTTCACACATGCTCTCGTTTGTAGCCCTCATGTGCCTCTCAAATTGTACCCTCATCTTCTGTGGGCCTGACTGCCACGCAGTACCTAGTAAACATTAAAAAACATTTGACTCTCGGCCGGGCACGGTGGCTCACACCTGTAATCCGAGCACTTTGGAAGCCGAGGTGGGAGGATCACCTGAGGTCAGGAGTTGGAGACCCACCTGACCAACATGGTGAAACCACATCTCTACTAAAAATACAAAAAAATTAGCCAGGCATGGTGGTGCATGCCTGTAGTCCCAGCTACTTGGGAGGCTGAGGCAGGAGAATTGTTTGAACCCGGGAGGTGAAGGTAGCAGTGAGCCGAGATGGCACCACTGCAATCCAGCCTGGGTGACAGAGTGAGACTCTGTCTCAAAAAAAAAAAAAAAAAAATTGACTATAGAGAAATGCCCTCAACCCATCTTTTTCCTGGGTCCAGAATATTAGCAATATCTACACATAGAGATTTTCACAAGTGGTCCTCCTGATTTTAATTATCTTTTTGAGATTAAAAAAGGAAAAATGCTAAAAATAAACATGTGCTTTTCAGAGTAAAAAAAAAATAAAACTGCAAACCATGAGGAGTCACCAAACAGTTGCGACTGTGATCTTTTATTTTACAAAATTATAATTTTTCAGTGCATGCTAGACAGTTTGGGGTGAAACATGCCAAGCAAATTTGGAGGTTAAAAACTCTGGCAGACTGGAAAAATATTTTCAAGACTATACAAAAATTTAGAAAACAAACATTTGATTTTCAACATAGACAATTCAAAACTAAAACTATAAAGAAAACAAATCATTTTTTGCTATTTACATGATTGCTACATGCTATAAGGTAGATATTAAGCTCTATAAAGTAAATGGAGAAATTGGGCTCTTGAAAGTAAATGGAGAAATTAAGCTCTAGAAATTACTATAGGTGTGGCTGGATAATATTTTTAAACACAGTTTCACATGCACCCACTCACATTTCCATGCTCTCCTTGCCCTTTCAGATTAAGTCATCCAGGGCATTGTTCTTTAAAGCTTCAGGGCAGGTAACACCTGGCAAAGTGAAAATAACAATGGAATCAAATGTTTGGCATTTCAGTTTTGAAAGGCTGGGCCTTAGCTTAGAGACACATGATTTGGGAGCGTGCATTTTCTGAAATGGAGAAGGAGAAAGATGGAGAAGGAGAAAGATGGAGAAGAAAACTGTGTGATTAGAATACTTGAGAATTGAGAAGAGTATAGTGCTGCCCTGTCCGATATGTCAGCCACTAGCCATGTGTGGCTAAGCACTTGAAAATGATTAGTCCAAGATGAGGTGGACTGAAAGTGTAAATTACACATCAGATTTCAAAGACTTAGTAAGAAAAAAAAGTAAAATCTCTCATTAATTTTTACATAATTATATAAAGAAATCATAATAATTTGGATATATTGGGTTAAATAAAATATACTGTTAAAACTAATTTCACCTGGCCTGTTTCTTTTTTTTCTCTTCTTTTCTTTTTTCAAGATGAGGTCTTGCTGTGTTGCCCAGGCTGGGACTTGAATTCCTGGGCTTAAGTGATCCTCCCCTCTCAGCCTCCCAAGTAGCTGGGACTCCAAGTGTGTGCCACTGCCCTGGCTCCTTTTTAATTTTTTTCTAATGTGGTCATTTAAGACAGCCATATTGACATAATCTAGATACATCAAAGAGAGAAAATATTTTAAAACAAAAAGTAATTACTTTGGAAGAATAAAAGCCAATTACAATTACCACAATAAAGAAAAATAACATTATTATCTAAAATATTGTTACAGTCTAAATATATAATTAGAGTGAAGAACACATACAATAATTTCATTAGTGAAATGTTCAGATTAATTTGCTACAAGAAATAGATAACTTGAAAACAACTCTGGCTGGGCACGGTGGCTTATGCCTGTAATCCCAGCATTTTGGGAGGCCGAGGTGGGAGGATCACTTGAGCTCAGGAGTTCAAGACCAACCTGTGCAACATGGTGAAACTGCATCTCCACAAAACATACAAAAATTAGCCAGGGGTGGTGGCACATACCTGTAGTCCCAGCTACTTGGGAGACTGAGGTGGGAGGATCATTTGAGCCTGGGAGATTTGGTCTTTGGAGGAGATTGCAATAAGCCAGGATCACACCATTGCATTCCAGCCTGGGCAACAGAATGAGATCCCTGTCTAAAAAAAAAAAAGAAAAGACAAAGAAAGAGAAATAAATAAATAAATAAATAAATAAATAAATAAAGAGAGAGAAAGGAAAAACAACCCTAACATTTAATTAAATTCAGCACAACTATGAGGGTGATGTGTGCCGGGGCCAGTGGTAGTTGCTGGAGCTTTAAAGTTGAGAAAATCCCATGTGGTCTGCCTCCCGGAGAAAAGCACACATTTCAGAAAACAGTGATGGAGGAAATCCCTGGAGGTGCTGGAGGGGGTGGGTTTCCAGACCTGAGACATCAGAGAAAGCTTCTCAGAAAATGGATCATGTAACCTGGACCCTGAAAGAATAATTAGAGTTAGTCAAGCCAAATAGGGGAGGGAGGGGAGAAGAGTATTCCAGACAAAAGGAACTACATATTCAAATGCTGAGAGGTGAAGAGAACACTGATGAACCAAAAGAAATTAGGTTGGCTAGATGACAAAGTTTGGAAGAAATTAGATTGGAGAGTTAGGCACATTATGAATCATTCCCCTAATTTAAATCGTGAACTGTATGGGTGTTTATACAAAGGGAAGTGGAAAGAAATTAAAGAGTTTTAACAGAAGGGACGTTCATAACCAGATTTGCATTCTAAGGTCTTTCTGACAGCTGTGTGGAAAATGGAGGGGAAGTGGCAAGGCCGGGGCAAGTGCTCCAGTTACAAAGCTGCTTCATAATCTAGGCAAGAGAAGAGGATGGCTCGGGGCTGGGTAACATGGTAATGTGGCTGTGCGGATGAGGAGAACTGGATTTAAACAAGAACTATTCATGGGGATAGAACTGGTGGGACATATGAATGAACTGGAGATGGAAGAACTCAAGGATGATGCCTGGGTTTCTCTCTTGGGTAACTAGGTAAACAGCCATGTCAGACACTGCAGATGGGATACAAAAAGAGCTGAGGGAGCAAAAAGCAGTGTGCGGGTGGGGGAAGCGGAGGTTTCAATCTTCAGTTTTGGACATACTGAGATTGAGGTAGGTGCCTGAGAGATATCCAAGAGATGTTTTTCAGTAGATGGCTGGATTTCTGATGGTCAGGAGAGTGACTTCAATTGGAGACATTGCTTTGGAAGAGATGAATACATACAAGATAATCAAAGCTATGCAAGGGAGGAGATTGCACAGGAAGAGTGTGTAGAGGAAGAAGAGGAAAAGGCCCAGGACCTAAGCTGAAGGAACATCAATATTTAAAGATGGGGAGATACAAAAGAGCCCTCAACAGACACTGTAGAATGGTCAGAGTAACAGGAAAAAGAGCAGAAGATAGTGGTATAGCAGAAGCAAAGGGAGTAACGTTCTTCAAGAAGGGAGTGATCAACAATGTCACATGCTGCTAAGAGGTTAAAATAGAAATTGAGAAGTATCCATTGGATTTAGCAATACCAGGTTCTTTGTGGCCTTGGTGAGAAGGTTTCATTAGCATGGGAGAGCAGAAACCAGATTACAATGGGTTGAGGAGTGGCAAGTGAGAGAGAGACAGCACAGAGACAACTGCTGCATCCAATGGATTTACAGCCAAGGACTATAATTATGGCTTCCTAGAATATATCCCTTGGAGCCGTTGCATAGCAGGAATGAGTGACTGAGAGATGAGTGGATGGTGGATAGAACTCAGAGTGGTAATTTTTATATTTAAAAAGTAGCCTGTTGTTGAACTGAAAAGCAGTAAATACCAACCACTCCTTAAGCAAATGCTGACTGATAGTGTACTAGGCAGAGCAAGACTAAAAGCTGGGAGAATCGGCTGATCTTTCATCCAGCTACTAACCGAAAATTTTACCCCTCGCCCAACTTCAACTTCACGCTGTGCACCAGAGATAATAAAAAATAAAGATCTCTGTCAACTAATTCATTTAAATCCTTAGGTAAAAATTCAATAGAACCGACAGCCAGCTGCAAGAAATGTTACATTTTAAGACTCTATTTTTACTTTCTGAAATCATCCTAATCCAGTAGTCACAGCAGGTTAAATTAAGTTTTAAAAAATTTTAAGATAACTAAAAATTCTATATAACAATAGAATATATATATTCTGTATAACAATGCACCCCAAAATGTAGTGACTTAAAGCATGTATTATTGTCCTTGGTTCTGTGGATTGGAAAGAATCCAACACCTACTTTCCAATGGGTAGTTCTTTCGGTCTGGGCCTGCACAGCTGCTGGCTGCTGGCTCACTCACACATCTGTATGGTAGCTGGTGGTTCAGCTGGAGTTGGATGGGCTAAGAGAGCCTCCGACTTAGGTTTGGTGGCTGGTGTTTGTTAGTTGGAGTAACAGGGATGGCATGACCCTGTGTCTCTCTTCATCCAGAGGCTCATTCACATGGTTATCTCAAGGCTCGAAGAGCAGCAAGACAGCAAGCCCCAACAATGCACAAGCACCTTTCAAGCCTCTACTTGCAGTGCATTTATTTGTTAATAATGTCCCATTGGCCAATCAAGTCACATGACCAAGCCCAAATTCACCAGGTGGAGAAATAGAATTCACCTCATGATGGGAAGACCACAAATTCACATTGCATAGGGTATCCATAAAGAGATGAGATAATTTGTGTCTAATTTTACAATCGATCACAACTATTTTTTGCTTAAAAATACTTATTAGGAACTTCCTCCTAATTTAAACTTAGTGGAACCATAAACGTAATGAGTCATACATTTGCCACATGTTCACGAAATAAGACTCTTACTTCTTTTTTGTCTTCAAAAGTGGCACTAAATCACAATAAAGGAAGGGTATTCTGAGGACTTTGAGCTCCTTAAGGGGCTGTCTCTTTTCTGTATCCCCAACACTATGGTAACTTTATTTGAATGAATGAATGATTTATTACCTGTATCAGTCCTTTCTTGCATTGCCATAAAGAAATACCTGAGACTGGGTAATTTATAAGAAAAGTGGTTTAATTGGCTCATGGCTCTGCAGGCTGTACAGGAAGCATGGCGGCGTCTGCTTCTGGGGAGGCCTCAAGGAACTTTTACTCATGGTGGAAGGCAAAGTAGGAGCAGGTATGGATTAGTGGAGAGAAATCATGGAGAAATAGTAAGAGTAAGGGAGAGGATAAATACTTAGTGACTTACATTTTGGTGGTGACTAAGACTAATAGGCATCCCAGTCTATATAAAAATATCTTGATAATAGCTTAACATTGAAGGCTTTAATGGAAGGTGAAACAGAAACTACATGAGTTTCTCTGAATGACGGGTGGAGATTGAGTGTAAGGAAGTGCTTCTTGAACCTAAGTATACCTTAGAATCTCCTGAAGAACTTTTATAAAATACAGGTATCCTGGCCTCATTCCCAACCAATTAAATCAGAATCAGTGGGAACAGACCTGAGCACTGGTAATTTTTGGCAGTTGTATTCTCTTTAAAATCCCCAGGTGCAGTCAGTACTGAGAAATATTGGTATATGGCAGTGATTCTCAGAGTTGATCCCTGGACTAGTAGTGTCACTATGAGTTGGGGACTTGTTAGGAAACACATTATCAAGGCTTGCCCCAGATTTACTGAATCAGAAACTCTGGAGGTGGAGCCCAGCAATCCCTGTTTTAACAAACTCTCTGGGTGATTATGATGCATGTTAAAGTTTAAGAACCACTGGTATATGGTGGGGGTGGGAGCACAGGGGGAGTAGCTACACTGTATCTATAAGTATCCTTCATGGTCAGCAGAAGTTTCCTTCCCATCAGCATTTTATGAGAATTCTTACTGCGTCTCACCAAATTCTTTTTACATATGATTTATAGCAGAATTAGAGGCATAAAAGACAGGGGGAAAAATAAACAACATTATCTTACTTAAAACTGAACATTTTTCATATGTTTGTAATTAACATAAAACTTGCGTGCTACAGTTCAAATTGATTTCCTTGATTTTAACCTGAAATGAAAATGGAGATCAGCCAGTTACCATTCTGTGGAGAGACAAACACACTGAACAATTGCAAAAAGGATAACAAATAGTTCATCCAGCCTGCTTTTAGAAAAATCACAGAATAAAGGTAGTGTTTCAGTTACCAACTTTCAACCCAGTAATAGGAACATATGCAATGATATTTGATCATAGTCTCTATTTTTATTTTTAAAAACAGGAAAGAAAACAGAAACAAAATTTAAAAAAGAAAGAGAACCACTCTAAAAAAAAAGTTGAGAAAAAGAAAACTAATAAGAGGAAATTCCTCAAACTAAGCAAGTTTAAATATTGGCAGTATGTGGAGTAAAACACACACAAAAATGTGGTGTATACTTCCTGAAAATGTCAGCTGTTAAATGAAAGGAATCATGTTTCTGTATTTTCTTAAATAGAACTTGGCATATTCGAGGTGGTCCATAAGTTTTAAATAATAACAATTTGCTCTCCAATCTGGCCTCATTTAGCTTCCTTTTTCACTGTAACATCTCGACATTCTTCCAGTGCTTAGTTTGTAGAATTCACTGCAAAAAAAAAAAAAAAGAAAGAAAAGAAAAGAAAAGGCTAAGAATAAACATATGTAAGAAAAAAAAGAGGCAAAATAAAAGAGCAGCTTCTTCAAGCTTGGGCTCAACTAACAAATAAATCATTTATACTTAAAAAAAAAATCTTCTCACTTCAACATACAAACTATTAATCCAGATCTCCATTATTGCTTACTTAAACTAGTAACAGGGTTTCCTTCCTCCTTTTATTGCACTCTGCTGAAAGATTAATCTTCTCACAGCAAAACTCAAAAACTTTCAGTAACCTATCCCCCACTGCTGGCCCCTGAAGTACAGACAAGATCAGGCACAGGCCACAGATGCCCTGGGGAATCAGCCCTAGAAAAAAACTGTGAGAAACTCCTGGAGACACTAAAGGCCATCATAAACTTTGGGTGGGGAGGAATGCAGAGTTAGAATAATAGGTAGAGTGCTGCTAGGTTCTGCTCTCCTTTTCTCTCCTCTTTCCTTTGGACCATTGCCTGTCCCATAACCACTGTGAGTCAGGAGGCAGCAGCAATCACCCACGCTAAAAAGGGGAGGCTGACCAGCTTCCCTGAGCACTCACTCCTCCAGTCCTCCTCATGTGTGGTAAATGGTGCATCACTTATGAGATGACTACCGGCTCCCTTTCAAAGGCTTTAGAGGAGAATCCCTAGCAGAGTAATGCCTAGTGGAGGGGCAACAGATGGCTTGTTGACTATCGTTCCAACACCTAAGGGACTCTCTGGGACTCAACTCCTTAATCTTAAAACCATAAGGAACACAGAAAGTAGGACCTGGTATTGGTATGTCACATTGGTACCTGATAACTCCAGGGGAACATCAGCTCACAGCTTAAAATACCTGAGGTTAGAACCACTGCAAAAAGAAAAACACACACTGAACATACACGATATCAAGCAGAAATACTGGAACAAACAAATTAAGAATTTAAAATAAGCACAACCACGCTGGGCACGATGGCTCATGCCTATAATTCCAGCACTTTGGGAGGCCGAGGTGGGCAGATCACTTGAGGTCAGGAGTTCAAGACCACTCAGGCCAACATGGTGAAACCCTGTCTCTACGAAAAATACAAAAAATAGTTGGGCATGGTGGTGGCCATCTGTAATCCCAGCTACTCGGGAGGCTGAGGCAGGAGAATCACTTGAACCTGGGAGGTGGAGTTTGCAGCGAGCTGAGATTGCACCACTGTACTCTAGCCTGGGTGACAGAGTGAGACTGTCTCAAACAACTGAAACAAAATAAGCACAATCAATATTGTCAAAAAGCTACTGGTAATAGGAAGCAGGAAAAAAGTCATAAAGACAGACAGACATTATACATAAAGTATAAAAAATTATGCTTCCAAGTAAGACTCCTAGATGGGATAAATAGCAAGCTGAATGCAGCCAAAGGAAAAATTGTAAAACTGAAAGAGCAGACTGAGGACATCTTTCAGAAGGCAGAAAAAAAGATAAAGAGAGAAATACAGAAATAAAAAGTTAAATACCATGGAGGATAAAAGTAGACATGCTGACATCCTGAAAACAGGAGTCCAAAGGAAGAGAACATAAAGGGAGGACAAATATTTAAGAGAATAACAAAAACAATTATCTCTAAATTAAAGATAAAAGAAGTCAGATGGAAAGGGTTGCATGCCAAATAGGAGAGATTAAGAACCTAGAAAGATTATTGCACATTTAAGAACAAAGAGAAAGAGAAAATACTAAAAGCTTCCAGGAAAAAAAGAGCATATGTCCTCCAAAGATACAAGAAGATTTGGCAGCAGATTTCTTAACAGCAACACTGGGGCCAAATATTTGGGGATTTTTCAGATATTATTCTGTTACTGATTTCTAATGTAATAACATTGTGGTCCGAAAACACACTTTATATGACTTAAACCCTTTTAAACTTATTGAGACATTTTATGGTGCACAATGTGGTTTATCTTGAACAGATACTCTACCAAAGAAGGTAGATGGATGGGAAATAAGCACATGAAAGACAGGCAACACCAATAGTCATTAGGGAAATGGAAATTAAAACCGTAATAAAATACCACCACACACTAACCATACCAACTGTTGCCAAAGCTTTAAAGGAGCTAGAACTCTAACATGCTGTTAGTTGGAATGTAAAATGACTCAACTACTTATATAGTTTCAAATCTCATGCTGAAATGTGACGCCAATGTTGGAGGTGGGGCCTAGTGGGAGGTATTTTGATCATGGAGCGGATACCTCATGAATGGTTTAGCACGATCCCGTTGGTGATGAGTGAGTTCTTTCTCTATTAGTTTGTGTAAGAGCTAGTTGTTTAAAGAAGCCTGGCATCTCTCTTGTTACTGCTTTCACCATGTGACACACCTGTTCCCCCTACACCTCATGAGTAACAGCTTCCTGAGGCCTCATCAAAAGCTGAGCAGATGCAAAGTGCCATGCTTGTACAGCCTGCAGAACTGTGAGTCAAATAAACCTCCCTTCTGCATAAATTACCCAGCCTCAAGCAAAGCGAACAGATTAATATGACTACTTTAGAAATAGTTTGGCAGTTTCCCAAAAAGGTAAATATACAGACCAGGGGCAATGGCTCATGTTTGTAATCCCAGCACTTTGGGAGGCCGAGGTGGGCGGATCACATGAGGACAGGAGTTTAAGACCAGCCTGGTCAACGTGGCGAAACCCCATCGCTACTAAAAACAAAAAAATTAGCTGGGCATGGTGGCATACGCCTGTAATCCCAGCTACTCAGGTGGCTGAGGCATGAGAATCACTTGAACCTGGGAGGTGAAGGTTGCAGTGAGCCGAGATCATGCCACTGCACTCCAGCCTCAGCAACGGACCAAGACCCTGTCTCTAAATAAATAAATAAATAAGTGAAATATACACCTTCCAGATGATCCAGAATTCGACTCCAAAGAATTACCTCAGGAGAAAAAAAAGCATATGTTCACAAAAGACTTGTATATAAATGTTCATAGCAAATTTATTTGTAATAGTCCAAACTGGAAATAATCCAAATGTCTATTACTAGGCGAATGGATAAACAAATTGTAGCACATTTATATAATGAAATACTATTCAGCAATAAAAAGAATAAACTATTGATCCATGCAACAACATAAGTGAACATCAAAATAATTATGCTATGTAGATAAAAGAGAGTACATACTGTTTTAACCATTTATAAAAAATTCTAGAAAATGCAACTAATCTATAGTGATAGAAAGAAGATGGGTCGTTGCCTGGGAACAGGGGAAACAGGCAGGCAGGCGTGGGTGAGCAGGGTTACAAAGCAACACAAGGAAGTTTGACGGTGGCGGGAGGGGGAAGGTAGAGATAAGTATGCTCATTATCTTGATTAGGGTGACGGTTTCAAGAGTGTATACCTACGTTAGAACTTTCCAAAACATACGTTCTAAATATTTGCAGTTTATTATATGTCAATTATACCTTAATAAAGCTGTTTTTTAACAAAAAACATAATAAATGAAAAATAGAATTTTTATCTGATAAAGACATATGAAATTCAGATGCTGTTTTTATTTTCAAAAATGAACAAAGAAAAGAGAGAGAAATAAAAATATATTTATAGCATAATAATCCAGAACTAAAATTCTAAATAATATCAACACAGTAGTGGAGAGGAGGAGACAAAAAGACATGAGTTGGTAGCATCAGGGTGAGTCCATACAGGAGGCAGAAACAGAGTTAGCCGGGTTCTAAAGAACCGAAAAATCTAAAAGGGAACCATTACCATCACACCAACCCTATTCTCCCCAGTAGTAGCAGTATTGTTCCAGTAGCAACAGTTGGTTCCAGTTTGCAGTATTTCCAATGTTCCCAGAACCAGCCTCAACATAACCGAAGAAGTCTTAGTTCCAACTCTTCAGGGCAACTCACCAAATTTATAGATTTTCTTTTTTTTTTTTTTTTTTTGAGACATGGTCTCACTCTGTTGCCTAGGCTGGAGTGCAGTAGTGCAATCACAGTTCGCTGCAGCTTCAACCTCTGGGGCTCAAGCAATCCTCCCACCTCAGCCTCCCAGGTAGCTGGAACCACAGGTGCGAGCCACTATGCCCAGCTGATTATTTGTATTTTTTGTAGAGACGGGATCTCCCTGTATTGCCCAGGCTGGCCTTGAGCTACTGAACTGAAGTGTCCACCTGCCTCAGTCTCCCAAAGTGCTAGGATTACAGGCATGAGCCACCATGCCCAGCCCAAATTTATACATTTTAATAATTTTAACATCCTCTGATATTTTGCAGAAATACTGAGGAAATGTGAACACCACTTATTTAAGAAATATTTTCAAAATTTTCACTACAATTTTTTTTTTGAGACAGGGTTTTGCTCTCTCACCCAGGCTGGAGAGCAGTGGTGCTATCTCAGCTCACTGCAGCCTTGACCTCCTGGGCTCCAGCAATCCTCCCACTTTAGCCTCCCAAGTGGCTGGGACTACGGGCCCACACCACCATGTCTAGCTAACTTCTCTGTATTTTCTGTAGAGATGAGGTTTCACCATCTCGCCCAGCCTGGTTTCAAAATCCTGGAATCAAGAGATCTTCCCACCTCGGCCTCCCAAAATGCTGGGATTACAGGAACGAGCCACTGTGCCCAGCCTTTACCACCTTTTTTAAGGAAGATAATAGCATTCAAGTTATGTTTCCTCCCCAAAAAGCCCGTATCTTTTAAAGATTTATACTAAAATATTTACAGATGAAATAATATAATATCTGTGATTTTCCTCAAAATAACCTGAGGGGAAGGAATGGGTGGATGGGGATAGAGATAAACCAAGATTTGGCAATAATTTATCATTATTACAATTGGATGGTAGATAATTGAGAGTTCATTATAATATTCTACTTTTTTGTGTTTGAGATTTTCCATTTTTTATTTTTACTTTTTATTATTCTTTTTTTTAGACGGAGTCTGTTTCTCTGTTGCCCAGGCTGGAGGGCAGTGAGGCGACCTCAGCCCACTGCAACCTCTGCCTCTTGGGTTCATGCGATTCTCCTGCCTCAGCCTCCTGAGTAGCTGGGACTCTAGGCGTGCCACCACGCCTGGCTAATTTTCGTTTTTTTTGTTGTTGTTGTTGTTGTTGTTGTTGTTGTTTTGAGATGGAGTATCACTCTGTCGCCCAGGCTGGAGTGCAGTGGCACGATCTCGGCTCACTGCAAGCTCCACCTCCCGGGTTCACGCCATTCTCCTGCCTCAGCCTCCCGAGTAGCTGGGACTACAGGCACCCGCCACCACGCCTGGCTAATTTTTTTTTTTTTAGTAGAGACGGGGTTTCACCATGTTAGCCAGGATGGTCTCGATCTCCTGACCTCATGATCCGCCCGCCTTGGCCTCCCAAAGTGCTGGGATTACAGGCGGAGCCATCGCACCTGGCCTAATTTGCATATTTTTAGTAGAGACAGGGTTTCACTGTGTTGGCCAGGCTGGTCTCAAACTCCTGACCTCAAGTGATCTGCCTGCCTCAGCCTCCCAAAGTGCTGGGCATGATCCACCGCGATTGGCAGAAAAATATTTTTAAAGCATGCATACAATAGTATTTATATAATAAAGACACATACAAAGAAAAGCATAAATATCAAGTGCCCAAGAATTGCTGCCATTGGTGGGTGATGGGGATGGAAATCAAAGGCAGAAATAAAAGAAAATAAAAATGAATGAATGATGGAGAAGGAGGAGCCTAACACAGACCATTGGCCAAAGTATGAAATAAACTAAGGAGTATAATTGGACCAATCTTCAACAAACAGGAAAACTGGAAAATGAAAACAGGAAAAACAAAACAGGCCACGTGCAGTGGCTCATGACTGTAATTCCAACACTTTGGGAGGCTAAGGTGGGCAGATCACTCGAGTCTAGGAGTTGGAGACCAGCCTGGCTAAAATAACGAAACCCTGTCTCTACTAAAAACAGAAAAATGAGCCAGGCGTGGTGGTGCACACCATGCCTGTAATCCCAGCTACTCAGGAGACTGAGGCACAAGAATCACTTGAACCTGGGAGGCGGAGGTTGCAGTGAGCCAAGATCACGGCACTACACTCCAGCCTGGGTGACAGAATGAGACTCTAAAAAAAAAAGTCCTATGTCAGTCCAAAGGCTGGCATTTAAGGATTTAAGGTCTCCTAAATTTGGTCTTGGCCTACCTTTTTAAGCTTATTTTTTCACCCACCTTGAAAAACTAACATCCCATCAAAATTAAATATCTATTGTTGACCATGTGTCTTAGTCTATTTCAGGCTGTTATAATAAAATACCATAACCTGGGTAGCTTATAAACAACAGAAATTTATTTATGACATTTCTACAGGCTAGGAAGTCCAAGATCAAGGCACAGCAGATTCCATGTCCGGTGAAGGCCCACTTTCTGGTTCATAGAGGGTGCCTTCTTGCTGTGTTCTTGCATCATGGAAGGGTTTAGCTAGCTCTCTGGGGTCCCTGTTGTAAAGGCACTGATTCCAATTACAAGTGCTTTACCTTCATGACCTAATCACATGCTAAAGCCCTCACCTCCTAATACCATCAGTTTAAGGGTTAGGATTTCAACATATGAATTTAGGGGGGATGTAAGCATTCCATTCATTTCACCATGTATAGCCTATTCTTCATTGATCCCATCATACAGTTTCTGATGGTTCTACTGCCCTAAACTCTGCCCATGCTCCATATCTGCATAACAACTTCTTACCCATCCTTCCAAATCTACCCCGTACACCATCTCCTCAAGATGCTTTCCCTAGTGCCCTGCTCTCTTCTCTCTCAGTGGAGAGTAATCTATGTACAAAACAAAAAACATCACACTTATCAGATTTGCTTAAGTATTTATCCTTTTATAATTGGTATTAGAATTTTTCTGTATTTGCCTTCTGCTCTAAAGATCCAGTTCTTTACAGTGTAATATCCTAGGACAGGTATCAGTTATATTCATCTCTGTATCCCATAATGCTTAGAACTGCTTCAAACACTGTAATGCAGGTGTCTCCTAGATGATAAATGGGGGAAAGACAGAGAGAAGGAAGGGAGGGAAAGAGAAAGGAAAAGAAAGTCTGAATGAATAAATTGCATTGCATTGGTTCTTTCAAGGGAGAAAACTGACCAAATTCACTTGAAAACATAAAACAAAATACCCAAATTCACTTGAAAACATAAAAAGGATTTCATAAAAGATGTCATCAAGCCGGGTGCGGTGGCTCATGCCTGTAATCCCAGCACTTTGGGAGGCTGAGGCGGGCAGATTACCTGAGTTCAGGAGTTTGAGACCAGCCTGGCCAACATGGTGAAACCCCGTCTCTACTAAAAATACAAAACTTAGCTGGGTGTGGTGGCAGGTGGCTGTAGTCCCAGCTACTCAGGAGGCTGAGGCAGGAGAATTGCTTGAGGCCAGGAGAGGGAGATTGCAGTGGCCCAAGACCATGCCACTGCACTCCAGCCTGGGCGACAGAGCAAGACTCTGTCTCAAAAAAAAAAAAAAAAAAAAAAAAAAAGATGTCATCAATTTTATAACGTTTCTTTCTCAGCTGTTTGGAGTTTCCTTTTTAAAGGCACTTAAGTGCATGCATCAAATGGTACAATAGAAACAAAAATATAAGCTAAAAGCTGAAAAATAAATTCAGGGGCCTTTTGGTAGGTCACGACCCCCCCCTTTATCCCTGCTGCAACAACAGCAGTAATGTGGAATAGGTGTTTCAACCCATTGCACATGGAGGAGTTTGTGCTTCCCCACACCTTACCCTACGTACCTCAGCTGATAGGCTCAGCAAGAGGTAAAAACAGCCATGGGACAGAAAAAAATCCAGTCCTTTTATGGGAGATGGCATAGGTGTGTTTGGAGAGAGGCAGTCCTTGGTTCAAATCCTGAGCATGGTTTTCTTAGGTCTGTGACCTTGAGCAACTCATTCAACCTCTCTGATTTTCTCTGTTGAGTTTCCTAACATCAAAATGGAGTGACACCTATTGTGGTTGCCATTGTTATTACTGACTGCCCTGCCTCATCCTTCTTTTAAATGACGTGATGCCTTTTGGGTAGAAGGGAGGCTGTTGCAGTTTTCCTGTTGAAAGGGGAGTTGCAACTGCCCTGTGATTCCATGGAGACTTGTGTGTGTGTGGAAGGCTGGAAAGCAAAGGTTGCAGTAAGTTTGTGACAGAAGCTTCCCTGAGACACCTGGAGACCCTTTGGCTTTGAGCAGAGCTGCTCCTGGACGAAGGAGAGCAAGCCTTGGGGACTAGACTGAAGTCGCCGAGAACCCGACTACTAAACAGTGCTGAGGGGACAGCCTCTGGGGACTGCATGCAGCCAGACCCCGGGATGTCTCATGTGATCCTCCTTCAGGCCACCGGAAGTGCAGTGGGCGTGGCCAGGAACAGAGCGGGAGAGCTAGCAGCAGGTACCTCCAGGGGAGGAGCGGGTTATAAACCTGGTGTAAGGCACGCCGTCCAGGACTCCCAGAAATACCGAACGAGAATCGTGAGAAAGTGGAGGATGAGGGAGAGTTCAAGGGATCACAGCCTGGGGAGAAGAACCATGGAAAGCTGGACATTAAAATTTAATAGTATTTCATTTTCTACTCCAGGTGGATGAAATCAAGGCTTGCTGCTGACAAAATATAAATCATGCCATATGATGCCAATTCTAAAATGCCATTAATTGTAAGTTGTGCCATCGATTTAAATAAGACTTTTTTGAAAAAAAAATTTACTCCTAACATTAATAATAAACAATGATCATAAAAGAAATCCTGAATTTAAACTCCAGTCAGCATCTGGCCGGCCATGGTGGCTCACGCCTGTAATCCCAGCACTTCGGGAGGCTGAGGTTGGAGGATCGCTTGAGACCAGGAGTTTGAGACCAGCCTGGGCAACATAGTGAGACCCCATCCCTATTTAAAAATTTTTTTAATTTTACATATTTTATTGTATTGTATTTGATTCTTTTACAAATTTCAGTAGGTTTTTGGGGAATAGGTGGTGGTTGGTTACATTAATAAGTTCTTTAGTGGTGATTTCTGAGATTTTGATGCACCCGTCATCCAAGCAGTGTGCACTGTACCCATTGTGTAGTCTTTTATCCCTCCCACCCCATCCCACCCTTTCCTCCAAGTCCCCAAAGTCCATTATATCATTCTTATGCCTTTGTGTCCTCATTGCTTAGCTCCCACTTATAAGTGAGAACATACGGTGTTTGGTTTTCCATTCCTGAGTTACTTCACTTAGAATAATAGTCTCCAATTCCATCCAGGCTGCTGCGAATGCCATTATTTCGTTCCTTTTTATGGCTGAGTAGTATTCCATTTTCTTAATCCACTTGTTGATTGATGGGCATTTGGGTTGGTTCCATATTTTTTGCAATTGCAAATTGTGCTGCTATAAACATGCATGTGCAAGTATCTTTTTCATATAATGACTTCTTTTCCCACCTACTAGTGGGATTGCTGGATCAAATGGCAGATCTACTTTTAGTTCAAAAAAATTTTTTTAGTTTAAAAAATAAAATTAAAATAATAACAATAATTTAAAAAGGGCCAGTTGGTGTGATGCATGCCGATAATACCAACTATTCAGGAGGATCACTTGAGGCCAGGAGTTGGAAACCAACCCAGGAAACATAAGGAGACCCCATCTCTATTAAAAAAAAAAAAAAAATCCTGGATTCAGATAGCATAAACTATAAACTGTAACAAACAAGTATCAAAACAGAGAAAATGTGATATTTGTACCATTTAATAAACTTCCCTTTTATTCAGTAAATAAAAAATAAATGGTACATTTAATGCTTTGATAATTGTGAAGATCCTTACAAACATTACTTTTACATTTTGAAATGTACATATACAATTTTACGTGAAGTTTTTGAACAGAGGTAAAGATGGAATATAAAATATTTTGATCAATATTCTTTCCCACTAATTATGATAACTTTATTTGTAATGTACACTATTTGAGAAGTAACTGTCAGTAGAAAACAAGTGAAAATTCATATCCAAAAGGTAGAAAGTACATATTTTATTTTTCTAAAAAAAAAGATTCTGTTTCATTTTGTCACCATTAAACGTTGCCAAAATGTCCATTTCCTCTATGAAAAATTAGATATGTTGTAAACCGAGTACATAAATAACATTTTATTGGACATAAAACACTATGTGGTTACATAAGCTTTAGAAATGAGGATTAGTCCATATTTGGTACAATATTAACCTTAAAACAGACACACTGAATGGTGAGAAGATAATTTTTATTGTATATATAGAAACAGTTAATTGGGAAATACAGAAAAATCCTTCACAAAACAAAAGATATTTTATCTGTAAAAATCAGTAATGCTCATGGCTTATTCCAGGTGATATGAAGATAATCAAATAGCAGTTCCTTAAATTTTATAACTAAAGCATATATAGAAGTATTCACTTATATCTACAATTTACTTTTAAAAATGGTAAGAAAACTGTGCATAAGTAATAAAAATAAATGTATTTCCTACTATTAACTACAAATTTCAAAGGCTAATAGTTGTATTATTTTAGAATTATCAATATACAAGTATTTCAGTATTCAAACACAGTTTATAAACATGTCATTTTAAACACGATTTCCTCAGAGAGGCCTTTTCTGAAAAACACACCCCTGTTATCTAAACTATATCTTCTTCCCCTTATTCTTTGTCATAGCCCTCTTTCACCGTCATGGAACCTCACAATTTTAAATTGTGCTGTAGCAGGCCGGGTCTCACTAACAGCTGAACAGGCAGGCCTCCATGACAACTGTTTCAGCACTGACTGAGTGTTAAGTTAAATATTAAAAAGTTGATAGAGGCCGGGTGCGGGCTCACACCTGTAATCCCAAAACATTGCGAGGCCGAGGCAGGCGGATCACGAGCTCAGAAGATCGAGACCATCCTGGCTATAAGGGTGAAACCCCGTCTCTACTAAAAAATAAAAAAAAAAAAATTAGCCAGGCATGATGGCGGGCGCCTGTAGTCCCAGCAATTCGGGAGGCTGAGGCAGGAGAATGGCGTGAACCCAGGAGGCGGAGCTTGCATTGAGCCGAGATCCCGCCCGTTGCACTCCAGCCTGGGGGACAGAGCGAGACTCTGCCTCAAAAAATAAATAAATAAATAAATAAATAAATAAGTTGATAGAAGGCCGGACGCAGCGGCTCATGCTTGTAATCCCACAACTTTGGGAGGCTGAAGCGGGTGGATCACTTCAGGTCAGGAGTTCGAGACCAGCCTGGCCAACATGGTAAAACCCCATCTCTATCAAAAATACAAAAATTAGCCGGGCATGGTGGCAGGTGCCTGTAATCCCAGCTACTCTGGAGGCCCAGGCGGGAGAATCACTTGACCCTGAAGGCGGAGGTTGCAGTGGGCAGAGATTGCAGTGAGCCAAGATCATGCCACTGCACTCCAGCCTGGGCGACAGAGCAAGACTTCCTCTCAAAAACAAACAAACAAACAAACAAACAACAACAACAACAAACGTAATAGAGCCAGTGTCCTTATACAAAGGCTGGAAGGTAACAAAAGCCCACTGAGAGTTTTGCCTAGACTTTTCCTGGGCCTTGAAGCATGACAAGATAACAAAGGAATTCTTAACAAGATCCGTTTAGTATTAAACAAGTTTTACTGGGGTCTGAAGGAACTCCCTAAACCTCCATGATTTAGCAAGGAGACAAGATAAGGGTAATTACCTTTGGCACCTGGACCCATCTAGATTAAGTAAATTTACTGAGGCTCCACAGGAAGGTCTTTAGGCCACAGACTTTAGCTATAGGTTAGAAGAAATTAATAACTTATGTCTTCCGATGAATGCACACTTACACGTAGACATGTAGCTTAGAAGGTATATAAGCTCTGCAAAACTGTAATTTTGAGTTGGTCTGCTGATATTTTCCCGGCCTTCTCTCTATACCCGGTTACAGAAGTAAACTCTCTTCTTTCCCAGTTCATCTGCATCTCGTTATTGGGCCGTGAGAATAAGCAGCCTGATCCTTGGTTCATTCCGGGAACAGTGCATTCATTTATGTGGCTCTTCATTTAACACTAGTCTCCTCCCACCCAACTAAGCTATAAGCTCCATGAGAAATATCCTGCCTTTTGCTTGTTATTTTGTCCCAGTACCTAGCACGGTACCAGATACCTAGTAGGCACTTAATAAATATTCATTAAATCTATTCATATTTCCCCAGTCCCCTTACTTTACTCCTTTTTCTGCATCTTTCCTTTTATTGAACCCCTACACTTCCCAGCTCCTCCATTAACCCCTGCAGAGTATTCACTGACTGCTGAAACTAGAGCATCACTGAGAAGCAAGAGATAGACTGACCTAACTAGAGGGAGAGCTGCCATCCAGGATGATGCCACCATCACAGGAGGTGAGAAGGAACACAGCATCTTCTGCAAATGCTACAGTAAATAGGGACGGGGTGCAGGTAAGATCACTGACCCCAGGTCACTGACCCCAGTATTCTCAGAGCCAACAGCTAACTTTGCAGGAGAGCCCTGAGCCAATTACTAGATATGTAAACTTTAAAAAAAATGCTTAAGTCATCAAAATTTATTTTTTTCAATGGCAAAATGAGGATATTATTGTTCACCTCATATGGCTGTAGTGAGAATTAAATAACAGGATGCTTATGAATTTGAACCCAATGATGAACACATACTAATGTCTCAATTAATGCCATAATTATTTGATCCAGATCTGCAAACATTCAAAAACAGCTTTGCATAAATAAGCCCTGAATTAAATGAATCAGCCTCCTTGATCTTTTCCAGATGAATCATTTGCCCAACTTCTTCCCATACAATGAGATATCATATCTTAAATATGCAAATCAGTAGTTTTTTGCACTAATCAAGAGAGATTGCTCTGCTCCAACTGTCCCCTCATACACTCAGCTGAAATATTAAGACACTCTGCTAGCTTTCTTACAAGATAAACATGTTGTTCATCTCGCACTATGAGCTACTGGGCCAGAGCCCCACTGGAGGCTGCTTGAAATACCTCAAATATGATTTCAGAAATAAGATGGTAAATGGGCATGTGCCTTTTATTAATAGCACCTGTGGAGAACTTTCTTCTCTAGAGAATTTTTCCAAAGCATTTTCATATATGTTGTTGTTTAAGCCTCACAATAACTGTGAGACATAGACAGAATTATTATCCTTTCCAGTTTTTCTTACTAAAAAAAAAAAAAAAATCTTGCTGGGCACAGTGGCTCATGCCTGTAATCCCAGCACTTTGGGAGGCTGAGGTGGGTGGATCACCCAAGGTCAGGAGTTCAAGACCAGCCTGGCCAACATGGTGAAACTCTGTCTACTAAAAATACAAAAATTAGCCAAGTGTGGTCGTGGGTGCCTGTAGTCCCAGCTACTCGGGAGGCTGAGGCAGGAGAATCATTTGAACCCTGGAGGCAGAGGTTGCAGTGACCTGAGATCGCACCACTGCAGTGCAGCCTGGGTGACAGAGGAAGACCCCGTCTCAAAAAAAAAAAAAAAAAAATTATTTTTTTCCCAGAACTTCGGCTAAGAGTTTCACTTATTTGCTTAAAGTCTTCACCAGCACACTAATATTTTGAAAGAAGAAATGAATGACTTAATGAATGAACTAGTAAGTAAGAAATCCAAACCCCTAATCCAGGCTGTTGGTCTTCCCTTCCCTTCCCCTCTCCCTTTCTTCATCTCTCACTGTCTCTGTCTTTCTCCTTTTTTGTTTCTGGTAATTTTTCACAATCTCTACTACAGCTTGTAGGTCCTTCTAAGCTCTGGACCTCTGGAATGCAGTTACTAATGCGATTACTAAAACTATAAGCCTCAAAAAAAAAACATAATAGCCATTGTTGTTTATTACTTCAACAGTATTCTTTCTAAGTACAGTTAAAGGAAACTTAGCTTTCTTTAATCATGCAACAACATGTTACCTGAATTGAGCTGTTAACAGACTTTAAAAGTTGAAGTAAATATTTGCAGACTTACGTTGGCCTTTCAAACCAATCACTTTATAATCATCTGAATACAGAACAGCCCTGAAGCTGTATAAACCAGCCATAACTTGAAAACTAAAACTTGGAAACCCCAAAACATATTACTGTAGTTAAAATGTAATGACTCTGAACCTCCTTTCTACATCTAGAAAATACAAGAATGGATAAAAGAGAAGAAACCCTTATTGGGGAGTCTATCTTTAAGCAGAATTTATGTTATTTTCTTATGAGGGAAAAAAACAGGATTTATAAGCAACTTTGAGTATAATATACTAATATGAATTATTTGTTTCTTACATATTTGACATCATCAAATGTACCAGATTTCTGAAAAACATGACTACTTGTACTTTTTCCTCTTGTTTTACATTCTCTATGTTTTCTACCATCCTGTGCCTGGAACTTTATATCAGCATGGTCTTCTAAAGATTATAGTGTAATACTATCAAAGGCATGTCACTCATTATTGTTTTTATCCCAAGTAAATTCTGAAAAAAATAAAAACCTTCACCACGTAACAACATGGTAAGTCAATTTAAAATATCAGTCGAATTTCTTTAACATTATGACACTATTTTGGCGTGCTGAGTAAATCTCATAAATCTCTCATAAACCCTTCAGGCTTTAGGCATTGGTTAAATACTGTGTTTCTAAGGAACTATAGATTCATAACAGAAACTAGGGATTCTCAAAGAGAACTAAAGCATCTGTCTTTCAATTATAATTCATGCTGATTAACCCACTCCATATTTAAGAAGGATGCTGTATGCCCTACTCGAAGGGAAATGGGGAAAAAAAATTCTCTACTATAACTCTCCGATTTTATCTTCAGCAGGAGCAAAGGAAAATTCTCTAAGAGCTGGCAGCTCTTTTAACCTGCAGAGTCACTGCACCTGTAGGTAAATTATTAGCAAAACTAACCAGAAGACAGTCTGACACATTCATAACAACAGGTGCTCTCTATTATTTCAAAATGGCACCTAAAGTGGTCCAATGTATTGTGTTTATTTTCTGTCTTCTCTTTCTAGAAGGAAAGCTTCATGACAGCAGAAATGCTGCCTTTCTCATTCACCCAATATCCCCAGCACCGAAAACAGGACCCATACAGAGTGGGTGCCTAGTATTTGTTAAATAAACAAACACAAATTTAATCTAACTGACAGATAATTGCCTTAGTTATATAACTGTGGCACTTTACGTATTATCCAAACTTTCAAACTAAGTTCCTTGCAACCCAGATCAACACTGGTACTAACTTGACAGCAGGTTTATGAACATATATATAATCCAAGCTATTAAACATTTAAAAACAACTGTAAAATATTTCTTTCTTTCTTTTCTTTTTTCTTTTTTTTTTTTTTTTTTGTGAGACGGAGTCTCTCGCTCTGTCGCCCCGGCTGGAGTGCAGTGGCACGATCTTGGCTCACTGCAACCTCCTCCTCCCGGGTTCAAGTAATTCTTCTGCCTCAGCCTCCTGAGAAGCTGGGATTACAGGCCTGCGCCACCATGCCCACATGCCCAGCTAGTTTTGTTTTGTTTTGCTTTGTTTTGTTTTGCTTTGTTTTGTTTTTGTATTTTCAGTAGACGGGGTTTGACCATATTCTTAGTTATTTGTTTTGCATAATGAAAAAAAGAAAATAGTGCCAGATGTAACCTCAATAATAATTTATCTTCAAGGACAAATTCTCACAGTCAAAGTTTCAGCTATTGCCATCACCATTGCAATCAAATTATGACTCAGAAAAACTACCAGATTTCCCCATCACAAATGCCTACAACTACAGGATTGTGCCCCTGACCTTACTGAACACAGCATAAGCAGTGATTAGTTCCCTGGACACGGAAATGGTTCATGATCGCTCACAAAAGTTACATTGGGTTTTCCTAGACAGGACAAAATGGCTTTGTTGTGTGTTTGAGAGACATCTCTAGACAGAGAATTTTCATTTTTGATACCATGAATTTTGGTGAATTATATTATGAAATGATACTGTTTTATTTCCATGGATTTATGTTAAGGATTGTATTTAGAGAAAAATTTCCTTTAAAAAGAAATCATCACTTGAGAGTCTTCTAGCCATGCTAACTCTCAAGTTACTTTAATCTCTCAAGCCTCTACTTCAAGTGATTGGTGATTCAACTCCTAACCAATCTGCCATTTGGTCTTACCCTGTATCTTCCTCCACCAGCACATGACATAGATATCCTTCTGAAACCCAAAAATTATGAACTAGGAAATCAAAAGGTATACAGAGAGAAATAGAAATGTATTAAAAAACCTAAAAACAGCATCAAATTTAAGAGTTTATTTTGTACAGTCTTGGTCCAGTAAATATGACTATTTTATGTTGAAAATCTCTTTTGAATTAATTATTCCATTGCTCTTGGGGCAAGGAGGGTCCAGAATTTGCAGTCAAAAGAAATGGGATTAAGTCCAGTTTCTATCATTAAATGTATCTCTAAGAACTGAATCAGTTATTAGAAGGAGTCAGGGACAAGAGTGGAATAATAAACACTGGGGACTATAAAAGGTGGGAGAATGGGGAGAGGGGTGAAGGTTTAAAAATTACCTATTGAATACAGTGTTCACTATTCAGGTGATGGGTATGCTAGAAGCCCATAGTGCAGCATATGCATGTAAGAAAGCAGCACTTGTACCCCCTAAATATACAAAAATAAATAAATAGGAAAAAAAAGTAGTGGGGCATAGAGAGAAAATTATGAAAGAGCAAATTAAATTTGTAAAAAATGTACCATAAGTTTATATGTTTATCTACTATAAGTTTATGCAAAACAAATTAAAACTGTTAAAAAGATAAGACTGTTAATGTAAAGCACGAGGTACATTGTAGGTATATGAGAAGTGTTTGTTCCATCACCTCTTATGTCTTCCTTTCTTCTGTCAAAGCACTTCCTAAACCAAAAAGGTCTACTCAGATTTCTGGTGTTACTGTTTTTATGGTTTTGTATTGTTTTCAGCAATGTGAGGAAAGTGGAATGAACTTGGACTTTGAAGGCAAACTAACCTGGAATCAAATACTGGCTCTGCTGTTTGCAAGTGTGATCTTTGGGTATGCTTCCTAATCTGTGAGCTTCAACTTCCTCCTCTGTAAACCAAGGTAATACCTTATAGTAGTCTTTCCCAAACTTTTTCATAATATTGTACACTTTGAAAATGAGAATATTTTACTGCAAAGGATGTTGCCACCTGCAGTGAGAGGTGACCAGATCAGGGAGCTCTGATCACCTGAATGAAGTCCTGCTTTGCTTTCACAAGGGCTGAGGGCAATTGGCATTTTGGCACTTGGTAACTATACAGGGCACATTAATGTTCTGGGCACACTTTTTGGGAAGCTCTGCTTTACTCAGTTTGTGGGGCGGAATAAATATAAGCTTTTCTGATCATAATAGATATTGAATAATGTCTTGATTCCCCTTTCTTCTCCAGATCAAAGACAAACAGGGAAACCTACTTGTCTGGTGCCCATCCCCTTGGCAGAACACTCCTCTGAAGGATGACAGTTTGGCTGTGCCAGGGCAGAGCTGCCGACACCAAATGAGCCTTCATAGCAACTATCTGATGAGGAACTCACTGGCCTACCTTTCCTTGACAGCTGGGGCCTGCCAGCCTTGAAGCATGACTCCACAACGCCCCTACCCAAGGCCATGGAGGTTGCTGCTGATGAGCAAGCTGTTTTATATTTAATCCAGGTTTCTGCTTGGAGAGGAAGAAGGTAGAGGAGCCAGCGAAGGTTTGTCTGAATGATACTTGCAGAAAAAACACTGGTAACAGTCACAAAACTTTGAAAATTAAAGTGCCAGCGAGGTGGCTTTTGGTGGCCAGATGAAAGCTGTTAACCCCAGCTTTTACAAATGCTGGGCTTTGAGTAAGAGGAGAGTGTCTTTCTGGAAAAGTTTGAGACCTCTTACTATTGTAGCAGCAAAAGCATCCACGGCTAGTGTTTTCCAAGCTCACTGCTACTTGTTGCAGTCTAGCAGTGTTGTGTCTCCTGAAATTCCTACCTTTCTTGATGGATGTAAAAGAAGTACCAATTTATTAAGCTCCTAGTATGTGCCAGATGCTCCATATATGTTACTTTTGATCTTCAGAACCACTCAGCAACTTACTGCTTCTCCTCACTCCCAATTACATAGATGATGAAATTGAAGCAGAGTAGTTTGTCTAGGATTACAGAGCTAGGAGGGACCAGAGTTGGGATTCTCCCTCAGTTCTAATACACAGTATGCTACATTTCCTGTCGAGTAGTAACAAAGCTTCTAAGAAATCTGAGTTTTCATTTGTTAAAACTGAATTTTTAAGAAATGTAGACAGGAGCACTAAGTACTCTATAGTTTAACGTTAATAATGGTACAAGTATATAACCAGTTTCTCATGCACTGGCATAACATACTTCAGAGGGTACACCAGGGCTGGATGAATATCTGAACCCAAAAATATCTGAGACAGGTCTCAGTTAACTTAGAAAGTTTATTTTTCCAATTTTGAGGACATGCACCCATGACACAGCCTCAGGTGGTCCTGACGACATGTGCCCAAGGTAGTTAGGGCAAAGCTTTTTTTTATACACTTTAGAGAGACAGGAGATATCAATCAATATATGTAAGATGTACATTGGTTATGTCCAGAAAGACAGGACAACTAAAGCAGGGAGGGGGCTTCCAGGTCTTATGTAGGTGAGAGATAAATGGTTGCATTCCTTTGAGTTTCTGACTAGCTTTTCCAAAGGAGGCAATCAAATATGCATTTATCTCAGTGAGCAGAGGGGTGACTTTGAATAGAATGGGAGGCAGGTTTGCCCTAAACAGTTCCCAGCTTGACTTTTCCGTTTAGCTTAGTGATGTTGGGGCCCTGAGATTTATTTTCCTTTCACACTTCTTCCATTTTCTTTTTAAAAATCTTTTGAAGAAAGCATTTTAGAAGAAAATGAGTCTCTGCTCTCATGGCTAGGATAGTTTATTCCTACAGGGGTAGGTCCCAAGTTATTAGGAAAGCTCATTTTTAGCAGATTGAGAAGTCTCATGTCCTGTGAAGAGACAATAGTAGGAGGAAGGGAGAAAAACAACAAACAAGAGAACAATCCTAGAAAATCTATATAGACCACATTACTTTGAAGTCCATACATCAGTAGGTAGGTATGAAAGTGGCTTATGTACCTAAATAGTTTGCTTTTATTTTCTTCTGAAGTTTAAGTTGTCTAGATTCAGTTTGCAGGACTTTAGAAAGTACAGCTTAGTTTTCAATTATTTCGAATTAGGAAAAATGGGGTGAGGGGAAGGAAAAGAAGGAAAAAAATTGAAAACATTATTTTGGAGACTTGTAGCCAGGAAAAATTAGAATTCAGTCTAAACTGTAGAAAATAATAAAAATAGAAAAACATTAGGCAAGACTAAAATCTAACAACAGGTGCACTATAGTTTTTGAAACGTATTTTTTCTCTCTCCAGTTTCCCATTTTCACTAAAAACAAATCATAGAAGAACCAATTTGCTTTATTATACTTGGCCAGATTATTTGTATGAAGTGAAGCAAGAATAATTATTTTTCACATAGGCTTTTAAAATTAGCTTTGATGGACTTCTTCCATAGAAGGAATCTCACATAAGCCTTTTTTAAAGCCAAGCCCAGCCACAGATTTGTACCATCAAATACCTATGAGTTGGGTGAATTATTCTCCTTTTGAGTTCCAACATAACTTAGGGCTCTTGGGCCTGTCAGAAAGTGACATTCTTTACTTACCACAGGTCAGGAACACCGTTCAGGGACTGTGCAGACAAGGTATGAGGCCAGTTTCCCCAAGGGGTTTTTATTGGCTCTATAAATCAAGTTTAATACCTTAAAGGAAAGCACACCATTCCAGCCAAAGACTCAGTAAAATAACCAGTTTCTCCAATTGTGTCCTGTTACAAATAAAAACAGATTCTTATTTCACTTATGCAAATAACTATATTGCCGTAAGTCACGAATACTTACAAGTAGTTTCCAAATTTTGGAGAAATCAGGTAGAGAGAAACAAATAAGCTCCAAATTTCGTTCATAGGAGTATACTTGTTAAAAGCTGTCAATAGCTCAAAAGAAAAGTTTCCTTGACTCTGAAAAACAAAACAAAGGATCAGCAACGTTTTGTGCAAAAAGTCAAAAAGACTACTTCAGTCTTCTACTGGTTCAGTCCATGCAGTTAATTTCTGTTCTGCTTGATATTCGTGAACATTTCAGCTCTCCGTAAGTCCTGAAAGTTTTTCCTCTTTTCTAATGTCACAATCTCCAAAGTTATCAGAAAACTGCATTCAAGAACACATGTTAAGAGTTTTATAGCTGATTATAAAACTACCTTCAAAAGAGGAACAAAACAAGACAACAATTGTCCATGGATGACAAAAAATTTTAGGGCAGCCATAGTCAAAGACACAGTTGACAAGAAAATTTGTTACCTCTGTGGCATACAATAATTTAACATAACAATTATAATTACTGATAACATACACTAAGTCATATCAGAATTTTAGGAGTTTCCTATTATTTTGGAACAGATACCAATAACACATTTATACAAATACAGCCCAAAGAAAACCAAATACCATTTCATATTTGACAGTGCTTCCTGTATAATTTTTATACCAAATAAGACAAATATGTCATTTTTGGACTTTAGGGAACATAATATTTTAAAGGATGAATTAGGTCAGATAAAGACATAATTTATAATTTGATTTTGGAAACTTTGTCAAATATCAAAGGTTGAAAACACTTGATATCACAAAATAAGATCACAGGTCATTGTAAAAAGTCATTTATTTAACCAAAGTGATAACTCAAGGATTTAAAAAAAAAAAAGGCAAAAACCTTCATTATTTTAGAGAGGAGACTTAATTTCCCAAACAAGCCCTAATAAAAACAGCATGAAGCCAATTAAATTTGCTTTCCAAAATTTTATACACAATCTATAAAATTTTAATCCTGACTATAAGATATAACTTCCATAAACCTTTTATAACTTTTATAACCTTTATTAAGGAGTCAGTCAATGCTTCCAGAAAACCTTGTTAATACTACACAGGGAACCATATGATGGTCTTGCATCAGTATGCCTTTGACATTAACGGTTAATTTATAGAGAAACAACTTATTTTCTCTATCATAATCAGTCCTTACAATCTTAAACACACACCTCTTCCACAGAATAGTCCCTGGGCCTTGAGGAGTTGATTAGCTTTAATTTCTGGCCTTGTGTTTTAGGAATCCAGTTTATTTTGATTGACTTCTTCTACCAGACCTGAAGATGAGGATTTAATTGCTGTCAGTGTTTAAGATTTAGCAAGACTTGGTGTCCTTTTTAGACCCAGGAGTCAAAGCCCTGTAACTCAATGTCACAAGTACTTTAAAAGCACATACAGAAAGATACACGGATGTAATACCTTTAATTTTTTAAAAATTTTCTTTTAACCTCAGTTTTTTTCTAAACAAACCAAAACTTAATAATAATGGCATAGGAATTATTTCAATAAAATGTAAAATCTGTTAGTCAGTTACCAAAAAGCAAAACAAAAGACCTTCTGCAGTGCACAAAATATTATGTTGGAAGAAAACATTTCCTTTAGACCTGTATTGTTAGCATCAGGCCACAACAAACAGAACTCGAGGGAAAAAAAACTTACATGAGCTGAAAATGAGATGAAAGTGAGCATTACTATTTTACACATTTTAAAAGGGGAGAGAAAACCAAAAATGGTGAGATGCAATAAAAGTTGAACTTTGGGTTAAAAAAATTAAAATGTCTTACAATTTATTAAGAGTAAATCCAGCCAGGCATGGTGGCTCATGCCTGTAATCCCAGCACTTTGGGAGGCTGAGGCAGGCAGATCACGAGGTCAGGAGTTCAAGACCAGCCTGGCCAATGTGGTGAAACCCCGTCTCTACTAAAATTACAAAAATTAGCCAGGCGTGGTGGCAGATGCCTGTAATCCCAGCTACTCGAGAGGCTGAGGCAGGAGAATTGCTTAAACCTGGGAGGCGGAGGTTGTAGTGAGCCGATAATGCGCCACTGCACTCCAGCCTGAGTGACAGAGCAAGAATCTGTCTCGGAAAAATAAAGAAAAAGAGTAAATCAATCCCCTAAGAAACTTTTATTGTTCTAATCAATTCTTTAATGTGTAAGTGTGTTTTTTTACATCAAACCCAATTTCTAGAAAGACCATTATAATTTCCCTTTAATCATATACAACTTGATCATATAAAAGTTTTGTTTTGTTTTGTTTTGTTTTGTTTTGAGACAGACTCTCACTCTGTCACCCAGGCTGGCATGCAGTGGCGCAATCTTGGCTCACTGCAACCTCCACCTCACGGGTTCAAGCAATTCTCCCTGCCTCAACCTTCTGCGTATCTGGGATTATAGGCACCTGACACCACACCTGGCTAATTTTTTTGTATTTTTTAGTAGAGATGAGGTTTTGCCATGTTGGCCAGGCTGGTCTTGAACTCCTGACCTCAGGTGATCCACCTGCCTCGGCCTCCCAAAGTGCTGGGATTACAGGTGTGAGCCACCGTGCCCGGCTGAAAGTTTTTTTTTTTAAATAAATCCTCTTATTGTGACTTACACAGATCATTCATGACATGCTTGGACTTTCTGGTTTGTCCTGAACATCCCTCTTTCTTAAACAACCCGTCATCTTATTCCAGAATAAATTTACCATACAAGATTCTTTCTCATATAAAATTATTTCTCTTTGAGCTTTCTTAGCAAAAAATACCTTTTATTTCTGCAACTTTCTTTACATCTGCCTCATTTCCTGGTTTCTTTTATCTTGTTTTATATATAACCTTAAAATAAGCTTTGAATTAGACAAAAATTGTTCACCTTTTAAAAAGGACACATTTTGTTTTTTAGAAAAAATATTTTCCTATAATATATTTTCATTGTAAAATACCCAAATAATGAAATATCCATTATTTAATTTAATGCAACCTTAGATTCTAAATTATGACAAGTTTATCTATAAGTATTTATCCCATTACATTTACCTAATTATTTTAATTGTTTACCTAGATTATTTATGAAAACTATGATAGTCATCATTTAAAGTTATGAAACTCACCATTGCAAAATTATAATTGACACAGTGAAAAAGATATGACCTAACTGACTCCCTCTTGCCGCTAACCTCCAAACTATCCTTGTTCATTCCTGGGCATAGGCCGAACTGACTGTGGGAGGAACTTAGTTTGGTTTAGCTTTGAAACAAAGATGATAACAGTCATTTCCCAAAAGAAACCTTATTGCCTGTGGACTAGACTCCCTAAGGCCACAAGATTAGAAGTTACAGTAATTTTACTAAATAATTCAAGATGTAGCTATTTTCATTAAACCAATATCAATGTCTTATTTATTAAAAATTAACACAAACAAAAATCATTCTGTTTTAGGCTGGGTTTATAGTTTTGTAACCCTATGCCAAACTTTGACACCTTACAGTATTTGGCAGGGATAAATATGAAATGACTTGATCCATAAATGCAAACGAAAATGTATGCTGGCAATTCTTAAGACATTTCTAATATTACTTTGCCAGTAATTTTAAAGCTAGCTTATTTATTAAAGATTTTACTTAAATCACATAAACTTGAAAAAGCATTTGGCTAGTCTTTTCTTTTCTCTGATAAAGCATTGGATTTAAGCACCTTTATTTTTCTGCAAGCCAATTAATTACAGCTCTTTTATATGTTTTTAGTAGTGAAACGTGTACATAACACATAGATACATAGATGTATTAGGCATACTGATAGAAGTACATCTTATAGATTCCTAAGACCTCCTTTTGTTTTCCCCTGTCTTAGACTTGCAAACTCATGATAACCTGTTTCATTAACCTGGCAGTTGTCAGCTAAATAGCCCTAAACCTGCATATTGAAGGAAACAACTCTTAGATGAAAAATCAGATAGCAAAATTTATATCTCAAGGTACAGACAGAAAAAGTCTAGTGGTGCTAGAGGGAGAATAAAGATGGATGCCAAATCAAACATAAAATTATAGAACTCTATCATGGGATTGTATGAGGAGACCAATTTTATTCATATAGGGATTATTTCTTTTTTGCCTAGATCTCTGAAATCTGGGCAGAGCCCACACTGAATCCTGGGTCTCCAAAAAGGGAGAATTATTATGAGGCTAGACCATGTAATGCTTTTGCAGTGCACTTAAAACAATTGTTTTTAAGCAAAGACATTTCAAAGTGTCTAAATTACACTCTTCCTTAAAAACTGAAGAGTAGCCTCTGTTGCAATACCTATTTTAGTCAATAAATCAGGTAACACAATACAAACGCAAGCAGTTTAAGAGCTGATACAAGTTGTCTGTTTACACTCTTGGAGTTCCATAATGAAAAATGGGTTTCTCCCCAATAGGGAGTCTGGTGCCTTCTCCATTTTCCTTAAGGAACCCCAGGCTACTATAAACTATTTTAGGCCCCTCATGCGGCAGAGGGTGCAAGAGAAAGGAGAGACAGCAGAAGTAAATGAAGAAAACAGAATTCAGCCAACTGAGAAGAAAAAATCTTTTGCTCAAAAAAAGAGAGGAAGTCCTAGGAGAAAAACAAACAAACCATGATGTCCTTTTAAATACAAACACCCACACACACACACACACACACAAATTGCTGCTATTGCAGAAGTACCAAGTATCAAACCAGAAAGGGCTTGATTTAGGAACCAAAATCAGGCTGTTGTGGTGAAAAAAAAAAGATGGCAGAACCCTTAGCTATGGAACTGCAGTGTAGGGCAACAGCCATTGCTCTTTCAGTTTGGCCTGGCAAGCAAAGAGGTGGCCTTGCTATGTAAAGAAAGCCCCTTAAGTAGTCAAAATCAAAAATATTTTTTTTTTCTTTTGCTGGCCATTTTTCTCCCTCCACCACTCCACCTTTTTTCTTTTCTCTTTTCTTTTGTGAGAATTTAGCCACTTCAGAGGCCTTATTCCTCATAATTTGGAACTTTCCTTCAGATTTGATCAAGTCAGATAGTTTGATCAAACCCAATGGGAAAAAGACTGAAACAACAACAAAAACAGAAACAAACAACAACAAAAAAGCAGTTAAGCCAAAAAACAATGGCACAACTTGTAAAATTACTGAGTGTTCTAATGGTAAGGAGAAATTAAGACCAGCTAGTTGTTCATATTAACTTTAGCCAAAACAAACCCCAATTCAGTTACTTACTTAGGGATGAGTCCCAAGCTGAAGACTGCTCTCTACCATCCTAGAAGCAGGAAAAATCTCAAATTTGGCTTCTCTTGGAAGCAAGCTGAAACTCTATAAAGGAGTTACCTATCTTCAATCTTCATGGAAGCCGGAAAAATTTGCCTTGTACTGGAAGCAAGTAAAACTCCAAAGGAAGTTGTACAACAAAATAAACTTTAGATCTCAACCACATTTTGGGAAATCAGGGATTCTCTGGAGGGGGTGCTTGCAGGCTTCAGCAAATTGTCCTATTGGTTTGAGCCATAAAGCTAGCTCGAGCTGGTACCAGGCACTGATAGGAGATTTGTCAAATGTCAGTGGCACAAACACTCAGAATCCCTTCATGGTTGCCAAAATGTGAACCCTGAATATCTGAGACAGGTGTCAGTTAATTTAGAAAGTTTATTTTGCCAAGGTTGAGGATGGGTACCCATGACACAGTCTCAGGAGGTCATGACAACATGTGCCCAAGGTGGTTGGGGCACAGCTTGTTTTTATGCATTTTAGGGAGACATGAGACATCAATCAATATATGTAAGATGTACACTGGTTCTGTCTGGTGAGGTGGGACAATTCAAGCAAGGAGGGGGCTTCCAGGTCACATGTAGGTGAAAGACAAATGATGGCATTCCTTTGAGTTTCTGATTAGCCTTTCCAAAGGAGGCAATCAGATACCCATTATCTCAGTGAGCAGAGGGATGACTTTGGATGGAATGGGAGGCAGGTTTGCCCTAAACAGTTCCCTGCTTGACTTTTCCCTTTAGCTTAGTGATTTTGGGGCCCCAAGATTCATTTTCCTTTCACAAGTAACTGGCCACAAGAGAAACAGAAACAGGATTAAGAAAGAGCCCTAACCCCTCCCATCACAGGCTCCATCAGCACATTAGAGAGGAGTACACTAGGTGACTATATATACATATTTGTGCCTGTGATAATTGCAAATAAAATGACACTAACCATTGTAAATGTTCAGTTCTTCTCAACTATTCTTTTTGACCATCTTGGAAACCCTTGCAAATATTTAAAGACAAGCATTCGTGTAATAGAGTTCATCGTAATACATTGTGAACCCCAAATATCTGAGACGGGTCACAGTCAATTTAGAAAGTTTATTTTGCCAAGGTTAAGGACATACCTGTGACACAGTCTCAGGAGGTCCTGATGACTTGTGCCCAGGGTAGTTGGGGTACAGCTTGCTTTTATTTGTTTTAGGGAGACAGGAGATATCAATCATTATGTGTAAGATGTACCTTGGTTCAGTCCAGTAAGGCACACAGGGTTGGGGGGAGCAGAGGGGGATTCCTTTGAGTCTTTGACCAGCCTTTCACCGAATACACAATTTAGTCTGGCTCAGTGAATCTGCATTTTTATATAAACAATATGGCAGAGGAAGCAATCAGATATGCATTTGTCTCAGATGAGCCTCAGAAGGATGACTTTGATTTCTGTCTATCCCTTGTCCACAAGGAAATTCCTTGTAGGCAAATTGTGAGGGAGGTATGTAGCCTTTTATCTTTGTAGCTATTTTATTTAGGAATAAAATGAGATGCAGGCAGGTTTGCCTGACATCGTTTCCAGCTTGATTTTTCCCTTGGCTTAGTGCTTTGGAGGTCTCGAGATTTATTATCCTTTCACAACATATAGAGGAGTGTCTCAAACTTGATACTACTGACATTTAGAGTAGGACAATTCTTGTTGTGGGATGTCCTGTGTATTGTAAGATAAGTTTTTAGGTGAGTTGAATTTTTTCCTTAAGGTACTTACTACATTAAAGTTTAAGTACTAAAATAAGTGGCAGGAGGTATTGTATGAGAAAAAATACTTTCGGGAAGTACAATATATTTTTTTTTTTTTTTTTGCTTTTAGGAACTGGTCTTATCGAAGCAAAATTGCTCAATTATTCAGTACAATTGCCTTTCTACATAGATGTAATTATGGCTAACACTTTTTCACATCTCATCATCCATGAATGATAGGTTATAGTGCGCCAAAGTTCAATTATTTGGTGTTATCTAATCTAGAATGAACTTTACATATATTTATGTGAACTAAGGTGAATGAAATGGAAGAAAAAAGGCAGAGACTAAGATCAGATATCTTTAAAAAGGTAAATACATGCCTTAGCAATCTTACTCACATTTTGACACTTGGCCTATTTTAGCAATATTAATCACCCATGCACAGCCATTGTCAAATCATTTATACTATATGCGACAAGCATGTTTTTCTGGCTTTGGGTTTTGTTTTTAAATACAAAGCCCCATAATTTGGAACAATAGCTGGATAATTTGGAGTGAAAAAACTGGATAAGATCTACCATCTCCAAATTTAGAATGACAGAAATTGGTTTCCAGTAAGATATGTCAACAAAAAGAGTCAAACTCTATAAAATAGTTGAAGACATTTATTTTGAGCCAAATATGAGTGGTCATGGGCTGTGACACAACCCCAGGTGATCCTGAGAACATGTGCCCAAGGTGGTCGGGCTACATATAGTTTGGTATCATACATTTTAGGTGGATGTAAGACATCAGTACATGAAAGATGGTGGTTCAGTCCAGAAACATGCCCTGAAAATGTGAGACAACTTGGGAAACATGAGACAACTCGGGGTGAGGGGGCTGTATTAGTCCATTTTCACGCTGCTGATAAACATATACCTGAGACTGGGAAGAAAAAGAGATTTAATTGAACTTACAGTTTCACATGGCTAGGGAGGCCTCAGAATCATGGTGGGAGGTGAAAGGCACTTCTTACATGGTGGCAGCCAAAGAAAACGAGGAGGAAGCAAAAGCAGAAACCCCTGATAAACCCATCACATCTCATGAGACTTATTCACCATCACGAGAATAGCATGGGAAAGACCAGCCAGCATGATTCAATTACTTCCCCCTGGGTCCCTCCCAAAACAGGTGTGAATTTTGGAAGATACAATTCAAGTTGAGATTTGGGTGGGGACACAGCCAAAACATGTCATTCCACCCCTAGCCCCTCCAAATCTCATGTCCTCACATTTCAAAACTAATCATGCCTTCCCAACAGTCCCCCAAAGTCTTAACTCATTTCAGAATTAACCCAAAAGTCCACAGTCCAAAGTCTCATCTGAGACGAGGCAAGTCCCTTCTGCTTATGAGCCTGTAAAACCGAAAGCAAGCTAGTTACTTCCTAGATAAAATGGGGGTACAGGTATTGGGTAAATACAGCCATTCCAAATGGGAGAAATTAGCCAAAACAAAGGGGTTACAGGGCCCATGCAAGTCCGAAATCCAGTGGAGCAGTCAAATTTTAAAGTTCCAAAATGATATCCTTTGACTCCAGGTCTCACATTCAGGTCATGCTGATGGAAGAGGTGGGTTCCCATGGTCTTGGGCAGCTCTGCCCCGGTGGCTTTGCAGGGTACAGCCTCCCTCCCAGCTGTTTTCACAGGCTGGCATTGAGTGTCTGCGGCTTTTCCAGGTGCATGGTGCAAGCTGTCAGTGGATCTACCATCCTGGGATCTGGAGGACGGTGGCCCTCTTCTCACAGCTCCACTAGGCAGTGCTCCATTAGGGACTCTGTGTGGGGGCTCTAAACTCCACATTTCCCTTCTGCTCTGCCCTAGCAGAGGTATTCCATGAAGCCCCTGCCTGTGCAGCAAACTTTTGCCTGGGCATCCAGGCGTTTTCATACATCTGAAATCTAGGTGGAGGTTACCAAACCTCAATTCTTGATTTCTGTGCACCTATAGGCTCAACACCACATGGAAGCTGCCAAGGCTTGGGGCTTCCACCCTCTGAAGCCACAGCCTGAGCTGTATGTTGGCCCCTTTCAATCATGGCTGGAGTGACTGGGACACAGGGCACCAAGTCCCTGGGCTGCACACAGCACGGAGACCCTGGGCCTGGCCCACAAAACCACTTTTTTCTCCTGGGCCTCCAGGCCTATGGTGGAAGGGGCTGCCATGAAGGTCTCTGACATGGCCTGGAGACATTTTCCCCATGGTCTCGGGGATTAACATTAGGCTCCTTGCTACTTATGCAAATTTCTGACACCAGCTTGAATTTCTCCCCAGAAGATGGTTTTTTCTTTTCTATCACATAGTCAACCTGCAAATTTTCCAAACTTTTATGATCTGCTTCCCTTATAAAACTTTAACAGTACCCAAGTCACTTATTGAATGCTTTGCTGCTTAGAAATTTCTTCCACCAGGTATCCTAAATCATCTTTCTCAAGTTCAAAGTTCCACAAATCTCTAGGGCAGGGGCACGATGCCACCAGTCTCTTTGCTAAAACGTAACAAGAGTCACTTTTACTCCAGTTCCCAACAAGTTTCTCATCTCCATCTGAGACCACCTCAGCATGGACATTATTGTCAGCTGTCATTATTGTCAACATGTCAGCATGTTGGGCAAAGCCATTCAACAAGTCTCTAGGAAGCTCCAAACTTTCCCACATTTTCCTGTCTTCTTCTGAGCCCTCCAAACTGTTCCAACCTCTGCCTGTTACCCAGTTCCAATGTTGATTCTACCTTTTCAGGTATCTTTTCAGCAACACACCACTCTACTGGTACCAATTTACTGTATTAGTCCATCTTCACACTGCTGATAAAAACATAACTGAGACTGGAAAAAAAAAAGAGGTTTAACTGGACTTACAGTTCCACATGGCTGGGAGGGCCTTAGAATCACGGTGGGAGGTGAAAGGCACTTCTTACAGCGTGGTAGCAAGAGAAAATGAGGAAGAAGCAAAAGGGGAAACCTCTGATAAACCCATCAGATCTTGTGAGACTTATTCACTATCGTGAGAATAGCACAGGAAAGACCAGCCCCCATGATTCAACTACCTCCTCGTGGGTCCCTCTCAAAACAGGTGGGAATTCTGGGAGATACAATTCAAGTTGAGATTTGGGTGGGGACGCAGCCAAACCGTATCAGAGGGTCAGTTCCAGGTCCCCGCTAATATTTGAATAGGTGGATTCAAAGGTTTTCTGAATGGCAATTGGTTGAGTTTACCTAAGGACCTAGAATCGATAGAAGGGAGTGTCTGGGTTAACTAAGGAGTTGTGGAGACCAAGGTTCTTATTATACAGATGAAGCCTCCAGGTAGCAGGCTTCAAAGAGAATAGACTGTAAATGTTTGTTGGGAGACTTAAAAAGGTGCCAGACTCCGTTAATTCTCTTCTGGATCAGGAAAAAGACCTGGAAAGGGAAGGGGATTCTCTACAGGATGTAGATTTTCCCCACAAGAAACAGCTTTGCAGGGCCATTTCAAAATATGTCAAAGAACTGTATTTTAAGATAAAATACTTGATTTCTTCAGGGCCTATTATCCATCATGTTGGTATTTTATTGTTCCAAAGAACCTGTTTAGTCAGTCTTCAGGTCTGTTTCAATGTTAATGCTGGTCAGCTGTGCCTGAAATCCAAAGGGAGGATGTTATAATTAGGCATGTCTGATCACCTATTCCATCATGGCCTGAAGTAGTGTTTCATATTTCAGGTTTACTTTTTTTTAATTTATTTTTTATTTTTTTTGAGACGGAGTCTCACTCTGTCACCCAGTCTGGAATGCAGTGGCGTGATTTTGGTTCATTGCAACCTCCGCCTCCCTGTTCAAGTGATTCTCCCACCTCAGCCTCCCAAGTAGCTGGGATTACTGGTGCATGCCACCACACCTGGCTAATTTTTGTATTTTAAGTAGAGACGGGGTTTCGCTGTGTTGGCCAGGCTGGTCTTGAACTCCTGACCCCAGGTGATCTGCCTGCCTTGGCCTCCCAAAGTGGTGGGATTACAGGTGTGAGTCACTGCGCCTGGCCTCAGGTTTACTTTAGAATGTTCTTGGCCTAGAGGAGTGGTCCATTCAGGTAGTTGGAGGGCTTAGAATTTTATTTTTGGTTTACGGATATTAGGGTATTGCTCATTATTTTCCATCTTTCTAGATCACCTCCCATATCAGCTGCTCAAACCTCATCTTCTACATTCCTCTTTCTTTCTTCAACCTTCACTTAGAGCTCAGGTCCTGAGATCAGACTTGAGTGAGATTTCCTTTAAACTAATGGGAGGAGGTAAGTAACTGTAACATACAAAGATGAATAATAAGTACATGAAGAGGTGGGCACCATGGCTCATGCCTGTAATCCCAGCACTTTGGGAGGCCAAGGCAGGCGGATCACCTGAGGTCAGGAGTTTGAGATCAACCTGGCCAATATGGCAAAACCCCATCTCTACCAAAAATACAAAAACTAGGGCCAGGCACAGTGGCTCACACATGTAATCCCAGCACTTTGGGAGGCCAAGGCTGGCAGATTACCTGACGTCAGGAGTTCAAGACCACCCTGGCTAACGGTGAAACCCCGTCTCTACTGAAAATACAAAAATTAGCCCGGCGTGGTGGCAGGCGCCTGTAGTCCCAGCTACTCGGGAGGCTGAGGCAGGAGAATTGCTTGAACCCAGGAGGTGGAGGTTGCAGTGAGCCAAGATCATGCCACTGCACTCCAGCCTGGGTGACAGAGCAAGACTCCCGTCTCAAAAAAAAAAAGAAAAAAGTACATGAAGAGCCATTATACTATGTTCTCTCAACTTTTGTGCTTTATTGGAAATGTCCATAATAAAAAGTTATCTTTAATTATTCTCCAGTGAGAAGAGTGAGTCTACAGGACTCAGATATCACTCGCCCTGTCCCAACACATTATCATGGCGTCTTTATCTTCTATAAGAAGACAATGAGATTTTTCTAGGAAAAAAAGCTCACCACTTCCCATGTGTTCTGGATCCCAACAAGTCAGGTCTCCTGAGACATTTTGCTTCTGAAAATATCCTTTCTTGTTCCCACATCTTCAATCTTGCCCCCTTTTGATGCCTACCCATCTTCTTTAGCACACTCAAACTTCTCCATGTTAAAAAAGTTCTTCACTTGAACTTCACAGACCTTTTGTAACTCTACATGAAAACAAGCACATTTATATTTTTCAAAAATCCATGTAAACTAAAAATTGGCTTGGAAAAGGTCAAAAGAGTTTCCTTGCTTTTTTGACAATGACAATAGCACACCTCAGCAGCATGTATTACAAATAGTACACGATACAAAAAGATTTGAACTCTTTCAACTAATTTTAGTAATAACATCAGAAAATGTTTAGGCTGGAAGGGAAACTTTATCTCCTCCAGACTCTCATTTGTACAGATGAGAGGAAAGGACTCTCCAATGATTATCACAACTTTGCTTAGATTGACCCAGCAGGTAGCCCTCTGAGATGGGGCCAAAGCCCCAGTCTTTTGGCTACTGCTCTTCCATCATAAAGCCCCCAGGGATCTTCTTGAATAAGATCAAGTCAAATTCCAAGTACAATTCAATTGTAGGGAGAAAATTCCTTCTGTATCTTTTGTTGTTTAACATGTACACTGAAGTTAAGAAATAACTAACTATTTGTTTTCACCAATTAAGAAATTTAACATTGGGAGGCCGAGGCGGGCGGATCACGAGGTCAGGAGATCGAGACCATCCCGGCTAAAACGGTAAAACCCCGTCTCTACTAAAAATACAAAAAATTAGCCGGGCATAGTGGCGGGCGCCTGTAGTCCCAGCTACTTGGGAGGCTGAGGCAGGAGAATGGCGTGAACCCGGGAGGCGGAGCTTGCAGTGAGCCGAGATCCCGCCACTGCACTCCAGCCTGGGCGACAGAGCGAGACTCCATCTCAAAAAAAAAAAAAAAAGAAAGAAATTTAACAGACAAAAAGCTTAAGGACTTCACAGGCAGATCCGCGGGTTTTGGGGAAAGGGTGTGTCAAGGGAGAAGAAAGGATGTAATGAAGGTTGGCATCAAGTCCCAGGAAGAATCACACTGAAGGCAGCCACCAGCTTCACCCAGGCTAAGTGGTGTAGTAGACAGCTTTGAAATATCACTGGAGTTCAAACCCCAGCTTAGCCACTACCTGTTACTTAGTATTACTGGATCTCAGTTGCCTCACTTATAAAATGTGGCAAAGATTAGTACTGTTTTACGGATACCAGCTCAAAGTGCCTGGCATAGAATGTGATATACTGGGACCCAAGCGACAGACCACCAAGGTCAAGGGATACTCAAGCCAAAGAGAGCGGTAAAGGCAGGGGCAGATAACCTAGAAGTGCCTTCCTCAGAGTCCCCTGGGCACTCTCTCTGTTTTCCTTATTTGATCTCGCGAAGCCGCTGACTCAAGGGAAACTGGGAATGGCGTGACCACAGAGAAAATGATGTATTTTTTGGTCCTTGGAGGCCCGAAACCCATCGTGTCTGAAACGACTGCGGCAATCCTAGCAGCAGCAGCAGCCCAGAGGTCAGGAGTGATGGACTGAGACTTTGCCCTAAGAAGCCTCCCCCAGATTGACCTCCGGCTCGGAGCCCGCACAAAGCGCTGAGTCACGGGGAGGCGGTGCCGCGCGCGGGGGAGGCGGGCCCGCGCAGTCACGTGGCGGGGGCTGTATCACAACAACTGCGCGGCGTGCGCCGCCCGCGGCCCACACCGCTTCCTCCCGCGACAGGCCGGCTCTCCGAGCATGCTCAGCTTGGCCTCACGACTGCACGGCGTCCCCCCATGCGGATCTCCACGGTCCAGGTTTTCCGGACGGCTCTGGGGGCGGGGCCTGTGTTGGTCCGCGGGGCTGCGAGGCGAGGTTGCGGTGCCAGGGCGCCGCTGGGCAGAGATGGGTTCCTGGAGAGCGGGTCTCGCGTTTTTCCGCGGAAGACACTACTGGGAATCGGCCTTTGGTCATGGTCTAGGGAAGAGCTGATTCTGCAAGATATGAGCTCCTTCTTTCCCCTTCAGCTATCGTTACAGCCCTGATGGAGCTGTCTGCTGAAAACTCACTTCCAGATGTCGAAACCTGGCCCTGGGTGCAGTCTACAGAATGAAATCGAGCAGTAGTGGACCTATGCAGGCAAAGCATTGTCAGAGGGGAGTAACTCTTGTTAAATATGACTTCAGTTGATCCGTGATGGGATTTTTGTTTTTTCTTTGTAACAGAAAAGGCTAAAGACACTGAGAGATCAAGGTTTAAATTGGGCATAACTGCCCTGTGGTGCAGCAGCGCCGGCGCCCTTTTTGGGATTGTCCAAAGCTCTGGGACCCCCGCTGGGGGAGCTGGTTCAGAATTCGGGGGGGTAGGATAGGGTGAGGGAGGTCCCTTATGTGAGTGTGAGCCGGGATCTAGGACAGAGTAACTCCAATTACAGTGTTAAACTCTTACTAGGTTCAGTGTCGCGTAGGGCTTTGGCTAGACTAGAATTTAGTCTATTATTGAACCGCCCAGGTCCATGATTCCTAACAGGTGCATGGGAAAAGTGTATGGTGTGCAGCAGGTGTATGGGAAAACTGCTTTGCAAAGTGTAAATCAAGGTCTACATCAGTACTGTTTCAATAAAGTGGAATGAGAGCCACATATGTAATCTTAAATTTTTCAGTAGCCTCCTTTAAAATTAAAAATAAAAGTGGGTGGGGGTGGTGGTAAATTAAATAACATACCACATCATATTTAACTCAAAATTTCCAAAATGCTATATCGCTATGTAATCAATATAAAACTTTTAATGAGATATTTACATCTTTTTATTCTACTGTCTTAGAATCTGGTGTGTGACTTACACTCACAACACATCTGGGCCACTAAGTTTTCATTGGAAATACTTGATCTGTAATTACATTTCATAAAATTTACAGTCAAAAATGGATTCACATTTCCAACTTGTTTCAAATTTACTTAAAAGTTTTCCAGTAACTGAATGGAATATCAGTTTTTAAATTTACATTTAAATTGATTAAATTAAAATGAAAATTTGGTTTCTCGGTCATGTTAGCCACATTTCAAATGTACATTGGCCAATGTGGCTGATGGCTGTCGTGTTGAACAATGCAGGTCTATGAGAATGTCAGATGACATTATGAGAATAACCCAATGATCCTTGGATGTCTTACCTACATGGGAAACACTGTTTCTCCCCCTCTCCCACTACCTGCTTTTCACGGAGAAGCTAACATTTATTAAGCACACACTCTATACCAAGCACTTTTCTAGAATTAAAGGTACAAAAGGCATAAGTCATCTGTGCCCCAGAGGAATTCACTATTTAGTGTGGAGCTATCTTTAAAATGACTCTATCATTAATGTACGAATGCAACCAAAACACAGAGAGGAATAACTGTGACTCAAGAGATGAACATGAGTGTGTCAGATGGAGAATTTCAAGCAGGAAAAACAACAGAGTGCCAGAACCATATACAGATCTGGTGAGGTTGGTGGGAGGGCAAAGGAGGTTGTTGAAAAGGCTGTGGAAAAATTAGAATGTGGTTTGATTTCTATCCCACCTGTGTGATGAGGATGGAAACATCTTCTCCTGAGCTTCAAACATCCCTACCACACACAGACACACACACACAGACACACAGACACACACACACACCATTGTGGAAATCCCAGCCAGACCTTGGGTATTCATGCCCCCAAGCCCTGTGAGGGGCACATCCAATATGAAGGCTGTGGGAGAAGAGAATCCTGCTATCATGTACTCACTCATTTAGCAATTAATAAGTGCTTACTAAATGTTAACTCTGTAGTGCGAGGGAAGAGGGTATGATAAATACACACTTTCTGGGTAGGTACATGTATGATCTAGTTGCCTTCACTTTTCCCCTGACAGGTCATTGCTCTGTCAACACATATTTATTAAACAATCACTTGGGGGCACGGTACCTCCTTCCTCTCCTTTCCCTCCGAGATAAGGCCAACTCTAGGTGTTCCCACTATCTTCAACCCCACCCCACGGTAGGCTCACAAGAACGTCATTTTGATCACTTAAGGGATGAATTTTAGGTTTAGATGGAGGATAAACTTTTGGAGATGGTTCCTCATATGGTCTGTCTGGAGACTTTTTGCAATAAATGGTGTCCGTGCCATCCAGAGAACATAGGTCACCAGTTAATCAAGACAGTAGGGAATAATGATTTACACATGTTGACAAATTGATTCCTCTTAATAACCAGGTCAATTTTTTGGCCAACACTATACACATGTACACTATGCACATAATTACGACATCTATAAAAGATAGAATTAATCTAATTTTATGCAGATATGGGAAGAACTCGTCCCAAGTCTCACAGTCAGTAAGTGATGGAGCCTAGAGTTGAACTGTTTCACTTCACTACCATGTTAATACTTTTCTCAACACATTCTGCCGCTCTCACTCTAAGTGTGAGGCCCTGTCCAACTAAAACATAATATGGTGAGTTCGTCATTGATTCAAATAATCAACTTTCTTCCCGAATCCCAAGTTTATCTCTTCTGATTAGGAAAAAAAATGCATTTTGATATGTCGCGTTTGCGTAAAGCGAGGCCGACCGCACGCCCCCTTCTCGCGAGCTGCTCCCCTCAACTGCGACCCAATCACCCTTGCACACGCCTCCTGAGCCCCCGCGGTTCCCACCGGGCTTCAGGCCACGCCTCCGCCGCTGCACCGCCTCCTCTCCCCGCCTTCGCCCGTAGTCTATAAAACCTGGAGCGCAGGATCGCGCCCAGGAGCGGCGAGCTAGCGGACGCAAAGACTGGGCATGCTCCGCGGCGGCGCAGGTTTTGGTCACAAGTAGGAAGAAGCCAGTGCACCAGACCGGCAAAGAGAAGCGGGAGCCGCCGCGGCAGCGCGGCCGTGGGGTCCGCCGCCGCCGCATCGGAGCGGGAGGAGGAGCAGCGGGGAGGGCGAGGCCGCCGGGCCGAGAGCCGTCCCGCCTGCTCTCGGTCTTCTGCCTTCGCCTCCGCGCGGTGCGTCGGACCCAGGGTCTGTCACCTGGGCGCCAGGGGCCGCCGCCGGGGAGCCGGAGCGGGCAGGACCCTCCCTCCGCCGACTGCGGCCCGAGAGCGCCCCCGCGGGGTGGAGCGGCAGCCGCCTTCTGCGGGCGGCTGAGTGTCCGTCTCGCGCCCGGAGCGGGCGACCGCCGTCAGCCCGGAGGAGGAGGAGGAGGAGGAGGGGGCGGCCATGGGGCTGCTGTCCCAGGGCTCGCCGCTGAGCTGGGAGGAAACCAAGCGCCATGCCGACCACGTGCGGCGGCACGGGATCCTCCAGTTCCTGCACATCTACCACGCCGTCAAGGACCGGCACAAGGACGTTCTCAAGTGGGGCGATGAGGTGAGCGCCCGCGGTCCCCGTCCCCGCCGGGCACCCGTGTCTGGCCGCCCGCGCTGCCTTTGTCTTGCCCTACGCCCCCGGCCCTATCGCGGTCCGCGTTCTCCACTGCGCCCGGGGGTCCTCGAGCGCCTCCCGGCCCCGGGAGCATCGTCCCTGCTTTCGCCTAGTCCGCGTCCAGGGCCATCCTCCTGACTAGACTCCTTTCTTGTTCATTCATTCTTTTGGGTTTTCCCCTTCATTCCATAAACACGGATTGGGCGCTGGGAGGGCGTGAGCATGAAAAAGTGACATTAGGTGCTGCGAGTCTTCAACCTAGTGTATCTGCAGACCGGCAACTACCATGATCCACCTTACAGGCTCAAAATTCGCTTTTGCGGTCAATATGAAAGAGATTTAAGTTTTCCTAGTAGGCCTGCTGCTTTTAGAAATCAGGTCTTCAGGATGTCCACTTCTGCCCTACCTCATGCAGGTGTCTTTTCCTTAAACCTCTCCAACTTCTCATCTTCCCTCCCCTCCAAAACACACACACTTCATAGCTATAAATTGAAACCAGTAAATTACGGCTCAGTTTCCTACATGGGGGAGGAACCTTCCCTTTCCTGTTTAATTCTAAGTGGGAATGCATTTAGAGTTTCAACATTAGGATTTGCTTGTGTCTTTCCATGGCCTAGGTCCAGCAACTAAACTTTACAAACCAGTGTTCTGCCTAGAGATGAAATGTCTCTAGATTCTCAGTAGGTTGAACCATTGTTTATTGGAATGATCTGGAATGCAGCAATGTTAAAACTGTTGATTTAGTGTCATCTGCCAAAACTTTTTGTGCCTTCCCTTTCTGTTTTTGAAAATTACGTGTGTATGCAGTACACATTAAATGACTTCTTGAGAAGTCCATCTCTGTTTTTGTTTTTAGCTTTTGCCTTAGATGGCTTGCCACCTGTGTAAATTGTTTATCTTTTGGCCAGTGTTGTTATCAATCTTGGCCTAAGTGCTGACGTGCTGTTACACCAGTGCAGAATATCTCCTTTCAAAAAGTTAGTTTTTTTTTTTTTTCTAAGATTGGGATTCTACCTCCTACAGCTGAAGAAATTGTGCTGTTTTAAATTAGGAAAGTATGATGACTAGTAATTCACATTTCTACAAAAAGTGGTTTGTCACACTTCTTTGAACAGAAAAAGCACAGCATGTGTTTTGGTGATGATTCTTCAGTTTTACTGTAAAGTTCATAGTTTCTTTACAGCATCTGCCATTTTGTATATTCATTTTTGTATTGTGTGTCACAGGAAAATGTAAGACGAAATTGGGCAGGGACATTATGCTTGTTCACCTCTGTTTTCCTAGAGCCCAGCCTTGTGCCTGGTGTAGTTGGCATCAGGTCCTTGTGGCATGAATGAGTGAATGAACTACTATTTCAAGTTCCCACTGTATGGTAACTAGTCATTGTAGAGCAGTTCAAAGTTTGACATTTTTTTGTGCTGCTCTTTTTTTTTGAGACAGAATCTTGCTCTGTCGCCCAGGCTGGAGTGCAATGGTGTGATCTCGGCTCACTGCAACCTCAGCCTCCCGGGTTCAAGCAATTCTCCTGCCTCAGCCTCCTGAGTAGCTGGGATTACAGGTGCCTGCCACCACGCCCAGCTAATTTTTGTATTTTTAGTAGAGATAGGGTTTCACCATGTTGGTCAGGGTGATCTCAAACTCCTGACTTTTCACCCGCCTCGGCTTCCCAAAGTGCTGGGATTACAGGCATGAGCCAATGTGCCGGGCCCTGTGCTGCTTTTGACATTTAACTAGGTCTCTCTACAAAGACAGGCAGTTCAAGTCTTTGGTAGTCATTGTCCCAGGTAGAACTACATCAACAGGAAATTTGCAGCACAGTTGGAGCTCAGCAACTCCTTCTGGAGACAACACCCCACCCCCCACCACCCCTTATCCATCTTTGTCCCATTTGGTGTATTCCTGCAAGACACTCCAGGAATCCTTAATCTTACCCTTTTAAAAAAGGCCTCTCCTGTTGGCAGGAAGAGCATTTAGAACTACCTATTTTAAGTAACTTTTGTAGTTGTTGGGTAAATTGAAGTGGGAAGAGCTGAAGAGTAGAGCCTTGAAGTACGTGTCTCTGCTTTAACAGGCTTTCATGGAGAGATTTGCAATAGGTTTACCTCCTTCCCACTCCAAAAGATCAAGGGGCTTGGAAAAGAGTGGCCATAATGCAAACTTGTATTATGCATCTATAAAGGAGAGAAAATTGGACCCAGCATTTCAGCCAGGTCATAACACTTCTTGAAAAAATTACGCTGAGCAGATCTGTGGAGAATTAGACTTTGGTATTGTATTAAGACTCTAATAATGGCTGGGCGTGGTGGCCCGTAATCCCAACACTTTGGAAGGCCCAGGCAGGAGGATTGCTTGAGCCCAGGAGTTGAAGGCCAGCCTGGGCAATATAGCGAGACCCCATCTCTACCAAAAATAAAAAATTAGTGGCATGTGCCTGTGGCCCCAACTACTCGGGAGGCTGAGATAGAAGGATCGCTTAAGCCTGGGAGTTTGAGGCTGCAGTGAGCCGTGATTGTTCAACTGCACTCTAGTCTGGGTGACAGTGAGACCCTAGCCCCCTACCCCAAAAAAAGATTTGATAACACTGCTCTTACCTTAAAATGTGTAAATGATGTTCACTGAAAACTTTCTTTAGTGACTGTTAAGACTATACCTTCACATTTCTTGTTCCAAATACTCTGTCATAAATTAAATACAAAGCTATAAATTGATTTTTTAAACCTCATTTGAAATGCTGCTTTTACCAGCATTTTACTGTTTTATGATCTATCCTTTCTGTTTCCCTAGACTATTTTGTTTTCCACAAGTTCCTTTGTTCCCCCACCGCCCCCCCACCCTACTAACATATTAATGTCTTTTGGAGTGGGGAGTAAACAAACTGAGGTGGAAAACTCATCTTAGAAGAAAAGCATAACCCGCTGCTCATTTTTTATTATTTTAAATTTGCTTCAGTTATGTCTCTGGGTGGAGTATAGAATTTTTGAGAAGAATAACATTCCTGCCCTGAAGTGTTGACAGTTGCCCGACACAAAGGAAAGAATTAAGATTGTGAAGACTGCCTAGGTGATTAAAGAAAAAGAAGCCCCACTCTACTTTTTCCTCCTGCCATGGCACTTCAGTGAAACCTTGGTCTCCCCCGCGCTTGTTCTACCTCCCGCCCTTGATCTGGGATGCAGATACTAATTCTCCATTGTGGTACCTCTCTACATTTCTTTTTTTCTTTTTTTTGAGACGGAGTCTCGCTCTTGTCACCCAGGCTGGAGTGCATGACGTGATCTCGGCTCACCGCAACCTCCGCCTCCCAGAGTTCAAGTGATTCTCCTGCCTCAGCCTCCTGAGTAGCTAGGATTATAAGGCACCCAACACCATGCCCGGCTAATTTTTGTATTTTTAGTAGAATCGGGGTTTCACCATGTTGGCCAGGCTGGTCTCGAACTCCTGACCTCAGGTGATCCACCTGCCTTGGCCTCCCAAAGTGCTGGGATTACAGGCATGAGCCAGTGTGCCTGGCCACCTCTCTACATCTCTTATATGCAGAGAGAAGGTGTGACTTTTTTTTGTGGGGTGAGGATGGGAGGGTCTCATCATGCCTAAGTATTTGCTGATGCCTGTAACCATTCCTCTAGCGGCATCATCATGTGAATCTAATCACCCTTTTGTAAGAGCATTATTTTTCAGACTGCAGGTCATGATTCAGTAGTGGGTTGACATACATTTAGAAGATTCCAACCAGGACTTTTGTGTGTGTGTGTGTGTGTGTGTGTGTGTGTGTGTGTGGCAAGACACTTAACATGAGCTCTACCTCCTTAACAGATTTTTAAGTGCACAAATATAGTATTGTTAACTACAGGGGCAATGTTTTACAGATCTCTAGAACTAGTTTATCTTGCATAATTGAAACCATGCTCACCGATTAGCAGTTCCTCAATTTTCCCCTCCACCTAGCTCCTGGCAACAATTCTGCTTTCTGATTCTATGAGTTTGACTACTTTAGTACTTGATATAAGTAGAATTAAGCAGTATTTGTCCTTCTGTGACCGATGTATTTCACTTAACATAATGTCCTCAAGGGTCATCTAAATTGTCCCATACTGTAGGATTTTCTTTTTTTTTTTCTTTTTTGAGGCTGAATAATATTCCATTGCTTGTATGTACCACATTTTCTTCATTCTTCTGTCAGTGAACGTTTAGTTGTCTCTACATCTTGGCTATTGTGAATAACTTCGATGAACATTGGAGTGCTAATATCTCTTTGCCAACAGGACTTTTTAAAATATTAAATGGAATAGGGTGAAGAATATTAATTTATCATACCATAGTAAGAATATTATGTAAAACTTCTGAGTTATCTTCTGAGGAGGTGTGTGAAGGGTAGGCTTGTGCATTGGATTGCATGTAAATTATTTCTTACTATGGTTCACAGTTGAAGAGTTTGAAGGCCACAGTCTCAGATTTATTTATTCAATGAGGTGAGCCTCGTGAAAAAGAACAGGTTAGCACTAATCTTTGCACATAGTAGGAGCTCACTGGTACACATTCTGAATAGAAGTGTGAAGACAGGTCAGAAGCCTAGTGGCTCAGATGCAAGAGAGCTTGTTTGTGTGCAGAAGCCTTGAGAAATAACTGAGAAACAGGCTGCGCAGATAAAAGTGTGTGTGGTAGATAAAAGTGGGTGTGGTGGATGGTGTGCCACGTGGAGATGAAGAATGGCCCGCAGGACAGAAAGTGGTGTTTTGGATGTGATATGTTGGGCTTTATGGGCATCATATCAAAATGCTGCTTTTTTTGCTTACTGTTGCACTTATAGAGCCATGGACTTGGATTAAAAAAAAGACAAAAATGAACTTAAAACGCGCCATAGGTATGGTTGGAAGGAGAGGCTGCCACTTTAGAAATGCTCAGCTCTACTTACTAGGATAGTGTTTGTCTCTTCACACCAGAAAGAACCTTGGATTTGGGGTTCAGTTTGTGTTCTCATCCAAGGCTGAAGTGGATTGTCTTACAGAGGTGCGTGTATGCTGGCTTTTTGGAACTCAGGTATTTTCCTGTGAGAAGCTCCAAGATCAGCCTACAGATGCCTGTTTCACCTTTAATATGACAGGTCCTAACTCTAGCCACCATTTACTGTGCTGCTTCTGTGGGAAACAGAAGTTCCAACTCTTAGGTTCCAGGGAGATACCTATTTTGCCCCAGGATGAGGAGAGGTAAGGGGGATATTCCTGGGTGCCCTGTTGCCTGCTGAGAATACAAACAAGTAAGCCCTTCTGCACAGTTCACATGCAGCTTTTCAGATATGGGTTTTGTTTGTAACTTAGATATGCACATTAAAAGACAGATCTGGGAAATCTATGATGTAAATGTAACAAATATGACTTGATTTTTTCTGATGACTCCAGTGTTAGCTGCCTGCCAGACCTTTTCAGCTACTTAGTGGCAGACATATCATCAGCATTGAAATCTGTCTGACTCCAGGTCCAGTCCTTAAACATTATACCAGGTTTTGGGTTATTTACAATCATAAATTTCATTGAATTTCTTTTTACAGATTTCAAACTGTATAGGTTGTAGAGGGTCAGAAAACAACATTTAAAACTAAACTTTTACTTCTAAGTTTGTAACCCAGTGCAGTGGCTCTTGAAGGCAAGAAGGTAAATTGTCCTCTAGTTAGCAGAAAAGTCCATGTGAACTTTGAGAGGAAAATGCAATGTATCTTTAATCTTTATGAGCATGTTCTTATGTGTAAAACAGAGATGAGATTTATTAAGGGCTGATATATCATCCATTGAGTTTGAACTTCCAATTTGCCTATGCTAGGTTCAGAATGCTGAAGTGACTATTTAGAAAATGCATAGCTGGGAGGCCGAGGCAGGCAGATCACAAGGTCAGGAGATCAAGACCATCTTGGCTAACATGGTGAAACCTTGTCTCTACTAAAAATACAAAAGAAAAAATTAGCCAGGTGTGGTGGCGAGCACCTGTAGTCCCAGCTACTCGGGAGGCTGAGGCAGGAGAATGGCGTGAACCCGGGAGGCGGATCTTGCAGTGAGCCTAGATCGCGCCACTGCACTCCAGCCTGGGCGGCAGAGCGAGACTGCATCTCAAAAAAAAAAAAAAGAAAATGCATAGCTTGCCAGGCATGGTGGCTTGTGCCTGTAATCCCAGCTACTTGGGAGGCTGAGGTGGAAGGATCACTGGAGCCCAGGAGTTCATGGCTGCAGTGAGCTGGGATCATGCCACTACTGCACTTTGGCCTGGATGACCAAGTGGGACCCCATCTCTTTAAAAAAAAAAAAAAAAAAAAAAAAAAAGGAAAGAAAAAAGAAAATGCCTAGCTTATTAATGAATAAGTGTATGATCCTATTTAAAAATACAGTCTTGAGTGATAAATTTAGAATGGACAAAAACACAATTATTTGAGTCAAATTGAAGGTTCTCTATAGCTTTGGGCAAGTTGCTTACTCTCCCAACTTCAATTTTGTCATCTATTAAATGAGGACAATACTACCTTCCTTGCAGGGTTATTGAGATTAAATGGGGTAATATTAGTGAGGTGGTTTGCAGGTGCCTAGCCTGTTAAGTAAAATCTCACAAATAGCCTAAACCATTTACTTAGAAAATTTAAAACATCCAGTATATCTTATTTAAATAGCTGTGGTCATTGAGGAATGAAACATTCCACATATGTAGGGTTTTTTGGTTTTTTTTTACAGTTAACTGAAACTTGCTTGTTCAGATACAATTATATTCCATTAACAGTAATTTTTTATTGTATTTCTTTTCTTTTTTTTAATATTATGTATTTATGTATTTATTTATTTATTTATTTATTTTGAGACAGGGTCTTTCTTGCTCTGTCACCCAGGCTAGAGTGCAGTGACACCATCACAGTGTGCTGCAGCCGCAGCCTCCCAGGCTCAAGCTGTTTAGATCGTATTTCTAAGTTGCGCTTCAAAAACGCATTGACACAGGCTCAGGCTAGGCTTCTTAAAATAAGATATAGAGCACAAATTAATTATTTCTTAATAGGCATTACAAAGATTCAGGTTCCTTCTATAGGTCATAGCGTATTCTGTAACACAAAAAGCAAAGTTGTCGCATCTCTCTATCTTTTTTAGCTGTCACTGGACATTGATTCAACAGCATTTATTGTCCGTTAACCCCTACCCACCCCCAGAAGTTCCCTTGTGCCCTTTGCACGTGTGTGCATGCGTGTATGCTAGAGAGAGAGGGGGAGAGCACTTCAGTTGATTCTGGTTTTCCTTCAGACACCACCTTTGAGAAACTGCCTTAAAGAGTGTGTGGTCATTAATTAGATGAAGGGGAGAAAGGAAGGCATTATGGTCAAAAGAACAGTGTAACAAAGGAGGAAAGGTGAGAAATACCATTGGATAGTATGTGAAGGTTATTGTGCAGTTTAGTGTTGTAAATGCAGTGAATAGGTTTAGCCAGCTTGTAGAAGTCTTTGTCTAGTTCTCAAAAAGTAGAGGTTATGTTGTACTTTAAAAGCATGAGAAAAGTAGAATCGAAAAAAAGTGTATTAGTCTTCTATACCTATCTCCTACAGAAAAAATCTTTTAAGACTTATCAGTTACTGTGACCTACCATATCATGGTTGAATTCCTCCATGTTAAGACCCTACTGTCTAGAAGTATGGTATTAGCAGATGTACTCATTGATTGGTACTGTCTGTAGTTTCATTTTGAAGCATAAACCTGAGTAACATTCAGTAAGACTCTGTATGTTCAGAAAAGATGTCACAATATTAATTGAGCCTCTAACATCACTATTTATGTTTCTGAACATTTTTACATACTGTCAAGGCATCTGAATATATTCTTAAAGTTAGAAAACTGTATATGAAGCATTACTGATATTGCTGGTATTACTGGAAAGACCATATCCTAACGAGCTTGCTAATTAGTACTCTGTTTCTACATTTCATGATATAATCAGGTGTTTTTAAAAAAACATTTTAACAGCTTTATTGAGTTATAATTAACATAAAGTTAACTGCACATATTTAAAATGTACAATTTGGTAAGTTTTGATATATGTATACATCATAAAATCACCTCTGATAATAAGTATATTCATTATCTCCAAAAATGTCATCATGCCCCTTTGGTAATTTCTTCCTCTGGCCATCCCATGCAGCTGATTTGCTTTCTGTAGTTTGCATTTTCTAGATTTTCATATTTAAGAAATCATAGTTTGCATTTGATATCTAGTTTCATATACCTAGGAAATCATCCAGCATATCCTCTTTTGGTCTGCCTTCTTAGAGTCTACATAAATATTTTGAGATCCATCCATGTTGTTACATGTGTCAGTAGTTCATTCCTTTTCGTCGCTGAGTAATATTTCATTCCATGGTTATACCAGTTTGTTTATACATTCACCATTTGTGTTGCATTCAGTTTTTCACTATTATAAAAAAATTATATGAACATTAACATACAAGTTTGTATGTATGGACTAATGCTTTTCTTCATCTTATTACCCTAGGAGTAGCGTGTTGTTAACTTTTTAAGGAAACTATAATACCAAACTTTTCCAGGGTGGTTATACCATTTTGCATTCTCACTAGCAGAGTATGCCAGTTCAGTTCATCCACATTCTTGTTAACACCGGTATGGGCAGTCTCTTTAATTTTAGCTACTCTAATAGGAGTGTGGTGGTACGTTGTTGTATTTTTAAATTGCATTTTCCTGAAGATCAGTGATGTTGAGTATCTTTTTATGTGCCGATTTGTCATGTGTGTATCTTTTTTGTGAAGTGTGTTAAAATCATTTGTCTGTTCTAAAACTATTGAGTTTTGAGCGTTCTCTATATTTTGGATGTAAGTATTATCAGACACATGCTTTGCAAACTTTGCAAATATTTCCTCTCAGTCTGTTTTCATTCTCTTTTTTTATTTTTTATTTTTTTTTGAGACAGAGTTCTCACTCTATGGCCCAGGCTGTAGTGCAGCGGTGCAATCTCAGCTAAGTGCAACCTCCACCTTCCAGGTTCAAGTGATTCTCCTGCTTCAGCCTCCCAAGTAGCTGGGATCACAGGCATGCGCCACCACGCCTGGCTAATTTTGTGTTTTTAGTAGAGGTGAGGTTTCGCCATGTTGGCCAGGCTGGTCTTGAACTCCTGAGCTCAGGCAGTCCGCCTGCCTTGGCCTCCCAGAGTGCTAGGATTACAGTCTTAAGCCACTGTGCTTGGCCTTATTTTTATTTTTAAGAGATGAGGTTCTGCTATGCTGCCTAGGCTGTCCTAGAACTCTTGGGCTCAAACAAACCTCTGCCCCAGCCTAACAAGTAGCTGGGACTTACAGGCATGTGCCACCTCACCTGGCTAATGGCATACTCTTTTGATTGCTGAATCTTTATAATAAGCCATGAGATCATGTAGTATTAGCTCTCTAGCTTTATTCTTTTTCAACTGGTTTGACTCTTCTGGATATTTTGAATTTCCACGTGAATTTTAGAACCAGATTGGCAATTTCTACTTAAAACAAAAAAACCCTGCTGGGGTTTTTTATTGGGATTGCATTGAATCTGTAGATCAGTTTGGGAAAAATTAACATCTCAACAATATTGAGTCTTCAAGTATATGAATATCTCTCCACTCTACTTACATCTTTCATTTCTCCCAGCAGTGTTTTGTAGTTTTTCGTGTATAGGTCTTTCACATCTTTTTTGTCATGTTATCCCTGAATGTTTCTCATGTTTCAGTTCTATTGTAAATGGTTTCCCCGGACCTTCAGCTCCATCTCTTCCACCCAGGGAGTCCACTGGGCTCTTCTTCACCTTCCTGCCCATGACCTGGAGCCTCTCCCCAGGCAGTAAGTGGGGGCAATTGTAGGGCCCACTGATTTTCCCCCGTTTCTCAGGGATCCTTTCTTATCTGATACGCAGTGTCTTGAAAATTATTCTTTCATATATTTTCTCTTCCTCTCTCTTTTTTTTTTTTGTTTTTTGGTTTTTCAGGTAGGAGGGTAAATTTAGCCCCTGTTACTCCATCTTGATTAGAAGTGGAAGTGTTTCCCACTTTTTCTATCCTTTTAGCTGTGTTCTCCTTTGTCTGTAAACTTTGTCCAAAGCTGGCTATCATTGTGGTTTATAAGATACTTGCCAGCACCCAAGATTTAGCCAAGTTTTTAAAAGGTCAGGATTTTCTTTGCTCTTAAGCCATAGTTTTCATCATTTAGTATCTCTGTTATCATCCTGTGACTGGATATTTGGTAAAAACACAATTAGTTTCAAAGTCGACATACATTTTATTAATGAGCTTTAGTCTGAAGATCAGAGTCGAAGACCTGGGGTCACCCCGGGTTGTGTGAGCTTAGAAAACAGAACTAAAGACTGGGCGTGATGGTTCACGCCTGTAATCCCGGCACTTTGGGAGGCCGAGGCAGGTGGATCACTTGAGGTCAGGAGTTCAAGACCAGCCTGACCAACATGGTGAAAACCCCCTCTCTACTAAAAATACAAAATTAGCTGAGAGTTGTGGCACATGCCTGTAATCCCAGCTACCAGGGAGGCTGGGGCAGGAGAATCACTTGAACCTGAGAGGCAGAGGTTGCAGTGACCTGAGATTGCGCCATTGCACTCCAGCCTGGGCGACAAGAGTGAAACTCCGTCTCAAAAAAAAAAAAAAGAAAAGAAAAACAGAACTTAAATTCTTTGGACCACAGTTTCCTCATTTGGTAAGACTAATTAAAAAACCCTATCATTTGGTGTTTTGAATTGCATGTTTATATATATAGATTCTTTTAGTTGTATTTTTTAACAATTTTTAATTGTTTCAGAATACCTTAATACTTAATACTCTGTAACTTATGAAAATCGGTAAATTCTACCAGAAGTGGTAGAATTCATTCCCCCTGCAACCTTTCAGGTTTCAGCATTTTCTTTGAGATTACATACTTTACCATCAACTGAAAAAGTAATCTTAATTAATTTCCTAGAAATTTGATGTGGGAGTTAGTAGTATTGCTGTGTGTAGGAAGAATGATGGCAGGCTTTCAAGAGGTGGGGAAGGACAAGAAGCCTCTGGATTTGCCAGTTGGGCAGGTACTGGGGGCGTCTGGCAACAACATATCTGAACATATTAAGGATTTGGGAGAATAGCAAAAGTTGGTGTCAGATCAAAATAAATGCCACAAAGCCCCCATGCATGTTTTTACATTTCATATGATGTTTGAAATCTTGATGATAGTTTTTAGAAGGAGACAGGCCTGCACTGGGACAGCATATGAGTTTGGGTCACTTTGGTAATATCTGTGTGGCTAAGTTATCACTGGTGTGTAGTGAAACTGAATGAGTGATGACTTAATCTCCACTTAATGGTTCTGTTTCTCAGACATGGTTTAAAAAGACAGAGAAGGATGTAATGAGCCTCAGACTTATAGCCAAAAGAGTTCATATTTGATATATCTTTATTGGCACTTGGAAAGTTTGGTTATTTAGATTGGTATGTTCTGAGCGAGTTTCTATGACTAAGGTTCTACTCTGATGGATGATCTCTAAAGAGCTTTCTGTATTAGATTTTTGTGTCTGTTTTATGGTTAGAGTTTAGTAGTTGAACTTATTTCCACACAATACTACGAAAGAGCCCCCAAAACAGATGTTCCTAGTTACATAAATGCTCTTACAGACCCCCTGTTGTCTTTGTCCCCCTCCCCCAAGATTCTGTTTTTAGGCCTTTGGATTCAGTTAACTCGTTTTTGAAGTGGATGGTGACTTAGCAGAATTCAGACTCTAAGGTGAGTGACTCCATGACGCTTTTCCAGGAAACTAGTAAAAATCTGGGTTGTAAGTCTGCCCCATTCAGATTAACTGCTGGAGGGGAACCAGAGCTTCACAGAGATAGAAAAGGTCATAGAAGCTGCTGTTTTCCAGCAGACTTTTCAGCAGTCCTGCCTGAGCTAAGCAGGGTAGTACCCTGGCCTGCCAGTGTGTTAAGTTGTGTCTAGGGGTTATGATCTGTTGGCTCCACTACTCAAATAGAGCAAGAACTGGGAAGTAAACAAAAACTTTATTCCTGGAAGCATATTTGAGGCCTATACGCAGATCGCTTTATACATAGTTCCTGCAGACTCGGTCATTTAGTATCTCAGCTCAGGATGTACTGCAAGAAATTGAGGCAGAAATGAGAGGGCGCAGTCGAGAGAGGAGCTGCCCAAAGCAGGTCCAGATGTGGCCTTCTGATATGCCCACAAGGGCCCTGCCCTGTTATAGCTGTAGTTAAAGAAGTGAAATTGCCAAAAACATCTGAAGCCCTAATAAAAAGTGAAAGTATGTGTAGTATCTTCCTATTGATAGCAGATAGTCAATTTTAGAAAGATTTCCACTCACGTATATGTAAACTTTTTAAAGAAAACATATGCTCTAAAGGGGTAAGTTTTGGGTAATAAGAAAATTAATTTCAATAAAATGAATGTTCTGTGTTTGATGAGTGAAAGAAAAATGATGGTCTTATACTAAGAGTTTCTGGAAGACTTTAATTTCAAAAACAGTAGTTTAGAACTGGAAGGGACATTGGGTTTTCTCTTATTTTCAGATGATTTAAAAGCCAAAGACTACAACACATTCTAAGTGGCTATCATTAGGGAAAATTAAGGCTGCTCTGGGCAGGATAAATACCTTGTACAACTTTAGGAGGCACCAGGGTGGGTAGCACCCCTTGAGGGTGGAAAGGGGAAGGAGTTACAGTGTTGGGGGTTCAGCAAAGGTCTCTGAAGGAGTGGCACTTGACTTGAAGCACACAAGAGCCAGCTCTTGAAATACTGAGGTAAAAATCTTCCAGGCAGAGGGAACAAAAGTGTCTTAAAGGCCTTGAAGTGATTGTTGTAGAGACAGAAAAGGCCAGTGTAGCTGCAACATCGTGTGGGGTGGGTTGAAATGAAGGAGGCTGAGAAGATTGGTCCTAATGCTCTTTAGGAGGGATGTTGGAGTTTCTGCTGAGTGTGAGCCATTTAAGAGTTTCAAGGAGAGTGACTTGACCTGCTTGCTGAAGGACCATGGTCTTCCTGACTGTAGGGTTAGACAGCATTCCATGCCAGTAGCTTTCACCTTTGACTAAAACAAGCGCTCTGTGAAACAACATTTCCACGAAACAGCAGTTCCCTTCCCATGAGTGACATATTCTGATATTTCTATTCTACCCTATTAACGATTATTTTTTGTTATGTTGATCACAACTCATCATGGCCCACAAAGGAGCTGTAACCAATGTTTGAGAAACACAAGACACTATTCTGTGTCAATCAGTGTATCACTGCCCTGGAGCTAGAAAATAGTAACCACTAACCCCTGAGTGGTACAGTGTACTTAATACTGTTTTAGCACTTTACATGCATTGTTTTATGTAATCCTCCCCAGCAGCCCTGTGAGGCAAGTATTACCTCCATTCTGCAAAAACTGAAGCATCGAGAAGTTACCAAGATTCAAACTGATTGACTCCAAAGCCTGCACTCTTAGCTGCTCCCCCACCTATTACCGCCCAAATAGGCAGGAGGAAAAGAGCTCTGTGACAGTTTTAATAGGCTCCAAACAGAGATGAGATTGAGGGTGGCGAGGAAGAGAAGAAAGAATAGAGAAAGGGATGGTGGTAATGCAGGAAGTAGGCTTTTTGTTTTTTAATGAAAATATGAATATGTCATCAGCCACAGATCCACGCTTAAGCATTTTTTGGTACCCCATAGCAGGTAATTCTCTTCTAGTGAAATGCCAGCACTCTTTCAAAACGACACCATTGAATATGCTTGGTAAAATTCTCGGTCTGCAGGACAAATGCTAACAAGTTTAGTAATGTGACTGCAGCCTTCCCAGCTAATCTGCTGGCAAGCGAGCCCTGTGAAAAGGCAGATGCAGGACGAGCCCTTTCTATGAAAATCAGGCTGACCTCATTTGATAGTTATGCAGCCTGTGTCGATCTCTTCCCAGGGCAGCAGGTAGCAGGCCAGAATCAGAACCCCAAGTCAGGAGCTTTAACTTATCTGAGATTTTCATCCTTTAGCATGAATTTCAAATATGGCAGGGAAGGAGATTGAATTCACAAAAACCTAAATCTTCCAAATCCCACAGGTTACAGTTACTCTGTTGGTGGGATCCACTATAACACCCAGGTACGATTCCTGAATGGGAACCTGATGCTGCCTTTGTGAGATGTGGTTATGACACAGTGTCTGCACTCAGATTCGTATGATGGTGGAATGGCATTAAACTTGGAGGTCTTGAAGCCCTGTCGTCCTGTCCCTGGAGGCATAGGTGACCCCCAGTGAGCACTAGCAGTCACTTTGGACTTAGAATTCCTGTATTTAGCATTGACTCTCACTTAGTCTCTTTAGAAAACTCTCTTTTTTCTCTCTGTTAGGTTGATTAGTCTAACTTCAGTTCCTAGGAACTAAAATCCTGAATTTCTCATAGGCAGTCTGAATTTAGGGCAGCCTAATTTATAACATGCCTTAGAAGGAAATCATGTGTGCATTCTTGCTTGCTCAGCCCAAGAAGTGTATCAGGCCCTGAGCGGGGCACCGCCCACTGGGGGATGTGTTCTCTGTCTTGTCCCCATGCTAAAGCCCTAAACTCTCCTGCACCTAGAGGGAACCGCTGCAGAAATTCTCCATGATTCTCACCCACTACAGTGCCCCAGCTCTGGCTACTGCAGGGCAGTTGATCCAAAGCAGCTTCTGTCTGGGGATCAGGATACTGTTTCTTGTCAACCACGTGGTGACTAGAACTCTAGCAGGGGAATACGTTCTTAGGAAAAAGCCAAGGAATTCATTTGTCTTTAGAACTCAGAACCTATTGTACTGAAGTACAGATGATTGGAGGTAAATAAGGACTATTCATACTTACAATGTTGTTTCTTTAAGAGAAAATGTGTTCTGGTTTAGGTTTCTAAATTACAGAGTACCTGAGTAATGCTGGTGGCCATAAGCAGACATCCCCATTGGCAACTTGATGTGCTGTCTTTTCTGAGGTTAATTTGTGTGAGATGACTGGTTAGGTTTTGCTAGATTTGGTTCAGAAATAAAGTAGGAATGCCTTAATGGTCTTTATAATTATCAGAAAATTAAAACTAACATATGCCTGAATTGTGGTAGCATGATGTTTTTAAAAAAATCAACCAATGTAAATTCAGAGGCCCAGAAAATGTCTCATGCATCCGTGGAGCATGAAAGAGCAGGTCTACATTCAAGGATTTCCTTTGTGCCAACAATAATGAATTAGTGTGTCCAGGTCAAATTAATTTTAGGATTGTGTTTTCTCTTGGGTTTTGGTCCAGTGCTGTCTAGTACAACCTCTGCAGTAAGAGAAATGTTCTACTCTATACTATCCATTAGGGAGTAGGAAACTGATTTTTTTATTTTATGTTAAGTAATTTTAAATCCACACAGCCACATGTGCTTAGTGACTAGCATAATGGACAACACAATTTTTTGTGTTCCTTTGGTGACAGGTGACATTTTCTCCCTGTATGAGAGTCCTCCCAGTTTACCCCGCAACTCTCACTGTCTTTCTCTATTTTATTAAAGTCTTGAAATTTTTCTCTTGGGACTCATATCACTAATCTAGGCAAGTTAAGAATGTTTTCTCTGTTTGGGCTGAGACAATATTGAGAAAGTTACTCCACCTAATCCTATAGGAAATTAATTGATTTTTGTGCAGTATTAAAATTGAGATTAATGTGTTATAAATAAAAAGCAGCCTGCTCTGTGCTACAGAAAACTAGATCAGGGAGAGGCCACATTTATTTTAATTTCTAAAAGTGTAAACCTTTCATAGTATCATGTGAAATTCTTTAGTATGAATAGACATTTCAAAGTAGGAGGAAAAAAACCTATTTTCTCAAAATATATGAAATGTTAGCAGAATTTGATACAGCTTTAGACAAAACTGCTAAAACATTTTCTTTTTGGAACATAGAACAATTTAATTATTACAGTATCCACAGTCATCAAATATATATATATTTAAATCATCAAATATATATGTTTAAAATATAGTTGTGTGTGTGATGTTATGTATGTATAATGTCATGTACACAAAAGCACATACAGTTTCTACTTTGTACTTACTGGTCCCCTAAAAGTGCTTGGAGATTACCATGTCAAACAGTGGTTTTCCTATTTGTGATGTCATCATTAGACATATCTAACATGGGAGTCCATCTTTAAAAATCTGAGCCATATGTAATTTTATTACATCTGTATTAGAATCTCATATTCAGTTTTCTACTTTTTAAAACACAGCTCCTCTTTTAGTCTTGTCAGTCAGGTTGTCCTATGTTACTGTGGGTGTTTAAAAATTAAGTAGCATCACTATGGCTAACACCTCTTTGGGTGCTCCAAGTTTGGGAAGTGAATGCCATCCAACTTGATGGTTGAGATTTCTTTTAAAAAAAAATTTGTCATTACCATTTTGCTGTGAGAGGAAACAGTCTTCTGGGCAGAAGGCATTGAGTCCCTAACTTTAAAACAGTTTATAACCTAGAGGGTGACTACTTGGCATGATCTCTGTGGGGTGGATGCAGTGATCTGCGTCTTTGACAGGCGAGAGGGTGATTGTGCTGCAGTCAGTGGTGCAGCTCCCCTGGGGGACGGGATCCTATGGGAGGTTGAATTTTATGTTGAAGGATCCCTAGACCCTCACCTTTGCCTAGCCAGTCCCCATGTAAGGAATCAACTTAAATTTAAATGGCACTTCCTCTGGGAAGCCTTCTGATCTTCTAGACCGGCTTAGACTGTGCTGTTACATATGCACAGCTCTCTTTGGTCATTTTGAGCACTCGTTCAGATAATTCAGCAATAGCGTGTTATTGGCTGTCAGTCCAGCCAGTGTAAGCCTGAGAACAGGAGCCACATCTGCCTGGCTCTTCACAGTATTCCCAGCACCTGCTTAGCAAAGAGCTTTGTTGAATGGATGAAAGGACAAAGGGGTTAGTGCTGGGGGTGGGGGGCAGGGAGCGTGTCCAGCAAGACAGTGTTTTTTGGCACTGAGTAGTCATCAACTCTAACTAGAGCCTTAGTCCTCAAAATGGTTGCAGGCTTGTTTAGGAGTTAGTGTAAGGAGAAAACTAAGTCTCTGAGAAGCAACAGTTGGTTCTAGCAAAAGGATCAAAACTATTGTTTGGGCCATTGCAAGAGAGCCAGCAGTGTGGAATGGAGGAGCTGGCCCTGAACCCCAGATGTCAGTAGGGGTCTGAAGACCCTGCCCTGCACGCATACTCTACCTGGACTAGGTCCTGGGGAGCCCTTCACTGTCTTGCCCTCCTTGGCCTGACCACCTGGATAGAGATCCTTCCCAGGGTGTAAGGAGGGGAAAGTCCTCATGCTGTCTCTGGGAGGAATGTAGGACCTCACAGCTCATAGTCCCTGAAGGGCTTGGTGTAGGTTTCTTCTCTTCAGAGGTCAAGCATATGATGGGTTAAATAGTTTGAGAGGGAAAATTCCTTCCTTCTCATTTACAGAGAAACTGACAAAAGAACTTTCTCCCTAAATGGGGAACTGCCTGTAACTGCTCTGAGTATTATAGAACTGTATTGTTTCCTAATTAAGCATTGTTTTTACCTCTAGGAGTAGATATTAAGAAATTAGTATTTCATAAAATACCCAGCCATTCCTCAAATTGTTTTTTTTTTTTTTTTTTTTGAGGCGGAGTCTTGCTCTGTCACCCAGGCCAGAGTGCAGTGCCGCGATCTCGGCTCACTGCAAGCTCTGCCTCCTGAGTTCACGCCATTCTCCTGCCTCAGCCTCCTTAGTAGCTGGGACTACAGGCGCCCGCCAGCATGCCTAGCTAATTTTTTGTATTTTTAGTAGAGATGGGGCTTCACCGTGTTAGCCAGGATGGTCTTGATCTCCTGACCTTGTGATCCGCCCGCCTCGGCCTCCCAAAGTGCTGGGATTACAGGCATGAGCCACCGTGCCCTGCCTGCCATTCCTCAAATTCTAAGCTCCCTGAAACTCTTACCCTTAAGGTAGAGTATCAAAAGTTTTTAAAAGCAAGAAAAGAAAATTTTTATCTTATGCTAGTGGTAAATGCCATTTAAAGACTTAAATCCTAAAAGCTTGTATTTACCCTTAAACTTCATTGTCACAGGTATTTCTCTGTCTGCTGTATATTCAGCATTGTACTGAGTACTTACATCGCCTCAGTTAAAATTCTTTGTTTTTGTTGGCCTAATTTCAGATTAACATAAAAGTACCTCACCCTTGTTTAAACCTGCATTAAATGACTTGGATTACTGTGTCTGGAGTTTTCCTAGCAACACTATTTCACACACAAAGCAAAGTACATACTAGCCTTTTGTATGTGTCTTTGTCCTTGGTTCAACAGCTCAGGGATAGTAGTGTATTAATGACTTTTATTCTGGTCTTTTATATGTGTCTTTGTCCTTGATTTGACAGCTGAGAATAGTGGTTTTTATTCTAGTAGGATAAAATTTAGCCTTTTAGCACTAGAAGTCTAAGAGATTTTAATTTTCATTTGTAAAAATAGTGCACATTTAAAATCTGAATGTCTTGCAGAGTGGTCAGGCATTTTTTTATTGGGTCTCTTCTCCCTCAATTAAAAGGATAACTGATGGGTGCCAAAAAACAGTATCCCAGAGTCACCTTCAGGGCATTGTGACCTGTGTATTGCAGAGAATAGAGGTCGGTGGGTATTTTTTTCCCCTACTTCCAAGATGATATGTTAATTGCACAAGTTTAAATTGGTCACTCTGCAACCCATTTATAATGCTCTTTGGGTATGTATGCTTTTGGAGTTGTATATATGTGTAAAGTACATAAATATATTTGATGTTGCTGCAATTCTGGGTTTACAGCCTAGATGCTATTCAAAGTTAGTAAGCTGATACAGTTTTATCCTTGGAATCAGTGTTGTGATACAGAAAGGCATCTGTTTTATTATTTTCTTTTGTATGTTGTTCCTCTTATCCTTTGGATTCAAAAATGAAGTTTAGAATGGGGATACAATCCAGAAATCATAAAATAATTTATTGGGGCTTTAGATGTTTTATATTGGAAAATCGTTGTCTTAATGTATCACTTTTTATTATCACCAATCATCTCGGTTATTGCGTCAAACCCCATTTCAGCTCTAGTTTGACTTTTAAATATGCAGTTACGATTCAGAATGCTCATATAGACAGGCTCTAATCGGAAATAAACATAAATGTGTTGAGGTGGTGGGGGTGTTTAACAAAAAGCTAAAAGTTTGAAGAACCTCTTTGAGGACTAGTGCAGAAAGTTCAAGGTGACTGCAGAGAAGGAGCACTTCAGAAGGCATTACATTTTAGTTTGAAAAACCGTCAGGAAATTCTTGAGGCTTCCAACTGATGATTATTCTATTGAAAAGTAAATTTGGTTTTCTTTCTCATTTGGTAAATATTCTGATGTTTTTCTGTTTCATTTGCTTAATGAGATCATGAAGTGATTATACTTTAATTGAGGAGAGTTTGGTTTGTTAACATTTTAAATGTCATCCGTTTGGCATTTAAAACTGATATTTAAAACTCAGAATGAGCTTTAACTTTTTGTTCTTTTGCCCTACCCATGTTTTAAACTTGTGGGCTAAGAGTGAATTTGAAAACTAAGGATTTCAATTTTTTTCAAAGTTAGGAAACTAACAATTAAAGTTATTGCAACTTAGTTTATATAATTGCTACAAGTTCTTGCTCATTTGGTAAAAAATAAATGATGCACTCAGTAAGCAAGGAAGTATCTCTTAGACTTTCTTTAGGAAGCATGTTTTCTAGTTAAGCAAATAACTTAATTCCAGTAGCAGATGCCAGGCAGATGAGTTGGAGTCTAAGTGAGTGAAGGAGGAAGTACTGAAGAAGGAACATTTCCTCCTAGCTGGGAGAGTTAGGAATGCTACACAGAGTAAGTGGGTTCCGTCCTGGGCCTGAGGGATGGGCCAGTTCATCTGTTAAAATCTATGACTGTAACTATTGTTACAGCCCAGCTTCCATGATATAATGTTAGGACCCCTTCCATGAAATGAAAGCATAATCAATTTGAGATAGTTTCATCCAGTATTATAACTTTTCCCTGCTTCATATAGGTTATAACAATTTTATAAAAAGCTTATCTTCACTTACCAAGATTGGCACCCTCTACAGCCCTAGCAGCAAGGTGTGCTGGGCCTTGAGGCCAGACGGGGCTGGCTTCAAATCTCTGCCTGACACTTGTGGCCTTGAGTAGCTTACCTCTCTGAGCCCCTTTGCCCACCTGTGAAATGGGTAATCAAGCCTGCTTTTGCATGCTGGGTTTGAAGATTAGGATTCATATATGAAAGCATATCCTTTCTCATTATGCTTATTTAAAGATTAACTTGTATCTTTTCACATACCCATTCTGAGACTCAACCAAGTTTTCTGTTTCCAGGTTTTAGCTGTTCCGGAGTCACAGATCTATAGATGGTATCTTGCAACCTGTAATTGTTGTTGCGAACAGTTCCAGATTCTGCAGCCTAGTTTTTAGTCAGCTGACACTGAGTGATTCTGCAGGTGGAGATCTCATGTTTCTGGTTCGTGTACCCAAATCAAGCAGACTTTTCCATTTCTTGAGCTAAAAGATTCTGATGAGAGCTAATAAACGTTAACTGAAAGTTTATTTTGTTGTTGTTTAAATCTGCTAGGCTATCTCCTACAGTTACTAACATTTTTTTCCTCTTTATAATCATATTACTTAGCCCTTAATGTTTCTGTGATGAGGACGGCTGACTCAAATGCCTTCCAAGACCAGGGAAATACACATAAATAAGGGAATAAACTGCAGACAGTGTGCACCCCTGAAAAGCAAACAGCCCAGTCACACAGTCACAGGCTTCGTGCTGGGCTTCTGGGTATTGTTTTAAGACTGAGAACCTAGATTTACATGTGAAATATCTGGGAAATAGTGGATATACGGTTGCCTGCCTTTTTATTTTTTCTAAACTACTATTGTAGGCCAAACCAAATACACTGTAGCCTGGTTTGCCTTGTGAGGAATCAGTTTCCTACCTCTGTAGTAATTGTATTGGTGCCATGTGCAAAGGGTACTTTCAAGGGCTTGCCTGAATAATTCTGTATCTTTTCACTTATATATGGATAATGGATGTTTTGTTTCCATCACACACAGTGATTCATAATCTTCACTGCTCACGCCAACTGTCATGATTGAAAGCTTGTAACTTCAGGAAAAACAAAAGTAGGTTCTAGTTGTATTCTGCCCAGAAGTCTGACTTTGTGTTTATGTCCTTTATTTTTACTAGAATTCCACGAGGTATTGTTAATAAATGTACTAGTGCACCCTGCATTGCAAATTTTATATGGTTTCAGAGTGGAGAAGTTGCCTTAAATTACTTGAGATAAACCAAAATTAAATTGTTGAAACCCCTCAAATAACTTCTCCACACGGTATATTTATGATTATGATTTAACTCTCCAAAAGTGGGACTGGTAGTGGGATTATGAAAGTGTAATCTACCTTACTTATTACTCTGCCAGTAAGTAAGTGTAATCTACCTTGACTGGAATGTCCAGATAACCTCTTTCTTAAACTTATAGTAAGCCAACTGAGGAAATAAATTTTAAAATGCAGCTTCTTTTTTACAACAGCAATTTACAGAATCTTTGCTTCAAAACACATCTTTTTTTTGAAGTACAGCTTGTCAAAATGGGTATCGACCTTTCCATAGGATATTAAGTAGGACAGAGGAAAGAAGGGATGGAAGTGGCACTACTGACTGATCCTTTCTACAGGTTTCCATATTATGCATATGAACACTTATGTGCTGTACTGTAAACAAATGTGACTGTCTGGAGTTACTGTGGATCCTTTACAGACTTCACGTTTCCCTGCCTTTTTCTTCTGGAGGCCACACTGAAAACAAGTCTGGAAGAATGTTAATTTTTCTCACCTTTATTTTCAATAGGTGGAATACATGTTGGTATCTTTTGATCATGAAAATAAAAAAGTCCGGTTGGTCCTGTCTGGGGAGAAAGTTCTTGAAACTCTGCAAGAGAAGGGGGAAAGGACAAACCCAAAGTAAGCTCTCATGTGCTGATTTAGTGTTTCTGAAACTGCTAAAACTTCTAGAATATAGAGTTTTTTCTCAATTATTGGAGGCAGGATAGCCTAACAGTTAAGAGTACAGGCTCTGGTTTCAGGTTGCCATAGTTTCAAATCATGGTTCCTTTACTCAATAGCTGAATAACCTTGGGCAAGTTACTTAACTTTTCTGTGCCTCAGTTCTCTCATCTGTAAAGTAAAGATCATAGCAATACCTACCTAAGGTGTTGGAATTAAATACATTAATATATGAAGCACTTTGTACAGTAAACTAAATATAAAGCCTGTTTTTTATTAAAACATTTTTGGGAAAAAATGTATTGCAGAAGCGTATAACTGGGATCACAAACCATGATGCAAGATATAAGTTGCAGATGGGCTTTGTTTGGCTTTGTTTGGCTGGCATGATTTTTTTTTGAGACGGAGTCTCACTCTGTCGTCCGGGCTGGAGTGCAGTGGCACGATCTCAGCTCACTGCAAGCTCCACCTCCTGGCTTCACGCCATTCTCCTGCCTCACCCTCCCGAGTAGCTGGGACTACAGGCGCCCGCCACCACGCCTGGCTAATTTTTTGTATTTTTAGTAGAGACGGGGGTTTCACCGTGTTAGCCAGGATGGTCTCCATTTCCTGACCTCATGATCTGCCCGCCTCAGCCTCCCAAAGTGCTGGGATTACAAGCATGAGCCACCGCACCCGGCCTGGTGTGTTTTTAAGGTATTCCTACATTTAAGTAGACAGAGACGGGGAGGGGAGGGGAATATATACTCCTCTGCTCATTTTCCACTCATTCGTTTTGGGGAAGCTGCATTTGAGTTTGGAGGGCAGCACTGAATTGAAAGAACCCTTAAGGCCTCATCTCCTTCTCTGCAGAGTAGGTTAGTTTGTCCTGGACAGTGAGTGCTCTGTGTGCATTTTCAGTTACTTATAAAGATTTTGGGTTGGGCATGGTGGCTCATGCCTGTAATCCCAGCACTTTGGGAGGCCGAGGCAGGCAGATCACTTAAGGCCAGGAGTTCAAGACCAGCCTGGCTAACACGGTGAAACCCCATCTCTACTAAAAATACAAAAATTAGCCAGGTGTGGTAGGGCACACCTGTGATCCCAGCTACACAGGAGGCTGAGGCACAAGAATCACTTGGACCTGGGAGGCAGAGGTTGCAGTAAGCCAAGATCGTGCCATTGCACTCCAGCCTGGGTGACAGAGCGAGACTCTGTCTCAAAAGAAAAAAAACATTTTGGACCCAATACTTGTTGACCCTTATGTAGTTGAATAGCTATGGAAAAGTAATAATCACTGAGAACTGTGAAGGACTTCTTAGCTTCATTTATACCTAATGGTTTCTACACTTTTAAAGCAACTTTAAAAACTTAAAAATTGAGCAGACTATAGCAAAAGAATAAGATGGAACTAAGTTATTTCTCCTCCGTAGCCATCCTACCCTTTGGAGACCAGAGTATGGGAGTTACATGATTGAAGGGACACCAGGACAGCCCTACGGAGGAACAATGTCCGAGTTCAATACAGTTGAGGCCAACATGCGAAAACGCCGGAAGGAGGCTACTTCTATATTAGAAGAAAATCAGGCTCTTTGCACAATAACTTCATTTCCCAGGTTAGTTCCTATATTAACATGCCCCAGCAGATCTCTCAGAGATACAGGTAATGAAAAGAGCAAGTCACGACCCGGGCATTCCACCTTACAATCCTCATACGTTACAGATGGTTTATCTTTTATAGACTGCACTTGATAGACTCTGTAACAGTAGAGCTGCAGACACAGTTGCATGCCAGCTTCTGTCAGCTGTGGTGGCTGCACCGTGGTGAGTGCACTCAGTGGGGGCTCAGTGGGAAAGACCAGGATACTGTGATGACAGACCAGCAGTGTGGCCGTGTCTGCCGCAGGCGAGGGTGGAGGGAGCAGCACGCCTGCCACACAGTTCTGACCCTGTAAGCAGTAGCCAAAGCTTCTGGAATGCTGTCCCCTGGTGACTGTGACAGTTGCGCCCTCATGCACTTTCAAAAAGCAGCATTTACCTGCTAGCATATGGTGGCATCAGTGGCAGATCAGAGGATCTGCAGTGCTCCCAAAGCACTATCGATACCGATGCTCTATGAACAACGTGAGTCATTAGGTCCTTGCATATTGTTCTGAAAAGAAGATTTAGGGTTTGTCATCAAATCTAGTTATGACCAAAAGTACATAAAAGTAAATAGTGAAATTATGTTCTTCGCTTAGAATGAGGTACATGAATATCATATGTATTATACATAGAACCTCTATGTAAAAATACATTTCTGCCAAAACATGAATGTGATTTATCTATGCTAGATGTCTGTCAGATGGTGACAGTATACTTAGCTCCTCAAAGTTCAAAGGAGCTCTGGGGGTTGGTATCAATGGTGGAGAACACTTTGAACTATTTTTATACCTTTTCTCTGATACGTGTCCGTCAGCCATTCAGGGTCATATCATTGGCCTCAGAGGGGCATTTAAATGGGAATTCTATTTTTTTTTTTATATCTCTACTGTAACATCTAAATAGTTGAAAACTTATTTAAGCCAGCCATCTAACATTTATAGAAGCATCTCTATTTCTGTGATACCTTCATTCTGTATGTACAGGTCACTTCTCTCTCCACCCCCAGAAGGAAAAACCCAGCTGGGTGAGGGTGGACAGATTTGTTTTGATTAGAGTGGGCACATTTCTTCGACCTAATGTTTGAAAGAGGAGGTGAAAAATCATTGGCCCTGCCATTCACTCAGACACTTGAGTGCCTGCTGCAGGCAGAATGGGCATGCTCTCATGAGTGAAGACGGACAGCTCTGTCTCTGTGGAGCTGGGGGGTTGAAGAACAATCAAATACCCATAGATTCATAAGCGTCAAAGTGGGGCTGTGCTAGCAGGAGGAGATGGGGAGCAAAGAGTACAACCTAGGTATCCAGTGGACTCTGGTGGGTGGAGGGGGAGGGGGTGGGATGTCCAAGGTTCCAGGAGGAGTGAAATAGGAATGAGGAGCGGAGGACAGTCTTAGGGAGGGGGAGCAGTGTGTGTAGAAGTCCTAGGATGAACCAAACAAGCGGGGACTTCCTGGGAACTAGAAGAAAGCAAGCTGGCCAGTGTGACTAGGAGGCTGAGGAGGAAGTGCAGGTATGGGGTAAAGGGAAGCTGGCAGGTAATTGGCAGGCCAGGTCAGGTTAACCATAAATTTTAGTTGTTCTCCTAAAAGCAGTTGAAGGCCTTGGAAAGGTTGGGTTGGGCAGATGGCATCCCCTTTTTGCTTTGCAGCCCTCACTTGGGCTGTAGTGTGAGAGTAGCTGTGGAGCTGGTGCCAGGGCTTACTAGGAGGTGAGTGAGGGAGCTCCCTGAGGGGAGACAAGGGCTGCCTGGATGCCCGTGGGTGCTGGTGATAGGAAAAGTGGGTGGTTTAAAAGATGACAGAGTCAGTGAACTGCTGGGGAGAGAAGACACATCAAGGCTTTTGCTATAGGTCATTGTCCTGAAAACCTTAAGAGTACTAGAGTAGAGGCCAAGGAGTAGGTTACAGATGTTAAATGACAACTTCTAGTGAACTGGAAAATTTAATACCTTATATGTTCATTTTTTTCCCCTTAACATTAAGAGGGTTGTACATTTCACTTAGCAAATTAAGAAAGTGGGAGGGGATTTGTAACACAAACCAGAACTGTTTTATATATTAAAGCTGAAGAATATATAGGATTGATGGGCAGTGGTGTTTCCTTCTGGGCCAGAAAATAAAGTTTTGGGTTAAGCCTAATGTGCCCTTTACCTTGAGAATGGTTCCATATGGGATAGTTGCCTTTTTAAAAAAGATTTAGTGTCTGGGCATGGTGTCTTACACCTGTAATCCCAGCACTTTGGGAGGCCGAGGCAGGCGGATCACCTGAAGTCAGGAGTTCGAGACCAGCCTGGCCAACATGGTGAAACCCCGTCTTTACAAAAAATACAAAAATTAGCCAGGTATGGTGGCATGCGCCTGTAATCCCAGCTACTCCGGAGGCTGAGGCAGGAGAACCGCTTGAACCTGGGAGGTGGAGGTTGCAGTGAGCTGAGATTGTGCCGCTCTGCTCCAGCCTGGGTGACAAAGCAAGCCTCCGTCTCAAAATAAATAAATAAATAAAAATAAAAAGATTCAGCATCTTAAGTCATTGTGAAGGGAAAGTTGAGACAGAGGAATAAGCTTTATTCTAAAAACCTGTAATTTAGAAAAAATTATATGTATAATTTTTTATACCCTGTCCATATAGGAAGGTATTTTGGGACTTGAAACAATAATTATTAGTTATTTAGTGGTTAGAAGCCTCCCTATACATCCACAATAAATGATAAAGTTTTGTTGTAGTATAGGATCAAGAGAGAAAGGAGTGCTCTGGTTCTTAAGTGTAAACAGGGTGACTTTATAAAGATGCAAAGATTTATAGTGTGGAACTCTAGTCCAAAACAGTAATCATGTGACTATTTAAAATTAAAATTATATAAAATGAAAATTGTAGTTCCTGATGTGACTGAGGAACTAGCCTCATTTCAAGGGCTCAGTAGCCACGTGGTTAGTGACTACCACATCGGTTTGGATAGTGGAGATATTAAACATTTCCATCACTCCAGAAAGTTCTGTGGGACAGCACTGCTCTAGAATGAAGCAGTGCCGTAGGTGTCCGAAGATGCAAGTTCTGATTCTACCTTCTCCCTTCCACACAAACACATTCTCATTCTCTCTTCATCCAATCTGATTCTGGTGAGCAAGGAATCCCCTCAGATTTAAGTTTATTACTCTCCCAAAGGACTATTCCTAAGGTTCTAGGCTCATAGTAAATAATGCACATAGCTTCAAGAATTCTCAAGAACCCTTGTAGCTGGGAACTGTTTTCTAGATAAGATCACTACCTTCAATTGTTTACAAGGTGGATTTGGGCAGGCAACAGATACTTTATTTTATATTAAGAAAAGGTAGGGGTTAAAAATAAGGCATTGATGGCCAGGTGAGGTGGCACGTGCTTGTAATCCCAGTACTTTAGGAGGCTGAGGCAGAAGGATTACTGGAGCCTAGGAGTTAAAGACCATTCTGGGTAGCATAGTGAGACCTCGTCCCTGGAAAAAAAAAAAAAAAAAAAAAAAAAAAACTTGGTACAGTGACTCATGCCTGTAATCCCAGCTACTCAGGAGCCTGAGGCAGGAGGATGACTTGAGCCCAGGAGTTCAAGGCTGCACTGAGCTATGATTGCACCACTGCACTCCAGCCTGGGAGACAGAGCAAGACCCTTTCTCAGAAAAAAAAAAAAAAAAAAAAAAATTTTTTTTTAAAAGATATGAGCTAGTCTTGATCCTCAAGCCAAAAGTTTCTTCCCACTAATTTAAAACTCCTCCCTTGTTTGGCTTTCGCTTAGTCTTTGTCCTCCCTCACAGCACATGTAATATTGACCTCAAATTCCTAACTTGGAAAAACTGGGGCCATCACTAAAAGTGATGTAGAATTTGAGCTTTACACTTAGGAATAAATATGGAGCTTCATTTTTCTGTGTTGAAATTAGAGCTCCTTAAGTCAAGTAAGAGAATAGGATTGGGTTTCAGACTTCAGAGGGTGATCTCAGGGGTAGATGGGGACACCTGCAGAGACACTCCCTAATCTTGAGGGACTCATGAGGTGACCTATAGAGGCAAAAAACAGGCTCCTTCCAGATTCAGAGCCTACCAGGAAGTGGGAGGCAGTGGTGCCATGCAGCAGGTCCAAAGATAATCTGAGAGTTTAGAGATGGAAAAGGAAGACACCTCATAGGCCATGTAGGGGACACCTGTCACCCATGACAGCTGATGTGACCAAGGGAAATGACTTCTGTGCTATCAGTCCTTCCTATTAGATGAAGAGATGGAGAGGACCCGAGTAAGTGCTGTGTGGTTTGTGAGTGAGTGGAGACTTGGATAAAGTTAGTAGTGGGCTGGAATTAAAAGAAGATCCTTGTGAGCAAGAAGTGTGGGGAGTGGTTGTAAAGGGGCACAGTATTTACACAACATCTGTTTTGTAAACACAAAGCCCTCTGAAAAGGGGATACTAGAAATGAGGTGTCTTTGGCAGGTGCAGTGATGGCAAGACTGCACACAATTAATTCTTGAAAACAAATCCCATCTATTTAGTTCTTCAATTTGTTGTAGATTAGGCTGTCCTGGGTTCACACTGCCCGAGGTCAAACCCAACCCAGTGGAAGGAGGAGCTTCCAAGTCCCTCTTCTTTCCAGATGAAGCAATAAACAAGCACCCTCGCTTCAGGTGAGTATGGCTTTGTGTTGAAATGCAGATGCCCTTCACTAGACCCCTGACTTCTGAGAGTATAGTATTTCTGTCTAGAAATCCTTTTTGAGCATTAACTGAGTTTTGGCTCTCTTCCTAAGTAACCAGAGAAGATAGCAGATGTGCACCTGTTCACATCTTCAGTACCCCCAGGCTTCTTGGTTGTTGATGCGTGCACCAGGCTTGATTTGTCAATTCTCCAAGTCGTCACAAAGTTATTCGCTGAGCCACTGCGAATAACTCTTTTAATAGGGAGATTATTTTCAGTCCTAGGTCTGTAAATGCCTACTGGGATTTTTTTTTTCTCTTAGTTATTTCTCCTTTTTTGTCCTCTCTAACCATCAGTATCTGTGATTTGCCCATCTTACTCTATATAACTTATAAAATAGGTGCAGTACCTGATATATATAATAGGCACTCTCTTCCATTAACTTCAAGTTCTGTTGGTTTGTTGTTCAATTCTGAGGTTTTAAGTTGCTTTAAGGCTCTCACTAGCCTGATCTTAGCTTTGTACAATGCATGCTCATCTGTCATCCTGAGCCTAGGCTCCTGATCCAGAGTGGGAACATGGAGACTTCTCAGCGTTCATTCCTTTAACAGGCCCTCACGTTTGCTATGTGCAGAGCCTTTTGGGGAAGACAGATATTTGTAGACGTAGTTTCTAACTTCATATGTTGTCATGTGTTTAAAGGAAAATAAAAATAATTCAGCTGCTCAAGAAGAGATAGATTATGACAGATGTCAAAAGATGCACCAGAAATCCTTCTTGGAGAAAGTAAGGTGCTTCTGACTGAGGGAATCAAAGCAGGCTTCACGGAAGAGGTGGCATTTAAGCTGAGTCTATAGCAGCACTGCCCATAGAAACATGTAATTGTAAATGTTCTCATAGCCACATTAAAGTAAAAACCAGATGAACATAATTTTATATTTTGTTTAACCCAAAACGTCCAAAAATGTTATCATTTGATCCATGTAATCCTTTACTCACAAGTAATTTTACATTTTTTTTGTACGGAGTCTTCAAAATCTGGTGTATATTTTACTCTCACAGCATGTGCATGTTTTCATTAGGACAAGCCATATTTCAAGTACTCAGTGGCCACTGTGTGCCTGGTAGCTTCTGGACTAAACAAGCATGAGTCTGGAGGATAATTATTAATCCTGCAGAGATGAGGGAGGGAGGAGCAAGGTATTGGGGCTCCAGAGATGCCTGGGCAAAGTGGGTACTAAAGTTTGACCAAAGTCTTTGGAGTTAATTTGGGACATGTTGCAAACAGTGAAAGCAGACCATGGCAGACTTTGAACACCTGAATTGATTTGGTAAGTTACAGGGAGCCTTGGGAGCAGGGGTTGAGCAGGAGACAGAACGGCATTCTCGAGCAGGAGCCAAAGAATTGATACTAATGCAAAATCTTTAATCACAAAGTTCCCTTGTAGTGTCTTGACACCACAGATACATTTTCTGTTGAGTTGTCTTAGATAACTAATTTGAGGTATGATTTCATTCCACTTACTTGTATGTAATCAAATTCTTCTTTTACACGATGACTCTTAGGTGACCAATTTATGACGTTTGGTTGTCTGTTTTAGTACCTTAACAAGAAATATCCGACATAGGAGAGGAGAAAAGGTTGTCATCAATGTACCAAGTAAGTCTACTGAGAGGTGGTGGGGTGGGAGAGAGACATGTTGTATTGTTGTTTAATCCTGGATTCTAAACCATTTTTATTTTTGTATTTTTATAATACAGTATTTAAGGACAAGAATACACCATCTCCATTTATAGAAACATTTACTGAGGATGATGAAGCTTCAAGGGCTTCTAAGCCGGATCATATTTACATGGATGCCATGGGATTTGGAATGGGCAATTGCTGTCTCCAGGTATAGTTTCAAATATACAGAGAGGCAAAGTGTTCCATCCATTTCTGTTTTTTAACTTCTTTATATATGCATGTTTCCTGTTCCAAAAATCACATTTTAATGAGGTTGAAATGGTAGCTGGTATGCCTTTCTGAAAAACATGAAGTTATATTAGTAAATTCATTGGAAGCTGTCTATGACTAATAGTTCTACAGACTCTGTTGTTCACCACAAAGGTATATACGGTATATATACCTTTATAACTGTAATTTCAGTTAACTTAAAATGCAATATATTCTGTCATTGTTTCCCTTCTCTTTTTATATGCCTAGTTTTTACTGCCATCTCGTGACAGGCTAGTGAGGTGGTTTAAATATTGTTCAAAACTCTGAAAATGAGCTCTGATGGAAGTATTCCAATGATTTTGTGATCCAAGGGATTTGTGCAAAGCTGTCTAGCGGTACAAAAAGAATAAATATTTAGCAGCTTGTGTTTGTCTTGCCCCTGAGTAAAGTATACAGGAGCCTGTCTCTGTTTACCCATTTAAAAATTTTCCTGGATCTGTTTAAATGATGGTGCCCCTGGCAGTGAGTGTGTCCAAGCTCACTTAGGACCAGAGTGGAAGAGCATGGAACCCATCAGGTGGCCACACAAAAGCCTGCAGTTGGCTTTTGGCTCTGTCACTACTCAGGTTTTTGGGCAACTCCCTTTACTTCTTTTGGCTCAGATTTTTCATCAGTTGAAAGAAGGGCTGATATTAAGTCCCCTTCTAGGTCTGACTCTAAGCTAATATTTATTTTATTGCCTTAACTAACAGAAGTAAAAGAGAGAGGCTGCTTGTTATTTAATGTCCAAGGAAATTTTATCCAGTTGTGATTACTTCAGCTGATTCAAAACAGCGTCCTTAGAGGCACAGGGCCGTGCAGAGCCTGGACCCATGTAAGACCCCTCTGAGCCGCCAGCCTGACTGCTCTCAGTGCAAAGACCCAGAACCCAGCCTTCCTTCACCTGAAACAGCTGCAGCGTGCACACACACTTCTTGTGCATATATCTCTGGTCTATTTATTTTCAAAACTAAGTATAATCCAAATTGAATGCTGGAATCAGATTTTTCCATTCTGAATGTGTTTAAATAACATGGCCAAGGATAATTTCTTTCTGTTTTCTTGACATTTATAGGTAGTATAAGATATGTGACTTCCAAATAAACATAAACCATCACACTTCACGAAAAAAGAGATCTTTCGACTTTTAACTGCCTGTTTCCTATCTTAATTACAAGTATTTCTAAAGAAAACCATTAAGTTCTAGAGCTTACAGTACATGGTTTTAAAATTGTATAAGTGCTGTTAAGAGTATTGATTGCCTTTTCTTGGTTTAATATTAAACCAGGGTGTTCTGCCGAAGACCGCATAGTTTCTCTGATATGGTTCCAAAGGGATATTCTTTCCACTGAAACACTGTATGTATACTAGTAAATGCTTCCTAATGGTAGATGATAAATATTTTTGTTGCTTGTAGATAGAATTTTTCCATCTAGTGTAAGCTTAGGATTGTTTTCTTTTTCCCAGTGACATGTACAGTTTCACTACTCCACTTAAAAAAAATCGTTAGCTCAGATAAAGTGTGTGGCACATGAAATGAATTTTGCCAATTCACCACCGAAATCCCTGCTTTATATCTCTTCAGTGGAACACTAAACCAACTTCTTTCCCAAGTACACTGATTTGATCTTTACAAATTATATGAATGTATTAAATTATCACATGTGCCCTGAAACTGTGTACATCTATTATGTATCATTAGAGAGATGGAAAAAAAAAAAAGAAACTGCTTAGTAAAGTAGAAAAAATAGTTTTAAAGTAATTTTGTAAGGCTAATGGAAGACTTACTGTATAAAGCAAAAAGGATTTTAACCACATTCAAATTATTGACTGTTTTGGGGCTTTTCAGGAATCACTTAAAAAGCACCAAGTTCACAGCCAGGCACGGTGGCTCATGCCTGTAATCCCAGCACTTTGGGAGGCTGAGATGGGCAGATCACTTGAGGTCAGGAGTTTGAGACAAGCCTGGTCATCATGGCAAAATCTCATCTCTACTAAAAATACAAAAATTAGACCTGGTGGCATGTGCCTGTAATCCCAGCTACTGAGGAGTCTGAGGCATGAGAAACGCTTGAACCTGGGAGGCGGAGGTTGCAGTGAGCCAAGATCGTGCCACTGCATTCCAGCCTGGGGAACAGAGCAAGTCTTTGTCTCAAAAAAAAAAAAAAAAAAAGCACTAAGTTCATGACAGGTTATGGTAGCCCCTCCCACCCCCCCCCCCAAAGTCATGTGACTTCAAATCTGGGTTGTAGATAAAGTTTAGATTAGATGTTTCAGTTTCTAACATATATGTTCCTTAGTTCCTCCCTCCACCCCCAACCCCACCCCCATCAGTTTCCTAGCAACATTGTGTGTCTCCTTCATATGATGCCTCAAAACGACACTAGAAGCCCAAATTAGTCATGTATTCATAGCTTTTTAAGGTATAAGAACTTTTTTTCCTTCCATTAAAGCCATTATCCACAGTGATGTCCTATTTAATTTGATTGCATATCAGCTGTAGACTAAGAAAGCTAATTACTAAATGCATTTAAAATAACTAAGTCACTTCACTGTTGTATACTTCTCTGGGGTTGAATTTCCCAGGATTCACCTACGAATTATGTATTGTATACTAGGCCATCTAAGAGAAGCCAGTTGAAAAACTGGAAAGAAAACCTGCTTCTCATAGTATCTTTTTAAAAACAAAAATGACACATACTCAAATACCTAAGAGCAACACAAAAAAGACCTAAAAAATCTAAGAGATGCATGTTCAAAATAATTCTTTAGTCAAAATACTTGGGAAACATGTAGTTTTTTGTTTTTTGGTTTTTTTAAAATCTCAATGCCTTGTCAGTTTGGCTTTTGGGGTCCCGGTCTTTCAGGTTTCTCACTATACCTTTGACCGCATGTCATCCTCTTTAGCACCCCCCCCCCACTTTTTTTTTTCCAAGATTCTCATTTGTTAAGCACTAACCAGGTATCAGATGCTGTCCTGCGCACTTGGGATAGAGAATGGGAAGAAAGATCCCCGCCCTTCTGGAGCTTCTACTTCAGCAAATAAGTGCATAAAGACTTTGGGTACCAGCTCCCATTTCCTCACTGCTCATGTAATTTCATGCCATATGCAAAGCGATTTCCAAGTTCCCACCTCTTTGCAGAAACTGCCCTTGGTTTGGTTATCAGTGACTTAATTGCCAACCCTTATCAATTTGTGTCTACTTTAACCTTTGAAACTCTTATTCTTTGATGCCTATGACACAGCTTTTCTCTGTGTTGAATTAATTATTAAATTAGTAATGACTAGTTAATACAGTCTCCACATTGACATGAAATGTGGTTATAATTGAGCAGGCAAACTTGAGTCTCCAATAGACATTGCTGTGGAAAACAAAGTTGAGATCTAGCTAAAACCATTGGAACTAACAGGTTGAGATTATAACAGTAAAATATTCACTTAGCTGCTGTTATTTCAAGTCTTAAACACTGAAATTATGTCGTGTACCAACACTAAATTCAAGCTGTCATTAATGAATAACAACATGAAATTCAAACTGTCATTATTGAATAACAACAGAGGAGATTAAAACTGTTCCCAACTTGCAGTTATTACAAATGTGCTAACAAACACAATTTGTGTTCCTTGCCCCTTCTACCGTCTTGGAAAAAAAAGCAGGTTTTTTTTTTTTTGGTTTCTGTTGGGTAACAAAGAATTTATGCTCACCAAGTTATATGATCTTTTCTCTGCCTAACTCTTAAGTGTCCTACCTACCATCCTTGTGCAGGCTTCCTGGGTGATCTCCCCATCTTCAGGACATTCTCTGAGCCTACTCCCCAGGTCTTTCTACAACTCGGGTTTTTCTTCTGGGCACCAGCCCTGAAGACCTAGCCACTTAGAGGGCCTCTTTTTCTGTCTGTTCTCTTGGCCTCGTAAGTCCATCATGTCATGACACCTCTTTATCTCTAACCTCTGAACACCCAAGCCAAAACCTAAGCCATCCCCTACTCTCAGTCTCCCCTTGGTCACCAGTGCCTGCTACTTTGACTTTAGTATCACTCTCCCCACATCTTTCCTCAGCCTTTTCCTTGACAGGTGCAGTATTTTAACTGCTTCCCTGTCTTTCTAGTCTTTCCCCCTTCCAAGCTCTTCACCATACTGCCACCAGTGAAGTTTGAAAACAATAGTTGGCCGGACGCGGTGGCTCACGCCTGTAATCCCAGCATTTTGGGAGGCCGAGGCAAGCAGATCATGAGGTCAGGAGATCGAGACCATCCTGGCTAACACGGTGAAACCCCATCTCTACTAAAAATACAAAAACAAAATTAGCCAGTCGTGGTGGTGGGCACCTGTAGTCCCAGCTACTCGGGAGGCTGAGGCGGAAGAATGGCGTGAACCCAGGAGGTGGAGCTTTCAGTGAGCCGAGAGCGCGCCACTGCACCCCAGCCTGGGCGACAGAGTGAGACTCCATCTCAAAAAAATAAAAGGAAGAAAGAAAGAAAACAATAGTTAACATGTCCAAATCCCTTTTGCATCCCTCACTGACTGAAGGGATAGGAAGGCAACAAGCCAGTAGAAGAGAAAATGCTTTGCTAAACATCATCGTATGTCTGTGTCTTATTTTTCTTTTTTGACTATTTAATCTTATTTCACTTAGGACCTTGGTTATTTATATTAGTTGTCTATAGGCAGTGGAACATAATTAAATACCATTTTCTAGTTAAATTCACCTAAGACAACTTTTAAACAAAACTCTTGCGTTAAATGTTGCCATTAATGAAGCGTTGTTAACTTGCCCCTCTCTGCCCAGCACCTTCCTTCTCTGACTTCACTGCTTGGGGAGCATGCTAATGATTCCTTGGTGTTAATAACTTTGCAATTCTTAAACAGGTGACATTCCAAGCCTGCAGTATATCTGAGGCCAGATACCTTTATGATCAGTTGGCTACTATCTGTCCAATTGTTGTAAGTAGAAATTACCTCTTATTTTAAATACTACTTCGTATGAAATAAGATAGCATGTGCAGAATTTACTGACAGTGTGCTATTTAAGTCCAGTTAAGACCTCAGTCAGAGATGGACTAATATAAATAGTATGTAGGTTTAGGTATAATGAACTGAGAGTCTACACTGTAGAAGTTTACTCTTGCTAGTACAACATTGATTTGTTAAATGTGAAGTTTGAATGTGGCCATTTTCCCTCCCCCATACTTCATGTCCTCACATTAGAGAGAGGATGATTTAAGTGAATCAAACCCAAGGAACTGGATTCTTCCTGGTATATTTCACTGTAAGATAGGCACAGGTACATGTGCTCTGTATGGGTTGCATAAACATGCTTTTTGATCAGAAATATAACTGCATGGAGCTTTTTTTAGCATGTAAGTGACACTTTGAATTTGCAGGAGCTGACTTTTGTTTGTTTTTAGATGGCTTTGAGTGCTGCATCTCCCTTTTACCGAGGCTATGTGTCAGACATTGATTGTCGCTGGGGAGTGATTTCTGCATCTGTAGATGATAGAACTCGGGAGGAGCGAGGACTGGAGGTGGGAATTGTTTTTCCTTAATAGCCCTTTTAAGTCAAGCAGGTAAAATGGATCTTTTGTAACTACTTGCAATTTCAGGATGTCTCCCTGCAATTTTTATCTGAAATGGGGAAAAAGATTTGGTCTAGGTGGGGAGTTAATTTTTATCGTATGTTGATGTCTGTATTTGTTTTAGCTTCATTTAAAATTAGTAGTCCGATTTTTCTATATTTTGGAAGTGCTGATGGCTGTTTTTACCAAAAGGCTTTTTGGTGCCACATGAGTGTTTTGTATATGGTGCTTTCTGCTGTGGAAAGTATAATTTGTTGTCAGAGATTCTTTTTCCATGTAAAAGGTTAGGCATTGACTAATAAGGGTGAGATGGCACCTCTTGTTTGCATGTTGAACTGTAAAGTAACCCTTGCATCTCTCCAACAAGGGGTGTGCATCAGAACCACCCATGGAAATCTTTGAAAATAGACACCCAGACCCTATCCTAGACCTACTAAATAAGAATCTCTAGGATGGGACCCGAACAAGGGTGTTTTTAAAGGAGCCCTCATAAGTGGTTTTGATATTCTCAACCAGGGCTATACTACTACTGCTCTGGTCTTCATGTAATTGTTCATAAATTGTTGAACATGCTTTCTAAGTAGAAATAAACTTTAAAGGATAATTATTTTGATAGGTTTATCTTACGTTATAGATTTATTTATTTATTTGCTTTTAACCTTAGTATTTATTTTCCCTAGCTTAATAAGAATGAAAGTGATCTGCTTTTAAAAGATAAAAGTATATTTAAATCATACCAGAAAAAAAGGGTATTTAAATTGCCTTCAGATTTTAAAAAACATAATTTTCCTTAATAATACTTTTTAGGGCTCACTAACTTTTTTTCTGTATCTTATGTTGAGGTTTTTATATAATTATCATATATAAAAATATATTCCACTCATTTTATATAGCATATTCATTTATATATATTTTTAATCTTTAGCCATTGAAGAACAATAACTATAGGATCAGTAAATCCCGATATGACTCAATAGACAGCTATTTATCTAAGTGTGGTGAGAAATATAATGACATCGACTTGACGATAGATAAAGAGATCTACGAACAGCTGTTGCAGGAAGGTGGGTTTCTACTCCATCTTTCTGGGTTTGAATGTACGCCTTTAGTTCTTCAAAGCTCTTTTACACTTTTTTGCTGACTCCTGGTCTGGTTTCTATTTTTAGTGCAAAGTCTTTAACTTCTCTCATGAGGCTACTTGTTCCTAAAGTTTCAGGTTCCAAATACTTGTGAGATTTTCTTGATTTTTAGCAAAAGGAGCTTACTTTGGAGGTCTGTGTCTAGGTCCACACCAGTGCCCCAGCAGGCATTGTGTAAGTAGTGAATAAAACGCTGACACTCCCGCAGTGTCCGCAGGATAAAATACTGGGTGAGGTGAGGATACTAATCAAACCAGCTATTTCAAGCTTCTAGACACCCTTTCTTCAAACTTCCTGAGCTATCCTGTCGTCTTTCTGGACTAAGAGGAAGTGGTATCTCTCGCTTTGCAGTGAGTTCCCATGTGATCTCTTTTTGCAGGCATTGATCATCTCCTGGCCCAGCATGTTGCTCATCTCTTTATTAGAGACCCACTGACACTGTTTGAAGAGAAAATACACCTGGATGATGCTAATGAGTCTGACCATTTTGAGGTATCTTCTCAGTTTTATTTTTATTTATTTATGTATTGACTTCTGAGAGTCTGGAATCCTCTGTTTTATATGCATTTCACTTCACAAACCAACATGGGGAGGCAGTTTTCTGTACCTGTGGAGAACACAAAAGAAATTTCATAAGACTTTCATTTACCCAGTGCAGTAAAGAACTTGGACAAATAAAAAATCGGTTTCAAGTACTCTTATTTTACGATTCTTACTGTTTATCTCACTGATTCTAATTTTTTTTTTTATTGTTCAGTATTTTCTTATTTGCCTAGTGGTGAAAAATTCAAACATACACTGCACAAAAAATAACCTGATCAGTTATTTCAGTGCTTCAGACATATCACCTTTTTTTTTTGTAGATAGACTTCTCATAGATTTATTTCTGTGTCATGTTATATGTAGACATTGACATATATACCTTTTGAAATACCATCTATATCCCCTTTCTTTCCCCCACCAAACTCACAAAAGGAGATATAAATCCTTCCAGTCTTGCCATCGGGTCCCAAGATGGTCAGGACGGAGAAAGAACTCTCTCTCAGTGTATTGAGAAACAGCTACCCTTCTTAGGCTCTTGGGTCATCGAAGCAGCAGCATTCCCAGGAGAGGAGGAAGAAAGGAAACAACTGTCATGTGACAGGGTTCTCAGATGAAAGTGTCCAGTGTCACCTGGAAAGGCAGGCTGGCTCCTAAAATTCTCAGGGATGAAGGTGGGGGCCCCGTGGCTCTTCAGATGCTGCTCTGTAGCTGGGAGATAGGGAGTAGGAGCTGGGTGAGATTAAGCTTGCAGTGATAGGGCCTCATAGCTTTTGTTAAACACTTGGCTGTTTTGTTTTCCTAAAAGAGCACACTCGAAGAAAATCTTCAATTGTACCTTTTTGTCTTTGTCAATTGAAATTTGGTATGGACAGTGAGCAGTCTTCTTCCTTAATTAAATACCAGATCATCTTAATATTTTCCTGGATGTGTGAAAAGTTGGTTTTCTTCTCTGCTTTTGTATCACAGAATATTCAGTCCACAAATTGGCAGACAATGAGATTTAAGCCCCCTCCTCCAAACTCAGACATTGGATGGAGAGTAGAATTTCGACCCATGGAGGTAAGACACATGCATCAGCAAGAACTGACTCAAAAGTACTCTTTCGCCAGCTGTTCATCACCCTTCTGATGCTGCTATGAGAAGGCTCTTATATATAAAATAAAAATTAAGTATGTGCATGGTAGCAAGTCAGTCCAAGTTAAGGAGGGTTGATTTCTGAGAATAGATGTGGGCAAAGGGCTTCCAGACCCAGATGGGGAATTAGGAGATGGCTTGGGAATGACATGATCTGAGGAAGGGCCTGGGTCAGGGAAGAGCATGTTTGTGTAGTTGGTTCATAACTTCTCTGGGCTTCTGCTTGTCTAGGTGCAATTAACAGACTTTGAGAACTCTGCCTATGTGGTGTTTGTGGTACTGCTCACCAGAGTGATCCTTTCCTACAAATTGGATTTTCTCATTCCACTGTCAAAGGTAAGGATATGTTTCTTTATGGTGATGGGTATAGATCTATCTGTAGATATATTTATTTATATATGCTATTTATTTCCCACCTAATTTCATTTGAAATTGTTTACCCTTTGCAATAAAATGTTTCTCCATCAGCCCTATTCTTTATTTTCTTTTAAACCTAAGCTTAATTTCTAGACGCTTTCCATTCAAGATGATTGATGGCTAGAAGTAGTCCTACACATTGATTTCATCCACCACAAAATCCCAGGTTGATTACAATGTTAAATTAGGATGGGGAGGGAAAGTGTAACTGCTGGAATGCCGGTAAAAGTCTCCTCAGTAGAACTGAACTTGAGATATTTCTGAAGAATTCGGATGGGATTGAACTCTCAGAAAAACAAATTGGAGTTAATCTGCCCCCCAAAAGACCAAAAAACAAGCTTTCTGGGAGGAGTTTGCCAGCAAAACAACTCCAGGTGATGAGGGAGCAGAGCTGTGGGTTGTGGAGCAGTAGCTGAGGAGGTGAACGCCTTTGGTTTCTGGGCCAGGGTTCCTCTTGGCAGAGAGTGGCTGGGAAAAACTGCTAAATAGAGAGGGCCCTGCCGCAGGGGTTCCTGGTTGAGGGTTTCGGGGCCAGAGAATGGAGAAGTAGGGTAGCCCTGTCACAGCAAACATGGAAGCAAGAATGAAACTGCTTAGCTCCAGCATCTGCCCCTGGGGCATCTCCTTCCTCCATGAGGGGTTTGCCAGACTGTGCTCATCCCCACACCCCCTGAAGGAAATCTGGCTGTCAGCCCATCCCTGCCTGCTCCTCACACCCAGACCAAAGGTCACCCACAGAACTCTGTGGGCCCACATTGCCCTCATGCCTACCTACTGGGGAGACCAAATCCATCTAAGAGAGATTCCATGTAAGCTACCAGTCTAAGCCTTTGCTTATAAATAAGAATAGATGCTTGGAAGGCAACAGAAAATTGAGAACAATTAACAGCCTTAAAGAGAAGGGCCTACTGGTCTTGCAAGGGCATACTCTGTAAAGTCAAACTTAGTTACTTCAAGGAAGTAAGCTGGGCCCAGCGCAAATCTATAATCTCTGCTCCTCAGGAGGCTGAGGCAGGAGGATTGCTTGAATCCAGGAATTCTAGTGCAGCCCCGACAACATTGCCAGATCCCATCTCTTGAAAAAAAAAAGCAACTGGAAAGAATTACTATTTTTTAAAAAATACTTTTAAACCTTTTTTAGAGACAGGGTCTCACTATGTTGCTCAGGCTGGTCTCGAACTCCTGGGCTGAAATGATCGTCCTCCTGCTGCCTCAGCCTTCCAGGTAGCTGGAATTACAGACACAAACCACCATGCTCAGCTTTGGAAAGAGTTCTTAAAGGAATTCTAATTAGTGGCCTCAGACAAATTCTAGAGAGGTTCAGTCACATCCATAAAACAAGTATTATAGATTGTGCTTATTTAATGGTGAGTATTCTCACCAGTAGAGCAGATGTTGAATATCCAAGGTAGTGATTTAAAAGACCAAATGAAGATTAATCCCAGCAGGATGGTGAAGAAATGGAAATTATGGAAATCCTGAAGCATGGAAAGCTCTGGAAAATTCAATGTTTGTGTAATAATTTAGAAGAGGAGAATAGTTTATATAGGAAAGATATACAATAATCAAAGAAATAATAGAATTTTTCCTTAATAAGTCTTCCTTAAGGATGAGACAAATATTTAACTCAAATGTAGGCATTTATTAATCTCAAAGAGAAAATTAACTGTCCGGACAGGAGAAAAAATTAGGAGACATGAAAAGGGGGGAAAATCAACTGATATTACTTTTCATTTGCAACATTAAATGCTAGATGGAAAGAAGTTTTCAGAATCTCGAGAGGTAAAGAATTAACAACCACAGAATTATCTTCTCAGCCAAATTATTCTTTAAATTTCAGGTGATTCTAACAAAACTGAATGGATCAAGTTAGGGCTAAAAGTATGCCAGAAGTCTTATCTAGTGTCTTGGTTTGTTTGGGCTGCTGTAACAAAAATACCTTACAGTGGGTGGCTTATAAACAACAGGAATGTATTGCTCACAGTTCTGGAGGCTGGGAAGTTCACGATCAAGTCACCGGCAGTTTCGGTGTGTGGTGAGAGCTTTTGCTCTCTGGTTCATACATGGTGCCTTCTTGCTGTGTTCTTACATGGTGGAAGGAGCTAACTAGCTCTTCAGATGTCTCTTCGTAATACCAGTTATGAGGGTAGGGCCTTCATGACCTCCCAAAGGAGGTCCTCCCAATTGCCTCCCAAAGGCCCTACTTTCTAATACTGTCACAATGGGCATTAGGCGTCAGTGTATGAATTTAAGGGAACACAGACATTCAGACCATAGCACCTTGTAAGGGGATATGGAAGGAGATGAATGGTAGATACTCATTAGTGCTTGACACTTAGAGAGTTATAATTTCAAAACTACCTCTTTAAGGAAAACTATTAATAGTATAGAAACAGGATTTATTACTTTTAAACTTGCTGGCGAAAGGGTGGCAAAATGAACCACAAATACATTTCAGTGCCACAAAATTGGGTGTGGGGCCAGGGGAGTGATGAAACAATAGCCCATAGAACATAAAGTGGTGAAAATAAAATGAAAACAAATTTGAATAGACTAAACTCTATCCTATTAAACAGCTGAAACAGATAATATAAAATAGCAACACAGTTTGCATAAGATGTACGTAGAACAAGGACAGATGCCGACAAGAGCTGCATAGTGACCTTTTGGAATGATAGCAGGAATGGCAAAGCAATATCAGGCAAAATGTGAGGTAGAAATTATTAAATGGGATAGAGAAAGCAGTTTTATATATTCTTCCAAGATGATGTGAAAGCTGTGGTCCTTTTTGTACCATGAAATGTAACATGAAAAGAGTTTAGTGTGATGGGTAATACATGGCTTTGATGTGAGAACTAAATGCATAAATCCCTGGTACTATTTACTAGGCTTTTAACCTGGACAAGTGACTTATTCTCAGTGCCTCAGTTTCCCACATGTATCCCAGAGGGGAATAAGTAGGCTGTTGTAAGCCCGTGTGGGGATTAATGGAGGTAAACCACTTAACAGAGTACCTTGCATGTTACTCAGTAACTGACAGGCCATATAATCAAAGGATGGGAAAGGCCATGGGGGAATTAAAGGCATGGTTAATAAGCTTGGTTGTATGCGTATATTACGTATCTCATACCACATCTTTTTTCAAATGCCATGAGTAAGATTTACAAAAATTAAAGAAAATCTTCACTTCTCAAAAGTAGACATAATACAGCATGCGTTCCCGCTAAAATTCAACGAAAGAGATACTCTGGAGAAATTTAACATTGGAAATTAAAAATGTCTTTCCAAGTAGATTTTAGATTAACCAAAACTAGAATTACAGATTGTGTAGGAAAGTGAAAGACATGCTGGCAGAGCTGATGTCTAAGGAAAAATTATAGCTTTAAATGTCTTAACAAAAAGATTTTAAATCTAAGTCATTGAGTATCTAAAGAGCAAAGTAAAATATACTTTGAAAGGAAGTCATCAAAGCACAAATTATAAGTGGTCGTTATGAACTTTTTTCAAGACTAAGGAAAAAAGAAACAAATATTAATAATGAAAGCAGATGTTCACAGCCATGGTGGAATGTATACTATTTATTTGAGTATGCTCCTAGAGTATCTAGATTCTTCAGAAGGTCCTGTGTGTCTCTTAAAAAATGAAACCATAACAATCGCACTCCCTGCATAATGAATATGGGAGGAGACTTGGTAATCAAGAGAGCTTATGTACCATCTGTCCCATGTCAGCCTGGCCCTCTAACTGGTCACTGTTGTATATATTGAGGTCCCACATAAGATTTCATTATAGAAAATAAGGGATTACTACTAAAACGTTTTTTAAATTCTGCTTTGAGAGTCTTAAAAAGTCATTGGAGATACAGAGAATTCACAAATAAAACAGTTTTCGGTTTCATGAGTGAGTCTACATGTCCGGAGGCACCAGATGGGTAAAACAGCAGTGATCTTCTGCCCTTGGGAGGGCTGTAACCTTATTCCAGATATGACAACCTATGAACTGTCTTTGCCTTTCCTCACTAAAGTGGGGAGGCAAAACCCCAATGGCGAGGCAGCAGGGGAAGAGCACTCAACTTAGAAGAACCGGGTTATAGGCCGGGCGCGGTGGCTCACGCCTGTAATCCCAGCACTTTGGGAGTCTGAAGCGGGCAGATCACTTGAGGTCAGGAGTTCGAAACCAGCCTGGCCAACATGGTGAAACCCCGTCTCTACTAAAAATACAAAAAAATTAGCCGAGTGTGGTGGTGCAGGCCTGTAATCCCAGCTGCTTGGGAGGCTGAGGCACAAAGAATTGCTTGAACCCAGGAGACAGAGGTTGGGGTGAGATGAGATTGCACCACTGCACTCCAACCTGGGCAACAGAGCGAGACTCCATCTCAAAAAAACAGAAGAAGAACTGGGTTCTAGTCCTGCCTTCTGCCTTCGTTACCCTGGGACTCCTGGTGAGACACTGCTATATAAAGGGAACCAGCCACCTGCCCTCCCAACACTGTATATCTGTTGCAAGGCTCAGTCACAGAGGTGCTTTGAAATGCAGACGTTCCACATGAATATAAGTTTTGGGTTTTAAGTTTCTCTTAAAATTCCCTGATTGGTTGAAAAATCACATACCAATCCATGATTGAGTGATACAGTCCTCACATAAATAAAAAGCCTGTTCCTCCCACTGGGAAGCATTTGAGCAGAAAGTAGAATCCCTAAGGGAATGAGTCCTAATTGCAAAGGTGAGGAAGGTGCTGCAACTTGTATGTCTGATCAAGAATATTTTGACTTAGTCGTGATTCTTTTTTTCCCTTAGGTTGATGAGAACATGAAGGTAGCACAGAAAAGAGATGCTGTCTTGCAGGGAATGTTTTATTTCAGGAAAGATATTTGCAAAGGTATTACATTATCTTAGATTTCTAATGTCAGCTTATGCTGCAACAAGCTGCTAAAGCTCCCCTGACCCTCTTCTCCGGCAGGTGGCAATGCAGTGGTGGATGGTTGTGGCAAGGCCCAGAACAGCACGGAGCTCGCTGCAGAGGAGTACACCCTCATGAGCATAGACACCATCATCAATGGGAAGGTAGGAGGGTGGCCCTGTACAGTACCCCTCACTGTGCACATCCCCCGGCAGGGAGTTCATAAAGTGTCCTGCTTCTTGTAGGAAGGTGTGTTTCCTGGACTGATCCCAATTCTGAACTCTTACCTTGAAAACATGGAAGTGGATGTGGACACCAGATGTAGTATTCTGAACTACCTAAAGCTAATTAAGAAGAGAGCATCTGGTATGATATCTATTTTTCTTAATCTCATAATATAGACAGCATGGTATAATCTTAGAATGTTCAATTTCTTAAAGTAGTCTTTTAAAATAATGCTGTATTCATGCACAGTTTCACATTTTTATATTTCTGCAATTGTATTCACCTTATAATCTTTGACACTCATAATTTAGATTAGTAGTGCTTTTTTTCTTATCAGTTCATAAAATAGGGGTGCATCTGAAAATCACTGGCATCTTAGATGATGAAATGGCATCTGGATTGCTTACTTATCATTTACGTCCAACTGTGTTGATCTTACATCATCATGGGCCCTTTTATAGGGCTAAGGAACTCTGTAAGTTAAATAAGCTGAACAGTTCTTTAGCCTGCCTTTGTACATACAGTGAGGCTCCTGAGAATCCCCTTTCTTTGTTAGTTTTGAGGAGGTTACATTTACAATACAGTACAGTAACCAAGTACTGCTAACACAGTACTTGGCACAAGGGAGCTGTCAGCTGTTAATAAAGTGACAGCAATAATGGTAATGGCATCTGTATTTAACTCAAGGCTTCTGTAAACTTTCTGGAGTCACAAAGGATAGCCGTAGAACCCTACCTCACCCCTCAAATGGTATACTGCCAATTTCCCACTTCATTCACTCTACTTACTGTTCTTTATTCTCTCCACCTCTTTGATCAAAGATCGCTCAAGGACCCTACAGTCCTCTGAGGCAGTCTCATGACACTGGCATTTGTAGTCCTAGCCCTCTGGCCAAATGGGAGGGCACATGTTCTTGTACACATGTGCTGGCTCCTGTTCCTTAAGAGCTGGCAGTGTCAGCATATGGGTGGCATCTAACAGGTACCATAGAAACTGGATGTATGTGTTCTCATTGCCTGCCTGCAACCTAGAATTCCTGCCCAGGAGGAGTTCTTCAAACGCTATGAAAGATGTTCCCACCCCCTGCCATGCAGCTACACTAAAAGGACATATTGATTTCTCTCCAGAATTGTGTTTATGCTGACCACTAAATATCAACTTATTAAAAAAAAAACTTACGTGGTTTTAATTTTTTTTTCGCTCCCCCCTCGCCCACAGGAGAACTAATGACAGTTGCCAGATGGATGAGGGAGTTTATCGCAAACCATCCTGACTACAAGCAAGACAGTGTCATAACTGATGAAATGAATTATAGCCTTATTTTGAAGTGTAACCAAATTGCAAATGAATTATGTGAATGCCCAGAGTTACTTGGATCAGCATTTAGGAAAGTAAAATATAGTGGAAGTAAAACTGACTCATCCAACTAGACATTCTACAGAAAGAAAAATGCATTATTGACGAACTGGCTACAGTACCATGCCTCTCAGCCAGCCCGTGTGTATAATATGAAGACCAAATGATAGAACTGTACTGTTTTCTGGGCCAGTGAGCCAGAAATTGATTAAGGCTTTCTTTGGTAGGTAAATCTAGAGTTTATACAGTGTACATGTACATAGTAAAGTATTTTTGATTAACAATGTATTTTAATAACATATCTAAAGTCATCATGAACTGGCTTGTACATTTTTAAATTCTTACTCTGGAGCAACCTACTGTCTAAGCAGTTTTGTAAATGTACTGGTAATTGTACAATACTTGCATTCCAGAGTTAAAATGTTTACTGTAAATTTTTGTTCTTTTAAAGACTACCTGGGACCTGATTTATTGAAATTTTTCTCTTTAAAAACATTTTCTCTCGTTAATTTTCCTTTGTCATTTCCTTTGTTGTCTACATTAAATCACTTGAATCCATTGAAAGTGCTTCAAGGGTAATCTTGGGTTTCTAGCACCTTATCTATGATGTTTCTTTTGCAATTGGAATAATCACTTGGTCACCTTGCCCCAAGCTTTCCCCTCTGAATAAATACCCATTGAACTCTGATGGCTGTTATCAAAGGAACTTTTCTTTGTTTAAATTTGCTGATGCAGGAATTAAGTTTAAACACAACTCTATAGAAAGAAAGGAGATTATTACCCAGAATTCACATGTAGTGATTATTAAGGACAATTTTTTTTTTTAACTAAAAAAGTTGGCGGCAGGGGTGGGGGGTGGCAATCATTTTTCTTCCTATACATACAAAGGATATTGTCAAAAATGGCGTTCTTCTCTTGTGGCCTGTTATTCTGATTGCTGCTGTATACAGTTTTGTCACTCTTTAGTTTTTAGTTAAGCATACTGATAGACTTTCCTCTAAAAGCCATTCACTCCAGATTTTACCTGGGGAATATTCTACATACTGCTTACTTTCTCTATAAAACTCATCAATAAATCATGAAAGGCACTGAGTTTTGTAAATCAGGACCCTAAATGTTTAATTGTAAATAAGTTTCAGATAATTATTATAGCTTTGCGTTGAAGTTTGTTGTTTTTTTTCTCAACTAGTTAAGTCAACTGCTTCTGAAATAACTCTGTATTGTAGATTATGCAGATCTTTACAGGCATAAATATTTAAACTGTAATATGCTAACTTGAAGAGATTGCAATAAAGCTGCTTCAGCTAACCCTGTTTATGTTTAAATACTAGGGTTTGTTCTATATTTTATACATGCATTTTGGATGATTAAAGAATGCCTGGTTTTCGTTTGCAATTTGCTTGTGTAAATCAGGTTGTAAAAAGGCAGATAAATTGAAATGTTTGTGGTATGAGGAAATAAAAGAATGGAATTAGCTTTCATTCAGAAACCTTTGAGTGTGTGTGAGTTCCACAGCTAAACAAATAGTAGAAGAGTTTGGTTTTTGTAATTAACCCAAATACCATGAAATTATTTTTTCATCATTGCGACCTCAGATGTTTCTAGAAAGAAGCATAGTGATGAAGACAAACAGATGCCGTATCTCCCCTAGTAGCTATCAACCCCGGTGGGGAGAAAGAACTTGAAGTGTGACTGAATTGACTGCTGTGCCACTGGAAGATTTTTTTTTTCTTTTTTACTCCCAACTGCTGTTGTGCTGGGTCAGTGGGTACATGGTGAATGAATGTTGAGTAACCTGGGTGCTGTGCACACTGCAGTCTAAGCAGGAGATACTTTTCTAAGCAGGAGATACTTAGACTGTGAGTCAGCAAGTCCTGCAGAGAGCTGTTTTCGACTCCTGTCTTTGGATCAGTATTCACCCACACACACACAGAGTTCGTGAAATAATGTTCATCTGAGAAACACACTTTTCTCAGAGCTCTAATTTCTTTATTTGAATGTTCCTAGGGCAGTGCTTATCAAACTGTAGTCTACATACAAATCTCTTTGGGGTGTCATTCTGGCTTGGTAAGTCTGGGGTGGGGCCCACATTTCTTAACAAGCTCCCAGGTGATGCTGATGCTGTGGATTTGCTGGCCCCATGAATAATAAGGACTTTCTCTACCTGAGTTATGGACACATCAATATCAAGTCTCAAATAACACTTGCTTTTAAGTCTAATGTGATATGTCTACATTTTCTCTTATTAAAGACCAGATAGTGGTCTTCTTTCTCCAGGACAGAGAATGTAAGCCTCACAGCTCTCATGAGCTTTACCATCTGAACACAGCTAAGAATTTGGGATTTTAGGAACAGAACTGTAAATCTTAAAACAAGCAAAAAGTGCTTTCTCCTTGGTAGAAATACCTGTGGCCAAGCCCAGACCTTCAGATCCTAACTTGGGATACAACTGATTGTTACTTAACCTGCTGCTAACCTAAAGACTAGTTTTCTGCTCATCTAGTCCCCTGTGTGAATAAGAGGTTTCCTCCTGGTCCCAGGATGCCTCTGCTGCTCAGCTCATCTCTGAGGCTGTCTGTGAGCCTTCAGTTCAGAAATTGAGGGAAAATCCATTGCCTTGGATGTCTCCTTCCAAATCACCACCCAAAACAAAAATTAGGAGACGTAGAAATCCAGGATGTGTTGTGGGTTAGGCCATATTCTGAGGAGTTGGAAGGTTTCTTGGGGACCTGAAGTCTCGTGAAGAGAAAATGTGGAAATAAGTGTCCTTCAAGCCATTGTAGTGCTTGACATGGGGGAAAGAGGCCAGGGGGAGGGGGACCTGTGGTGCCAGGGCCTTTCAGAGCTTGGCTAGATGAGGGGGTCCTTCTCAGAACTGTAAATAAGCTGCTCAGTTGCATGATTTTCAGAGGCCCTGCTAATGAGCTTTTTGTTTGGGTTAAGCCTCCCCTGCTTTCCCTGAAGATAAGCCACTGAGTTCTATCAGCTGCTGTCTTCTCTCCATTATGCTTTCGTATAAATATTTAACATTTCCTATAAACAATTCTGGAAGTACATGCCAAGTGATACTTATGGAAGTGTAAGAAGATGTTTCAGTTCAGGCTGCTATAACTACCACAGACTGAGTGACTTACACAACTGACATTTGTTACTGTTAGGGAGGCTGGAAGTGCAAGAGCAAGGCACTGGCGGATTCAGCTCCTGGTGAGCGCTCTTCATGGTTTGCAGATGGTTGTCTTGCTGCGTCCCATGTGTTGGAGAGATCATTTCTCTTGTATCTCTCCTTATCTAAGGACACTAATCCCATTCATGAGGGTTCCACCCTATGACCTAATTACCTCCCAATGGCCCCAACTCCAAATACCCTCATACTAGGGGTTAGGCTTCAACACAGGGATCTGGGGGAGACATTCAGTCCATAACAGAAGGGAATGGGAAAGGACTACTGTAAGTGAAGAGGCCTTGGTGGGCAACCTTGGCTGGGAAACATATATTCCTCACTATTGTGCTTTCCTGGTAAGCAGAGGCTGAGATAAGCTAGATAATCCCTAAAGCAAGCCCCTTTTCATTCTCAATATTCTATAAAATGAAACATTACAAATCTAAGTATGGAAGATGCATTAAAGAGAACCGTGAGCTGGGTGCAGCCTGGGCAACATAATGAGACCCCCATGTTTACAAAACAAAATTAGCTGGATGTGGTGGTGTGCACCTGCAGTCCTAGCTACTCAGGAGACTGAGGTGGGAGGATCACTTGAGCCCAGGAAATCGAGGCTGCAGTGAGCTGTGATCATGCCACTGGACTCCAGCCTGTTACCTCTGGATGGAAATGAACAAGTACCAAAGAGACAAACTTCTAGGTTGCTAGACATGTTTTATATCTCAATCTGGGTGACGATTCATGGATATCAAGATGTTTAAAAATGACTGGCTGTACACTTAAGATGAGGGCAGTTTACACATTTTGGGTTTGTTATGCCTCAAACAGAAGCAAAATGTGGGTTAAACTGGTTCAGAAAGGAGGAAGGAGAAAAGAAACTTTTCTGAGCAAAAACTAGTGTATTAGTCCGTTTTCACACTGCTGATAAAGACATACCTGAGACTGGGTAATTTATAAAGAAAAAGGGGTTTAATGGACTCACAGTTCCACGCAGCTGGGGAGACTTCACAATCATGGCAGAAGGCAAAAGGCACGTCATTCATGGCAGCAGGCGAAGAGAATGAGAATCAAGCCAAAGGGGAAACCCCTTATAAAATCATTAGATCTCGTGAGACTTACTAACATGAGAACAGTATGGGGGAAACCGCCCCCCATGATTCAATTATCTCCCACCAGGTCCCACCCACAATACGTGGGAATTATGGGAGCTACAATTCAAGATGAGATTTGGGTGAAGACACAGCCAAACTGTATCATAGCGTGGCGAATGTGTTGAAAAACTGCATTTTTATGCCCTTTTAATACATTACACTTTCATCATGGCAAATGAAAGCAGTTTAAAAGCCAACATCTCAATCAAAAGTGATTCATTCTGAAGTTCCTAGGAAGTTTATCAGCATTGTGTTGGGACAGGATACAAGTACTTCTAGCATAAAAGCAAAAGTATAGAACTGAGTTCCAATCTTAATATTTATACATACTAGCTGGGTGACTTTAGACTTTGTCTATATATCATCTGTGAAATAGACATGAGAACACTTCGCCGATTTGCTATGTGGTGGAAATAAGGCAATGTACATAAAAGCAAAGGACATAAACTGTTCAGGCAAGCCATGTTTGCTCCCTACTCTGCCCCTGGAGAGTGTGACAACACTATTATATTAAAGACGACACAACCTGCATCTACTTTCTACCAGTATATAACACACATTTTCTTAATAGTCTCCTTTGAAATAATTTAGCCTTCCAAGAATGCAATGAAGTCAGCAGAGAAAAACAATCATACTGATGACTTAGGATCTAAAATTTCTAGAAAATGAAACATGAGAAGCTCTTCATATGTTTTTATCACCTCTCAAACAGTCCTGGTGAGTTTCCCAGAACCTTTTTTGGCTTTGTCCAAAATAAAGCCATGTGTTTTGAATACTATTGGTCTTTCTGCAAAGTAGAGACGCTTGGCATATTCAGAAATTTTGGATGCAAGTGACAGAAAACCCCCACACCCACCAGCTTTAGAAAAAAAGAAAACCTACCAGCTAATATCACAGAAACGTCCAAGAGGTGGCACTAGCTTCAGGCACAGGTTATTGGCTCAAATGCTCTCAAGTCCCGTCTCCCGATTCCTGGCTTACACCTTCCACTATAACGGTTTCACTCTCAGGCAGGCTTTCTCCATAGAGCACACTCCCCCAGTGCCCAGCCCTATCCAGCAGCTCCAGCAACGCCAGGCATGCATTACAGTAGCTGGGCAACCCCAGTGGAAAAGAGCCTCTCATTTGCCACAAGTGTATAGGAAAGTCTGGGTCTGTCTGAGTTTGTGCAGAATCATGATGTGATTCTCTAATGAGTCAGGAGACTGGGGTTCTAGTTCTGACTCTACAACTAGTGTTTGTATGATATTAAGCAAGTCATTTCCTTTCTTTGGACCTCAATTGTCTCATCTATAAAACAGAGGAATAAAATCTCAATGCCATCTTGAGTCAGTTTTAGAGCTAACAACATTTCTTAAGTTATCCACACTAAAAACTGTTTCCTCTGGAAGTTTGATAATAGTGCCCTCTAGCGATCTTTTCAGTAGGTGCCTTTTTATTTCATTTGGTGTACAAATATTCCTCAATTCACAGAGACATTCAGAGCGCATTTGCTATAAAACGAAATTCCACATCGAAATATATTTTTCCATTCTCATTTTAAAATAGAAATATGCTTGTGCTCCAAAATAAGTAGCTAAAACTGTGGATTTCACATTTATTACTGTTTTAGCTGCATCTTGGTCGTTCGGTTATATTGTACTTTCATTGTTGTTCTTCGTACGTGTTTTCTACTATCCCTTGTGATTTCTTCTTTGGCCATGGGTTACTTAGTAGAATGTGGCTTCATTTCAAAACCTTTGGGAATTTTCTAGATGTCTTTTTTATTATTGATGTCTAGTATAGTTTCATTTTGATCATAGAATATTCTGTTATTTCAATGTGTTGAATGTTTGACCTTTTAATAGCCCAGGGTACAGTCTTTCTTGATGAATATTCCATGTACACTTCAGAATAATATATAATTGGTGTGTATAGTGTGTAGTTTTCTTTAGTAGTTGAATTTTTGATAATGTTCTTCAAATCATCTGTATCCTTGCTGCTTTTCTTTGCCTACTTTTTTTTCAATTACTGAGAGTGGAATGTTAAAATCCCAAAATTTGATTGTGGATTTGTCTGTTTCTCTATAGTTTTGTCAGTTTTTGCCTCATACACTATGAAGCTCTGTTAGGTATCTTCACACTTAGGAATTGTATGTCTTCTTGATGAATTGATCCTTCTATCATAATAAAGTATCCCTTTTTAATCTCTAGGAATACTCTTGTTTTGAACTTTACTTTGTCTGATATTAATACTCCATGTCAACTTTCTTACAATTAGTGCTTACATAATAAATATTTTCTATCTTTTTACTTGCAAACTAGCTATGATTTTAGAATTAAAGTGTTTCCCTTTAAACAGCTTCTAGTTGGGTCTTTCTTTTTTTATCCTTTTTAATGGAAGTGCTTAGTTCATTAACATTTACTGTAATAATTGATATGGTTGAGTTTAAGTCTACCATCTTGTTAGTTTCCTATTTGTTTCTAATGTTCTCTTTCCTTTAATGCACTTTTCCTGTCATCTTTTGGTATCCTATTTTATGTCCTCTATTAATAATATCTTGTATTTAAAAATGATTTCTCCAAACAACCCCATCAAAAACTGTGCAAAGGATATGAAGAGACACTTCTCAAAAGAAGACATTTATGGGGCCAAAAAACATGGGGAAAAAGCTCATCATTACTGGTCAATACAGAAATGCAAGTCAAAACCAAAATGAGATAGCATCTCACACCAGTTAAAATGGTGATCATTAAAAAGTCAGGAAACAACAGATGCTGGAGAGGATGTGGAGAAATAGGAATGCTTTTACACTGTTGGTGGGAGTGCAAATTAGTTCAACCATTGTGGAACACAGTGTGGTGATTCCTCAAGGATCTAGAACCAGAAATACCATTTGACGCAGTGATCCCATTACTAGATATATACCCAAAGGATCGTAAATCATTCTACTATAAAGACTCATGCACACGTATGTTTATTGCAGCACTATTCACAATAGCAAAGACTTGGAACCAACCCAAATGCCCATCAGTGGTAGACTGGATAAAGAAAATGTGGCACATATACACCATGGAATACTATGCAGCCATAAAAAAGGATGAGTTCATGTCCTTTGCAGGGACATGGATGAAGCTGGAAACCACCATTCTCAGCAAACTAACACAAGAACAGAAAACGAAACACCACATGTTCTCACTCATAAATGGGAGTTGAACAGTGAGAATACATGGACACAGGGAGGGGAACATCACACACTGGGGCCTGTCAGGGGGTGGGTGGGCTAGGGGAGGGATAGCATTAGGAGAAATACCTAATGTAGGTGATGGGTTGATGGGTGCAGCAAACCACCATGGCACGTGTATACCTATGTAACAAACCTGCACGTTCTGCACATGTATTCCAGAACTTAAAGTATAATAAATAAATAAATAAATAAGGTATCTCTTTGCATATTTTTAAATGATTATAATATTCATCTCTAACTTACTACAATTAAGCATAGACTAACACTAAATCAGTTCATATACAAGGAAACACCATAGAGGAGTACACGTTCACCCACCACCTCCCATTCTCTGCGCTACTGTTGTCATATATTTTACTACCACATTTTTTTTTAATTTTATTATTATTATACTTTAAGTTTTAGGGTACATGTGCACAACGTGCAGGTTTGTTACATATGTATACATGTGCCATGTTGGTGTGTTGCACCCATTACCTCGTCATTTAGCATTAGGTATATCTCCTAATGCTATCCCTCCCCCGTCCCCTCACCCCACAACAGGCCCCAGTGTGTGATATTCCCCTTCCTGTGTCCATGTGTTCTCATTGTTCAATTCCCACCTATAAGTGAGAACATGCGGTGTTTGGTTTTTTGTCCTTGGGATAGTTTGCTGAGAATGATGATTTCCAGCTTCATCCATGTCCCTACAAAGGACATGAACTCATCATTTTTTATGGCTGCATAGTATTCCATGGTGTATATGTGCCACATTTTCTTAATCCAGTCTATCATTGTTGGACATTTGGGTTGATTCCAAGTGTTTGCTATTGTGAATAGTGCTGCAATAAACATACATGTGCATGTGTCTTTATAGCAGCACGGTTTATAATCCTTTGGGTGTATACCCAGTAATGGGATGGCTGGGTCAAATGGTATTTCTACTTCTAGATCCCTGAGGAATCGCCACACTGACTTCCACATGGTTGAACTAGTTTACAGTCCCACCAACAGTGTAAAAGTCTTCCTATTTCTCCACATCCTCTCCAGCACCTGTTGTTTCCTGACTTTTTAATGACTGCCATTCTAACTGGTGTGAGATGGTATCTCATTGCGGTTTTGATTTGCATTTCTCTAATGGCCAGTGATGATGAGCATTTTTTCATGTGTTTTTTGGCTGCATAAATGTCTTCTTTTGAGAAGTATCTGTTCATATCCTTCGCCCACTTTTTGATGGGGTTGTTTGTTTTTTTTCTTGTAAATTTGTTTGAGTTCATTGTAGATTCTGGATATTAGCCCTTTGTCAAGTGAGTAGGTTGCAAAAATTTTCTCCCATTCTGTAGGTTGCCTGTTCACTCTGATGGTAGTTTCTTTTGCTGTGCAGAAGCTCTTTAGTTTAATTAGATCCCATTTGTCAATTTTGTCTTTTGTTGCCATTACTTTTGGTGTTTTGGTCATGAAGTCCTTGCCCATGCCTATGTCCTGAATGGTATTGCCTAGGTTTTCTTCTAGGGTTTTTATGGTTTTAGGTCTAACATGTAAGTCTTTAATCCATCTTGAATTAATTTTTGTATAAGGTGTAAGGAAGGGATCCAGTTTCAGCTTTCTACATGTGGCTAGCCAGTTTTCCCAGCACCATTTATTAAATAGGGAATTCTTTCCCCATTTCTTGTTGTTGTCACGTTTGTCAAAGATCAGATAGTTGTAGATATGTGGCATTATTTCTGAGGGCTCTGTTCTGTTCCATTGGTCTATATCTCTGTTTTGGTACCCGTACCATGCTGTTTTGGTTACTGTAGCCTTGTAGTATAGTTTGAAGTCAGGTAGCATGATGCCTCCAGCTTTGTTCTTTTGGCTTAGGATTGACTTAGAAATGTGGGCTCTTTTTTGGTTCCATATGAACTTTAAAGTAGTTTTTTCTAATTCCGTGAAGAAAGTCATTGGTAGCTTGATGGGGATGGCATTGAAACTGTAAATTACCTTGGGCAGTATGGCCATTTTCACGATATTGATTCTTCCTACCCATGAGCATGGAATGTTCTTCCATTTGTTTGTATCCTCTTTTATTTCATTGAGCAGTGGTTTGTAGTTCTCCTTGAAGAGGTCCTTCACATCCCTTGTAAGTTGGATTCCTAGGTATTTTATTCTCTTTGAAGCAATTGTGAATGGGAATTCACTCATGATTTGGCTGTTTGTCTGTTATTGGTGTATAAGAATGCTTGTGATTCTTGCACATTGATTTTGTATCCTGAGACTTTGCTGAAGTTGCTTATCAACTTAAGGAGATTTTGGGCTGAAACGATGGGGTTTTCTAGATATACAATCATGTCATCCGCAAACAAGGACAATTTGACTTCCTCTTTTCCTAATTGAATGCCCTTTATTTCCTTCTCCTGCCTGATTACCCCTGCCAGAGCTTCCAACACTATGTTGCATAGGAGTGGTGAGAGAGGGCATCCCTGTCTTGTGCCAGTTTTCAAAGGGAATGCTTCCAGTTTTTGTCCATTCACTATGATATTGGCTGTGGGTTTGTCATAGGTAGCTCTTATTATTTTGAGATACGTCCCATCAATACCTGATTTATTGAGAGTTTTTAGCATGAAGCGTTGTTGAATTTTGTCAAAGGCCTTTTCTGCATCTATTGAGATAATCATGTGGTTTTTGTCTTTGGTTCTGTTTATATGCTGGATTACATTTATTGATTTGCATATATTGAACCAGCCTTGCATCCCAGGGATGAAGCCCACTTGATCATGCTGGATAAGCTTTTTGATGTGCTGCTGGATTCGGTTTGCCAGTATTTTATTGAGGATTTTTGCATCAATGTTCATCAAGGATATTGATCTAAAATTCTCTTTGTTTGTTGTGTCTCTGCCAGCCTTTGGTATCAGGATGATGCTGGCCTCATAAAATGAGTTAGGGAGGATTCCCTCTTTTTCTATTGATTGGAATAGTTTCAGAAGGAATGGTACCAGTTCCTCCTTGTACCTCTGGTAGAATTTGGCTGTGAATCCATCTGGTCCTGGACTTTTTTTGGTTGGTAAGCTATTAATTATTGCCTCAATTTCAGAGCCTGTTATTGGTCTATTCAGAGATTCAACTTCTTCCTGGTTTAGTCTTGGGAGGGTGTATGTGTCAAGGAATTTATCCATTTCTTCTAGATTTTCTAGTTTATTTGCATAGAGGTGTTTATAGTATCCTCTGATGGTAGTTTGTATTTCTGTGGGATCGGTGGTCATAGCCCCTTTGTCATTTTTTATTGCGTCTATTTGATTCTTCTCTCTTTTCTTCTTTATTAGTTTTGCTAGCGGTCTATCAATTTTGTTGATCTTTTCAAAAAAACCAGCTCCTGGATTCACTGATTTTTTGAAGGGTTTTTTATGTCTCTATTTACTTCAGTTCTGCTCTGATCTTAGTTATTTCTTGCCTTCTGCTAGCTTTTGAATGTGTTTGCTTTTGCTTCTCTAGTTCTTTTAATTGTGATGTTAGGGTGTGAATTTTAGATCTTTCCTGCTTTCTTTTGTGGGCATTTAGTGCTATAAATTTCCCTCTACACACTGCTTGGAATGTGTCCCAGAGATTCTGGTATGTTGTGTCTTTGTTCTCATTGGTTTCAAAGAACATCTTTATTTCTGCCTTCATTTCGTTATGTACCCAGTAGTCATTCAGGAGCAGGTTGTTCAGTTTCCATGTAGTTGAGCGGTTTTGAGTGAGTTTCTGAATCCTGAGTTCTAGTTTGATTGCACTGTGGTCTGAGAGACAGTTTGTTATAATTTCTGTTCTTTTACATTTGCTGAGGAGAGCTTTACTTCCAACTATGTACCACGTATGTTATGCTGCTCACAATCCAGTGTTGATGTGTACTTTAAAAGTAAAATATGTCAAGGCTTTATATCTAAAATATGGGAAGAACTCTCAAAACTCAACAGAGAAAAGCAAACAATCTAATCATAAAACGGGCAAAAGTCATAAAAGAACTATTTCACCAAAGAGGTGAGGCAGATGGCAAATAAGCACGTGAAAAGATGTTTGACATCATTAGCCACTAGGGAAATGCAAATTAAAACCACAATGAGTATTACTACTTGCCTATTTAAAGAGTTAAAATAAAAAACTAGTGATAATACCAAATGCTGGGAAGGACACAGGACACCTGATTACTCGTGTGTTGCTGGTGGGGATATAAAATAGTACAGCCACTCTAAGAAACAGTTAGGCAATTTCTTATAAAACTAAATGTGTGATTACCATTCGACCCAGCAGTTGCACTCTTAGGCATTTATCCCAGAGAAATGAAAGCTTATATTTACACAAAAGCTGTATACAAATGTTCACAACAGCTTTATTCCTACTAGCCCAACACAGGAAACAACCCAGATGTCCTTCAAGAAGTGAATGGCTGAGCAAATTGCAGTACATCTATCTCATCTAATACTACTCACCTATCTCATCGAATACTACTCAGCAACAAAAGGGAATAAACTAGTGATATCGGCAGCAATCTGGATGAGTCTCCAGTGAATTATAATCAAGAAAAAAAAAAGCCCAATACAAATTGGTTGCTAGAGTTTCAGGATGGGGCAGGGGGATACAGGAGAGAGGTTGGTGTGGTTATAAAAGGCCAGTTCAAGGGATCCTCATGAAAGATAGAACTGTTTGGTGTCTTGACTGTCAAGTGGAAACATGAACCTACAATGGTGATAAAATTGTATAGAACTAAATACACACACACACACACAAATGCATACAAGTAAAACAGGAGAAACTGAATAAGATGGGTCGATCTTGTCAATGCCAATATCTTGGTTGTGATACTGTACTACAGTTCTTCAAACTGTTTCCACTGGAAAAAAATTGGGTGAAGAGTACATGGGATCATTCTGTATTATTTCTTATAACTGTATATAAACCTAGAATTACCTCAAAATTAAAAGTTTAATTTTAAAAAGGTAATTATACAGGCACGAGAACGTATAAAGAGGTACAAATGTTCCCACCATTAAAGAGTTTATCATGGAGGCAGGGTTAGGAAGCCAGTGGTTTTAGAGATGGCAAAGTTTTGTTGATCACATTCAGGAGACGGTGTAATTGTACCAGATGAAGTCTGTACTCATATAATCATACCAGTGGACATTTATTGCACAAATCTAAATGCTTTCCATGTGGCATCTCAGTCTTTACTAGAACCCCTGCAGTAGGATATTATGATTGCCATTTTGCCAGTAATGAAACTAAAGCATAATCAGGTTAAGCAACTTGCCCATTTTTTTTTTCAATCCAAGACAATCCTGATTTGGCTAATCTTGACTGATATTTTGGTGCTTATATATAAAGAGCTCTGGATTATTTGTCAAAAGTCTTGAGGGGGTGGGCACAGTGGCTCATGCCTGTAATCCCAGCACCTTAGGAGACCAAGGCGGGAGGATCACTTGAAGCCAGAAGTTTCAGACCAGCTTGGGCAATATAGTGAGATTCCTGTCTCTGCCCAAAAAAATAAAAATTAGCTGGGCACAGTGGTGTGTGAGTGTAGTCCCAGCTACTCAGGAGGCTGAGGCGGAAGGATTGTTTGAACCCAGGGCTTCAAGGTTACAGTGAGCTACAAATGTGCCATCGCACTCCAGCCCGGGCAATAGAGTTAGATCCTGTCTCAAAAAAAAAAAAAAAAGAAAAGAAAAGAAAACAAAAGTCTTGGGTTCTAGTCCCACTTTACTGCTGATTAACATTTTAACTTGAAGAGTGATTCAATCACTCGGTTGCCCCACTTGAAAAAAAAAAAAAGCTGGAGTACATATCTAGAATCCTTACCACACGAACATTCTATATTTTTGGTTCTTTGACTCTAAAATGGTCAGCTTAAAAGAGTGTTTTCCATCCCTCTTTTGGCTGTTAGAGCCATCCCTGGTGACTTTACCCCTTTCCCCTGAACCTTTCATATGTTTATTGAGCATCCACTCCAGTTGTGCACTGGTGTTTGTTTTCACGGGGTTACTGGTACCCTCCACCCTCACCCCTCTTTCTCCCTGCAGAAAGCTTTTCTAATACTTTCAGCCGTGGTCAATTTCAGGTGATAGCAATGGTAATCATTTATTGAGTACTTACCAAATGCTAGAGACTGACACAGGCTATGTCATTTTTTCAATACCAAGCCCTGTGAAATGGGTACTATCAGACCATTTTTACACCTGTGGCTTAGAAGACTTAAATGTCTAGTGTAAGGGCGGTTGTAGTGGTAGGCAGAGGCAGGTCTCAAACCCTCGCCTACCTAACTCAGACACACTTGGCAATACTATATATCTCTTTAAGCCTTTCAGAGGATATGTTTTAGGAGGTGGATTGTTCCATTTTATATATATATGAACATGATAGACAGACAGATAGATAGATAAATAGATAGAGATAATTTTAAACGTGCTCACTTTCATTTATGAAAATTTACATTTGATAACTAAAAGAGCCTTGCAATTCCAGCATCTCCCTCATGGTGGCAGTAGAAGACTAAGTCATGTACACGCAGCCTCCAGCACCAACAACTAACCCAGAAGAAACCTCCTTAATAAATCAGCTTTTGGTCAAGATTGGTGTTACGTAAAATGCAAAATTAGGACCCTCGGAAGGGGAAAAAAAGAGTCTCAAGTATCTAGGTTATTGACCCCAGAAACAAAAGAAATTTGACAAACTTGCAAAACAGAGACAACAACTTCCTATGGGGGAAAAAAAAACAAAGCAACTACTTGTTGCTGCCCACCCGTTTAGTAACTGGCCTTGGTAGTCTTCCAGCAGCAAGCACAATAGCCTTGTCCACAGATGCTTTTCCCATTTCCTCGGTCCCCTTGAAACCAAGCTTTTGAGAACAAATAGTTTATTTCTCCTTTCTTAATTTGCTCTGAAGGTTTTTAACACAGCGATAACTGGCATATAGAAATTTCACATATTTTTCTTGATCACTATGGCCTATCAACCCCCGCCTGATGATTAAATGAAGGACGATGTATCCAAGGTTCTTAAAGAACTTGGTTGCAACGAATGAACACAAAAAACACCAGACAATAAACATGTATTGAATTATATCTGGGTACAGTAGACACCATTGGGCAGACTTCAGAATTAGCCCCCGGAAGTTTTGCTTTTGCTTGACTCTTGGTCATAGCTGATTGGACTAGAAGTGAACACCTGACTCAGGAGGAGGAAGTTCATTGGCTGACCAGGAGCCAATTAGGGTCTCTCTCTTGAGAACTCTGACTAAGAGACAGAGATGCAGGTTATTTAGTCCAGTTGCGGGTGTAGCATTAGACAGATATAAAACCCAAGAACTCTTGGTACTGAGGCCTGGTTGTTCAACTTTCCTCGGATTTTAGGGGGTGACCAGGATCCCTCCCAGCAAAGTATCATTTTTGTTTAAGCTTAATTTCAGTGGGTTATGTTACATGCATTCTCCATCAAAGACTCCAAGCCCTGTGCAAAGTGCAGTGAGGGCATACAAAGAATTTATGACATTTCCCTGCTCTCCTGGGTATGGGTAATTTTCCTTGCTGTAGAGAGAACAGGGTCTCTGGAATTCAACCCACCTTTGTGACCCTGTGAATGTTCCTTTTTTTCTCTCTCAGAGATTCAACTTTGTTCTCAGTAACATGGAAATGATAGCATCTGCCTAACAGTCATTTTGAACAGGAAGCGTCCCTCTGGCCGGGTGCCTCGTGCATGGCAGATTATCAGTAAATGTCAGCCTCTGCACTGCTTTGCAAGTAGGTCCTTTGGCCGCTCTCAAATGCAAGTCACACAAAGATTGTGGGAGTTTTTTTTTTTTTTTTTTAAATAGAAAATACATCATTCCTATAGAGAAAAAAATACAGTCACATTTAATAATGGCTGTTTAGACAGGGACAGGTTCTCTCGAGCCTCTGGAGGTGGTGGAAAGTGGAGGTGGGTCACTGATCCCAAGAAATAAGCTACAGGACTGAGGCCAGTTTCTGGAGAGGGGATGGTCACTCCTATATTTAAGCCAATAGTGAAGGTTAAGTAGGAGAGTCCAGAGGGACCCTTGAGCCCACTTGCTTGACAATATTGGTGCAGGACAAGTCTAACCCTCCTAACTGGGCAGCTGCCCCCTCCCAATAGTGGTCTCTCTTATGGAGAAAATTTTTACCCGATCAACTTATTCTCGTGAAGCACAAGGGCCTGATATGAACACCCCTTCTGTAGGCATTTTCAAAGAACTTAGTGAGGGTAACAGAAAGAAAAACCTCTATGCATCGAACTTCAGGCACCATCGGAGAAATGTCTTTTCTTAGATTGGCTTTCAAAGTATCTTTAAATCACCCTATTACAAATGGGGTATTAAATAGCCTGCTCTGCCTAGAGAAAAGGTTCCCAAGATTCCTTGTAGCTGCTGGGAAGTTACTGAAATCCTCAGTGACGTGTTTTGAAAAAGTGTTGACAATACAGCGGAAAGTTGCATCTGGCAGCTAACAAATATTTCTTGAGGGTCCACTCGATGCCAGGGATTGTTGCCCTGAAAATGCAAGGCTACCAAAACAAGCAGTTCAGGCCCTCAAGAACCCTGAATGTTCATGAGTACCCACCAAGTGTCACATAGAGCTTATGTCTCAGATGTTTTTCACAGTCCACCCCCCCAGGATGCATTTCCAAATTCTGTGGAGAGCCTAGAACTGTTTCCTCAAAGCCCTTTAGAGCAGTGAGGCACCAATATCTCTCTTTATTACTCCTTTTTCTTTTCTTTCTTTCTTTTTTTGTTTTTGTTTTTTGTTTTGTTTTGTTTTTTTAGAGATGGAGTCTCACTGTATTGCTTAGGCTAGTCTCAAACTCCTGGGCTTAAGCAATCCTCCCATCTCAGCCTCCTGAGCAACTGGGACTACAGGAGAGCACCACCATGCCCAGCTTTATTACTTCTTTTTAAAAAATAAAACTTTTTTTTAAAAGCAGAGAACGTGCTCATTCATTCTGCAGCTGGATCTTGAATAACTTTTCCACTTTGAGAGTTCTGACCCCAAAAACATTGCTGTCACTTTCCAGGTGTTCTATCCTTCCTTGGACCCCATAGCCTGGCTGCCCAGGTCAGACAAGTATGGAACATTTGTTTGTGAGGACAGAGACAGCCACTGGCAACATACCGAGGTATTACAGAGACTTGCTGTGAAGCAAGGCCAACAAAACATCACTTACACAATCAAATAACAAAGAGGGGCATCTTTTTCAAAATTAAAGGTCTATGTGTAAATAAATTCTTTCTGAAAAATAAACAAGATATGAGATAAGGATCCAGGTTTGCTTTGGTATCACTATGGTTACTAGAATGATGTTCAAGACATTTTCACCATGTTCTCCTCCTTTTGAATGCACGCCACAAGTAAAGCATGCCTGAGTTTGGTCTAGAGAGCCTAGGGTGCATTCTCTTTCATGGATGTAGAAGGGATGCAGTTAGCACATTGCTAGTCTTAAAAACAAACAAAAATCCTAGGGAAGATCCTCTCCTTTACTGGCTCAAAAAAGCCCCTGGTAAGAAAAAGTTGTTATACTATTAATGACATGACTGTTTGGTATTGTAAATATCACTCTCAATCAACCAGTATTAGTGAGCACTTCTGAGCACACTCACCATAAGAAGTCATTTACCCGATGGTTATTGAAACTGTTCCATATGAAATTTTGAATTAGTTGCTCAATGTTCTCATTTTTGCCACAGTGTTTTTCTTGACCTAGAGACATACTCAGTTCTATTCCTCATAAGAACAAACTCTTAACTTTGTTCCTGTAACCTAGACTGAGGACTCAGAACTGACCTCGTTTCACTGCTGCATAATACCATATTTCCTGTTTGACAAAGATCCTACCTTGAGCTTGCAAAGACTCCCTGCTTCTTAAAACTGAAACTGGACCCCTTCCTTACACTTTATACAAAAATTAATTCAAGATAGATTAAAGACTTAAATGTAAGACCTAAAACCATAAAAACCCTGGAAGAAAACCTAGGCAATACCATTCAGGACATAGGCATGGGCAAAGACTTCATGACTAAAACACCAAAAGCAACGGCAACAAAAGCCAAAATTGATAAATGAGATCTAATTAAACTAAAGAGCTTCTGCACAGCAAAAGAAACTATCATCACAGTGAACAGGCAACCTACAGAATGGGAGAAAATTTTTGCAACCTACTCACTTGACAAAGGGCTAGTATCTAGAATCTACAAAGAACTGAAACAAATTTACAAGAAAAAAACCCCATCAAAAAGTGTGCAAAGGATATGAACAGACACTTCTCAAAAGAAGACATTTATGCAGCCAACGAACATATGAAAAAAAGCTCATCATCACTGGTCATTAGAGAAATGCAAATCAAAACCACAATGAGATACCATCTCACGCCAGTTAGAATGGTGATCATTAAAGTCAGGACACCACAGATGCTGGAGAGGATATGGAGAAATAGGACTGCTTTTACACTGTTGGTGGGGGTGTAAATTAGTTCAACCATGTGGAAGACAGTGTGGCGATTCCTCAAGGATCTAGAACGAGAAATACCATTTGACCCAGCGATCCCATTACTGGGTATATACCCCAAGGATTATAAATCATTCTACTATAAAGACACATGCACACATGTTTATTGCGGCACTATTCACAATAGCAAAGACATGGAACAAACCCAAATGCCCATCAACGATAGACTGGATAAAGAAAATGTGGCACATATACACCATGGAATACTATGCAACCATAAAAAGGATGAGTTCATGTCCTTTGCAGGGACATGGATAAAGCTGGAAACCATCATTCTCAGCAAACTAACACAAGAACAGAAAACCAAACACCACATGTTCTCACTCATAAGTGGGAGCTGAACAATGAGAATACATGGACACAGGGAGGGGAACATCACACACTGGGGCCTGTCAGGGGTTGGGCGGACCAGGGGAGGGATAGTATTAGGAGAAATACCTAATGTAGGTGATGGGTTGATGGGTGCAGCAAACTACCATGGCACGTGTATACCTATGTAACAAACCTGCACGTTCTGCACATGTACCCCAGAACTTAAAGTATAGTAAAAAAAGACTCCCTGCTTCTTAGTCATTTTCCCTGATAAACATATAAAATGATTGATCATGAATAGAGAGAAAAAGGCACAAATAAGGACAGGAGGCAGTAGAACATAGAGCTCAAGGAACAAGGTCTCTGGCATCTGATTGCTTGACTTTAACTATGTGACCTTGGGGAAGTTACCTAACCTGCTTATGCCTTAGTTTCTTCGTATGCAAAGTAGGGATGGTAATAATAGCACTTACAGAGTTGTGAGGATAAAAGAACTAGTACAAGTCAAGCATTTAAGATAGTGCTTATAGAATAGTAAGCACTCAATAAATGCTAGCTATTTTTCTAGCTGAGTGCAGTTTTAAAAAATTATCCTTAAAAAAAATTCAAAAGACTACTGTAAACTTTAAGTTGATATAAAACTCATAGCAAAACATCATCAAGAAAATGGAAAGCTAAGCCGGGCACGATGGCTCATGCCTGTAATCCCAGCACTTTGAGAGGTCGAAGCAGGAGGATCACTTGAGGTCAGGAGTTCAAGACCAGCCTGGCCAACGTGGTGAAACCCCGTCTCTACTAAAAATACAAAAATTAGCTGGATGTGGTGGCGAGTGCCTGTAATCCCAGCTACTCAGGAGGCTGAGGCAGAGAATCACTTGAACCCAGGAGGTGGAGGTCACAGTGAGCCGAGATCATGCCACTGCACTCCAGCCCGGGCCACAGAGTGAGATTCGACCCGCCCCCACCCACCCCCAAAAAAAATTAAAATGGAAAGCTGAATAGCTAGCTGGGGAAAATATGTGACACAATATAACAAAAGGTGAATGTCCTTAATATATAAAGAGTTGGTAAACATTGACAATTAAAGATATTAAGACTGCCTAGAAAAGGCAAAGGATATGAAAAAAAATTCACAAAAAAGGGAAAGCTTGAAAAGCCGTCTTGTGTTAATGGATTGGAAAACTTAATACCGTTATGATTGAGTACTACTGAAAGTGATCTACAGATTTAATGCAGACTTAAACGAAATGTGACATATACATTTCACACCAGTCAGAATGGCTGTCATTAAAAAGTCAAAAAACAACAGATGCTGCCAAGGTTGTGGAGAAAAGGGAATTCTTACACACTGCTGATGGGAAAGTAAATTAGTTCAGCCTTGTGGAAGGCAGCTTGGTGATTCTCAAAGAATTTAGAACTACCATTCAACCCAGCAATCCCATTATTGGGTATATACACAAAGGAATAAAAATCATTCTAGGATAAAGACACGTGCGTGTGTATGTTCATTGCAGCACTATTTACAATAGCAAAGACATGGAACCAACCTAAATGCCCATCAATGGTAGGTTGGATGAAGAAAATATGGTACATATACATTATGGAATACCACACAGCCATGGAAAAGAACAAGATCATGTCCTCTGCAGCAACAGGGATGGAGTTGGGGGCCATTATCCTGAGCAAACTAGTGCAGAAACAGAAAACCAAACACCACATCTTCTCACTTATAAGTGGAAGCTAAGCATTGAGTACACAAGGACATAAAGAAGTAAACAACAGACACCAGCACCTACTTGAGGGTGAAGGGTGGGAGGAGGGTGAGGATTGAGAAGCTACCTGCCTATCAGGTACTATGCTTATTACCTAGGTGGCAAAATACTCTGTACACCAAACCCCTGTGACACACAATTTACCTAAGTAACAAACCTGCACGTGTACCCCTGGACTGAAAATAAAGGTTAACAAAATAAAAACAAATAAAGATTTAACAAAACCAAAGGTGGGAAAATGTGGTTGGTATATACATGCAATAAAATATTTAGCCTTTAAAAAAAGGAAATTCTGACACATGCTACAACATAAATGGACCTTGAGGACATGCTAAGTTCAATAAACCAGTCACAAAAGGACAAGTATTGTATTTTTCTAATCATATGGGGTGTTTAGAGTAGTCAAATTCAGAGACAGAAGGTAAATCATGATTGCTGGGAACTATAAGGAGAGGGAATGGGATATTGTTGTTTAATGAATGTATAGTTTCAATTTGCAAGATGAAATGGGTTCTGGAGATTGGTTGAACATGGATTTACTTAACTACAGAACTGTACACTTAAAAAATGGTTAACTGGTAAATTTTATGCTATATGTATTTTAACCACAATTAAAATTTTAAAAATAAAAATTAAGAAAAAAGGGAAGGCTAGGCCGGGCATGGTGGCTCACGCCAGTAATCCCAGCACTTTGGGAGGCCAAGGCGGGTGGATCACCTGAGGTCATGAGATTGAGAGCATCCTGGCCAACATAGTGAAACCCCGCCTCTACTAAAAATACAAAAATCAGCTGGATGTGGTGGCACGTGTCTGTAATCCCAGCTACTTGGGAGGCTGAGGCAGGAGAATTGCTTGAACTTGGGAAGCGGAGGTTGCAGCGAGCTGAGATTGCACCACTGCACTCCAGCCTGGGCGACAGAGAAAGAATTCATCTGAAAAAAAAAAAAAGAAAAGAAAAGAAAAAGGGAAAGCTAATGAATGAATAGAAAAATAAACAAACCTACTTGTAATCAAGGAAATGAAACGGGAAATGGAATTAATTTTTGCTAACAAAATTGGTAGAGTCGGGTTTTTTTAAGAGTATAATACACAACACTGGCAGAGATAAAGCAAAATGGGCACTTTCCCACACTTCGATAACACTAACCTAAGAGCTTTAAAATATTCATATTTTTACTGAGATAGTCTATTTCTAGGAATCTATCATAAGAAGATGATCAGAAATGCAAAGTGCATATTATATATATATATTCATGTATATCAGTATAACAATATCTCTTCATAGTGCTACTTATAATTTTAAAAAATTAGACAACCCAAAGTAAGTCTACTGATACAGAAACAGTTATAAATGTTATGTTTTGGAATGAATGGTATGTAGCATTTGCAACTGCTAGAAAAGGTATTTATGAATAATTTTTAATGACATGATAAAATAATCATCATGTGGTTTTAGTACATGACACAGATCATGGAGCCTGATATGCAATAAAATAACAACTATGCAACAAATACAAGTAAGCATACTAAAAAGAATGGAAGCAATTTGAAATATGCACAGTGATTTCCTTTAGCTGGTCAGATTTTGGATGGTTTTAATTGTTTCTTTATACTTTTCTGTCATTTTCATTCTTTTACGTAAAGTGGATCTAGGAACACTGCAAGGCCTCCATGGAAGATGCTGTCTTTACTTTCAATCTCATGCCAGATCTGTTAGCCAATGGCTCTCAACTAATGGACATTAGGGTTAACATCAATTAACTCTTCTTCAATTCTCAAATTTATGTTTGTTTGTGTTCTAGACTCCAGTCATAAAAGATAGCCTTAAAATATTACTACATGTCAATGATGTGAGATTGAGGAAAAAATATATAAAAATAAATTAAAAATAAAAAATAATAACATTACCAAGTTTTTAGTTACTAGCTTTTTGTTGCTCTGTGGTAGTAAAATACATATACAAGAGTATTATTATAACTTTTCAGTGACTAATGGCATTATTTTTTGTTTGTTTGTTTGTTTGTTTGTTTGAGATGGAGTCTCGCTCTGTTGCCCAGGCTGGAGTGCAGTGGCGCGATCTCGGCTCACTGCAAGCTCCACCTCCCGGGTTCACGCCATTAAGGGCAATTTTATATATATATGTGCTCCTAACAATACCACTACAATTTTTATAGTCTTAAAATTTGCCATAAGCCAGCTTCTTTCAACTTTGTTCTACAGAGCACCTTTCTAAAAGGTGTTACCAGGTAAGCCAAGTTTGAGAAAACCTGCTCTTTTTTTTTTGTTTCCCAAACTTATTTGACCATGGACCACTTTTATCAAGCAGTGTCTTTTAAAAACATCCCATGAAACTGTGTTTCCTAGGAACCCATTTGTGAATGCTGCAGTAATATGTATGGTAACAGAATGCTAGTGAATAGGAGAATGTATTTTCTGGAAAATGTAGGATTTTTGTTTCTACTGTAATCATACCTAAAATACTTTATAGATGGGTTCAAGAATGTTATGGACTGAACTGTGTCTCCCTCAAAATTCATTTTTGAACTCTCTTAACTCCCAGTATCTCAGAATGTGACTTTCTTTGGAGATAAGGAATTTAAAGTGGTAACTAAGTTAAAAATGAGGCCATCAGAGTGGGCCCTAATACAACATGATTGGTGTCTTTATAAGAATAAGAAATTTGAACACAGACTCACAGAGAAGAAAGATTATGTGAAACCACAGGGAGAAGATGGCCATCTACAAGCCAAGGAGAGAGGCCTTGGGAGAAACCAATCCAGCTGACACTTTGATCTAGGGTTCCTTGTCTCCAGAATTGTGAGCAAATAAATTTCTATTGTTTAAGCCACCCAATCTGTGGTGCTTTGTTATGGCAGCTCTAGAAAACTCATGTAAATGGTGTACAAACACAAACATCCCTGTACAGGCCAGGTGGGAGGGCCCTGATAGGAGTATTTGACTGTCAATATTGTTTAGAATTCTGGGAGCATGGTGTTAATAACAAAGACTGATTTTTCAGTTGGTTTTATTATTGCTTTTAAATTTTCCACAGACAGTGTGTCTCCTTGCTGCCACCTTCACCAATCCTCTTGGCACACCATTAATGTCAATCAGTGTTGTTGGTTGAATTGTATCCCCACAAAAGACATGTTGAAGTCCTAACCCCCAGTACCTGTGAACTTGACCTTATTTGGAAAAAGGCTTTTGCAGATGTAATCAAGTCAAGATGAGGTCTTATTGGATCATGGTGGGCCCTAAATCCACTGATCAATGTCCTTATAAAAAGAGATATTTGGAGACACACAGACACACAGGGACAAAGGCCGTGTGAAGATGGAGGCAGAGATTGGAGTTACACTGCTGCAAATCCAGGAACGCCAAGGATTGCCAGCAACCACCAGAAACTAGAAGAAGCAAGAAATAATTTTTCCATAGAGCCTTCAGAGGGAGCATGGCCCTGCTGACACCTTGATTTTGGACTTCTAGCTGCTGGCACTGTGAGAGAATAAATTTCTGTTGTTTTAAATTGCCCAGCTTATTATATTATACTTCATTACAGCCAATCCAGGAAACTAACACAATCAGGAAAAGCTGAAACTTATTGATTACTGACTTAAACAGTCCTCTTCCTATTTAAAGTCTATTCACCGTTTGGGATACTAATTACAGACTTACCTATTTCTCCTATTCTGAGCCCCCAGTTGATTGGTCACTCAGAAATGATTGAAGGGAGGTAGAGCAAGATGGCTGGATAGAAGCTGCCACCAATTGTCCTCTCCACAGGGACACCAAATTGAACACATATCCACATAAAAACACCTTCATAAGAACCAAAATTTAGGTGAGAGATTACAGTACCTGGGTTGAACTTCGTATAACTGAAAGAGGCACCCAGTGCTGCCCTGTCACAGCAGAAAGCAACACCAGGCAGAACTCAGCCAGTGCCCATGGAGGGAGCATCTAGACTAGCCTTAGCCAGAGGAGAATCAGCCATCCTAGCAGTCGAAACCTGAGTTCCAGCAAGCCTTGATGCTGTGAGTTAAAATGCTCTGGGGTTCTAAATAAACCTGAAAAACAGCCTAGGCCACAAGAACTGCAATTCCTGGGCAAGTCAAGGTGCTATGATAGGCTCAGAGCCAGTGGATTTGCGGAGCATGTAACGTAGTGAGACACCAGCCAGGGTATCCAAGGGAGTGCTTGAGCTGCCCCTCTCTGAACCCCGGGCAGAGCAGCTCACAGCTTCAGAAGAGACTCCTTCCTTCTGCTTAAGAAGAGAAGGAAGACTAAATAGGACTTTGTCTTGCAACTTGCATACCAACTCAACCACAGCAGTATAGAGTACTAGGCAGAGTCCTGAGGCTCCCATTCCAGGCCCTAGTACCCAGACATTTCTAGATACAGCTTGGGCAAGAAGGGATCCTATTGCCTTGAAGGGAAGCAGCTAGTCCTGGCAAGATTTATCACCTGCTGAACAAAGAGCCCTTGGGTGCTGAATAGTCAGCAACAGTACCCAGGCAGTACTCACCATGAGCGTTGGGTGAGACTCAGAGCTGCGCTTACTTCAGATGAGACTTGGCACATTCCCAGGTGTGGTGATTATGAGGGACTGCTTCTGCTTGAGAAAAGGAGAGATAAAAGTAAAGGGGATTTTGTCTTGCAGCCTAGGTACCACATCAGCTACAGTGGGGTAGAGGATCAAGTGGACTTTTGGTGTCCCTGATTCCAGGCCTTGGCTCTTGGATGACATTTCTAGACCTGCCCTGGGGCAGAGGAAAGCCCACTTCCCTGAAAAGAGAGTCCCAGGCCTGGAAGCACTCACGACAAACTGACTGAGGACTCCTTGGGCCTTGAGTGAACATCGGTGGTAGCCAGGCAGTACTCGCCACAAGCCTGGGGTGGTAGTGGCCATGGAGGGAGACTGCTCTGGTTGTGGAAAAGGGAGAGAAGAGTGAGAAGAACTTTGTTTTCCTGCTTGGGTGCCAGCTCAGCTGCAGTGGAAGAGAGTACCAGTTAGATTTCTATGGCTTCTAACTCCAGTTCCTGGCTCCCAAACAGCATCTATGGACCCACCCAGGACTGGGGAACTCATAACCCTGAACAGAAAGACACAAGCCTGACTGGCTTAATCATCTGCTGATTGTAGAGCCCTTGGGCCTTTGAGCAAACATAGGCGGTAGCCAGACAGTGGTTACTGCGGACCTTCCGCAAGACCCATTGCTGTGCTAGTTCTAAGTCTAACACAGAGCAGTGCCAGTGATGGTGGCCTCAGAGGTGTTTGTGTCAGGCCTCCCCCCAGAACAGGCAGCTTTGCAGAGAATGAGAGAGAGAGAGAGAGATGCTGTTCGTTGGGGAGAAAGTAAAGGAAGAGAACAAAAATTTATCTGCCTCATAATCCAGGGGATTCTTATGGATCTTATCCAAGACCACCTAGGTGGTGCCTCTGTGAGTCTACAAGAGACACACCGTTGCTGAGCTTGGGGGGCCCACAAATGCAGATACTGGTGCAATGATCAAAAACTTAGATAACAACACCAAGTCCCTTCAAATACCTGAAACTCTTTCCTAAAAAGGACAAGTACAAACAAGCCCAGACTGTGAAGACTATGGTAAATACCTAACTCTTCAATGACCAGACACTGATGAATATCAACAAGCATCAAGACCATCCAGAAAAACATAATTTCACCAAACAAACAAAATAAGGCACCAGGGACCAATCATAGAGAGATAGGGATATGTGACCTTTCAGATAGAGAACTCAAAATAGCTGTTTTGAAGAAACTCACTGAAACTCAAGATAACACAGAGAAGGGATTTAGAATCCTATCGCGTAAATGTAACAAAAGGAGTGAAATATTTAAAAAAGAAACAAGCAAAAATTCTAGAGTTGAAAAGTGCGATTGACATACCAAAGAATGAATCAGGGTGATAACAGCAGAATTGATCAAGCAGAAGAAAGAATTAGTGAGCTTGAAGATAGGCTATTTGAAAATACACAGTCAGAGGAGACAAAAGAAAATGAATAAAAAAGAATGAAGCACATCTACATGATCTAGAAAATAATCTGAAAAGGGCAAATCTAACCGTGATTGGCCTTAAAGAAGAAGTAGAGAGAGAGATAGGGGTAGAAAGTTTATTCAAAGGGAATAATAACAGAGAACTTCCCAAACCTAGAGAAAGATATCCCTATTCAGGTACAAGAATGTTATAGAATAGCAAGCAGAATTAAAACAAATTAGACTGCCTCAAGACATTTAATAGTCAATCTCCCAAAGGTTGAGGATAAAGAAAGGATCTGCAAGCAACAAGAGAAAAGAAACAAATAACCTACAATAAAGCTCTAATATATCTGACAGCAGACTTCTCAGCAGAAACCTTACAGGCCAGGAGAGAGTAGCGTGATGTATTTCAAGTGCTGAAGAAAAAGAAATTTTATCCTGGACTAGTATATCCAGTGACAGTATCCTTCAAACACGAAGGAGAAAGAAAGACTTTCTTAGACAAACAAAAGCTGAGGGATTTCATTAACTCCAGACCTGTCCTACAAAAAATGCTAAAGAGAGTTATTCAATTTGAAAGAATATAAAATTAATGAGCAACAAGAAATCATTTGAAGGTACAAAACTCACTGGTAATAGTAAGCACACAGAAAAACACAGAATATTGTAACACTGTAGCTGTGGTGTGTAAACTCCTCAGATCTTGAGTAGAAAGACTAAAAGATGAACCAATAAAAAATAGTGACTACAACAACTATTTGAGACACAGAGAGTATAATAAGACATAAATCAACAGAAAGTTAAAAAGCGGGGGGATGCAGTTAAAATGTAGAGCATTCGTTAGTTTTCTCTTTGCTCGTTTGTTTCTCTGCTTGTTTCTCTTTGCTTGTGTATTAGTTTTCTTTGCTTGCTTGTTATTTTGTTTACACAATCAGTGCTAAGTTGTTACCGGTTTAAAATAATGGATTATATTATTTGCAAGTCTCACGGTAACCTCAAATCAAAAATCATACAACAGATACACAAAAAATAAATAGCAAGAAATTAAAACATACCAACAGAGAAGGTCACCTTGACTGGAAAGGAAGACAGGAAGGAAGGAAAGAAGGAAGAGAAGACCACAAAACAACCGGAAAACAAATAGCAAAATGGCAAGAGCAAGTCCTTACTGATCAATAATACCATTTAATGTAAATGGACTAAACTCTCCAATCACAGAGTGGCTGAATGGATTTAAAACAAACAAACAACAACAACAACAAAAACAAGAGCCAATGATCTGTGGCCTACAAGAAACACACTTTACCTATAAAGACACACAGAAACTGAAAATTGAGGAATGGAAACAGATATTTCATTCAGATGGAAACCAACAAAAGAGCAGAAATAGCTATACCTATATCAGATAAAATAGAATTCAAGACAAAACTATAAAAAGAGGCAAAGAATGTCATTATATAATGATAAAGGGCTCAAGTCAGCAAGAGGATATAAACATATGAACAGGATATATTTATATGTAAATATAATATAAATATATATCTATATTATAATTATAAATATGAAGATATGATATACACTTATAAATATGAAATGTCCCCTTATCATTGTATTGGGGTCTATGTTTATATCCTCTTGCTGACTTGAACCTTTTAACGTTATATAATGAGCTGCAAATATATGTTGTAAATATGTGTGCACCCACACTGGAGCACCCAGATATACAAAGCAAATATTAAAGCTAAAGAGAGACATAGACCCCAATACAATGATACCAGGACACTTCAACACCCTACTTTCAGCATTGGACACATCATCCAGACAGAAAATTGACAAAGAAACATTGGACTTAACCTGCGCTACAGACCAAATGAACCTAATAGATATTTACAGAACATTTTATGCAATAGCTGCAGAATATGCATTCTTCTCTTCAGCCCATGGATCATTCTCAAGAATAGACCTTATGATAGGCCACAAAAGAAGTCTTTAAAGATTCAAAAAAATGAAATTATATCAAATATCATCTCTGACCACAGTGAAATAAAACTAGAAATCAATAACAAGAGAAATTTGGAAACTACAAAAAAAAACCATGAAAATTAAACAATGTGCTCCTGAATGATCAGTGAGTCAATGAAGAAATGAAGAAGGAAATTTAAAAATTTCTTGAAACAAATGAACATGGAAACACAACCTAACAGAACCTATGGGATACAGTGAAAGCAGTACTAAGAGGAAAGTGTACAGCTATAAGCATCTATATCAAAAAAAGTAGAAGAACTTCACATAAACAAACTAACAATGCATCTTAAAGAACTATGAAAGCCAGAGTAAACCAAACCCAAAATCAGTAGAAGAAAAGAAATAATAAAGATCAGAGCAGAAATAAATGAAATTTAAACAAAGAAAACAATACAAAAATCAATGAAATGAAAAGTTGGGTTTTTGAAAAGATAAACAAAATAGACAAAGCTTTAGCCATACTAAGAAAGAAAGAGAGAATACCCAAATAAATAATACTGAAGATGAAAAAGGATACATTATAACTGATACTGTAGAACTTCAAAAGATTATCAGAGGCTATTAGGAACAACTATAAGCCAGTACATTGGAAAATCTAGAAGAAATGGATAAATTCCTAGACATAAAAAACCTACCAAGATTGAACAATGAAGAAATCCAAAACCTGCACAGACCAATAAAAAGTAATGAGATCAAAACTGAAACAAGAAAAATCTCCAGTAAAGAAAAGCCCAGGACCTGATGGCTTCACTGCTGAGTTGTACCAAATATTTAAAGAACAACTAATGTCAATCCTACTGAAACTACTCCAAAAAATAGGAGAGAAGGGAAAACTTCCTAACTCATTCTATGAGGCCAGTATTACCCTGATACTAAAACCAAAGACACACAAAAAATCAAACTAAAGTCCAATTTCCCTGATGAACATTAATGCAAAAATCCTCAACCAAATACTAGCAAACCAAATTCAACAACAGATTAAAAACATCATTTATCATGGCCAAGTGGGATTTATCCCAGAGATGCAAGGATGGCTCAACATGCACAAATCAATCAATGTGATACATCATACCAATAGAATGAAGGACAAAAACCACATGATCATTTCAACTGATACTAAAAAAGCATTTGATAAAATTCAACATCCCTTCATGATTAAAAAAAAAATCACTAAAAAACTGGGTGTTCATGGAACATACCACAACACAGTAAAAGCTATATATGACAGACCCACAATTATTATCATACTAAACACAAAAAAACTGAATGCCTTTCCTCTGAGATCTGGAACAAGATAAGGATGCTTACTTTCACCACTGTTATTCAACATAGTACTGGAAGTCCTAGCTAAAGCAATCAAACAAAAGAATGAAATAAAAGGTCATCCAAATTGGAAAGGAAGAAGTCAAATTATCCTTGTTTGCAGACGATATGATCTTATATTTCAAAAAAACTAAAGATTCCATAAAAAGTATATTAGAATTGGTAAACAAATTCAGTGAAGTTGCAGGATACAAAATCAACATGCATAAATCAGTAGATTTTTTTTTTTGAAAAGGAGTCTCACTCTGTCACCCAGGCTGGAGTGCAGTGGTGTGATCTCAGCTTACTGCAACCTCCACCTCATGGGTTCAAGCTATTCTCATGTGCCAGCCTCCTGAGTAGTTAGGATTACAGGTGTGCACAACCACGCCTGGCTAATTTTTGTATTTTTTGTAGAGACAGGGTTTTGCCATGTTAGCCAGGCTGATCTCGAACGCTTGGTCTCAAATGACCCTCCCACCTTGGCCTCCCAAAGTTCTGGGATTACAGGGTGAGCCACTGAGCCCAGCCAATCAGTAGTATTTCTACATGTCAACAGCAAACATTCTGAAAGGGAAATCACGAAAATAATCTTATTTACAGTAGCTACAAATAATATAAAATAGGTAGGAATAAACTTAACCAAAGAACTAAAAGATCTCTACAATGGAAACTATAAAACATTGATTCAAGAAATTGAAGAGGACATAAAAAACTGGAAAAATCAACGTTAAAATGTCCATCCTAGCCAATGCAATCTACAGATTCAATGCAATCCCTATCAAAATACCAATGATATTCTTCACAGAAATAGAAAAAAAATCCTAAAATTGACATGGAACCCCAAAAGACCCAGAATAGCCAAAGCTATCCTGAGCAAAAAGAACAAAGCTAGAGGACTCACATTACCTGACTTCAAATTATAGTACAGAGATATAGTAACCAAAACGCATGGTACTGGCATAAAAACAGACCAACAGACCAATGAAACAGAGTGGAGAACCCAGAAACAAATCCATACACCTAGAGTAAACTCATTTTTGACAAAAGTCACAGGAACACAGTTTGCTCAAAGGACAGTCTCTTCAATAAATGCTGCTAGGAAAACTGGATATCCATATGCAGAAGAATGAAACTAGATCCCTATCTCTTACTACATACAAAAATCAAATCAAAATGAATTAATGACTTAAACCTAAGACCTCAAACTATGAAACTACTACAAGAAAACATTGGGGAAACTCTCCAGGACATTAATCTGGGCAAAGATTTCTTGAGTAATACCCCACAAGCACAGGCAATCAAAGCAAAAATGGACCATTGGGATCACATCAAGTTTAAAACCTTCTGCACAGCAAAGGAAACAATCAACAAAGTGAAGAGACAACCCACAGAATGGGTGAAAATATTTGCAAACTATCCATCTGACCAGGGATTAATAACCAGTCTTATAATGAACTCAAACAACTCAATAGGGAAAAAAAATCTAATAATCCAATTTAAAAATGGGAAAAAGATCTGAATAGACATTTTTCAAAAGAAGACATACAAATGGCAAACAGGCATATGAAAAGGTGCTCAACATCATTGGTCATCAGAGCAATGCAAATGAAAACTACAATGAGATATTAGCTCACCCCAGTAAGAATGACTTTTATTCAAAAGACAGACAATAATGAATGCTGGAGAACACGTGGAAAAAAGGCCACCTTCATGCACTGTTGGTGGAAATGTAAGTTAGTACAACCACTATGGAGAAGAGTTTGGAGGTTCCTCAAAAAAAAATCTAAAAATAGAGCTACCAGATAATCCAGTAACTCCATGGCTAGATATATACTCAAAAGAAAGAAAATCACTATGTCCAAGAGATATCTGCACTCCCATGTTTGTTGCAGCACTATTCACAATAGCTAAGACTTGAAACAACCTAAGTGTCCATCAACAGATGAATGGATAAAGAAAATGTGGTACTTGTACACAATGGAGTACTTATCAGCCATAAAAAAGAATGAGATCCAGTCATTTGCAACAACATGGGTGGAACTGGAAGACATTATGTTAAGAATAAACCAAGCACAGAAAGACAAACTTCACATGTTCTTGCTTATTTGTGGGAACTAAAAATTAAAACAATTGAACTCACAGAGATAGAGTAGAAGGCTGGTTACCAGAGGCTGGGAATGGAGGGGCAGTGGTGGAAATAGGGATGGTTAATGGGTACAAAAATATAGTTAGATCGAATGAGTAAGATCTAGTATGTGATAGCACAACAGGATGACTACAGTCAACAGTAATTTATTGCACATTTAAAAATAACTAAAAGAGTATAATTGGATTGTTTATAATGCAAAGAAAGGATAAATGCGTGGGGTAATGGATACCTCATACACCCTGATGTGGTCATTACACATTATATACCTGTATCAAAATATTCTGTGTACCACATAAATATATACACCTACTATGTACCCACAAAAATTAAAAATTAAAAATAAGTTTTTAAAACATTAAACATAAGCTTTTTTTAAAAAAAATGATTGACATCTCCTGAATTCCCCAAATAATCTAGCCAGCTACCAGACCCTTCTATTGCTCTAGATCAGGGGTGTCCAATCTTTTGGCTTCCCTGGGCCACACTGGAAGCATTGTCTTAGGCCATACATAAAATATAACACTAATGATAGCTGATGAGCTAAAAAAAAATATTTTGCAAAAAAAATTTCATAATGTTTTAAGAAAGTTTATGAATTTGTTGGGCTACATTCAAAGCTGTCCTGGGCTGCATGCAGCCTGCAGGCTGGGGGTTGGACAAGCTTGCTGTAGAATGTTCTGTGGTGACTCATTATTAAGGTACACCAGGGGAGGGGAAGGATTTTTCCCAACGTCTTTTGATTCTGTTCTTACTCTTTAAAATATTTGAAATATGAAACAACAGAAATATGTTTACTGCTATAACCATGGCACCTTGAACAATGCCCAGCCTATAGGAGGCACTCAATAAATTTTGGTCAAAGAATGAAGGAACACATAATTCTCACAGTGTAAGGCAAGCACTATCCAATCACACCCCTTTCTCATCACTCCAGAAACTTCTTTCAGTCAGACCAATCTTCCAAAATCACTTTCTTTCTCTGTAGATAAAGAGAACAGAGGCAGTGTTCCAGTCGCCTCTCTCAGGAGTAAGGCAGATCTCTTCCTGTCTCATGCCACACCTCAGCCCTTTAGAAACAAGGTCCCTGAAGCAGAAACTTTCAAACGTTCTATATGAAGGCCCCTTCCAACATGCTGTGTTATGGCGTAACACATCCAGCCTCATCAGCTAACACCCTTGCTGGGACCAAAGCAAAGTCCTGGGCTGCAAGTGGATGTGGGAGTTAGTAAACAGCAGCCTCAACTGTTGCACAATTTTGCCAAGGGCCATATTAGTTCAGAACATAGAATTCCCTGTTCCATGCTTAGGAGGTCACTCTGAGATGCCTGGCCTGTTTTGTTTCACGGTGTGCTGATGGGTAAGCAGTGATCAGATACTTAACAGAGATAAGATTGAATTGGGCCTGCAGGAACAGGCCCTTCTCAGAGAGAAGGGAGCATTTGTCAGAGACTCTGTCCCATGTGTCCCAGCCTTGCTCACGGCAAGGAGCTTCACGCTTTGTGGCGATTTCACTCTTTTGTCCCTACTTCCTTGTGCAAACTGCCCATTTGTTCATGAGCCTCCTTCTCTTCCTTCAACCTTCCCAATCCAGGAGCACAGGCGTCCACTTTTGCGTGTAATTGATCCCATCTTCAGGAGCAGTAGCTTCCTGAGCCTTCTGCTTCTGAGCCCAGGAAAGAGAATATAATGGCTGCAGAAGAAAGCATGGGTCTGGACTAACTCTTCTCTCTGTCAATGATAGTGTGTCTCTGAACTGACCTCTCCTCCCACAACCTGCTGGCACACTGGGCTCACCTCCCACCCAGGAGAACCCAGCGGGGCTGGTCTGATGGTGAGTTGTGCATTGGGCACATTTTAGCCTGGCCTCGAACTACGCACAGGCTCACCACCTCTTAGCCTTGATTCCACTGATATCAACTCTCAGAAACTCAACGGAAGACGCAAAGCCAGCCACTCCTTCGTACCATAGCACATGCTGTTTCCTCAGCCTAGAATTTTTCTTCCTCCTTATCTGGGGGATGACTCTTCTCATTTTTCAAAACTGAGATAAGTATCTCTTAAAGTCCAGAATCTTTACTTTCACTTGCAAATGTCACAGTGTCCTGGCCAGAGCTACCCCTCTGACCTAATTTCCCAATACCCTCTCATCTCACTGCTCAGGTCACACTGGGCTCCTTGCCATCCCTTGAGCTTCCAAGCACACCCTGCCCATGGCCTTTCCCCTTGTGATTTCCTCATCCTGGAGTGCTCTTCTCCCCACTCTTCACGTGACTCACCCCTCTTTTCATTCCTTTTCCTACATAAATGCCACCATCTCAGGAAGCCTTCACTGATCCCTGATTAAAATAGTGTGAGCCCACTCCTACACACGCACTGTCTCTCTACACCCCCACCTCCTCTATCTTCTTTCATTGCGCACACCATGATCTGATTTTATGTTAGATATTTATATGTAATGTTCACTCTCTGCCTCCCCAGTGGGATGTAAGTCCTGTGGCTGCAGGAGATTTTGTGTTCATCACAACATCGTAAGCCCCTGGAACAATTCCTGGCAGACAGCACTCCCTAGTAAATAGCGGCTGAGTAAATGTTGCTTCAACTTGATTTCTAACTTGGTATTCTATTGCCTCTAGGCAGTTCTGTGAATAAACAGAAAACTCTAGGTAAGGTTCATGTAGATTTGACTCAAATGATATGTGCATGTCTATATGTGTGAGTGTGCATGCGTGTGTGTGTATGTATAAATGTGTATATATGCACATGTGCATGTATTTGTATGTGTGTATACAGAGTTGTCCCTCAGTATTCATTGGGGATTGGCTCCAGGATCATCTGCAGATACCAAAATCCACAGATGTTCAAGTCCCTGGTATAAAATGGTGTAGTATTTGCATATAAGCTTTGCACATCCTCCTATATACTTTAATTCATCTCTAGATTACTTATAATGCCTAATGCAATGTACCATGTCATTTCTACCATGCTATTTATATTATTTTGTGTTTTCCTTCTGTATTAAGCCAAGTTAACAAATATTTAGCAGGAAGATATTTCTAGGAAGCTTAGTTTAACTAAATGAGGTTTTCCAACTCACTCATCATATTTTGTCCTAAATTTCATATTGGTGTTTTGTCTCTTCTGGAACTGTAAGCTTTCTGGAGACACTGACAGGTCTGATTCACTTTATTGTGCACCACAGTAATTAGATAAAGAGACGAAGCAACATCTCATTGTGTCTTAAATACTTCAGGCCTGGCGTGGTGGCTCGCGCCTATAATTCTAGCACTTTGGGAGGCCAAAGTGGGAGGACCATTTGAGGTTGGGAGTTCAATAACAGCCTGCCAACATGGTGAAACCCTATCTCTACTAAAAATACAAAAATTAGCCGGGCGTGGTGGTGCGTGCCTATAGTTCCAGCTACTCAGGAGGCTGAGGCAGGAGAATCGCTTGAACCCAGGAGGCAGAGGATGCAGTGAGCTGAGATCACACCACTGCACTCCAGCCTGGGCAACAGAGTGAGAGTTGGTCTCAAAAAACGAAAACAAAAACAAAAAAAAACAAAAAACAACAAATGCTTCTGCTGATATCCCTCTGCTATCCATGATGAAGTCTCGTAGCTCTCACCATGCTGCTTCTATGCTCATTGTCTCCATTCTCTAGCCTTCGTGAAGAAGTGTGGCTCTTCTCTGAGATTAGACCCTTTACCTGAGCGCCTGCCTTAGGCCTTTTCCCACCAACCAGTCTTTTCAAGGACTCTTCCTTTCAAGACCCCTCCCCTCTGTAATCCCAGACCCTGAAACCCCTTTGCTTCACCCTACTCCTTTCTCTTTCTCCCTTTTTATTTTTTTATTTTTATTTTTATTGTTTTTGAGACAGAGTCTCACTCTGTCACCCAGGCTGGAGTGCAATGGCGCGATCTCGGCTCACTGCAACCTTTGCCTCCTGGGTTCAAGCGATCCTCCCACCTCAGCCTCCAGAATAGCTGGGACTATAGGCATGTGCCACCACACTTGGCTAATTTTTTTGTGTGTGTTTTTAGTAGAGATGGGGTTTCACTATGTTGGCCAGGCTGGTCTCGAACTCCTGACCTCGTGATCTGCCTGCCTTGGCCTCCCAAAGTGCTGGGATTACAGGTGTGAGCCACTATGTCTGGCCTACTTTCTCTCTCTTTTATGCCATTTTCTTATTTCCTTTTACTGCTTTTTGAAAGAATGTACTATATACTTATTTAGTCATTTAACTAATGGCAGAGTCGGTTACATGGGCATGTGGCCAGGTGCAGGGCTCTGTGATCAGAAGGAGGCCCAGGTTTGGGATTTAATAATCTGCTGTTGCTGTCTTAGAGTTCCTAATAATTTCGTTTTTGTTTATTTCTTTGTTTGTTTGTTTTACCAGAGACAAGTTCTGGCTATGCTGCCCAGGCTGGTCTCAAACTCCTGAGCTCAAGTGATCTGCTGGCCTCAGCCTCCCAAAGTTCTGGGATTACAGGCATAAGCCACCGACCTGGACAATAATTTCACTTTGAAATGACTTGGGAGTCATGATGCAGGGAGAGCTGAAGTCATGAGAATGCAGGTCTGTGAGGAGAAATCTAGAGACAAACAGGAGAACCAAGCAATCAATCTGGGAACTTTTTCAATCAATGGAGGAGATAGGAACCAGCAAAGAAGCTCTGAGCTGGCCTTCGAGTAAAGAAGGACAGTTGAAGTGTTAAAGATTAGTGGAAACAAAGATTCCAAAAAGCAGGGATGGGGACCGTGTTAAATGCTGTGGAAGCTCCAGAAAGATGCTGGGAAGAGAGGTTTGGATACAGATGGGAGGTTCTTGATGAGACTGTTTGCATTTACGCCTGTTGTCCCAGGATAATTATTAGTAGCATCTTTTTTTCACCCTCAGAAGCATCCCCATTTGGCCACCCTAGATATTGGTAAACTTTGAAAGACAGTGTCAGTTGAGCGGTTGGAAGTAAAAGCCAGACTTCCCCGAGTTAAGGAGAAAGATGAAAAAGTGGAGGCAGGGCCCTGTCCTTCTTCACAGCTCAGGGGTCCCCAATGGAATCGTTTGAGAGTGAATAGAACAGAGGAATAGGACAATGACTAGCTTTATGAAGAGGCGTCTGCTCTTCCATTTACTTGTTTTTGTTTCAATGAAGGTAAAGATAAAAATAGAGAGGTTATCTGCCCTTATACTAAGAAGAATAAGCGCAGTATGTTCTCCTGCTACGTGCTGTGTTCTTTGTTGGAATGAATGTGTGAAGTTCCAACATGAAGTCTGCAGGAGCTTTGGCTGCTCTTCTCCAGCTGCAAGACAGTTCGGAGAGCAGGCGGCAGGCAGCAGCCCCACCCTAGTGAGAGTTTAAAGCACTTTCCCCTTTCTATTGTTTGACAGGGAGGGGTGGAGTTCAGAGCAATCAAAAGGACGCTGCAATGGTTTTGCATTGTAATTTTATTACTTAATATATTATAAAATTTAGTTAATTCTAATTAGTTTGTGTGTGTGTGTGTGTGTGTGTTCATCTCCTTATTTTCTGGAGTGTGAAATGGTAAGAGCATTTTTAAAGCCAGGGCTTATTTACTAAAATGAACCCTTTTTTCCTTTCTCTGAGATGCATGAAACCAACAGAGAAAATGTATTTGAAGAGGGGGTTTTTAGGGTTGAGTAAATTAGAAGAGGATGTCATTTTAAGGAAGAGAAAACATGTTAGTGAGAGGAAGCTGCTTCATTTGTTTAAAATGTACACACAGATGGGAAAGTTATACAAATGATTATTCAAATAAAAGATAAAAAGGACATTAGAAGCTTGATATATCACTTATGCGAATCCAGTGCTTTTCTGTAGAAAAATTACCTCCCTGATCCTTTTCTTCTGTGGGATCTAGTGGTCTGGCTCATAAGATGTGAGGGAGAAGCAAGTGTAGGACAGGCTTTGGAACCACCTGCTTTCAGCCATAAGGGGCTTCCTTAAGGGGCACAGCAACTACATGTCTCTAATGAGTGACAATCCCATGGTGGAAGAAGTGAATACTAGTAATGAAAGTTGTGGCAGTTCTCTCAGGAGAGTGTCAAAAAATTGCATTCACTTTCATAGTCTACCCCCCCAGCATACTTCAAATGAATATAGTGTATTTCCCCATCTTTGCCTTTTGCAACATATTTCCCAATTAGGGTTACCAAATTTAGCAAAGAAAAATGCAGGGTATCCAGTTAGAGTTTTAGAAAAACAAGAGAAAGGTTTTTTTTTTCATTTTTCAACTTTTAATTTTTGTGGGTTCATAGTAGGTGTATATATTTATGGAATGTATAAGATATTTTGATATAGGCATACAATGCATAATAATCATATCAGGGCAAGTAGAGTATCCATCACCCTATGCATTTATCCTTTCTTTGTGTTACAAACAATCTAATAATATTCTTCTAGTGATTTTTAAATGTGCAATAAATTATTGTTGACTGTAGTCATCCTATATGTCTGTTTATATGCCTGTACCATGCTGCTTTGGTTACTATATCTCTGTAGTGTAATTTGAAGTCAGGTAATGTGATTCCTCCAGTTTCATTCTTTTTGCTCAGGATAGCTTTGGCTATTTGGGGTCTTTTGTGGTTCTATATCAATTTTAGGATTTTTTTTTCTATTCCTGTGAAGAATGTCATTAGTATTTTGATAGAGGTTATACTGAATGTGTAGGTTGCTTTGGGTAGTATGGACATTTTATTTTTATTTTTATTTTATTTAAACAGAGTCTTGCTCTGTCACCCAGGCTGGAGTGCAGTGGAGCAGCAATCTCAGCTCACTGCAACCCCCGCCTTCGGGATTCAAGAAATTCTCATGGCTTAGTCTCCTGAGTAGCTGGAGACTATAGGCATGTGCCACCATGCCTGGCTAATTTTGTACTTTTTTATAGTAGAGACAGAGTTTTCGCATGTTGGCCAGGCTGGCCTCAAACTCTTGGCCTCAAGCGATCCTCCTACCTAGGCCTCCCAAAATGCTGGTATTACAGGCATGAGCCACCATGCCCAGCCCTTGCATGGACATTTTAACAATACTGATTCTTCCAAGCCATGAACACCAAATATCTTTTCATTTTTTGTGTCTTCTTCAGTTTCTTGCATCAGTGTTTTATAGTTTTCATTGCAGAGATCTTTGACTTCTTTTGTTAAGTTTATCCCTAGGTATTTTATATTATTTGTAGCTACTATAAATAAGATTACTTTCTTGATTTCTTTTTCAGATTGTTTACTGTTGGCATATAGACATGCTACTGATTTATGTATGTTGATTTTGTATCCTCCAACCTTACTGAATTTGTTTATCAGTTCTAACAGTTTTTGCGTGGAGTTTTTAGGTTTTCCCAAATATGAGATCCTATCACCTGCAAAGAAGGATAATTTGCCTTTTTCCTTTCCAATTTGGATACCTTTATTTCTTTCTCTAGTCTGATTACTCCAGCTAGGACTTCCAGTACTATGTTGAATAACGGTGGTGAAAATGAGCATCCTTGTCATATTTCAGGTCTTAAAGGAAAGGCTGTAAGTTTTTCCCCGTTCAGCATGATATTAGCTGTGGGTCTGTCATATATGGCTCTTACTGTGTTGTAGTATGTTCCTTGAATACCTAGTTTTCTGAGGGTTTTTATTATGAAAGGATGTTGAATTTTATCAAATGTTTTTTCAGCATCAATTGAAATGATCATTTTTGTCCTTCATTCTAATGATAGGATATATATCACATTGATTAATTTGCATATGTTGAAACATCCTTGTATTTCTGGAATAAATCCCACTTGGTCATGATGAATTATCTTTTTAATGTATATTTGAATTTGGTTTGCTAGTATTTGGTTGAGGGTTTTTGCATTAATGTTCATTAGGGATATTGACCTATAGGTTGCTTTTTTTTTTCAGTGTGTTTGTCTGGTTTTGGTATCAGGGAAATATTAACATTGTAAAATGAATTTGAAAGTACTGCAATCTCTCATCTGAATTTTGGTTCTTATGAAGGTGCTTTTTATGTGGATATGTGTTCAATTTGGTATTCCTGTGGGGAGGACAATTGGTGGCAGCTCCTATCCAACCATCTTGCTCTACCTTCCTTCAATAACTTCTGACTTGCCAATCCACTGGGGGCTCAGAGTAAGAGAAATAGGTAAGTTTGTAACTGGTATCCCAAAAGGTGAATAGACTTTGAAATAGGAAGAGGACTGTTTAAGCCAGTAATCAATAAGTTTCAGCTTTTCCTGGTTGTGTTAGTTTCCTGGATCTGCTGTAATGAAATATAATATAATAAGCTGGGTAGCCTAAAGCAACAGAAATTTATTCTCTCACAGTTCCAGCAGTTAGAAGTCCAAAATCAAGGTGTTAGCAGGGCCATGCTCCTGCTGAATGCTCTATGGAAAAATTCTTCCTTGCTCCTTCTAGTTTCTGGTGGTTGCTGGCAATCCTTGGCATTCCTTGACTTGTGGCAGTGTAAGAAGGGTTGATAAATGGGCAGACAGGCTTCTCAGGAAAGGTGTGTTTCACCAAGTTGTGCACTTTCAAAGGAGAAGTGAGTAAACAGAGCTCTATGCAGAGGAAATCACAATAGCAAAAGCACAGTGTGGGGCCAGAGAGAGAGGTAGAGTGGAATGGGGTAGATATCTGTTCCTGGGTCAGAAAATTGTCAAGGTACATGGTGGGGATGATGGGAGGTACATTTAAAGGCTTAGGTTAACGCTACATTAGGGTAGGCCTTAAGGGGAAGCTGAAAATCTTTTCTCCTCTATATGACCAACTTCAGGTGCCCAGCCAATGCTTGCTTCTGTGCCTTTGTGCCTTGGCTTGGTTTCCTTCTCTTAGACAAATAGGGAGCCAGGCTGGGATGGAGGAGGCATCCAGGAGGCCTGATGCCTTTGTCTCTTTGCCCACGGTCTCTACAGAAGGATGACCTAACCGATGCTAGAAAGGAAGAGAAGTAGGTAGAGCCAGAGAGGAAATGAAAGAACCATTTAAGGAGCCCCTTGTAATGCACTTCTTGTTCATGCATTATCTCATTTCATCCTCACATTAACTTTAGAAGGTAGGTATTGTATTGTTCCCATGTTCCAGCTGATGACACTGGGGTTCACTCAGGTCACATGGATAGGTAGAGTCAGGATGTGAATCCACATCTAACTCAAAGTGGGGAAAAATGATGAGACAAAGAGTAAGATTTCTGAAAGAGACTAAGTACGAGGGTGGTAGGAAAGGCAATGATTCAGGTGCATGAAATCCTGGAGAACAGTTTTGTTCCTAACCAGCTTTAGTGCTATGTGAAGGCAATGTATGAAAGGCCTGTTAAGGCTAACCTGATAGAAATACTGTGCAATAGACTTACGTTTTACTTAAGGCAGTAAACCTAAACAGATCTCTTATCTCCCCTTACCTGCCCCACTTTGCTCTTTTTCTCTTGTGCACTAAAGATGAATGAATAATAATAGCTCTTCAAAGTATGCTGGGTGGAACCTTTTCTATTTCCCATGAAAATTAATTCTTTATTGAGTTTCTGCTCATATGTTTGAGAGAGAAATCTTCACTCCCCCCACCAAACACACACACACACATACTGCTCGCTACTGTTGATTAAGCAATAGCTATGTGCCAGGCAAATTTTCACATATTCCATTACTAGTTCAGGTGCAAATGTAGGCTATGACACTCTTAGGTACTGTGAGGATGAAATGCTGAGTTCATTGTCCAATAGAAAGGACTGTAAAATTATGCCTGTTTTCACCACAGACCTTTGGCCTCAGAGACTTAATTGCAGTGTTCAAGTCATCCCAGTTCCTCCTCATATAATTGAGAGATATTAAAAGCCTAACCTGTTTTTTGTCAGTTTTGATTACAGTTATTCAAAAGAGTGGCAGAAAGCAGCTCATCTTATATTGATTATAAGGCCCATTTCCACCCTTAACACAACTATTGAAATCATTTTCTACACTTGATAAACGATGCTAAGTGAAATATCATCTCTTCTGAGCTCTCCTCAGATTGCCTTTGTGGAAGGAAGATTTGTCCCAGATATTATGGAGCATTTGCTCATTTACCATGGTGTGTGAATCTGTCCTCACAGGAGATCAATTCACTTCTAAATGATCATGAGAAGGCATTCAACACGAGAGTTGGCTTACTTTATTACACTTTTAACCTCTCAAGTAAGCTGGTTATACCTGAGAAGCCCTTTGTTCCTTCCACAGTTGTACTCACTGAGCACCTCACCCTAACTGGAGAGGTCAGAATGCATTCTTGGAGTCATCCCAGTTGTGGGCAAGGGAATGGGGCTGAAATCAAGAACACAGGCAGAGAATAATTGGTCAGAAAGGACCAGACACAGGGCTGAATTCAGAGAGCTTCAGTGAGAGGTAAGAGGCAGGGAGATTACATTTAGTGTGGACCTTTCATGTGCCACAAACTGTGCTAGCTATTTTGCTTCTCTTATTTTATTCAATAACAACACTAAATAGTAAGATTTGAGATCCCCATTTTGCACAAATGGGGGTAATGTTTATGGAAATAGTGGAAGATTAGTATAGATCAGAGAAGTTAGTATTGTGCCAAGAAGAAGTGTGATGATGGAGAGTCTTAGGTTATGATCTCATTAGGTCTCAAGGACAGGACACACCTGATGAACTCATGCTGGGGAGCAGAACTTAGTGCCCTGTAGGGCTGAAGTAGAGACAGATGAACTTTTATTAAGGTGGTGCAAAAGTAATTGTGGTTTTTGCCCTTGCTTTTAAAGGCAAAAACTGCAATTACTTTTGCACCAATCTAATAGTTTTACATAAAGTGGGACATGAGGCAGAGATCCATGGTAGGCTGAAGGGAAGAGGAGGATTGAGGGCCAGGGAATCTGGCATACCACCACAGAGAGCTGACATCTTCCAGGCTTTGAACAAATCATTTATGATCATGGAAATTCCCTGAGTTAGGATTCATATAACTGGCCACAGTGCAGGAATCATCTTTCCAACACTTCTTGGCTATGTCCAGGGTCAATACCAAACTTATTGGTCAGGACATACTATTATATACATACATACAACATACTATGACATACAAAACAGGTCATGTAACCAGGTACTTAGTTATCACTCAGTGAGGAACCAAGCTGGAATTTGGGATAAGAATAAAATTGAAGAGGTTCACCAGAAGAACTGAAAATGAAGTCAGGTAAAACTCCTCCAACCCGCATCTTTTGAAGGGGCTCAAAAAAGAGAAGAGCAACAGTTATTTGCTATCCAACATGAATGCTCATGGCAGCATTATTCACAATAGCTAAAAGTTGAAACAACCCAAATGACCACTGATGGATGAATGAACAAAGAAAATGTGGTATATCCATATAATGGAATATTATTCAGCCATAAAAAGGAGTGAAATACTGATACATACTGCAGCATGGGTGAACCTTAAAAGCCTAATGCCACATGTTTATGATTCCATTTATAAGAAATATCCAAAATAGGTGAACAGAAAGCAGATTGATGGTTTCTAGGGGCTGGAGGAAGGAGGGAATAGGGAGTAAAACAACAGCATTAACAGGTACAAAATCTTATTTTGGAGTAAAAAAATGTTTTGGAACTAGATAAAGGCAGTGGTTGCACAACATTGTGAATGCACTAATGCCAGTGAATTGTTCACCTTAAAATGGCTCATTTTGTTTTATAAATTTCACCTCAATAATAAAAAAGTTATTTGCAATGAAAATTGCAGTATATGTTAAGTAACTCTACAATCCCACATTTATTTACTTCTGAACTCATTATGGTGAGGCCAGTACCCCTTTAAATGGCATCCACTTGGCCACATAGACAGAGTGACCACTCACTCTGAAGCAGACGCCAAGACACAAGGCCTATTCCCCTGGAGGCAAGCTGATTCTTGATTATTCCTGGTAACAGGGAACATGACTAGACATAAAAAATTGAAATCCATAATTAACCTAAAACTCCCTTTCAGGTGACTTTCTGCATCCTTCTCAAAACTGCGATTAAACAGAAACATAAAATGGTTATATTCTCCATATTCACTTCCCTTTGTACCACCCACTCTTTTTCACAGCGTCCACCCACAGAAGAAAAGAAATACATACAATTTGCACCAATATGCATCTGTGAAACCCAAAAAGGCCAGACAATTGGGAACACCATTTATGTTCACTCCGCCTCACCTCAGACTCTGCTCCTCCTTCAGTAAGTCATTCTTCAATAAGTCCAGGGTTGAGCTTGGCATCTAAGCATTCTGGATCTGGTCCAGTGGTCTGGGGAGGGCCATAATGGAAGTGTTAACCCTATACTCTCAATGTTTAATGATTGACTGTGTAATTTCATGTACAATAACCTGGACTGCAGGGTTAGACTTCAAGGGATCTCAAGACCCGACATCAAATATGTCCCAAAGTTACTGAACACTGACTGGCTAGAAAGATATGTGGTAAGCAGAGAGGTCAGATCAAGGTACCCAAACTTTTACAAAAAAAGCCTGGAGAATGGAAAGTTCATGGGAACATCCTACCTATGTCACCTTAAAGATCTGAAGCTGTCCCTCACTTCAGGCCAGAAGTGGCTTTCCTGCATGAACCATTAACTCTGCAAAGGAAGGTGTATGTGTGTGTGTGTGTGTGTGTGAAACTTTATAAATGAAAAAATCTATAAAAATGAGAATTCAATATCTATTGTGTATGGATAACTCTATATCTACTGATATTTTGTCTTATATCCTTCAACCTAAGATTTTCAATTACTAGAAATAATACTTATGTTTTTCTGTGGCACACAACAGATAAATTTTAAACTGTTTCCTTGAGTATCTGTTGACTTCTGTGCTCATAATTCCCCTTATTCCTTTGTCCAAAGAGTAATAAGATTGCATGCCAATCTCAGCAGCTAGAAATCGTTAGTGTGTGCTTGGAGTCTCACCCTTCTAACTGCCCTTCTGTTGAAGAAGAACCCACCTAAAGGGTTATGTAAGTCAATCGAGAAATGGATGCAGCTGCCTGACTTACCTACCAAGCTCTCTTGGCTTGATCTATAAAGACTTATTAGGAGTTATAGGAAAGCTAATTCACAATTCACAATTTTTGCTTAGCTTCTTTATGTGCTTCAAAAAACAGTGGGAGTGACCGGGCACGGTGGCTCACACCTCTAATCCCAACACTGTGGGAGCCCAAGGTGGGCAGATCACCTGAGGTCAGGAGTTCGAGACCAGCCTGGCCAACATGGTGAAACCCTGTCTCTACTAAAAATACATAAATAAGCTGGGAGTGATGGCACACACTTGTAATCGCAGCTGCTCAGGAGGCTGAGGCAGGAAAATTGCTTGAACCCGAGAGGCGGAGGTTGCAGTGAGCCGAGCCTGCGCCATTGCACTCCAGCCTGGGTAACAGAGCGAGACTCTGTCTCAGGAAAAAAAAAAAAAAAAAGAAGCAGTGGGAGGGGGCAAATTTTCTGAATGTATTTTCCTCTTGTAAGCACTGGTTTTTTTTTTTTTTTTTTTTTTTTTTGAGACACAGTCTCACTCTGTTGCCCAGGCTGGAGTGCGGTGGCGTGATCTTGGCTCACTGCAACCTCCGCCTCCCGGGCTCAAGTGATTCTCCTGCCTCAGCCCCCCAAGTAGCTCGGATTACAAGCATACACCACCACACCCAGCTAATTTTTGTATTTTTTTAGTAGAGATGAGGTTTAGCTGTGTTGGTCAGGCTGATCTTGAACTCACAGCCTCAGGTAATCCACTTGCCTCAGCCTCCCAAAGTGATGGGATTACAGGCGTGAGCCACCCCTCCTGCAAACCCTTTTAATGGCCATTACTACTAGAGCTGGAATTCATCACTCCACCAAGGAAGCTGAAAAAGGCTCGAAGTTTCAATACTATTAAGACAGATGGTAGATTAAGAAACTGCGAGTCTTAGTAGTTATCAAGGAGAGAACTGGTATCTGAGTTCTGAGCAACCCGAGGTCCTCAGGGTTTTCATCCTTAGCTATATTAGAAAGTTGAGGGCAGAGCTAACCTGCTTCAAATGCCTGTAGTCTCAAGACACTGCCCATGAAATGCTGGCCATTAGGCCTTCCCTATTTAGGGCCTGCTGGAGTAGTTTCAACTTTTACTACATGGTTAAATTGTCCACCAACGACAAACATCCCACCAATCCTTTAAAAATATGTACCCAATCAACAACCACATGCTTTCATTGCAAAGATCACATTGGTGTTAAACAAAACCTGCTGTTACAATTAAGTTGTAGTGTCCAACTTACATTGAAGGCCTAGGCACTACCACTTTAGAGAAGAGTCTGTAACCAAACTGACATTTGCTTAGTGGCCTCCAGCCCCAAAAGGAGAATGTCCCAGGGACACCTTCCAATACAGACCAACAAAGAATTTTCCTAATTTGTGAATTTATTTATATAAACAAAATTTTGAAAGATGTAAGTTAAATTACATTTATGTGAAATTGCGATGATCACAGAAAAACTATACCATTGGATCACTGTACAAAAAATAGATCTGAACATTTTATTTTTGTGTGTATCTCTCCACGGAAAAAGAAGAGTGAAGACATATTTCTTTGCTTTGGAAATAGAAAAAGTATTCTATATTCTTTCCTTACAGAGCTTGCTTTTATTTCTAAATCAATAAGCATATAAATAGAAAAAAAGAATATTTTACCCAGGAAACTGTGAGTCATATTGAATTGAATTGATGGGAGAGTGGCCATATAATCCTCAAACTTTTGACTCTCCCCACCACCCTGACCCCTTGCCAGGATGGCACTGGAAGTAAATCCAGTTCCAATGAAAATAAAAGCCTCATCTATTCTTAGTCTTTTAAGGGGACAGCATTGTTGACACTCAGAGACCTTCATGCAGCAACTTAGAGGAAATAGCTGTTCCATGTTTATGAAAGCATGGAAGCAAAGGTTTAAACCAAAAAGTTCTGCATCTTTTCTTTAGGCTGGTAAGCCTCCAGCCTCCGTGATGCTTTTATGAATGGTTGAGTTGCAGAGTGGGATGATATTACTCACTAATTTTTTGAGGCCTACTTAGTAATGAGATTACTAGTAGATATAACCCATGATCTCCAGGAAAGCTCATAGACAGGTACAGTAAAGACAGGTACAAGTAAAGACAGGTACAGTAAAGTAAAGCTTTACTGTATCTGTCTGTGAGTTTTCCTTGAGATTATGGATTACTAGTACAAGTAAGATACAATAAATATAATAAAGATAGTGCCACAATTACTAGTACAAGTAAGATATGATAAATATAATAAAAAGATAGTGCGACAATTCAAAATGGACCATAAACTTAAATGTAAAACGTAAAACTGTAAAACTTCTTAAAGATCACATAGGCAATAAATCTAGATAAATTTATTCTTATCTAAATAAATATTTACATATTTACCTAAATAAATCTAGGAGACCTTTGGTTTAGCAATGACTTTTTAGATATAGCACTAAAAGCATGATCTATAGAAGAAAAAATTGATAAGCTAGACTTCATTAAAATTAAAAACTGCTCTGCAGAAGTCACTGTTAAGAGAACGAAAAGACAAGCCACAGACTGGGAGAAAATATTTGCAAAAACATATCTCTGATGAAGGACTTGTTTTCAAAATATACAAAGAACAATTAAAACTCAACAATAAGAAAACAACCCAATTAAAAAGTGGGCCAAAGATCTGAACAGATACCACCGAAAAAGATATACAGATGGCAAATAAGCACACGAAAATTGCTCCACATCATATGTCATTAGGGAATTGCAAATTAGAATAAAATGAGATACCACAGCATGCCTATTAGAATGGCTAAAGTCCAAAAGGCTGACAACACCAAATGCTGGCAAGGATGTGGAGAAACAGGTACTTTCATTCATTGCTGGTGGAATGCAAAATGATACATGCACTTTGGAAGGTATTTTTGCAGTTTCTTACAAAGCTAAACATCATCTGACCTTATGATTCAGCAATCTCACTCCTTGGTATTTACCTAAAGGATTTTAAAACTATGTCCACACAAAAATTTGCACATGGGTGTTTATAGCGGCTTCATTTATAAAACTTGAAGGCAACCAAGATATTCTTCAGTGAATGGATAAACTGTGGTACATCCAGACAATAGAATATTATTCAGCCCTAAAAAGAAACAAGCTATCAAGCCATGAAAAGACAAGAAGGAAAGTTAAATGCATATTGCTAAGTGAAAGAAGCCAATCTGAAAGGCTCCATACTGTATAATTTGAACTATATAACATTCTGGAAAAGATAAAACTGTGGAGACAGTAAAAACATCAGTGCCTGCCAAGAGTTCAGGAGGGTGGGGAGATGGATGAATATGCAGAATGCAGGACATTTTTAGGACAGTGAAACTGTATGATAATGGTGGATATAGGACATCGTGAATTTGTCAAAACCCATAGAACTATACAATAGAAAGAATGAACCCTAATGTAAACCATGGACTTTTGGCTCATAGTATGAACCAATAGTGGTTAACTGGTTGTAATTCTTTGATAAACTAGTTGTAATTAATACACCACACTACTGCAAGATGTTAATAGGAGAAATTAAGCAGAGGGAGGTGGTGAGGAGAGGAAGTATATGGAACTCTCGGTACTTTCTATGCAGTTTTTCTGTAAACCTAAATGTGCTCTTAAAAATATATGTGTGTGTGTTTGTGTGTGTGTATATATATACATGTGTGTGTGTGTGTATGTGGCTCCACAGAGGAGCTAGACTAAATCTGTCTCTGGGGAAGTCAGGGAAGGCTTCCTGGAGGAGGCAAACCCTGCAGTGAGTTCTAAAGAGGAGGAAGAGGAGGAAACATAGAGAAAAGGGGACTATGGGAATACAGGTTATTACAAGTGTAAAAGGCTGAATAATGGCTTCCCAAAGATATCAAGTCTTTAAAAAATTATTTTTTTTTTAGAGACAGGGTCTCACTATGTTACCCAGGCTGGTCTTGAACTCCTGGGCTCAAGTGATCCTCCTGCCTTGGCTTCCCAAAGAGCTGTGATTATAGGCATGAGCCACCACACCCACACCCCAGAGATACCAAGTCTTAATCCATGGAACCCGCAAATGTTGTAATATAAGGAAAAACATCTTTGTATAAGAGGCACAATTAAGTTAAGGATCTTGAGATGAGATTATTTTGGTCTATCCAGGTGAGCTTTAAATCTAATCACAAGTGTCCTTAAAGAGAGAAGCAGAGGGAAATTAGACACGTGGAGGAGAAGGTGATGTGGAAATGGAGGCAGAGATTGGCATGATGCAACCACAAGCCAAGGAATGCTGGCTGCCACCAGAAGCCTCTGGAGGGAGGGTAGCTCTGCTGATACCTTGATTTCAGCCAAGTGAAAATGACATTGAACTTCGGGCTGCCAGAACTGTGAAAGGTAAATATCTGCTGTTTATAAGCCACCAAGTTTGTGATAATTTATGGCAGTCACAGGAAACTAATACAACAAGCAAATGCAATAATATATTTCTAGAGCACGTATTGCATGTCAGATGCTTTTTTTTTTCTTTTTTTGAGACAGAGTCTCACTCTGTCACCCAGGCTGGGGTGCAGTGGCATGACCTCGGCTCACTGCAACTTCTGCCTCCCGGGTTCAAGCAATTCTCCTGTCTCAGCCTCCTGAGTAGCTGGGATTACAAGCGCCCACCACCACTCCCAGCTAATTTTTGTATTTTTAGTAGAGATGGGGTTTCGCCATGTTGGTCAGGCTAGTCTTGAACTCCTGACCTCAAGTGATCCACCCGCCTTGGCTTCCCAAAGTGCTGGGATTACAGGTGTTAGCCACCGCACCCGGTCTGCCAGATGCTATTCTAAGTGCTCCGCATGTAGTGATTCATTTAATTCTTGTAACAACAAATGAAGTAGATACTGTTATTATCCTCATCCTCATTCTGTATATGGAAAAACCAAGGCTCAGAGAAGTTAGGTAATTTGACTCAGGTCACCACTGCTAGTAAATGCTATAGGTGGCATTCAAGGCCAGGCAGACCAGCTGCAGAATCCTTGTGCTTAACCACCGGGTAACACTGGCTTTGGACAGGAAGCAGCTGTAGTATGTGTAGGGGATACACATGAGGTTTGGGAGTGAAGCAGTGAGCAGCAAGAACAGGCTACAAGGGTCAGCAGGAGCAGACCATGGGATCTCACTGTCATCTAAAGATCCAGCTTGAGAGTGCTGCATCAGAATCACCCCCAAGAAATTATACACACCTAGACTGCTGAGCCCCACCCTGTTTCAGATTCAGTGAGGCTGAGGTGTGGCCTGAGAATTTGCATTTCTATCAATTGCCAGGTGATGCTGCTACTGCTGGTCCAGGGACCACACTTTGAGAACCACCATTCTTATTGTTGTTCTAGGTGATGAAAAGCTATTCAAGAGTTTCAAGCTGAGAATTAACACTGTTGGAACTACACTTTAATAAATTACCTAAAGGCTATGTGGGAAACATGCAAAGGTGTCAGAAGCAAAAGCTCAATATTTAAAATAGGAAAAAAGTATAGCTGTTCTGTTTCCAGAAGGAAGTAACAAGGAATTACTATTATATGGTAATTCAGCTTGTAGACTCTAGCATCTGTGAGACCTTAGGTAAATTACTAAACTTCTCCAAGCCTCAGCTGTCTCATCTATAAAGTGGAATTAGAATCATGAGGGTGAAATAAGCTAAAGAAAGTATAACACTTGCCATATAGTAAGCACCCATTATATAGAAGATGTTTTTATGTTTATTATTATATTATTAGGAGGGGCAGGGCAGAAGCTCCACCCTCCAGGATGGAATACTTGATCTCTGAGGCTTTTTTTTTTTTCATCTTAACACATGTATTTCAACATAACTATGCTTACAGGAATGTACTCATATTGGTTAGCAAAGTGTATATTAATTTGACTTATCCAAAGCAATTTGGACCAAAAAGTTGTACATGCATTTTGGGAGGCTGAGGTGGGAGGATTGCTTGAGCTCAGGGGTTTGATGCCAGACTGGGCAACATCATAAGACCCCGTCTCTACAAAAAGTTAAAAAAAATTTTAAAAATCATCTGGGCATGGTGGTGTGCACCTGTAGTCCCAGCAGCTCAGAAGGCTGGGCTGAGGATTGCCTGAGCTCAGAGTTTAAGGCTGCAGTGAGCTGTGATTACATCACTATACTCCGGCTGAGTGACAGAGCAAGACCCTGTCTCAGGAAAAAAAAAAAATTGTACATGGTTTAAATTTTAAACAGAAAAAAACCACAAGACTCACAATCTGGATTTTTTTTTCTTTTTGTCTATTACAAATGTATGAAGGATCCTCCCTCAAATGCTGTAAGGCAGGCAGCAAAAACATGGAGAAATTTGCATTTAGTTTACTTTAGAAAAATAACATGTGATGCACTGTAAAAGGCTAAAAATTGGAGCAGGAAAGCATCTTTGTCATATTTTAATGCCAGATTACACAAATCTAATAATTATAGTGTAGCCTTAGGGTGGAGGAGGGTATGTACACCTGTGAGACAAGTGCAGTAGCTGTGTACATCAAGTTCATGTGGTATATAGCTTCTAAATCTATACTCTCTAAGAGTCAACTATTCCCTAAGTCTCAGATAACACTATCGGTCTGAAGGACATTTTGAAAAACACTGGATTCGATCATTTTCTAAACATCAAGTTCTAAAATTATATGGTTTTAAGTGAACATTTTTCCTGACAAGTGAATTAGACTGATTTTTGCCAGATTTATAGAGGCAGGCATTGAATAATGTGCCTGGTCTTTCAAGGTGCTGGAAACGTTTTCTATGTTAGGCCATTAATCTTGATCACATTTCAATGAGACATGGAAAAAGTAGGTCTCGTCCGCCTTAAGTTTTAGATGAATAAGGCACTGAAAGTCTACACCCAAGGTCGCTGAAGAAATCTGTTTCAGAGCTGCCACTAGATTCTGTGCCTCTGGAGATCTCTTCCAAAGGACTTCCTGTTAGATTGTGCTGATACCCTTAAATAAGAGAATTCATGTGGAGTTTCAATCAGGAGGAATCTGGTCAACCAGAGTATCACAAGACTCGGCAAATGTTTATATTAAAAAACAAGCTAGGGGATAATCAGCTTTTTTCTTGTTTGCCAATATACCGAGAAAAAAAGAATCTTATTTTTGTTTTACTTTACAGTTCCTTAAAAGACATTGAGTATTTTTTCATATAGTTATGGGCCATTTTAATTGTGTCATTTGAATTGCCTATTTGAATCCTTTGTCTGTTTTTCTACACTTCTGTCTTCTTATTAAGGACATTAGTTCTGTGTTATATATTTTTGGAAAGTTTTTCCCATAGCCTGTTGCTGATATGAATGTGTTGTACACTTTAATGTCCAGAGAGAATGTAGTTTCTTCATTTTGTCCCTTGTCCATCATCTTCATGAGGCCTACCTGCTGAAGAGAAAACTAACTAAATGTCAAGCCAATTTACCCCTTAGCCTGATTTAACAATTTAAACAGGCCTTTTAGGTAATGCTCATTTTTAGGGGATAATTGTTTAGTCAATCTTGTATGCACCCCACCACCACTTTCTCCACTTTCACCACTGCTTCTCCCAAGATCAGATTTGGTAGATGAAAGAGGTGGGCTAATGTGAGCTCAGGAGACAGAGTGAAGGAGTGCTCAGGAATGTGCACAGTGCTCCAGGTCCTCACTAGCACCATCTGTAAAACAGCTGTCCTGGTGCTCACTGGGTGACCGTTGGCTCCATCCAAGCCACATGTATTCAGTAAGCATCTACCACTGGCATTCTGCAGCTGGTGACACCAAAGTCTATTTCTTCTCAGCCTGGTAAGAACCATAGCAGCCTCCCCACTCCCTTGGCTTCCTCTGGTCTTTGCTGGATTGCAGACTCCACTGAGCATCTGCCACATATTTCCTCTTTATAAATTTTCTTTATAAATTACCCAACCTCAAGTATTTCCTTATTGCAACACAAACACATATATATATATTTATATACACATAAACACACATATATACAAATATAGGAATACATCCATACAAATATATATGGCCCTCCGGCCTAGGTGACCAACACTTAAGTGTTTGGTGCAGGGCCAACCCACCCACTTTATAACAGGCTCCGATGGCTCTTAACTTGGTGTATCCACTTGGAGAAGCACAGGAATTCAGAAATACAATGACCTCTACCCAATCTGTCCCTCTCCTAACGTTGCTGCACACCACCATGTTAGGTGTGCAGCCCGGGCACACAACCCGGGCACAGCCATGTCCTCCACAACCCATGTAGGAAGTAAAGCAAGAGCTCTTCTGCCCTTATTCTCCTCAATTGATCTGACATGTCTTCCTCTCTTAGGACATGTGTCCAGTGATTTACTCTTCTACTATGTTGCCCAGTTCTTCTTCCCACAGTCTCCCAGGACTGGAAAGAGTGAATTTACCCTGGTTCTCCTTCTGTCTGGCTGGGAGTTCTCTAAGGTAACATGCTATCATCTGTCTCTGATTCCTGTCCCTTGGTATCCTTGTTCCTTGTGGCAAAATCCTATCCTGAATGTCAGTTGCTGATTATTAATGCTGTCTTGGCAGAAACAATATGCTTCTACTGTTTTCTTTGAGTTCTTACCATTTTTTATGTTTAGCTCTTTAAGCCATATGAACTTTTGTATATTGTATGAATCAAGGATATAACTTTCTATTTTTCTCCATGGATAGCTACTTGCCACTGTACCGTTTACTGAATCCAAACCCCACTGATTTTTATCACAGATGAATTTTCCATTAATACATTGATCTGTTTCTAGATTTGTTCCTCTAGCTCTGCAATATCATGGTAAGTAATTGTAGGGAATGTTCTGAGTCATTTTTCCTAAGTTGGGTTTTGTCCTTTGCCTGCTATATTCCTTTTCACCATATATATTTGTATGGATGTATTCCTATATTTGTATATACATGTGTGTGTATACATGTATGTATGTATATGTATGTCTGTTTTGTGTTGCTATAAAGGAATACTTGAGGCTGGGTAATTTATAAAGAAAAGAGGTTTATTTGACTCATAGTTCTGTAGGCTATACAAGAAGCATGGCTCTGGCATCTGCATCTGGTGAGGACCTCAGGCTGCGTCCATTCGTGGTGGAAAGCAAAGGGCAGCCAATGTTTGCAGAGATCACATGGCAAGAGAAGAAGCAAAGAGAGATGGGGAGAGGTGCCATGCTCTCTTTAACAACCATCTCTTGTGGGAACCAATATTGTAAGAACTCACTCAATCATTCCCCTGCTGCCAGAGAAATCATTAACCTGTTCATGAGGGGTCCACCCCCATGACCAAAACACCTACCATTAGGTCCCACCTCCAACACTGGGGATCTAATTTCAACATGAGATCTGGAGGGGAAAAACATCCAAACTATAGTAATGTATACACATATAGATGTAAGTGTGTGTGTCTATATGTCTTGCAAAATTTCCATGTATTTTCTTTCATTTTGCTAATGCTTGGAAGCTCTGCTAGATAATTCCATTTGTTCTTACATAATATATGTGATTTCTTTATGTTCTTTTCACTATATTTAACAGTATTTTGCTTCCCTGAATCTACATATTGATAGCCCACTCTCATTTTCTATCATCTAAAGAATGATATTTGGGGTAGTGAAGGACAATTGTTCTCACCTGAGATTTTTTTACAGTTGTTATAGTATCTGGGTTCCACCTCCTCTTCTGGGATATAGGTGACTGTCCTATTACAAGACTCTTTCACCTGCAGAGTGGGAAGGAGTGAAACAGCCTATTCCCATTGGCTTCACTTTAAAGTGAGTGGATGAGAGCCTGGGGTACCCTGAATGCCAGAATGAGAAGGACTTTATCGGGAATATCAAGTCCACACTAGCTGCCCCAGTTTATCCCCGTTGATTTGTTCTATTACTTAAGGAAAAATCCTTCCAGTCCACTTTTGACCAAGGAATGAATACCCAGTTGCTGTTGAGGTTGATGAAGGAGAAAGGGTAGGTATGTGGAGCCACATAATCTGTATCTGAATCTTCAATCAGTCCCATTGATTTCCACCCCACCTGTCAACTCAGACTTTTGAATCTGGAAGTTCTATGTAGTCTGCTGGGTAGATCAACTGCCTCTTGTATTTATGTTAGTGTTAATTTCCTTGACTCATCTTTATTATTAAATATTTGCTTTCTGGGTGTGCCCTATCTTGTTGTGGGCTTATACTTTTTAAAAAAATTTTGTTTATCATCATTTTAATGGGAGTCTCAGTAGGAAGAGTAGATAAATGTTTGTGCTTAATTAACCACCTGAATTGAAAGCATTTCCCTCTGGTTTACACATTTGATAATTCTTCAGAACTGTGGGTCTGTTCACGGTGTTCTTTTGGTTTCCGGCATTTGATGGAGATATCTATAGACATTGTAGATGTAGATATAGATACACTTTCCCCTGTGACTTCATAGAATGAACCCAAGGGGAAACTCATGTACGTTCAATCTGTGTCTTTTTTTTTTTTTTTTTTTTTTTTAGATGGAGTTTCACTCTTTTTGCCCAGGCTGGAGTGCAATGGCGCAATCTCGGCTCACCGCAACCTCCGCCTCCCGGCTTCAAGTGATTCTCCTGCTCAGACTCCCAAATATCTGGGATTACAGGCATGCGCCACCATGCCTGGCTAATTCTGTGTTTTTAGTAGAGATGGGGTTTCTCCATATTGGTCAGGCTGGTCTCGAACTCCCAACCTCAGGTGATCCGCCTGCTCGGCCTCCCAAAGTGCTGGGATTACAGGCGTGAGCCACCATGCCCAGCCTCAATCTGTGTCTTAATCCAGCCTCTCTAGCTATCTTTCATTAAGAAGCAACCCCCTCAGGATCTGTATTTCCGTGATTATGTTTTAGGGACTAATTGAGCCTGCGACACACCTTCTTTCTTGACCTCAAGCTGGATTTCAATACCAATGATCTCAAGAACTGACTATTGGAAGGAGACTCCCTGACACCTCTGACCACCCCGGGAATCATGTAGCTTGCAGCCTGTCACCACAAGCCTCCTGGTGGGAGTCAGGAGTGTATGGTATGAATACCAACACCTGCTGGAGATGGCACATATGCTTAAAGCTAACTTTCCCCATCAAACTTTCCTCCTCCACCAACAACATCACTGAAAGGACAGAATCCCATATCCTAGATGCTCCTTTGACACAAAAACCTGGAGAAATCACTGGGAGTAGTTCCTTCTTTCCTCTTGTTCAAACACTCACTCATCCCAAACCAAGTCTTCACCTTGAACCCAAATGCTAAATCAGGTTCCTTCTAATCTGGCAGTGTCTCTACCACATGCGCTAAATTCCAATAGAAGTATAGCCTGTTTTTGAAAGTAGGGTAAAAATAGATCCTATTTTTAGGATAAAAATAAATCAGGGTAAAAATATTTAAAAGCAATCTTTCTAATTACCATATTTTATAAAAGACACAGAGCAAGTGTGAAGATGCTTGTTTGTGAAGTGATGTGCAGCTATTGATGAGGGGCAGGGCAGACCCCTTGCCCTTGCCTGGGCTCCAGGTCCACAGTATAGGGGTAAGAGCTCGAGCTCTGGGGTCAGACTGTAAGAATCTTGATCTGCTTCTTATTGTCTGGTTTTAGACAAGTCACTTAACTTCACTAAGCCTAAGCCTTAGTTTCTTCATTTGCGAAATGGAAGTAATAACAGTAACTGTCATTAAATTCTCACTCCACTCCTTACCCAAGAATTTATTTCAAATGGACAAAGCTGAATGTTTACCCAAAACAACTATAAAACCAGCAAAGTAACTACAGGTGAACATTTTAAATTCTTGAGAAAAGGAGGACACTAAGCATTTCAGCTATTGATTAAGCAAAAACTTCATGGCTCAAAACAACCACCATATTTGTAACCACGATTCTGCAACTGGACTGGCCTCTAGTGGGAAGCACTTTGCTGGTGTTGCCAGTGGTCACTCAACTCAGGTGTGGAAATCTCAATGGTTTCATTCACATGTCTGGTGCCTCCACGAGGAGGGCTGGAAAAGCTGCGACCTAGTCAGATATGCCCCTCTTTCTCTCATAGCATGGAGTCTCAACATGTCTGGACCTCTTTAGATGTTGGCTCAAGTCTCGGTGATAGAGCATTCCAAGAGGAGACGTTTCAAGGTGTAAGTTTCAGTGTGTAAGTTTCAACGTGTAAGTGCTTATCAAGCTTTTTCCTTGCATCATGCTTTGCTAATTTCTCTTTGGCCAAAGAAAGCTTCATGGCCAAGTTGCAGTGGGAGGGGACCACAAAAGGGCATGGATGCTTGGAGGCATGATTCATTGGGAAACATTAATGTAACATTCTTCTACACTAAGGCAAGAAATGAAATAGAAAACCATTTTTTAAAAAAAAAAACATGTATTTGACCACATGCATTTAAAAATTTGTCTTTGGAAAAACATCATTATTTAAATTGAATGAAGGAAATATATACATCTTTCATATGCAAAAAGTCTTACAAATTAATAAGAAAGCATTCAGTCAGAAAATGGGCAAAAGGCAAGAACAATTTCCAAAAGAAGAAAAATGAATTGCCAATAAGCATACAAAAATGTTTCAACCTAACTAGTAATCAAAGAAGTGTACATTTAAAATAATTATATTATTCCATTCCCACATTTCATTGGCAAAGATAATGTGGTAGATTATATTTTTTACCAGTTATTCACTGCCTCTTCCTTTTCAAGGATTATAACTCTCTGCTTCACTGAAATCAGCCTTTGCAGTATGACTTGCTCTGACCAGTGAAATGTAAGCAAGTGTGATATGTGTCATTTCTGAGCAGAGAATTTTTAAGAGTCATTCTGGAGTTTCATTATCCCTCTGCTTCCTTTGGCATCAGACTGAGATGGGGCTGCTCCTTTAGTCTGAGCCCTGAGATCAATGGCACATGGAGAAGAGCTTAAGTCAATCTGCAGCTAACATATGTGAAAAGGAAAAAAATGTTGGTTGTAAGCCACTGCCATTTGCCAGGTCATTAGTTACTGCAGCATAATCTCACAAACACTGACTGACACAAATTACAGCGTTGGCAAGTTCATGAGGAAATGAGTATTCTTGTGACTGTTGGATGGAATAAAATTGGTCTAACCTTTCTAGAGGGCAATTTTTCAAGTGTATCACAGTTACAGTAATTGTAACTTTTGACTCAGTAATATATCTCCTGGAAATTTATTCTAAGACCATACACATAGAAGTACACAAGATATATGCAAAAAGATTCTCACTGCAGCCTTAGTTATTGTGGAAAATAACCTAAATTATTTCTTCAGTACATATCTTATTTGCCTCCACAGGTTTTCTTAGCTGTCTCATTGACCCTGGTTTGCTTTGTTTTACCTAAGCACTTGCTATGACTGACCTGCTAGGTGTAGACCTATAAAAATCTACCTCCTGGGGCCGTCAGCTACACATTTACAGTCTCTGGTCCTTCCTGTCACTTCCAAATTTAGATAGAGAATCTCATTTCAGGACATGGGATGTGGTTTGGCAAGTGACTCCCAAAGATGCTGAGTGATGTGAGGGAGTAAACTTCCTCATGAGACAAAATTTGACCAGTGGAAGAAAGAAGTCAAAAGGAGGCAGCAGATAAATACCTTCCCCTTCTTTCCTTTAAAAGACTGTTCCAAGATAGGATTTCTCCATACGGCCTTTCTGAGCACATAGTGCCTGATCCAGGAAGTGCCCCCGCTAACAGACTTTGCCTCTGAGAGTGTCATCAGGAAGCAAAACACATTGCATGGTGTTGCTCCTTCTCTGCCACTATTCCCTGTATCTTTTCCTCCACTCTTGCTGCCCTAGAATTGCATGTCCCAGTTAAAATCTGGGCTTATACAAGTTGGTTTTGAAAGTTGGTTTTAAAAATCAATTATGCCAACAGCAGCAATTTAAAATGGTGATGTACACCTATATTCACTAACTAGGAAAGAGCTGCGAGTCATAACTTTGGAGGTAAGTTACACTTGATTGCTTCTAGAAGGTAAGAGTTTGAATAGTTTTCATTCTTCTTTTAGTCAGTATGCATTTATTGTTGCACGTTCTCCAGTGAATATGTATTATAGTTATAAACAGAATAGTTTTTTAAGAGCACAAACAGTTCTTACACTAAAATGTTGCCAAAGTTTTGACGCTATATAATTTATTCTAATGAAGAAATTTTAATAAATAAATATATCAATGCTATGTCTACATGGAAGTAATTTTTACATGTGTAAATAGATCCATACATAGTGTACAAAGTACATAAGCCATTTTTGAGGGAACTTTTATCAAATTAATTTCTTTTATATTAGACTGTCTACTGACAAACTGCTTTACTCAGCTTCCAGTTTCAGAAACAACATTTAATAATTGCTTATTCACAAAGAACAGCAGTCCCTTTATTCACTCAAAAATTTTTGGCTTACAGCCTTGTAGGCAGAGTTCACTGCACTATTTATAACTGTCCACACAAATTGGTCATAAAAGGATGGTATTTGGGGTTAGGTCATTCAGTTCCCTGCAGAACTCAGTAATAAACCTAGTAGCTACACTTAGAAATGCTACTTTATTATTTATATTTAGAGTTTTTTTCTATTTAAAGTACAACAGTTTATTTAAATCAGCAACTTATATTTGAGTAAAGCTTTTTTTTCTGTTTCCAGCAGGTAGTTTACTTAATATTCATGTGCAATATGAAATAGAAAGATTCCTGTTCTTGGAAGAAAAATCTATTAGAATCAATTTTCCCTAGTCGCTGATATATATGGAGTTTCCGTGCTTGGGCAAGTCCTTGAAAACAAATGCAGAAACAAACTTTTAAATCCTTTATAAACCCCCATCATGTGGGAATGATAATATATAATTACCTCACTTGTTAAATAGCTCTATCTGTTCCTCAAAGGTTTATTTAAATATTGTTCTTTCATGAAAGGATGTTTTAAAACAAAAATAGGGGGAAGGAGGGGAAATAGAAGTGCTCAATAAACAGGTTTATTAAGGGAAATTAAAAATCTTCGTGGTTTCATATATTCTACTGTGGACTATGAATGATGGACTTCGGTCTCGAGGTTGAATTTGGTTTTTAATAGATGTAAATTCAAATATTTGGATTTTCTGGATCTAAAGCCAAAAACTTAAACAAATGAACATTTTAAAGTAATATTTGATTATTCTCTGAAAGAAAAGTAATTCTGCCTGTCTAATCCAGTAATTTACATAATTTAGTGATTTGCTTGTCGATAATGAACAAATTGCCCTTGCCCTAGTATATTACTGTAATGGTTCATTTTCATTAAGACGTCTGTGGCTGGGCACGGTGGCACATACCTGCAATCCCAGTACTTCAAGAGGCTGAGGCGGATGGATCGCTTGAGCTCAAGAGTTTAAGACCAGCCTGGACAATATGGCGAAATCCTGTCTCTAGAAAATACAAAAAATTATCTGGGCCTGGTGGCACGTGCCTGTAGTCCCAGCTACCCAGAAGGCTAAGTGGGAAGATCACTTGAGCCCGGGAGGTGGAGGTTGCAGTGAGCCAAGGTCGCGCCACTGCACTCCAGCCTGAGCAACAGAGTGAGACCCTGTCTCAAAAAAAAAGACGTCTGCCAACTTTTCAAAAAAGGGGTAAAGCTTTTTTTCAAGTGTGCAACCTAAACAGAAAAATGCGGAGTCAAATTAAAAAACACACTAAAAAAGAAAGGCTTGCCAAATTCTAGATTCAAATGAATTGGGAAATAGATGAGTCGATGGTTCATTACAGATGTGGTACCAATGTACAGAAGTAGTCTGAAAAAGATAATTATGAAATAAGCCACAATTGACTCTGAAAGGCCACTTAGGGTAGAGCAGAGAGGATGAAATGATCATTAAAATCAATGGTTAAGGCAAAAAACATCATCTTCTAACACACATTTCCTACACCTGGTGCTGTATGTAGTCAGAAGGGGTATGTGGATAACAATGTGAAATATGGAATAAAGAAAATAATCAATATTTCAAGCCTAATACCAATGAAATCACTGGTGTTCCCTCACTCTCCCAGGAACTGGGTTCCAGAGTTTCTTACACATTCTTCTTGCAGTACTAAGTGCTCTGAAGCTCAGGGTTGTTGATGCGTGCTCCATACGGCCTGTTCTCTTCTCTGTCTCCCAGGCTCTGCCCATTACCCAGTAGTGATAAAACTAAGAAAAAGTTTTCCATCCCTTCATGGCCTCTGCAGCCCTCACTTCTTGTGATTGGAGTCAATCTTCCTGTTAACTTTGTGACATATTCTTCCTCATGTCATTACTGTCATAAGTCTAGTCACTTCTAAGGATATTCTACTGCCCTCCTGAGAAAAAGAAAATTTTCTCCACAAGGATTTCAACACTTTTGTAAGGCCTCAGGCAAAAACTTGGCCCCATTTTGCTTGTTGCACCTGGTGCCACTAGATAGCGCTCTCATTTTATTCTTCCCAGTCTACCATCGTCACCAGTTTACATGATGCTTAGTCATACATCTGTCCATGGATACATAATAGCATTTTTCAGTGACCACCAGAGTCAGTAACTGTGCTCAGTCCTGGAAATTTAATGTCGAGCAAAGTCAAAACCAACCTCAGACCTTTTGGAACTTCCTTTCTAGGGAGAGGGGAGATATGGATCCAATAACCACCAAATGCATAATTAGAAACTATGTTAAGTGTTGTGAAGGAAAGGCTCAGAAAGCTGTTAGAGCATATATGAGGATACTCATCCATCCTGGCAGAAATGAGGGGTTTGTTCCAGGGAAGGCTTCCCTAAGCAAGTAACATTCATGCTGATATCTGAGTTTTCTATGCAAAAAGAAGAAAGAAGGTTTCAGGCAGAAGCAAGAATATGTGTTAACTCCATGACACATTCAGTAATGAAAGAAGGTTAGTGTGTAGGAGCTAAATACATCTGGAAACGTTGGGAGGTACTGAAAATCTACACATTCTGGCCAGGAAGTTAAGAAACAAAGCTGTTCAGCACCCTCCTGATTTTCTCAAATATCTCAGTCCTGAAACTGTCAACTTTCTCCATTCTAAGAGGCCCAACTAGGGGAGTCCTTGCTAAGCAGAACCCCCACCACTCCAGACAGATAGTATTGTGACCACGAAATCAGCTTCCTTCTGGTAGAGTACATCATGTGCAACTTTAAAGTTGCAATGTGTAATCAGAAAGGATTCTGACAGCAAAGGGTGGTGCAGTATCCCAGACTGGCAAGATCAAAGAGCTGTTACTATTCCTAGCCTAAAAGAGAATGGAGGGGGAAAAAAAAGCAGTTTTTAGAACTGGTATAGGTTAACTGTATGGAGAGGGCACTCGACAAGAGACACCACGTTTGATAAAAGAATCAGCCAATCTGTGATGGCCTCTTAGGGAGGCAACTGGGAAGAGAAAGAAACCAATCTGTCCTCCCACTCTCCAATCTCTTGTCACTGTTGGAACCCAACTGGAAGCCAGAGAGCAAGGACACCCACATGGGTCATTTTCCCAAGACATATAGCAGAATGTAAAATGGTGAACGGGCATACCCGATGGTAGTCAGGAGAGTTAAAGCATAGTGCCCAGTTTCAAATCTTAGAGGTGCCACTGAGAAGGGGCGTGGTCTTAGGAAGGTTAACTCATCTCTCCATGCTTCAATTTCCTCATCTTTAGAATGGAAATAATGCCAATAATACATTGGTTTGTTTTAGAGATTCATAAAGTGCTTAGAGTAGTGCCTGGCACATGGCTAGTGCTTACAAATATTCTTAATTTTTCTCTTAATTCATTTTACAGAAGAAACTGCAATTTAAAGAAGATAAATGACTTATTCAAGATCCCATTGCCAGAAGGGGCATAATCAAACCCAGAATCCAGGCCTTCTGGTTCTTGTCTTAGCACTGTTCTCTTCCCCAAGCTGTCTCTTCCACGCCCTTCTCCAGAATCACCACCATAATTATTACTGAACTGACTAATTCAGTGAGCACATTCTAAATTTCTTTCTGTTTGTTGGTTTATGGAATATTCACACTTTAAAAAATTTATTTTTTAAATAGGAAACTATTCCTCCTATTCTCTATAGCTTAATGCAAATAGAAACCTGAGCCCCTTCCTCACCCAGTTAACTTGGAATTATAGACCCTATCATGGTAAATGTGAGGTTGATGACAACGGGGCCTTTTTGGACTTCTCAGTGGAAAACTCTCAGCTGTACAGTCAACTTGGGAGCCTCTTAGGTTTTCTCATATACTCAAAGAAGAACTGAGGGATGACAGGTTAGATTTAACTAACTGAAATGCCTCAGAACAATTAATAACCCAAATAATTGGAATGGGTGGAACCAACCATCTTCTCGGTCTTAGGAAACATCCTACTAGAAGTTCCAGATCTGAGACAAGTATTCACAAGCTCACCCAGTGTTTATGTCAGTGGCCCTACCACACGATGAGACAACCAGGAATGAGATCTTAACTTTATCTTTGCCTCTGCTCTGTTGCTTGTTCCCCAAGTTCACCAGGTCACTAAGTCCTATATGTGTAAAGTAGCCAAGTAATTTATCATCTAAGTTAGGATGCTGTTGAGATAAGGGGGTAGTATTAACTATTACACTGGGAAAACAGGCACAAGCATGAACTCTCCTGGGCAAATTGGGACATATAATCATCCCAATCTTAGAGCACTTTGACTCCTATCACATCCTCCCTCATGACGTACATGCTACTGTAAGAAAAAGTCTAGTTATATCCTTATATCTAACTGTACAGAATAGACTTATTGTTGTAATCATTATATAAAAACAATGTATTAAGACTTACATGTTTACCATTTTCTCAGCCTTTTTTTTTTTTTTTTTTTTTTTTTTTTTAGATGGAGTCTCACTCTGTGGCCCAGGCTGGACTGCAGTGGTGTAATCTCGGCTCACTGCAACCTCCGCCTCCTGGGCTCAAGTGATTCTCCTGCCCCAGCCTCCTGAGTAGCTGGGATTACAGGTGCACACCACCACATCTGGCTAATTTTTGTATTTTTAGTAGAGAAAGGGTTTCACTATCTTGGCCAGGCTGGTCTCAAACTCCTGACCTCAGGTTATCTGCCCACCTCAGCCTCCCAAAGTGCTGGCATTACAGGTGTGAGCCACTGCGCCCAGCCAAACAAAGACTTTACTGTTGAAATCTATTGTTATTTTATTTATTTATTTATTTAAAGCTGAGTTTCCACAAGAAGATCAAGTTATTTTGTGTCTGAACAAGTAATCTTTCAATCTCAAACTTTGCTGTTAAATCTTAAATGCAGATTGATAATGAGACTTGAAGAGTCAATAAATCCTGGCATAAGTCTCCAGTCTATGACTAAGGGGTAATAACAATACAAAATAATACATACTTGGGCTTGGGAGAGAAAGTATCTAGATTGTCAAAGCCTCCTCTTCTATGCACCCCATAATCCTTCTGTTGCCCTTTTACCCGTCTCAACTCTAATATTAGTATTCATTCTCTCTGATTCAAAGAATTTATCTTTGTGGGGCCAGGCGCGGTGGCTCACGCCTATAATCCCAGCACTTTGGGAGGCCGAGGCGGGCGGATCACAAGGTCAGGAGATCGAGACCATCCTGGCTAACAAGGTGAAACACCATCTCTACTAAAAATACAAAAAATTAACTGGGAGTGGTGGCAGACACCTAATAGTCCCAGCTACTGGGGAGGCTGAGGCAGGAGAATGGCGTGAACCCAGGAGGCGGAGCTTGCAGTGAGCTGAGATCACGCCAGTGCACTCCAGCCTGGGAGACAGAGCGAGACTCCATCTCAAAAAAAAAGAATTTATCTTTGTGGTAGTGCCATAGCCTTCGGGTAGAGAGAGCTGATGAAATTTAACTTCTGATTATCTCAGGAAGCTGAGCTAAGTCAGTAATGAATGTGTACTTTGTAATTTTGTCTATTTGAACATTCACAACCTGCTGTTAGCCTTTTAAAAATCTCAGAAGTTTTAGGTTGAATAATATAAAACAAAAGCATCATAAAATTCACTAGAGAGAAAAAAATTGATTTTTTAACTAAGACTTTAAAAAGTAAATAGTGTATGTTCAAAGGAAGATTAGCGAATTGCTACAGTCACAGCTCAGTAACATTGGACTTGAACATCTATTGATAGTAAGTACTACGTTTAGCATTCATATGAAGATTATGTCTATAGACCTCAACAGTTTCATGATGCTGCCAAATAAAAATATTTTAATTTGCCTTTCAATTTTCCACACTTAATAGAGTCACATGCTATAACATTCCTTATAGATCAAGGATGCAAACATTTTCAGGGTTTAAGCTACAGGATTAGGAGGATTAAGCTAAGGATTAGGAAGAAAGATCATTACAATTCTCTGTCCTGTATGGGTTAACAATAAGCCTCAGCCTTTTTCTAACAATATTTGCTTTAGATAGAGATAATAGGTAGTCAAATAAATAAGTACTTCGAGGGCAGTACTTTGTGCCCAGTACGCTATCAGGAACCATGGACATTCGGAAAGAAGTCAAAGATGTCATCCCTGCATTTAGGAAATGCACACACTTGTTGGAGAGTAAGAATGTATATTTCTGTATCTACACAGCATTAAAAAGATCCACAGTGGGAGAGAGGAATATGGAAGCAAAATATTGGACAGAATGTGTTATTGACATAGATTCAACTATCTGTACCATAGACTTTAGAAAGGGGAAGCTAACTTTAGGCAGAAGTTAGTCACATAAGGCTTCATGGAGGAGGGGGGAGCCTTCAGACGAAAGTGGAATTTCTGGAGTTATATTAGAAAAGGGAAAGTGTTCCAGGGAGAGAATGGCACAAGCAAAGACACTAAAATAGTCCCTCCTTTATTAATCCATTCAGCAACCATTTAATGAGCACTTAGCTCATATGAAGACCAGTAACCAATATCTTCAAAGATGAAATGAAAGATGAAATCATGCTTCCTATCTTTATGGGAAAGGCTTAGGAGGAACTTCAATCTTATAATCCAGTACTATTCTGTAATCAGCTTTTGATGAGTATTTATTAAAAGAATGAGGCTTATCCTACTTTCCCAATGCATCTTCTTTCTTTCACATAATACCATCTATCCAGCTGACTCACATTCTTCTCTCTTTCATAAGATTGTTTCCCACTTGCTGCTCTCACTGCCCACAGTCATCAGCAACGTCAGCAGTTCACAGGGTGGGTGGGTGGGGGTTTCCAGAAACCCAGCTGGGATGTGTGGGTTAATAAAATCTGGAAGCAAGAGCTACCCGAGGACAGGCTAAGGAGTGATCATAGTTAGGAGCAGCCCAATAGCACTGTCATCTGGCAGCTGAGACAACAAATCATGGGAGAAAACAGGGATCATGACCTGCCGGCTGCTGTCAGCTGAAGCAAAGTGTAGGCAAATAGATCATATGCCATCCCCTGCCCTGAATCCTGAAGAGTTTCAGGTTCACATTCATTCTAAATGCAAGGCCAGCTCCAGAGAATATTGCAAAATGGGTTCTTAGTCATCAATGCCCTATTAACCTCTTGTTTGCTTCCCCTTTAGAGGCTCTTTTACTGTCCAATTGTGTATTTCATTTTTTCTTTTTCTTTTCTTTTTCCTTTTTTTTTTTTAAATGGGGCTTTGCTCTGTTGACTAGGGTGGAGCACAGTGGTGCGATCATGGTTCACAGTATCCTCGACCTCCCAGGCTCAAGCAGTCCTCCCACCTCAGCCTCCTGAGTAGCTGTGACCACAGACACAAGCCACCATGCCTGGCTAATTTATTAATGTTTTTTTGGTAGACGTGGGGTCTCACTATGTTACCCAAGCTGGTCTTGAACTCCTGGGCTCAAGAGATCCTCTCACCTCGGCTCCCCAAAGTGCTGGGAGCATAGGCATGAGCCACAGCGCCTGGCCTCAATTGTCTGTTTCTTTAGACCAGCAATGAGTTTTCCAAAGCTTTGTTTCCAAGGTAGATAGGCCTTTTCTTTGCCCACACAGAGGCAGCCGATCATTTCTAGAGAAAATAATGCAATTAGAACGGTTGGTTTATGCCATGATCTGAATGTTCGTGTCCCCCAACTTAAATTTGAATGCTGAGATCCTGACCCCCCGGGTGATAGAATTAAGAGATGGGGACTTTAGGGGGTGATTAGGTCGTAAGTGTGGAGCCCTCAAGAATGAGATTCATGCCCTTATGAAAGAGGCTCCCGCGAGTTCCCTTAACCCTCCTGCCAGGTGAAGACACAGGAAGCAGACAGCTGTCTATGAACAAGGAAGCAGGTTCTCACCAGACACCAAATCTGCTGACAGCTTGATCTTGCACTTCCAGCCTTCTGAACTGTGAGCAACAAATATTGATTGTTTACGCCATCAGTCTATGGTGTTTTGTTATAGCAGAAATGGACTTTGCTGCCTTGTATCCATCAACACCCTCTACTACAACAGGAAAATAGAAGTCATCTTTCTTTCCACCATGAAATTTAAACATATCTGCATACATGTTCATTGTCTTAGTCCATTTTGTGCTAGTATAATAGCACAGACCTATAAAGAACAGAACTTATAAAGAACAGAAATCTATTTCTTACCATTCTGAAGGCTGAGAAGTCCAAGATCAAGGCACCAGCATCTGGTGAGGGCTGCTCTTGGCTTCCACAATGGCATTTTGAACACTGTGTCATCCAAAGAAGAGAAACACTGTGTCCTCACATGGCAGAAGACAGAAGGGACAGAGGACCAAACTCCTTCATAAAGGGCTTTTATAACAACATTAATCCATTCATGAAGGTGGAGCCCTTATGACCTAAATACCCCAAAGGCCGCAACTCCCAACAGTGTTGCACTGGGATTAAGTGTCAGCATTCAAATATATTCTAAAACCCTCATTTATAAAGCCTTCTCTTTTACTTAACAAAGATAAAGGTGAAATCTTCCAGTCAATGGTGAGAAGACAGTTATTTTATAAATGATTTTGGGAAACCAGGTAGCCATCTAAAAATAAAACTAAAATTGTCTTAACCCCTCCCACTTGCACCAGGAAAATATACAATTGAATCAAAGATTTCAGAGTAAATAATGAAATTATAAATCAGTTCTAAGAAATCTCGAGAGAATTCTTCGAGAGTTGGAAAAACCTCTCTATGACACAAAACTCAAGAACCATAAACAAAAAGATTTATAAATTTGACAATACGAAAATCAACCATTTCTACAAGGCCGAAGCTACCATAAACAAATTTCAAAGACAAACAGCAAACTGGGAAAATATATATGCAAGATATATTGGAAGCAAAGGGCTACTTTTCCTTATATAAAGAAAGCATGTATAACGTGTTAAAAAAAATCAATAACTCAATTTTTTTAAAGGTACAACAATCCTCCCAATGACTCTTAACCAATAAAACATGTTTAATCTCACTCATAGCTAAAGAATGCAAATTAAAATAATACTGAGCTACCAATTTTCACTTGTGAAATTAGGAAAGGTCAAAAATTTGATAATCTTCTGTGCTGATGAGGTTGTGGGGAAAGAGGCATTTTCATATTGCTGATGGGAATGTAATAGGTACAACTTCTATGAAGAGGAATTTAGCATTATTTACCAAAATCACAACTACTCCTACCCTCTGATCCAGAAAATTCTACATCTAAAAATTTATCTTACAGATTACATGTACACACACTTCCAAAATGTATAAGGTTATTCGTTGCAGCTCAGAAATGAAAAATATTAGCAATAAACATGATCTCTCTCAATAAGAGATAAATCAACAATGGCACACCCCACAAAGAAGTAAGACCTCTGCTCCTTCTCCACACAGCCTGTAAATATCAGCTGTCCTCCACACTCAGTCCTAGACCTTCTTCCATTCCTACTCTTGGTGGTCTCATCCATTGCCAGGGCTTTAAATATCTTCACAGAAATTATCTCATTCCAGAAACCTTATAATAATCTTTTTTGTCTTCCTATCCCTCGTTCTCTTCACTAAATGCTATTAAACTACCTCAAAATTACATTTTAATAGTAAAACAGCTTTATTCATGTATAACTGAAATAAACTGTACATAATTGTAGTACATTATTTGATAAGCTTTGACACAAGTATACATTCAAAACTACCACCATAATCAAGATAATAAACATCTCCATCATCCCCGAAAGTTTCCTAATGCTCCTTTGTAATCCCTCTGGCCCACCTCTCCCTACTCCCCAAACTAGCCACTGATATGCTTTCCATCATGACAGCTTAGTGTGTATTTTCTAGAATTTTATATAAATAGAATCTTACAGTATAAACTCTTCTTTTCATTCTTCTTTCACTTACCATAATTATTTTCAGATTCATCTATGTTTTGTATATTATTAGTTCATTCCTTTTGTGACTGAGTAGTATTCCATTGCATGGAAATATCATAATTTGTTTAAATTCACCTATTGATAAACATTTGAATTCCTTTCATGTTTTCTCTATTATAAGTCAAACTGGTATGGATGCAAACATATATTTAATACATCCAGTTTCCTACATTTAAAAAAGTTCTATGTTTCTTCCTCCTGTTTTTAACACCTTTGCTAACCAACCACCATCTGTGAGTAGGTGTTAAGGGTTTCTTGACTGATCTTCTACTTTCTATTCTTCATTCTACCCTACAACCATAGCTATCATTTTTTTAAAAAACATTAATGTTTGTCCTTTTTTGTTTAAAGTTCTTTAGTAACCACCACTTCCTCTACCTTGCCCCAGCCCAGTACTCTAAGGATGTAATCCAAACTTCATAGTCTAAAATGCCTTTTATATTATCTGGCCTCCCTCACTTTACCTAGCACTGCTGTCTTTCAAGCTTGTGCTTCCTGACCCACATAATCCTTTTCTCATTGCCTCAAAAGCTCCACTATTTTTTTTCTACTCCAGGTATCCGTCACATGCTGTTCCTTCTTGGAATTCTCTTCCCCAGTTCATCTACTATCTTGCAACTTCTCCCATTCCTTAAGTTTCCAAGAAATCAGTAATGGATTACAAACATCTATCCAAATTTTCTGCCACTGTTGAAGAGGTAAGAGATGAGTTGACTCATTCAAGAAATGGAGCAAGGAGGCTGATCTAAGGAAGAAAAAAAATGAGCAAAGCCAAAAACTATGAACCCATGGTGATAATATCCACCGTATTGAGAGGCCAGTCCAGGAGGCTCATCAGTCTTTTCATAGCTAAAGACCACAGAAGTAATCAAAAGTAAAATATGTATGACAAAAAACCATTGAGTTGATAAAAGACAGCCTTGAGCAAACATTAAAATATGAAATGGAAAAAAGATGAAAATTACTAGACAGATGACTACTAATATGGAATCTAGACAAAGGCGATCTAATATAAAAATAATGGGTATTCTTAAATTTTAAAAAGCAAATAGTGAAAGAAAATGTACTTAAAGATTTAATAACAAAAAGAGAACACAAAGCACTAGAAAAAATTTCCCAGGAAAATCTGATAAAGAATATTTAATGCTTACACATATCTTGAAATAAACTAAAAGCTTTAAGGACATCCATGTAGAAAAAGAAAAGCTCCTCTAAGTGTAAGGGCTGTGAGGGAGGTGCAGATGAGCCTGACCTCCAAAACCTCAGCAGCAGCATTCAATGCCAGAAGACAATGGAGCTCTGCTTACAAAGTTCTGAGGAAAGGAAAGGGTAACTTTGTGTCCATCTAATTGTGCTTGAAACATAAAGGCAGGAAACAAACTTTAAAATAAGCAGCAATTCATGAAATTTAGTGCTCATGAATTATTTTTGAAAAAGCCATCCAACAACAAAACCCAGCAAGCCAATTGTTAAGTGAAAAATTAAAAACCCGGAAGTGGAAGGTTGGTCATTAAACACATTCAATGGCTTAAAGAAAAAGCAAAGCTGAGAATTATGGCTACAGGACAGAGTAAATTTATGAATCTTGATAATGAAAAAATAATAATACACTTAACAGAAATATGGTGTTGTAGGGGTAGGTTAGAAAGATGGTGCCATGTTGCTTACCTTCAGTGCAGGCAGATCCATAGATACTGCTTGAATTGAAGCATTTTGGTGATTGGGTTTTTTTTTTTTAAGTAAAAAAATCTTTTGAAATTTTAGAGTTATCTTCTAGGAAAATAAAATTGCTTGATGTGAAGAAACTTATTAATCTGAGATTGAGCAATTCTACCAATTTCACTAGCTTTTCTCCAGTTTAGTTCAAGTAAAGACAAATTTAATGCTTTTTGTTTTTTAAAAAAAGCATTTACAGTAGGTCCCATTTTTGTAGAATTATGTCTATGTGTGAATATGGGTACATACATAGAGAGATCACTAGGAACTAGGATGATGTTGCCAAATGTTATGACAATTATTTCTGGGTAGTTGATAGTGGGGGTTTTGCTTGTTGGTTTTGTTTTTTAACTTTCTTCTATATACTCTTCCGTAGCCCTTTTTGTGATAAGCATGTATCAGTTTTATAAAACCAATACGTTTTGAATAGGTCCCTGACATCTGAGCTATTGCAGGGTATGGCTGAGGAGAGGGAATTTTACCAGAAGGCCCATTAACCATGGGTCTCATACTCATAAAGACCATAAACTTAGATTTTTTATGTCCTCTCCAAATGAGTTCATACATGCTGTAATTGAAATATACTAATAGGATTAAACACTTAAATTATAGGGAGTTTTCTTCTTTTTAAAATTATAGCTGGAACTTCAAGATGTCCATTCTTCTTGAGAAGCCCTGCATATATTATTCAAAATTAAATAAATAATGATTTAATACATTGGGAAGGATATGGCTCAGAGGAAGGATCCTAGAGGCTTCCTTCCCCTTCCTAGATCATGCCCAGTTTAGAACTTTCTACCAGGTGAACACGTAGCCCTGACACTTCCACCTACAGCTGCAAGCATTGAACAAAAGGCAACTAATTTTTATGCGCCATTTCTGGAACTAGCCCTAGTCATCCAACACACAGATCTCTTTGAATTATAATGCTCAGAGATTTTTACTTGCTTATATTTGGCTCACTTTGGTCTGCCTTCTCTCTGATCTGATGACTCAGTTCCTAATCTCACTACTGAGTTTAGCAAATACTGCTTTTCTCACAACTAGATTCATAATTAGATTATCCATTTGTCTTTGGCTACCTGAACTCACATCATAACTGTGGGTTTCAATTCCCACCTCTCCCCTGCCTCACTGCTTCTTTTTTTTTTTTAATTGTACTTTAAGTTTTAGGGTACATGTGCACAATGTGCAGGTTAGTTATAGGTGGGAATTGAACAATGAGATCACTGCTTCTTAACATCTGGCTTGCTGCTAACCATATCTCATTCACCTGTAGTCATATGATACCGGAAAAGAAACCAAGAAAACAGTACGACTCGCTTGCTCATTAAAACTTCTGTGGCAATGAAGGGTGAAAAGGATTCATAAGAGTGATGAGAAATTCTGGCGGGACCAATATCCAGAATGATGAAATTGAGCTCCTCATGGAAAGATAGTCCTGGAACTCACAGGCTCTCATGCCCCTGAGATGTGGTAGAAATAGCCTTTAACTTGGAGTTAGAAGACCTTGGTTCTAATCCTAGCTCTGTGCTGGCAGAACTGCCCTACAAGTGAGATGAAAGGATGCTAAACAGTAACTCGAATCCTCACAAAGAAATAAAAAGCAGCAATAAGGGTAACTACACAGGTGACTTATAAAAGCATAAATGTGTGTTTGCTTGTAATTTTTCTGATTTAAGACAACTGCATAAAGTAATACTTATAAAACTATTGATGGATTTATAACATATAAAGATGTAATTGGGCAATAATAGCATAATGGACTAGGGAGGAAAATGAGTAATAATGGGATAGAAAAAAAGAGAGAAAACAAATAAATAAAATTAAATTCTAGCTCTACAAATTATGAGTTGCGTAACCTCGAGCAATTTTTTACCCAACTTGAGTCTCAATGTTCTGCATACATAAGGTATAATATTTATCTTATCGTTAAGTAAGATGACATTTATTTTAAAAGGTTGTTGAGAGAATAAAGTGAAAACAGTGTTTCACAAATATTTTGTACAATGATTTGCACAGGCACTCAATAAATGCTGGAACTACTGGGTAATGTATACTTGGTGGTTCAGTACATGACTTTCTCTACTTTTCTGCACATTAACATTTTTATAGTAAAAGAAAATTTAATTTAATTTAAAATTTAATTCCAGCCTCCTTCCTTTTATGTGGGTTTCTGTCACCAGGCTGGAGTGCAGTGGCGCAATCTTGGCTCACTGCAACCTTCGCCTCCTGGGTTCAAGTGATTCTCCTGCCTCAGCCTCCTGAGTAGCTGGGACTACAGGCGCCCACCACCACGCCGGCTAATTTTTTGTATTTTTAGTAGAGACGGAGTTTCACTCTGTTGGCCAGGATGGTCTCTATCTCTTGACCTCATGATCCGCCCTCCTTGGCCTCCCAAAGTGCTGGAATTACAGGCATGAGCCACTGCGCCAGGCCAAAATATATCTTAAAGAGTTAATCATTTGAACACACATAGGAAATTGGGAGAGGTAAGGACTTGAAATCGCTGTTGCTAGCATTTTTAACTTTGTCCCAGATCTTAATGATTAAACAATGTCCGTGGGAAATTTGAATGTAAATAATGTGGGGCTGGGCCTGGCACGGCGGCTCACACCTCTCATCCCAGCTCTTTGGGAGGATGAGGCGGGCGGATCACCTGAGGTCAGGAGTTCAACTTCTTTGAACCATTTGTTGAAGAGACTGTCCTTTCTCCCACTGAGTGATCTTGGCACCCCTGTTGAAGATCATTTGGCTGCATATGTGAGGGTTTGTTTCTGAGCTGTCTATTCTATTCCATTGATCTTTATGGGCGCAGTTAACTTTAAGAAAGGAAGACTATGTATGTGTACCTATCTTAATCATATTAGCCACTTAAGAGCAGTGAGTTTTCTTTGGCTGGTCACAGAAGGAAAAACAGAGATTTAAAGTATGAGCAAAATTTGACAAAGGCGTGTTGCTGAAATGGAGGGACCGTGTGGCTAGGACCTGAGGGCAGCCTCTAGCAGTTGGGAGTGTCCCCAGACTACAGCTGACAACAACAAGGAAATGTATTCTGCCAACAATTTAAGTGAGTTTGGAAGTGGCTCTTTCCCTAGTTGAACCTCCTGATGATGGCACAGCTATACAACATCTTAATTTAAGCCTTATGAGACCTTGAGTAGAGGACCCAGTTAAAACCAGACTCCCAACACAAAAACTGTGAGATAATAAATTTGTGTTATTTTGAGCTGCTAAGGTTGTGGTATTTGTTACACAGCAATAGAAAACTAATATACCCTGGTTATACCTTCTTCCTCTGATTAGGTCATTAACGGCCCTAGAGTTGGGGGCCATTAGCTCACTGAACTCCATGGCTCTTTTATTCTTACCAAAGTTTAGACTGGCTGGAATATTTTTTTCTTTATTTTCTCTTATCTTATTTACTTATCTTTAGGAAAGAATTTTAAATTAATCTAAGTTTAGAAATAGGTAATACCTATCCATGGTTCATAGTCAAAATATGTTGCAAGAGATATAGTGAAGACTCTCTCTGCAACTATTCTTCCTCATCTGTCTTGTTCTCACCTGCCACCTCCTCCCCCCCTCACCAGATAACCACTGAGAACAGTTTCCTGATATTCTTCTCAAGTTACTTTTAAATGCACATATGTGACAAAGACTGTTAATTACTTCCCATTTTCATTCTTCTCTTCTTAAATAGTGTTAGAATTTTTAGCTGGACACCTGGCTGCCAGGAATTAAAAATATGTTCCCCAGGCTCCCTTATAGTTAGATGTGACCAGATGGGATACAGACAAACAGGCTATGAGGCAACTTCCAGGAACCTTCCTTGGGACATGCCCTTTGCCCCTTCTTCTCCATTCCATCCTGCTTCCTGAAGAGTGGATGTAACATTACATTGGAGGACAAGAACCTGCCCTAAGGAAGGAGGGCTGGTGAACTAGAAAGAAACTGACTCCCTGAGCGTGTTATGGAGCACAGCACTTGCCCTCAGCCTTGGACTGCCAGCTCCAGACATTTACAGAGAGAAATAGCCTGTAATCGCAGCACTTTAGGAGGCCAAAGTGGGCAGATCACTTGAGCTCAGGAGTTCAAGACCAGCCTGGGCAATATGGCGAGACCCCGTCTCTACAAAAAAAATACAAAAATTAGCCATGTATGGTGGCACTTGCCTGTAGTCCCAGCTACTCAGAAAGATGAGGTGAGAGGATCACTGGAGCCCAGGAGGCAGAAGTTGCAGTGAGCCAAGATCACACCACTGTACTCCAGCCTGGGCAACAGAGCAAGATCCTGAGAAGAAAAAAAGAAAGAAAGAAATGAAGGAAGGAAGGAAGGAGAAGAAAGAAAGAAAGAAAGAGAGAGAGAGAGAAAGAGAGGAAGGAAGGAAGGAAGGGAGAAAAGAAAGAAAGAAAGAAAGAGAGAGAAAGAGAGGAAGGAAGGAAGGAAGGGAGAAAAGAAAGAAAGATCTTTTAAAAGCCACTGTTCTTTTTGGATATTATCATTTAATGCTAAGCCTAATTCCTACCTAACACAATATTTAAGAAAATAAGATATATTCTCCTTACTCCTTCTCTTACAAATAATAGAGTATTACAGATTTCATATTACACTGCTCTGCATATTGCCTCTTTGACTTAAGATATCTTACAGATCTTTCCATTTTGACTATCAGGGATGATAGGAAGCAGATGGCACACTAGAAACAGCTGATTAAAGGGAGTTTAATAACAGACTATTTATGAAGATTTTGGCAAGGTTAGGAGAAACCGATAAAGGATGATGATGCACCCCAGGGCTAGCCATAGGAAGCCACCAGCACCCTTACACCTGAAATTTTAAGTCGATGGACTGTTTACCAGAACCCAGAGAGATCTTTTGCTTCAGGACAGGGTGATCCAATAGGAATGGTGCTACTGAGAGAAAAACACAGCCACTGCCAAACTTCACCTCAGCAGAGAGGGAGCTTGTGCAATGTCTTAACCTCTCTTTCTTCCTACTTTCCAGTCTCTTCCTGGTGCCTCCTATTGGCTGAATCCAACCAAAAGCTGGAGAGCAAGGGGGCTTGGTTGATGCGGTCCACAAAGGTCAGCCTCCTGGGGCCCAGAGCAGGATGGAGAAAGGTGCAGCCTGCATATAGAGTGAAAAGTAGAAAATACCCAGGACTGTCCACCTGCTTACTTCTTAACATCTGCTTTTATCCTTTATTTAGATGAGAAATTTGTATCCCCAACACAGGGAACATACAAAATCCCATCAGCTACATATCACTGTAGGGTAATGTCATTCAGGCATATTCCAAAACCATTAAACTTTAGCCACTACATTGCTTTTTGTTTAAAAGAGCAGGAACATCTACAAATTCAATGCAATTTCTATCAAAATTCCAACTGCCTTTTTTGCAAAACTGGACAAGCTGATCCTAAAATTCATGTAGAAATAAAAAAAAAACAGAAGTAGCCAAATAGTAATAGTAATTCTTAGAAAGTAAAACAAAGTTGGAGAACTCACGTTTCCCAAATTTAAAACTTACTGCAAAGCAACAGTAATCAAGACATTGTGGTACTGGCATAAGGATAGACATCAATGGAATTGAATTGAGAGTCCAGAAATAAACTCATACATTTATATTTAACTGACTCTCAGCAAGGGTCCCAAGACCATTGAATAGGGAAAGAAGAATTATCTTTTGAACATATAGTGCTGGGACTACTGGATATCCACATTAAAAGAATGAATTTGTACCCCTATCTCACAGCATATGCAAGAATTAACTCAAAATAGATCAAAGACCTAAATCAAAAGCAAAAACTATAAAACTCTTAAAAAAAACTTAAGTGTAAATCTTTATGACTTTGGATTAAGCAATGGTTTCTTAGATATGATACTAAAAGTACAAGCAACCAAAGAAGAAATAGACAAATTGGCTGGAATTTATCAAAATTTAAAACTTCTGAGTATCAAAGGACACCATCAAGAAAGTGAAAAAACAACCAACAGAATAGAAGACAAATATTTGCAAATCATGTCTCTGCTAAGGGTCTAGTGTATCCAAAATTCATGACAAAAAAACCTCTTACAATGCAATATTTAAAAGACAACCCACCAGGCATGGTGGCTTATGCCTGTAATCCTAGCACTTTGGGAGGCTAAGGCACGCAGATCACCTGAGGTCAGGAGTTTGAGACCAGCCTGGCCAACATGGTGAAACCCCATCTCTACTAAAAATAGTAGGATGTGGTGGTGGGTGCCTGTAATCCCAGCTATTCAAGAATCTGAGACAGGAGAATCACTTGAACTCAAGAGGCAGAGGTTGCAGTAAGCCGAGATCATGCCATTGCACTCCAGCCTGGGTGACAGAGCGAGACTCTGTCTCAAAAAAAAAAAAAAAAAAAAAAAGACAACCCAATTAAAAAGTGGGCAAAGGATTTGACAGGAATTCTTCAAAGAAGACATACAAATGGCCAAAAGACTCATGAAAAGATGTTCCACATCATTAGTCGTTAGGAAAATGCAAATCAAAACCACAATGAGAAGTCACTTCATACCCACTGGGATGGCTATAATAAAAATAATAATAATTTTTGATGACAAGTATGTGGAGAAAATGGAACCCTCGTATATTGTTGGTGGGAATGTAAAGTGGTGTAGAACTGTGGAAAACTGTTTGGGAGTTCCTCAAAACGCTAAACATATTACTACTTAATACATGACCCAGAAATTTTACTTCTAGGTATATAATCAAAAGAAAAGAAAACATATGTCAACAGAAACTTGTACATGTACAAGAAGTTTTTCTACAAGTTTTTGTACATGGTTTTGTACAGGTTTTTGTACAAAGTTTTGTACAAGTTTTTGTAGGACAAGTCTAACTTGTACATGAATGTTTATAGCAGCATTATTTATAATAGGAAAAAGTAGAAGCAACCCTAATGTTTATCAGTTGGTAAATTGATAAACGAGATATGGTATATTCATACAAGGGAATATTAGCCATAAGAAGGCATGAAGTACTAATACATGCTACAATACGGATAAACCTTGAAAACATTGTTCTAAAGTACAGCAGACACAAAAGGCCACATATTGTATGATTCCATTTATATGAAATGTCCAGAATAGGCAAATCCATACAGACAAAAAGTAGATTAGTGATTAATCCATTAGCCAATAGATGGGGGAAGAGGTGATAGAGAATAACTGCTGACAGAGGTTTCTTCTTGAGATGATGGAAATGTGCAGGAATTAGATGGTGGTGCTATGAATATAGAAAAAAACATTAAATTATGTACTTTCAAATGGTGAACTGTATGTTATATAAATTATATTTTATTAAAACATTGCAAAAAAAATTAACAGAGAAGGGGGTAGGGGAGACAATTAACACAAAACAGCTGCTACATTCCTTAATTCTCTAACCAGTTACAAATTCTAATTTGAGAATCATGACTTTTTTCTTCCACTACCCATTCCACGTTCCCCTTATCCTCTGCTAAAACCTTAGCTGGATGGGGTTCTTTACCTGATAGGGTGACCCAAACCCCCTTCCTGTCATACCTCAGTCTTTGGGGCGTTTACTGATTGCTATAGTGAATCCCCTGGGTTTCAAACACCTTACCTGGTAAGGTAACAACTCATTTTCTCATTATTAATTGGTTTCTATCATGCGTCCGTAAGAGTCACCCCTTTAGCTCCCTCTAGGTTAAGTAGCACAAGAGCCAAAAACGGCCAAACAGCGGGGCTCAATTTTCCATTTAACAGGACTGCCTGACTGTTAAGCATGGAAAAGCATTCCTTCCTTGGGCACTTGGACCCCCAAACCCACCAAATCCATGGTTATGAAGATTAAAGGGAGAAGTTCTGGAAGTGTATTGAAAGGAATAATAATGAAAGGGGCCCTTCCTACCTTACCTTTTTGTTCTCGAACCCTTGGATCCTGACTATAAGGCAGTCACCACTGTAGAATTAAGGCGTGTATGTACTGCATCCTCTAGAACAGCACCTCAAATTTTAGTAGGTCTTTCCATCATTCTTTCAAGCTAGCTACTTCTGAGGGATGAGACATGCAGTTAGACCAACATGTTCTGAGAGCGTAAGCCCATTGTTGCACATCTTGGCCATGAAATGTGCCTCTGGTCAAGGCAAATGCTGAGTGGGACACCACAATAAAAGATAAACCTTTAAGTCAACAAATGCTGGAAGAAGCGTCATAAGAACAGAAAGTAAATCCATAATCTGAATATGTGTGTATTCATTAAGAACCAGTTGATGCCACCTCCATGATAAGAGGATTCTGATGTAATCAACCTGACGTAGGGGCCTGGGTGATCCCTCCAGGGAATAATGCAACATTACAAGATCACCTTTGGCCTCTGCTATTGGTAGGTTAAGCACTCAAGCTGTGGTGGCCAGATCACCTGAGTGAGGGGACGTCCACGGCCTCCATCCCCGTTGCCATGGTCGCATGGCACCCTTTCCCACTGGGCAAGCACCAGAATAACTGGAAAGAGAAGCTAACTGACATGCATGATGGGGATTGTCTTGTCCATCTGATTACTGGGAAACTCCTCTGCAGTGCTTGACCTTTGGTGAGCACTCACAGGGATCAAAAAACACACTCTGTGCCCATTCAATCTACATACCTCTCCCCCAGGTTTCTTTGCTCCTAGTCTTCCAGTCTCATTCTTTCTCTGAAAAGTGGGCCAGTACATTAGCCATTACCCAAAAATTAGCACTGATCCATACATCAGGCCATTTCTTTTTCCATGCAAAGTGGACAACTAAATGTGCCACCTGAAGTTTTGTCCTTTGGGAAAATATCCCTTCACTACACTTTCTTGGCCATCTGTAAGTGAGGCTGAAATGCAACAGCCATCTGCATCTGCTGGTGCCTGCACACCAAAAAGGCCCATATATAACCAGGCGTGCAGCTTTTTTTCCTCTGTTAACTGTTCATAAGGAATACCAGCTGGACTGAACTGATTGCCTCCCATTACAGAGGCAACTCACTTCATCCCAACTTCTTGATACTTTTACTTCAGGAGGTCATATTTCTCTCAGATCTTCCAGAAAAAAAGTCCTAAAGCCTTAGACTTTTTTTTAATAGTCCAGCTCTTTAATAGTCCAGCTCATCTTTCTGAGTAGCTGGGACTACAGGCAAGTGCCACCATACATGGCTAATTTTTGTATTTTTTTTGTAGAGACGGGGTCTCGCCATATTGCCCAGGCTGGTCTTGAACTCCTGAGCTCAAGTGATCTGCCCACTTTGGCCTCCTAAAGTGCTGCGATTACAGGCTATTTCTCTCTGTAAATGTCTGGAGCTGGCAGTCCAAGGCTGAGGGCAAGTGCTGTGCTCCATAACACGCTCAGGGAGTCAGTCTTTAATAGTCCAGTTTTCCTCCTCTTTCCCAATAATAACAGAAATATCTCAGCCTCCAGCAGATGCAAGAACTTTCCAATATCCTGAGCCTTAGCTACAAACAGGTTAAGACCTGGTTCCAGAACCAGAGAATGAAATCTAAGAGGTGTCAGGAAAACAACCAGCCAAAGGGTAGCAATGGTGTGACTCAGAAGGCCTCAGCACCTACTTACCTCTACTATTCCTACTGATGCTTGGTGAACACGACTGAGAACCTTCCAATGTGGAGCAACAAGATCTGGAGCAATCCAACATGTAGCAACCAGACCTGGAATCCAGTCATAAATAAATAACAGAATACTGGTCATGGGTGAGGAGAGGCAATGCTAACTGGAGCCAGTAAATTTGCTACATCCAGACTGTCAGCTGAGATGGCATTACCTCCTGAATAGATTTGAAATAATCTACAGTCATTCTCCAAATCTTGTGGCTGTCACGTTATCCAAACAGATGAGTTAAAGGAGGACATGATAGAAATCACCCACTACATATTTTTTTGTCTTTGATTGAGTCATTGATCTTTGTAATTCCCCCAGGAGTATGGTGTTGATTTTGGTTTCCTATCTTGGCTTGGAGGTCAGGATGGGGGCAGTTCCAGGAGCTTGTATTTAACCCATCCAACATAATAGCATCCCTCCATGGGTCAGGGAGCCGTTATAGGGGTTCATTGATTTACTGAGTATACCTGTTACCACTCTACAATCTGAGACAAGAGAAACTAGCACAGGGATCTTACTAGACCCGCTCTATGATGGACTTAAAACAAGACTTCATCTATCACCCAACTTCCATACATCCTTTATTTGCAGGTGGACAATAACAGTATTTGGGTCTCTAGACCTTAACATCATTTTTTTTAAATTTTTTATTTATTTGTGAGAGGATTTCACTCTGTTGTCCCAGCTGGAGTGCAGTGGCATGAGCATAGCTCACTGTAACCTCAAACTCCTGTGCTCAGGTAGTCCTCTAGCCTCGGCCTACCAAAGTCCTGGGATTACATGCATGAGGTACTGCACACAGCTAACGTAACTTTAGAGCCAATATCTAGTAATTCCAGGAGAGTATGGGTATAAACTTTTTCCATTGTATAGTCACCCTGGTAAAGGATTTTAAGTTCCTCTACGGAAGGTTTGTTGTCCCATTGCAGAGTCCTTCCTCAATAGGCCCTTCCTCCTCCTCAATCAAGGGGCTCCCAAGCCAATGTACTGTCTTAGATCTGGGAAATGCACAAGAGACCAGGTCAGATTTTTGCCTACCTTTCCTAGAGTTTTTCCTACTTATCAGATCAAGCAGTACCTTAAAAATCTGCCTATTTCTTATTTCTAAGGACCCCATGATCAATAGGCCACCTTCACAGATTCCTGCAGGTCAAAACTTCTTATTTCTACTCAGGAGTCCTTGTGGCTTATTAGAGAAATGCACTCTCCTTGTCTTGCTGCCGCCTGGCTTCCACCACTCCAGGATTCTATTATTGCCACTGAAATCAAATCAGGAAACTAACTCCACTGCAGAGTCTCCTACCTTCATTCCAGCCCAGAGAAAACAGTCACAGAACTTTTCAAGGATGCTGGTGCTCTTTTCCTTTCACTAATGTATTTCCTAATGTCTTAGGATGAAAGACCTCCAGACCTCCCTGATGTACTGGTATCAGGTGGCTTAGCAGCTTGCATGCAGTCTATCTCAGCATTTCTCTCTTCCTAAGGCTTTGGTCTGCTACCTATACAGTATTCCAAGGACATTCCAGTATATCAACCTCAGTGATTGCATGTCACCATTGAGCCCAGACTTGAAGAGGTGAGGTAGGGTTGCAGATATTGCCAGAACCCTGCCCAATAGGAGCTGTGGCCTTTGGGAAAGAAACAAAGCCAGCACCAGTCTGAGGCTTAGGCGAGAAAGAGCCAGGGAACTCCCTGCCTTACCAATGGAAGGCAGAGGAAAATGGAGCCCAGTTGATTCATTCGTTAGTGGGTAGCCTTCTAGCAAACAAAATAAGGCAGAGATGGCAAACAGTGAATTTGGAGGGAAAAACAACAATATCCAACATACATGTCAATGTATAAAAAATTTCCCTTTTCTCCCAGCTGCATAGAATTGTATTGTATGGACATACTATGATTGACATGTAACCAGTCCTCTGCTGATGGATATTGAGGTTGTTTCCAATCTCGTCATTATGAATAGCACTGTAATGAATAAACTTGCACATGTGATTGCTTTTATCGTGGTAAAATATATATATAATAAAATGTGCATTTTAATCATGTTTAAGTGTGCATTCAGTGGTTAAGTACATTCACATTGTCATGCAACCACCACCCCATCCATCTTCAGACTCTTTTTCACCCCAAGATGAAAGTGTATGCCAATTATACAATACCTCCCCATTTTTCCTCCCTACAGCTCCTCGCAGTGAGAATCCTACTTTCTGCCTCTATGAATTTAACTACTCTAGATACTTCATATAAGTGAGAGAATACAATATTTTTGTTTGTGTTGGCTTATTACACTTAGTCACTTATTTATAAACCATTTATAGCTTATTTCACTCAGTCAAAATTTATCCATGTTGTACTATGTATCAAAATTTCATTCCTTTTCAAAGTTGAGTAATATTCCTGTGTATGTATGCATTCAGGGTATTTTCCTATATGTTAACATACTGTATAATAGAAATGGAATTACTAGATTCAAGGACACATATATCTGTAATTTCTATGTCTATCACCATATTGCATACCTTCCCATCCCATTGAAGGATAAGGACTAGTTTACACTCATATTAGCAAAGCGTAAGAGTATCTAATTCCACCGGACATGGTGGCTCATACCTGTAATCCCAACTACTTGGGAGGCTGAGGTGGGAGGATTGCTTGAGGCCAGGAGTTCAAAAGGGCTGGTACAATGTGCTTGACCCTCACTGGGGTCCCCGACTTTCTGCCTGGGGGCCTGTCAATAGGTAGCCAGTCAGTGCCTTCTCAGTAGCCGCTGGGGTAGGATCCCTCTTTTAGATGACCGAGTTATTCTGTTCCTCTCTTCCTAAGGTCCTTTGTCTTGATTTTCATTTCTGACCAGAAAAACACATGGCAACCCAGTTTATTGATGCTAAAGCTGACATCAGCCTTCAGGTGAGGGAAGGAGTGTGATTTGACAGCAGCATCTGTCATTCCATTGATCACCAGAATTGATACTGCCCATCTGGCTGATGAGGTGCTATCATCTTTCTCATCACCACTCATCATCTTTCTGAAGCTGTACATTCAGTTGAAGAGGAGTTAACCTTGACAGGATAACCACATCTTAACTGCGATCACAGACAGCCCTGGTAGAGCAGTAATTTCATATCCCATGTTTCCAAAACTTTCTTGATAATAAGAATTACTTGGGATGTTTGTTAAAAATCCAGCTTGCCAGGCCACCTTCCAGGAGATTCTGCATTAGTCGGTCACAGAGGGTAAACAATGTGTTCAAGTCATGCAACTGGCTAATGGCAGAGCCAGGCCCATGTGATTCCAAAATCCCTCTCTTACACTACTTACAAACTACATATTTTGGGCAAGTAATTTAGTAATAATAACTGCCATTTACAGAGGACTTTACAGTTTATGAAACAATTGTATACACATCACTGTTTAAATCTTGTGACCCTATGAAGTTGATGGAATTGCTCCCATTTTGTAAAGGCTCCAAAAAGTCCAGTGGTTTGCTTAAGGCAGGGGTCACATATTCAAATACCTATAGAGATCAGTCCATTTCATCCATTTTCAATCGTTGATTCACTCATTTATCTATTCAACAATTAAGCATTCATTCATTCATCCATCTAAAAGGTATTTATTGATGGCTAGGGACACAACAGTGAATGGAATAAAATCTCTTTGCACTCGTGGAGTTTACATTCCAGAAAGGAAGACAAACAGTAAGTGCATAAGGAAGAAATAGATAAGATAACTTTAGATTGTGATAAGTGCTCTGAAAGCAATCAAACAGGCCTTCTGAGTAGAGAAGGGGGCTGCCTTGCTTGAGGGTTGTCCAGCATGGTAGCCATTCACCTACATCTGTCTATGGAGCATTTGAAATGTGGCCGGTCCAAGAGAAGATGTGTTGTTAAGCATAAAATACACGTTGGAGGCCAGGCGTGGTGGCCTGTAATCCCAGCACTTTGGGAGGTCAAGGCGGGTGGATCACCTAAGGTCAGGAGTTCAAGACCAGCCCGACAAATATGGTGAAACCCTGTCTCTACTAAAAATACAAAAATTATCCAGGTGTGTTGGCATGCACCTGTATTCCCAGCTACTCAGGAGGCTGAGACAGGAGAATTACTTGAACTCAGGAGGTGGAGGTTGCAGTGAGCTGAGATTGCACCACTGCACCCAAGCCTGAGTGATACAGTGAAACTCCATCTCAAAAAAACAAAACAAAACAAACAAACAAAAAAAAAACCGTGTTGGATTTTGAAGATTTTTCAAGATTTAGTATACAAAAACAAGAATGTAAGATATCCCAATTATAACTTTTTTATTGATTACGTGTTGAAATAACATTTTAGACATAATGGATTAAATAAAATGGATAAATAAAATCAATTTTTCATGTTTCCTTTTGCCTTTTCTTAATGTGGCTACCAGAAAATTTAAACCTTCATAGTGGCTCACATTTGTGATTCATATGATATGGTTTTTGGGTGGCACTTATCTAGGGTGAGCAAGGAGAGCTTCTCAGAAGAGGTGACATTTGAGTTGAGACCTGAATGATGAGATGGATGTTAACTATAAGAAGATCTGAGAGAAGAGTTCTCCAGGAAGAAGGAATCACAGGGGAAATTGGCCTAATAATAATTGTGAATCATGGTTCATGAGACAATAGGGAATAGTGGAGCCTCCAGAGAACTACAGAGTGCATCCCACTAAAATTATTTAAATTCGAAATGTGTCAACACTACAAAAGACAACAAAGTGAGGGCCTGTGTTGTTTTTGACCTTGAGCAGGAGTTTGTCAGCCTGGTCTTAGGTTACCTGTCCCCAACCCTTGCAAGGAGTAGAAGTCCTAGACCAGTGAAAGCCAAGTCAGCTTCATCAACTTGGCTGAGCAGCCCAGGCAACATGTGTCCCTGCCAAGTCGCCCTCACAACAAATCACATAGCCAGAAAATATGTGGATAATTTTTGTTCTGATTCCAAATCACTTGTTCTTTCCACTTATCCTGTTTTGAACAATAGCCCCCTGTGAGAACCTGATGAAAACTATGAATAAATCCTCCACCCGTTACCACTACCACCACAATATACTCACAAGCCTACTGTACATAATTCCACGGGGCTCAGAGGTCCCCGTCCAAACCCTGTCCAAGCATCCCAGAATAATAAGCTCTGCAGTATAGTTCATTGGCTCCCCTCTATGCACCAAAACCATAACATGGAGAGAATAAGATCAGTTTTCTTTATGTCATTGAAATTCTGTGAAGATGAAAGGAGATGGCATTGGTGAAACTGCTATATGAATGGAGGGCATTACTGTTAAATTCAGACAGGGTTTAAGGGCCTATAATGTCAGTGCTCATGCCTTAGAGGGAATCGTTTTAACTGAAGACCTAATCAGAGATTTACCAAGAAACCAAACAGCCCAAGTAGTTTTCAAGTGATATAAGAAATGTTTGAAAACCTATTCTAGAAAAGTGTTTCTCAATATTGGCTGCATGTTGGATTTACATAGAGAACTTTTTAAAATTCAGATGAAATAGCACAACCCCAACTCAGGGGATTGGGCAATATCTAGAAAATTTGCACAAGACTTTTGACCTAGCAATCCCACTTCCAGAACTCAATATCAGAGATACGATGGTACATTTCCCAAGGGAAGTGAGCACAAGGCTATTTATTGCTGTGCTATTTCCAACAGTAAATGCCCAGAAACAACCCAAGTATCCAGAGAGGAAAGAATTAATTTGCCCAAGACAAACCCTGTGCAGGCTAGTCTCCCAGAAAAGGAAAGGGCCTCTTGTGAAGCTCCCTGGAAACCACTGTGACCCTGTGCTTAAGACAATCAATTCTGGTTGACTTAGATTCCAGAATCTCCCTCACCCCCATGATGCTAGTGCTGGGGCTGGAAGTCCTTCAGTCCTGAAAATGCACATGGAAAATCTTGCCACTCATATGCTACCTAATAAAAGAGCTGAAATTGTTAGGCTTGGACGCCAGCCCTCTGATTGCACTATGAGAGGGGGTGGTGATTCTCCCAACCTGGAAACTGATCTGACAGGATAGGACCAGAGACCAGGTGATACCACCCCACATTGCTGTGGCACCCAGGTGTGATCATGGGGGATGGGCCAATACTTCATCTTAAATGCCTCACAACACAAGGATGAGGATGTCTTGTGTTTAGTTCTGTCTAGGATGGACAATGGGACACCAACCCTGTGTCCATGAATGTTTTCTCATGGATCTTGTGCTAGTAAGCCTGACATAACTCTACGTAGCCAATTTATCCATTTTTGCACTCAACTAGTGCAGTGAGCTGGGCATCTGGCCAAGCAGCCACCATACGTTTCTGGAAGGAAATCGCCACAGTTTGAATGTGTCCCCTGCAAAGTTTGTGTTTTGGAAACTTAATCCCCAATGCAACAGTGTTGAGAGGTGGGAGCTTTAAGAGGTTATTAGGGTCATGAGGGCTCTACCCTCATGAACGGACTATTGTTATTGTGGGAGAGGGTTCCTAATAAAAGAATAAATTCAGCTCCCCTTCCCCTCTTCCTTCTCTCCCTCTCACCTTTCTGCCTTCCACCATAGGATGACACAACAAGAAGGCCCTGGCCAATTGCAGTCTTCTCTATCTTGGACATTCCAGCCTCCACAACTATAAGAAGGAAATAAACCTCTGTTCTTTATAAGTTATCCAGTCTCAGTATCCTAATAGAGCAGCACAAAATGGATTAAAGTAGTAATCAACAGATCAGAGATCAAAGTCCAACTAGGTAGCAGGACAAATCCTCTTGGAGCAACATGGCCAGCTGTTGGGATAGTTAATCACTAATTGCTCATGGAAATCCCATAAAGTCTTCAGCAGCAAGAGACCCAGGGAGTAAGGCCTCCTGGAATAGAATTCCTTTGTTGTTATTAATGACCTGGCAGGAGTTTCCCAGGAAGGGGTAGCTTCATTGACGAGAAGGCTGAACCGGCACCCATGATAACAGTACAACCTCCTTGTGATGACTAAAGAATTTTCACTTCAGCCTGACCACTTGCTACTCAAGATACAGGAATGTTAGAGGCAGGCAAAGAACATCCTAAAGACTGAGATAAGGCAGATCCCAAAATTTTTACTACTTTTAGAATAAAATTGTAAAATAGGTAAGATGAAACAAATGAAGCTAAACATATTTTACTTAGATCCATTATCTCATTAAAAGTTACAAAATGGCTATAATCGAATTATTTTATTCCTTTTTCATTTATTAGTTAGAATTTTTCTATAAAGAACTTTTCTTCATCCACTCCTTGTATATCTTGAGGTACAGTTCATACGAGAAAGACAGAGAAATTCTAGGCTTATCTCCTTTCCTGCTCCAGACTTGGACTGTTCATTTCTCCAAGGAGCTTGGGGATTTTTTTGGTGAGAAGCAATGTTTAGAGACTACAGTCTGGGCTTAAAGGTGCCATTGCTCCCAAATTGATTATTTTGTATAAGCCTTTTCTGTGAACAGTTAAGAAATATGAAGTTTTTTAGAGGAGAAAATGCAGACAGTCCCCGACTTGGTTCTCAGCTTTACAATGGTGCAAATGCTATACGCATTCAGTAGGAACTGTCTTTGAATTTTGAATTTTGATCTTTTTCCTGCGAGCAATATGTAGTACAATTCTCACTCGCAATGCTGGGTGGCGGCAGTGAGCCACAGCTCCCAGCCAACCACATGGTCACAGGGGTAAACAGCCGATACTCTACAGTGTACTACTGTGTTGCCAGCATTTTTTGAATATTGAGTCTTGTGTTTCCACATCTTACCATGTCTACAAAATGCCCATCCGTGTTCTCCTGCTTCTGATAAGAAGAGGAAGGCAAATTACTTCTGAGTTTCTCAAGATAAAACTCAAGAGTAATTGCCCAGCATGAACGTGACAAGCCAGTAATAGCCACTGCATTTGAATTAGGACTTTCACATCCACAATCTCAACCATCTCAAAGGATAAGAAGTGAATCAGTGATGCAGTGAAATCATCCATATTGGTTAAATTCACTGTTGTTAGGAAGAAAAGAGCTGCGCCAACTGATGATATGAAAAAATACTTGTCACATGGATGGAAGACCAGATACAGAAGTATCAGATATAGTTTAAGTACCACTTAAACCGCAGACAATCCAGGCTAAGGCAAGAATTTTTTTATTTATTTATTTTTTTTTGAGACAGAGTCTTGCTCTGTCACCAGGCTGGAGTGAAGTGGCGCGATCTCAGCTCACTGCAACCTCTGCCTCCCAGGTTCAAGCCATTCTCCTGCCTCAGCCTCCCGAGTAGCTAGGATTACAGGTGCCCACCACCATGCCCAGCTAATTTTTGTATTTTTAGCAGACATGGGATTTCACCATTTTAGCCAGGATGGTCTCGATCTCCTGACCTCGTGATCCACCCGCCTCAGCTTCCCAAAGTGCTGGGATTACAGGGGTGAGCCACCGCACCCGGCCTCTACTCTTTTTTATACACTAAAAAACATTCTGATGATCCCACCTATATGCAAATATTTATAGCAAGTCATGGGCTGTTCCAGTGCTTCAAATGGCTCATAATTTTCATAATGTGAAGATCAGCAGTGAGGCAGCAAATGCCATATTGAATGTCTTAAAGCTTTAAAAAAGAAAAGAAAAGAAAAAAAGAGCTGCATAGGATAATTGTGGATGAGAAATATTTACCAGAACAAATGTTTAATGCCAATGAAACAAACTTTTTCTGAAGTTTGTTTCAGAAACAGAATGTTTGTATGCTGGAGCATACATACATTCATCGCACATCCAAGACAATGCCAAGATTCAAGGCATACAAAGACCATGTAATGCTGCTTTTGCCTGGAAATGTTTCAGAGTTCAAATTAAAGCATTTTCTAATCTACAACTTGGAGAACCCTATAGCATTCAAGAATGTGAACAGGCAAATACTTCCATTTCTTCTCATCATTAAAGAAAGCCTGGATGACCGGTTTTCTTTAAAAAAAAAAAAAAAAAAAAAAAAAAAAAAAAAAACTTGTGAAGAAGAGAAAAATGAGTAAGGAGGAATCTCTAGATTAAAAGAAATGTAAGAGGCGTGTTAACGAAATGCAGTGTATGGATACTACTTAGACCTAATTCAAATAAAACGGCAGCAAAAACTTTTCATAAGATAATTGAAGTCTGGGTGCGGTGGCTCGCACCTGTAATCCCAACACTTTGGGAGGCTGAGGCAGGCGGATCATTTGAGGTCAGGAGTTGGAGACCAGCCTGGCCAACATGGTGAAACTCCATCTCTACTAAAAATACAAAAATTAGCCAGGTGTGATGGCACACCCCTGTAATCCCAGCTACTCAGGAGGCTGAGGCAGGAAAATCACTTGAACCCAGGAGGCAGAGGTTGCAATGAGCAGAGATCACACCACTGCACTCCAGCTGGGCCACAGAGCAAGACTTGGTCTCAAAAAAAAAAAAAAAAAAAAAGACTATTGAGGAAATTTGACAACTGGCAGGTTATTGATGATGTAAGCAATTTTATTTATTGTTTTAGGTATGATCAAGATATTGTGTTTTGAAAACAATTTCTAAAGCTATATATCAAAGAAATAAAAAATGAGATTATATACTTTTTAAATTATTTTATTCCATAAAATAATTTAATAGTTGGAGTGAGGGAGGGAAGTTATAAAAGAAATAAGATTGGTCATGATTTGATAATTGTTTCATCTGGGTGACATGTACATGGGGGAGAGGCCATCATTATACTGTTTTATCTTTATATACACTTGAATTTTAGTAAAAAGGTCTTTAAAAACTTCTAGTGTTGAAACTCTACTCCAGGGATTTGGATTTAATAGGTCTAGCGTGGGGCCCAGGCACTAGGATGTTTTTAAAGTTCCAGGTGATTCTAGAGTGCAGCTGGCATTGAGAACTGCTATTCCAAGCTGAATTTCTTAAGAACAAGAGCTGTATCTTGGTCATTTTTACATCTCAAGCACATTCAACAGTACTAGGCACATAGTAAGGTCCCAGTAAAGTTGAATGTTTAATGAAATTGTAAGGACAGAACTCCAGGACAATGAGAAAAAGACTGAAGAAAAATTATGGCCTCAAATGAAGACCAGGTTAAACAAATTGAGAATCTGTGGCCTGCCTGAAGGCTCTCTGCACCACCTTCTCTCCCCTCTCTCTGTGCTGCCCAATCTCCTCCTTCAATCAAGGGAGAAATTGTCTTTATTTTAGGTCTACTTTATTCACCCTCCAGACAGGCTGGATAAATTCTAATAAACAAGTTTCAGGGGCAAAAAGCATCAGAAATAAGTCTGTTATATGAAAAAAGGTCTTAAGACATCTTTTCTATTTTTAACTTACTGTCTTCCTAGAGTCCAAGGTACCAGAATCAACGAAATTCACTGTTAACTAGCCAACAGATCTGTCATTTTTGCAGGAGTAGACTGAAGAGCAAGAATTATGGAGCTAGGCTTTAAACCCACAGAAGCCTTTCCAGAGAACTGGCATTTCTTTCACTTTGCACCTGTCCATCCAGGGCTGCATCTGCTACCACTTGGCACCTTAGGGGGACAGCCAGATGCAGGTGACTAATGACTGCTGGCAGGGACATCTGAAGCCAGGTCCCTTCCTTTTCAGATAGTTTTTTTTTCCAGCTGCCTGCTGGACATCCCACAACCATTTCAGACTCATCCAAAAGTGACTTCATCATTTTTTCCACCAAATCTGCACATCTTCTCACATTATCTAGCTCTAAGATGGCACCTCCACACACCCAACCCAGAAAACCATGTTACCCTCACTCCTCTCCCTTCCTCAAAACAAGACACTGAATCAATTGTCAGGTCCTGCTGGTTTTATTGCCTGTATATTTCCCAACTCCATGCCCACTTCTATTTTAGTTCAGGTTTTATTCTACATCTATTTGCAGATGTTTCTGCAAATCTGTCCTCCACATTATTACCAGAATAATCTACCTAAAATGATAACGTGTCCGTGTTACTTCCTTGCATAGATCCTTCAGTGGAACTCCTGTATTCTCCAGATTAAGTATAAACTTCTTAACGCAAGGCTCTCTGTGATCTGGTCTTTGCCTACTTACACAGTCTCATCTCTCACCACTTCTACTAGGCACTTTACATGCCAGAATATAAAAATATTTGCAGATCCTCATACACATCATGTTGTTCCTTGCTCTTGTGGTTTTGATAGAATGGTTCCTCAGCCTGTAATGTCCTTCCCCTCTGATCTCTCTTCCTCTCCTCAATCTTCACGACCTCACCCACACCTTCCTCCTCCCGTAAATCCCAGCCCAGCCACCTTATAGAAAGTCTTTGCTCATCAGAACACACACACATAGATATACATATATATCACCCAAGCTGGGTCCTGTGTCCTTCCAGATGTTTCCATAATACGCTGGGCATATTTCTATCACTGCAATTATGATAATTCAATTGATTCTCCAGTCATTTGTTTGTACATCTACCCTTTGCATTAGATGAGGAGCCCTTTGAGGGCCAGGGCTGTGTCTTAGTGCTCCTGATATCTCCAGGGCCTGCCCCACTTCTTGGCATCCAACAAGCACCACATTTTTGTTCTGAATGAATGAAGGTGGGTAGGATTAGGGCAAAGTATGCATGCCAGTGAGGAAAGTATTGCAACTGAATGATGAAACCCTGGATTAATGCAGGAGAAACAGGAAAGGAGACAAAGAGAAAAGACTAGGTGAATTTAGGAATCAACTCAATAGACTCTGTAGCAGAGGAAGAGATCAAATGGTGTCTTTCATTGGTGGCTGGGGAGATGGAAATACGGAAAGAGATGGATTTTGGGGGAGTGGGGACAAAACAGTGAGCTCTGTTTTGAACATGTTTAATCTGAGATATCTGAGAAACAGCTAGTCTGAGAGATGGGAGTTGTCAATATTGAATGGTATTGAAGCCGTGAACATGAATTAGTTTGCCCAGAAAAAGTATAAAGACTGAGGATAAAAGACCATCAGTTGTTTTTGATCTTCATTTTAAATCTTCTGTTCTCCCCACTTTTAATGTTCTCCTTGATATTCATTTTAATCTGATTTCATTTGTACCAAAACTGATGTGTACTAGAAGGAAGAAGAATTCAGTGTGATTTGCCTATCTGTATTCACCAGGGATAGTTTAACAAAGGGACATCTCCTGAGACAAATGTTTCAAGAATGAGATCAGACAGCAGAACTTTGTGTTTGCAAAGGAAGACAGGTAGTCCTTTACAGACATTATCTTGGATGGCTGATATTAAGAGTCCTGAAATTAAAAACAATAATTATTCGGGGACAGGAGCCAAGAAGGCCGAATAGGAACAGCTCCAGTCTACAGCTCCCAGTGTGAGCGACGCAGAAGATGGGTGATTTCTGCATTTCCATCTGAGATACCGGGTTCATCTCACTAGGGAGTGCCAGACAGTGGGCGCAGGCCAGTGGGTGCAGCACACTGTGCACGAGCCCAAGCAGGGCGAGGCATTTCCTCACTCGGGAAGCGCAAGGGGTCAGGGAGTTCCCTTTCCTAGTCAAAGAAAGGGGTGACAGACGGCACCTGGAAAATCGGGTCACTCCCACCCCAATACTGCGCTTTTCCAACGGGCTTAAAAAACGGCACACTAGGAGATTATATCCCACACCTGGCTCAGAGGGTCCTACGCCCACGGAGTCTCCCTGATTGCTAGCACAGCAGTCTGAGATCAAACTGCAAGGCAGCAGCGAGGCTGGGGGAGGGGAGCCCACCATTGCCCAGGCTTGCTTAGGTAAACAAAGCAGCCCAGAAGCTCCAACTGGGTGGAGCCCACCACAGCTCAAGGAGGCCTGCCTGCCTCTATAGGCTCCACCTCTGGGGGCAGGGCACAGACAAACAAAAAGACAGCAGTAACCTCTGCAGACTTAAATGTCCCTGTCTGACAGCTTTGAAGAGAGCAGTGGTTCTCCCAGCACGCAGCTGGAGATCTGAGAATGGGCAGACTGCCTCCTCTAGTGGGTCCCTGACGCCTGACCCCCGAGCAGCCTAACTAGGAGGTACCCCCCAGTAGGGGCAGACTGACACCTCACACGGCCGGGTACTCCTCTGAGACAAAACTTCCAGAGGAACGATCAGACAGCAGCATTCGCGGTTCACGAAAATCCGCTGTTCTGCAGCCACCGCTGCTGGTACCCAGGCAAACAGGGTCTGGAGTGGACCTCTAGCAAACTTCAACAGACCTGCAGCTGAGGGTCCTGTCTGTTAGAAGGAAAACTAACAAACAGAAAGGACATCCACACCAAAAACCCATCTGTACATCACCATCATCAAAGACCAAAAGTAGATAAAACCACAAAGATGGGGAAAAAACAGAGCAGAAAAACTGGAAGCTCTAAAAAGCAGAGCGCCCCTCCTCCTCCAAAGGAACACAGCTCCTCACCAGCAACGGAACAAAGCTGGACGGAGAATGACTTTGACGAGTTGAGAGAAGAAGGTTTCAGATGATCAAACTACTCCGAGCTACAGGAGGAAAGTCAAACCAAAGGCAAAGAAGTTGAAAACTTTGAAAAAAATTTAGACGAATGTATAACTAGAATAACCAATACAGAGCAGTGCTTAAAGGAGCTGAGGGAGCTGAAAGCCAAGGCTCGAGAACTACGTGAAGAATGCAGAAGCCTCAGGAACCGATGCGATCAACTGGAAGAAAGGGTATCAGTGATGGAAGATGAAATGAATGAAATGAAGCGAGAAGGGAAGTTTAGAGAAAAAAGAATAAAAAGAAATGAACAAAGCCTCCAAGAAATATGGGACTATGTGAAAAGACCAAATCTACGTCTGATTGGTGTACCTGAAAGTGATGGGGAGAATGGAACCAAGTTGGAAAACACTCTGCAGGATACTATCCAAGAGAACTTCCCCAATCTAGCAAGGCAGGCCAACATTCAGATTCAGGAAATACAGAGAATGCCACAAAGATACTCCTCGAGAAGAGCAACTCCAAGACACATAATTGTCAGATTCACCAAAGTTGAAATGAAGGAAAAAATGTTAAGGGCAGGCAGAGAGAAAGGTCGGGTTACCCACAAAGGGAAGCCCATCAGACTAACAGCGGATCTCTCGGCAGAAACTCTACAAGCCAGAAGAGAGTGGGGGCCAATATTCAACATTCTTAAAGAAAAGAATTTTCAACCCAGAATTTCCTATCCAGTCAAACTAAGCTTCATAAGTGAAGGAGAGATAAAATCCTTTACAGACAAGCAAATGCTGAGAGATTTTGTCACCACCAGGCCTGCCCTACAAGAGTTCCTGAAGGAAGCACTAAACATGGAAAGGAACAACCGGTACCAGCCACTGCAAAATCATGCCAGATTGTAAAGACCATTGAGACTAGGAAGAAACTGCATCAACTAACGAGCAAAATAACCAGTTAACATCACAATGACAGGATCAAATTCGCACATAACAATATTGACTTTAAATGTAAATGGACTAAATGCTCCAATTAAAAGACACAGACTGGAAAACTGGATAAAGAGTCAAGACCCATCAGTGTGCTGTATTCAGGAAACCCATCTCACGTGCAGAGACACACATAGGCTCAAAATAAAAGGATGGAGGAAGATCTACAAAGCAAATGGAAAACAAAAAAAGGTAGGGGTTGCAATCCTAGTCTCTGATAAAACAGACTTTAAACCAACAAAGATCAAAAGAGACAAAGAAGGCCATTACATAATGGTAAAGGGATCCATTCAACAAGAACAGCTAACTATCCTAAATATATATGCACCCAAAACAGGAGCACCCAGATTCATAAAGCAAGTCCTGAGTGACCTACAAAGAGACTTAGACTCCCACACAATAATAATGGGAGACTTTAACGCCCCAGTGTCAACATTAGACAGATCAATGAGACAGAAAGTTAACAAGGATACCCAGGAATTGAACTCAGCTCTGCACCAAGCGGACCTAATAGACATCTACAGAACTCTCCAGCCCAAATCAACAGAATATACATTCTTTTCAGCACCACACCACACCTATTCCAAAATTGACCACATAGTTGGAAGTAAAGCTCTCCTCAGCAAACGTAAAAGATCAGAAATTATAACAAACTGTCTCTCACACCACAGTGCAATCAAACTAGAACTCAGGATTCAGAAACTCACTCAAAACCGCTCAACTACATGGAAACTGAACAACCTGCTCCTGAATGACTACTGGGTACATAACGAAATGAAGGCAGAAATAAAGATGTTCTTTGAAACCAATGAGAACAAAGAAACATCATACCAGAATCTCTGAGACACACTTAAAGCAGTGTGTAGAGGGAAATTTATAGCACTAAATGCCCACAAGAGAAAGCAGGAAACATCTAAAATTGGCACCCTAACATCACAATTAAAAGATCTAGAGAAGCAAGAGCAAACACATTCAAAAGCTAGCAGAAGGCAAGAAATAACTAAGAGCAGAGCAGAACTGAAGGAGATAGAGGCACAAAAACCCCTTCAAAAAATCAATGAAACCAGCAGCTGGTTGTTTGAGAAGATCAACAAAATTGATAGACCACTAGCAAGACTAATAAAGAAGAAAAGAGGGAAGAATCAAATAGATGCAATAAAAAATGATAAAGGGGATATCACCACCGATCCCACAAAAACAGAAACTACCATCAGAGAATACTGTAAACACCTCTATGCAAATAAACTAGAAAATCTAGAAGAAATGGATAAATTCCTGAACACATACACCCTCCCAAGACTAAACCAGGAAGAAGTTGAAACCCTGAATAGACCAATTACAGGCTCGGAAATTGAGGCAATAATTAATATCCTACCAACCAAAAAAAGTCCAGGACCAGACGGATTCCAGCTGAATTCTACCAAAGGTAGAAGGAGGGGCTCGTACCATTCCTTCTGAAACTATTCCAATCAGCAGAAAGAGAGAGAATCCTCCCAAACTCATTTCATGAGGCCAGCATCATCTTTACACCAAAGCCTGGCAGAGACACAACAAAAAAAGAGAATTTTAGACCAATAGACCAATATCCCTGATGAACATTGATGCAAAAATCCTCTATAAAATACTGGGAAACTGAATCCAGCAGCACATCAGAAAGCCTATCCACCATGATCAAGTGGGCTTCATACCTGGGATGCATGGCTGGTTCAACATATGCAAATCAAAAAATGTAATCCAGCATATAAACAGAACCAAAGACAAAAACCACATGATTATCTCAATAGTTCCAGAAAAGGCCTTTGACAAAATTCAACAGCCCTTCATGCTAAAAACTCTCAATAAATTAGGTATTGATGGGACGTATCTCAAAATAGTAAGAGCTATCTATGACAAACCCACAGCCAATATTATACTGAATGCGCAAAAACTGGAAGCATTCCCTTTGAAAAGTGGCACAAGACAGGGATGCCCTCTCTCACCACTCCTATTCAACATAGTGTTGGAAATTCTGGCCAGGGCAATTAGGCAGGAGAAGGAAATAAAGGGTATTCAATTAGGAAAAGAGGAAGTCAAATTGTCCCTGTTTGCAGATGACATGATTGTATATTTAGAAAACCCCATTGTCTCAGCCCAAAATCTCCTTAAGCTGATAAGCAACTTCAGCAAAGTCTCAGGATACAAAATCAATGTACAAAAATCACAAGCATTCTTATAAACCAATAACAGACAAACAGAGAGCCAAATCATGAGTGAACTCCCATTCACAATTGCTTCAAAGAGAATAAAATACCTAGGAATCCAACTTACAAGGGATGTGAAGGACCTCTTCAAGGAGAACTACAAACCACTGCTCAAGGAAATAAAAGAGGATACAAAGAAATGGAAGAACATTCCATGCTCATGGGTAGGAAGAATCAATATCGTGAAAACGGCCATACTGCCCAAAGTAATTTATTGATTCAATGCCATCCCTATCAAGCTACCAATGACTTTCTTCACAGAATTGGAAAAAACTACTTTAAAGTTCATATGGAACCAAAAAAGAGCCCACATCACCAAGTCAATCCTAAGCCAAAAGAACAAAGCTGGAGGCATCATGCTACCTGACTTCAAACTATACTACAAGGCTACAGTAACCAAAACAGCATGGTACTGGTACCAAAACAGAGATATAGACCAATGGAACAGAACAGAGCCCTCAGAAATAATGCCACATATCTACAACTATCTGATCTTTGACAAACCTGAGAAAAACAAGAAATGGGGAAAGGATTCCCTATTTAATAAATGGTGCTGGGAAAGCTGGCTAGCCATATGTAGAAAGCTGAAACTGGATCCCTTCCTTACACCTTATACAAAAATTAATTCAAGATGGATTAAAGACTTACATGTTAGACCTAAAACCATAAAAACCCTAGAAGAAAACCTAGGCAATACCATTCAGGACATAGGCATGGGCAAGGACTTCATGTCTAAAACACCAAAAGCAATGGCAACAAAAGCCAAAATTGACAAATGGGATCTAATTAAACTAAAGAGCTTCTGCACAGCAAAAGAAACTACCATCAGAGTGAACAGGCAACCTACAGAATGGGAGAAAATTTTTGCAACCTACTCATCTGACAAAGGGCTAATACCCAGAATCTACAATGAACTCAAAGAAATTTACAAGAAAAAAACAAACAACCCCATCAAAAAGTGGGCAAAGTGGGCAAAGGATATGAACAGACACTCTCAAAAGAAGACATTCATACAGCCAAAAAACACATGAAAAAAAGCTCATCATCACTGGCCATCAGAGAAATGCAAATCAAAACCACAATGAGATACCATCTCACTCCAGTTAGAATGGTGATCATTAAAAAGTCAGGAAACAACAGGTGCTGGAGGGGATGTGGAGAAATAGGAACACTTTTACACTGTTGGTGGGACTGTAAACTAGTTCAACCATTGTGGATGTCACTGTGGCGATTCCTCAAGGATCTAGAACTAGAAATACCATTTCACCCAGCGATCCCATTACTGGGTATATACCCAAAGGATTATAAATCATGGTGCTGTAAAGACACATGCACACATATGTTTATTGCAGCACTATTCACAATAGCAAAGACTTGGAACCAAGCCAAATGTCCAACAATGATAGACTGGATTAAGAAAATGTGGCACATATACACCATGGAATACTATGCAGCCATAAAAAACGATGAGTCCATGTCCTTTGTAGGGACATGGATGAAGCTGGGAACCATCATTCTCAGCAAACTATCGCAAGGACAAAAAACCAAACACCGCATGTTCTCAGTCGTAGGTGGGAATTGAACAATGAGAACACATGGACACAGGAAGGGGAACATCACACACCGGGGACTGTTGTGGGGTGGGGGGAAGGGGGAGGGATAGCATTAGGAGATATACCTAATGCTAAATGACGAGTTAATGGGTGCAGCACACCAACATGGCACATGTATACATATGTAACAAACCTGCACGTTATGCACATGTACCCTAAAACTTAAAGTATAATAAAAAAAGAAAAGAAAAGAAAAAGCAGGAACTGGGAGATTGAGCCCACAAAACACTCTCATCCCCTAAAAGAAGTTCAGTGCTCATCAGCTGCTTCATTCTGTACTTCCACAATCTTTTCCCCATCTGTTTTCCCAACAGCTTAATATAGACATCTTTAAATATTTCCAAGGAGGGTGAATTGTTGCTTTGAAGTCTATCAAGACTTCATGCTTTTTTGTAGATATTGATAAACTGAGTCTAAAAGTTATATAGAAATGCAAAGGACCTAGAATAGCCAAAACAAAATCAAGTTAAAGGAATTGCACTACCTGACTTTAAGACTTACCACAAAGCTACAGTTAGTATATTATTGGCAAAGGGATAAACAGTACATCCAATAGGACAGAATAGAGCCTAGATGTAGAGCTACACGTATGCCGGAGTCGAATGATTTTTAAAAAGATATTAAGACACTCAATGGAGAAAGGAAAATCTTTTCAATATATGGTACTGAAATAAGTATCAAAATTAGGGCCCTGGTGGCGGTCGGGGGGAGAACTTTACCTCTATATTAAGCCACATGCAAAAATTAATTCTGGATGTATCATAAACGTAAATATAAGAGCTAAAACTATAAAGCTTCTAGAAGATAATATTTTAAAAATCTTCACAACCTTGTGTAGGCAATGGTTTCTTTAGAGAGAATGCAAGTATTAACCATAAAGGGAAATAATAAATTGTGACTTCATCAAAATTTAAAACTTTTATTCATCAAAAGACACTATTAAGATTAATAGACAAGTCAAAGTTCAGGAGAAAGTATTTACAACATATAAATCTGACAAAGGACTTTTGACTGGAATATATAAAGAACCCCTATAATGCAGCAATAAAAAGACAGCTCAGCTTTTAAATGAGCAAATATTTGAAAGGGCACTTCACAAAAGAAGATACATGAAAACCAGTGAGCACATGGAAAAGTGCTTAAGAGTATTAGTCACTGGGGAAAGGTAAATTAAAACTGCAGTAAGATGTCATTGCAAACTCACTAGAACGGTTAAAACATAAAAGATTAAAAACACCAATGTTCAGGAGGATGTGGAGCAAACAGAAATTTTGCCATTACTGGTGGAAATGTAAACTGTTTGGCACATTCTTAAAGAGTTAAAGGTATATCTGTCCTATGACCCAACAATTCTAATCCTAGTTTCCGAAGAAATGAAAACATTCATTCATTTCAAAAGAAATGAAAACATTCATTCATTTCAAAAGAAATGAAAACATTTGTCCAAATAAGCTCTGCATGAGAACGCTCATAGCAGTCTTACTCATCAGAGCCAAAGACTGGAAACAGCCCAGGTGTCCATGAATAGAATAAACTGTGGTATTTTCATACAATGCAATACTATTCAATAATGAAAAGAGACAAACTACTGATACATGTAAAAATCTGAATGAATCTCCGAAATTTTATACTGAGTGAAAAAAGTCAGATACAAAACAGTAATACTGTGTGATTTCAGATATATGAAGTTCTATAGCAGAAAAAAAACATCATGATGAAATCAGAATAGTGGTGGCTTCCAGAAGTGACAGGGATTGACTGGGAAGGGCGTGAGAGAACTTCTTAGTTGATGAAATACATCCGTATCTTGAGAGGGGTGTGAGCTGTATGGACATGTGCATTTGTTAACACTGGTTTAACTACACACCTAAGATCTCTTTATTTCACTGTCTTTAAATTATATCTTAATTTTTTAAAAAACACTCATTTCCTACAAACCACAATATCACACATTATCTACTTCTTTTATCCTTATGTTTTCATTAAAAAGTACATTAAGCCTTGAAGTTTATCCCATACTTATCTACCTCCTCTTTTGGCCTTTTGGACCATGGAAAGAGTTAACGATGAACATCGTATGAGAAAAGAGGGTCACTATGTCACTAGTCATAAATAACAGCCAACCAGAATACCAAGTAAATAAGTCAAATGACCAATTTCAAATAGAGGCAGAAAATCAAAAGGGAACCTACTACATTTACAAAGTGCAAATAATAAAGGCTAATGGACTATTATATAACTATTTTTAAATGATAAAGCTAAATATTTGGAAGAAACAGTCTCTTTTTTTCATTCTAAGGAAACAATGTATTAAATGACAAGTCAATCTGAATCACTACTTCTATGCTTCATTAGGAGCCAGTTAATTTAATGTACAAGATATTTAAACAAAAATTCAATGTACAACATCAATTTTTGTTTATCCTGAGAGACCACATATGTATAAGGTACATAGTTTTTTGTTTAGATTTTAGCAGCATATAGTATGGAAGGTGCACCTAGTTTTTGGTGGATGGAATTTAGCAGCCTTGTCAGTGGGCAGAGTATTTAAAAGTATTCCTTAACTCGTTTCCTTGTAATGTTCCTTTCCTTTTATCAGGATCTTCTATTGAGACCACAGTGGATATTTTCCCAGTTGTTCTTGATTTTCATAACCCACTGTGGCATGGATTCTCTTCTTGCTCAAACTTGAGCCAGGATCCTTTGAGCCTTCCTCTTGACTAAGGCCCAACTTTGACCTATAAAGACTTGAACAAACACTAACATAGCTTCTAACAGCTCCAGCTTTCCTTAAAGTGCCTGCTGAGAAAACTCAAGATTTGCGAAAAATCTACTGTTTGTTCCAGTCAACACCTGAAGATAGGGCCTCTGTCCACCAGTCATTGTGGGAGGGTAGGGACCTAACTTCAGTAAGCACCAGTTAGAAAACCCAGATGAATTTCACGTGGACAACCTCCCTTTCCTGCTTTTTGTAAGTTTCTCCACTTCCCACATTCTACTGACCCCCTGCTCACTCACTCCCTATTTCCTTATTCTCCATTTAAATTACCCAGTCACCTCTGGACAAATCAAAGTTCAGTTCAATTCACACTGTACTGTTATTCCTATTGCAATAGTATATTACTGATTAAAATCTGTCTTTACCACTTTAACTAGTATTTAGCTTTGTTTATCTTTGACACATTTAGTAGTCACCAAAAAGGAATTGAGCAGAGCGGAGCCTGCAAGAGGCTTACAATCAAATCACAGGGCACACATACAGTAAATATAAACACCTACTACAGCATACAAACAAGAGGTAGGCAAGAGATTTTGAAAGTCTTTTGGAAAGGAGAAATTTTGAGAAAACAACAAGAGGGCACATACAGTTTAGAAAAGAGCAAAAGGTCACATCCAACTAGTCTCAGCCTTATCAGCAATGGAAACCAATGGTGTGCATAGGTATGGTTTGAGCAGCAGACAAGTTTAGTGAGAGTGACAGGGTGACAGCTATAAAGAAAAGAGGGAATAGTGGGAGCACACCCAAGGCTGTGAGAAAGTCTGTAACCCAGGGAATGCCAGAACATCCCTTAAGGATTGCCATCCTAAACTGCAACGGCCTCTTTCCCAACATGGCCATGAAAAGTCTTTGCCCAGTCCACTGGAGGATTATGTGCAAACTGGGAAAGGCCTTTCGGATTCAGGCAGAGACTTTTCAGAGTAAATTCTGAGAAGGGAGCCAGGGGATGAGGACAAGGGAGTTCAGGAAAAAATGAATTAGCAGATCTGGGCATTTCAAAGTGCAGCTTTTGTTTTGGGGTCCTAGAAATGTGTTAGGGATTCTTGTGACCTGATGGCATAGTTAGTACTCATCTTACTTGAAAACATTCCTAGCACTTTCACTAGTCCCCAAGTTCTTCCAATCAGTTTACTTCTGAATTATCTCTACAACCATCTCTTCATTTTCAGGGAGCTCTCTAATTTAGATCTTCACTAGCTCACTCTGTAACCATCAACTGCAGAAGTTTCCTAAGCATTTCACTCTTTCTAGCTGTCCTCCCACTCCATCCCAATATGTCATTCACCTTGCTGTCAGAATCATCTAAGACACAGATCTGATCTTGTCACATCCCTAATAAAACACCTTCAGTGTCTCCCTGTTACTCAGCTGATACAGTCCAAACCATCAGCACAGTTACACTCTGGCCCAACACCTCCTTGCCTCTCTGGCCAGCCCTCCTCATCCTTTCACATCCCCTATATCCCTCACCCCCTGTCTTCTAGGTGCAGGACAGTTGCCATTTTTCAAAAATGCCAAATATTTTCATTGGCCATGCCTTTACTTTCATAGTTCCCTCTGCCTTTAACGCCTTCATCCTCACACCCCTACCTCTAACCAGCACTATTTACAGACTCCTCGACACCAGCTTAAATGTCCCTTCCTCCATGAAACCATCTCAAGTCCTCCAGACAAAATGAGATTCCTCTGGTCTGTTCCCAAATCCCTTGGCTTTGCAATTCTCCCTTTATAGTAATTTTTATTGCTTCTGTCTTTATTTAACTTTGTAAATATATCCTTTGTTTAAATAGTATTTTACAAGATTATAAAATTTTTGAAGGTAGAAATAGAGTCACACACACAATTCGACACAGAGATATGTGGCCTCAAATTATCATTTTCTCAAGTGTCTTAATCTTCTCTTTCCATCTAGGTTGTCAATTTCTTGAGAAGTTAAATACTTTTATTCTTCCCTACCCTCGTTTCTGCAACCATCACTATTGTGCTGAGCCTAAATTGTCATAGCATCTATAAAAGGATGGATTAGATCACCTACTGGGTCCCATATCTAGGTCTACCATTTGGTAATTCTAACAGCAAACAGCTGGGACCCAAGAAATACTTCATACTGGTTTCACAAGGGCTGCTTAAACAGTATTTAGACTTAGGAATTGAGTAGCAATTCCCTTTTTTAATAGAAAAGCGGAATAGAAGCAATGAAGATCCTCCATCCTTTATGCTTATATTTATTGACCATCTACTGTGAACTTGACACTGATCTAGGCACAGGGTATACAGTAGAGAACAAAATCACACCACGGCCCTGCTGTCATGGAGCTTACAATCCAGGTGGGAAGACAGATGATAAATGAAGATGTAGACGGCATGATCAGGTAAACCAGTGTAGAAGACAATGACTACATTGCCACTGCTACTATTAACAACAGTAGCAAGAATAATACGAAGCTGAGTAAAGAGCTAGAGTAATGAAGGGCAATGCTATTTTAGAAATAGCCATCAGGGGAGGTCACGCTAAAGGGATACTATCATGGCAGGTACAGCTGCCTGCCAGGCAGTCTCCAAGGTCATCCTCATCATGATCTTAGGAAGACATCAGAGCCCAGTGTTTTGCCAAGGACAGTATGCTTGATTAACCAATGAAGGAAAAGAGCTTCAGAAGATAAGCAAAAGAAATAGATAAATGTGCAAACAAATTATGATATAGCTACAGAACAGAATGTTATGTAGTCACCAAAAATGATATTTTACTTTGCTCTTGTTTTTTTCTAGAGACAAGGTCCTGCTCTGTCACCCAGACTGGAATGCAGTGGTGTGATCATAGCTCACTGTAACTCCAAAGTCCTGGGTCTGCAGGGATTCTGCCACCTCAGCCTCCCAATTAGCTAGGACTACCCACCATGTCCAGCTAGTTTTTAAAACTTTTTGTAGAGATGGGGTCTCACTGTGTTGCCTAGGCTGGTCTCCAACTCCTGGCCTCAAGCAATTGTCCCACCTCAGCCTCCCAAAGTGCTGGGATTATAAGAGTTAGCTGCTGCCCCCACCAAAATGGGAAAATGCTGACTCAATAAAATATTGAGTGACAAACTATACATATATATGATCTCATCTAAATTTAAAGTATATCTTTATGTGTACAAAAAGTACACTAGAGGGAACATCATGAAACATTTTAAAGCTTTTTTTTTTTTTTTTTTTTTGAGATGGAGTCTCGCTCCTTCACACAGGCTGGAGTGCAATGCCATGATCTCTTCTCACTGCAGCGTCCACCTCCTGGCTTCAAGCAATTCTTCTGCCTCAGCCTCCCCAGTAGCTGGGATTACAGGCACGTGCCACCATGCCTGGCTAATTTTTTTATATTTTTAGTAGAGACGGGGTTTCACCATGCTGGTCAGGCTGGTCTCAAACTCCTGACCTCAAGTGATCCGCCCACCTCGGCCTCCCAAAGTACTAGGATTACAGGCATGAGCCACTGCACCCGGCCAGGCTTTCTTATTTTTCCCAGTTTTACTGAGGTATAATTGGCATACAAAAAACAAGGAATATAATTAAAGTCTTCATGTTTGGACATATGTATACACGTAAGTTACCATTACCAAAATCAAGGTAATAAATATACCCATCACCTCCAAAAGTTTCCTTTTTATATATATATATAGTTTTTGGCTTTTATTTGTTTGTTTGGGGTGTGTGTGTTAAGATTTAACATGAGATCTACCCTCTTAACAAATTTGCACAATATTGTGTTGTTAACTGTAGGCACTAAGTTACACAGTAGATCCCTGGAACTTACTCATCTTGTATATCTATAACTTTATACACAATGAACAACAACTCCACATATCCCCCTCCTCACATCCCCTGGTAATCACTATTCTATTGTCTGTTTCTTTAGATTTGACTGTTTCAGATGCTTTAATAAGAGGACTCATGCAGTATTTGTCCTCCTGTGCCTGGTTTACTTCACTTACCATAATGTCTTCCAGTTACATTCATGTTGTCACAAATAGTAAGATTTCTTTCTTTTTAAATGCTGAACAATATTCCATTGTATGTATGTGCCATATTTTCTTTATCCATCCATTGATGGACATTTGTGTGTTTCCATATTTTGACTATTGTGAGTAATGCTGCAATGACTATGGGAATGCAAATGTTGCTTTGAAATCCTGATTTCAGTTCTTTTGGATATATATCCAGAAGTGGGATTGCTGGACCAAAAGGAAATTCAATTTTTAATTTTTTGAGAAACACTGTGATTTTATGAGAGAGAGAGAGAGAGAGAGAGAGACAGAGAGAGAGAGAGGTTTTCATCCATAGTTCCCAGCTCATAACTTTCACAGCCCTTATTATAATATCAGAGTGCTTTAGGCCTCAGAAAACAGAATCTCTCTCTCTCTCTCTCTCTCTCTCTCTCTCTCTCTGTCTCTGAATTTCTCCAGAACCTCCTTTACCTGCCCAAAGCAGGACTCTAATCTTCACTGCCTTTCTGATCGTGAATCATAATAACCTCATTCCAGAAGGGATCCTGCCCCCTACCCTGGTGGAAAAAATGCTGCAAAGAAGCCAAGAAGAATCTAAACAGACAAGCCTTGCTGGGTTTCCTCACTCAAACTAACACCAGATCACATCCTTTTTTCCAGTCACATTTTGGCACCATTGTCCATGCTTCAATTATGCGTATCCAATTAAGACTCCATTAAAGGCTCAAGAGGATAGGGTTTGGAGAAATTCTGGATAGCTGAACACGTGGAGGTTTGTGGAGAGTGGTGCACCCAGGGAGGGCATGGAAGCTCCACGCCCTTTCCTCATACGTCGGCTTACACATCTCTTTATCTGTATCCTTTGTAATATCCTTTATAATAAGCCAGCAAATCTACGTGTTTCCCTGAGTTCTGTAAGCCACTCTAGCAAATTAATAAAACCCAGAGAGGAAGTCCTGGGAGCCCCAACTTGAAGCCAGTCAGTCAGAAGTTCTGGAGGCACAGACTTGCGACTGGTGTCTGAAGGGGAGGGAACCTTGGGGATGGAGCCATCCACCTGCAGGATCTGATGTTATCTCCAGGTAGGTAGTGTCAGGTTTGAATTGGAGGACACCCAGCTGGTGTCTGCTGCAGAATTGATTGCTTGCTTGGTGTCTGGGAATAAACCCCCATGTATTTGGTCACAGAAGTCTTCTGTGTTGATTGTTGTGGTATAAGAACAGAAAAATACAGAGTTTGAGTTGGTTTTTCCACAAATAAACTTCCATACTGTTTTCCGCATTAGCTGCACCATTTTACACCCCCACCAATAATGCATAGGGTTTCAATTTCTCCATAGCCTCACCAACACTTGCTACCTTTTGTGTCTTTCTTTTTACTGTAGCCACCCTAACAAGTGTGAGGTGATATCTCATTGTGGTTTTGATTTGCATTTTCCTAATGATTGTTGATGCTGAACATCTTTTCATATACCTGTTAGCCATTTGTGTATCTTCAATGGAGAACATCACAAAATATTAATAGTCGTCTCTAGTTAGTAGAATCTCAGGTGGATTTTATTCTCCCCCTTAGACTTTTAAAGATATTTTAAGAGTTTCTATTTTAAGTATGTTTCAGTTATACTTTTTCATTTTGCTTCTTATTTTCATTTTTAAAATAATATGTGTGCATTAAAAATAACTCAAATTGTATAGATGTCCATAAGGTAAAAAGATCTCCTCTACCCTTGTCCCCTGGTTTCCTCAGACCTTTCATGCTAATGATATTTTCCAACATGTTTTTCTGTACCCTTAGATAATTTTTTTAATGCATGTACAAGCATATATAATATTATCTTTTCCCTCCACAATTAGAATCATTACGTAATCTGATTTTTTTAAATGTATTTTAAAAAGACAACTATATTCCTGTGTCAGAACATAAATACCTCATTCTTTTTCAACCACTAGGTAGAATGTTCTTGTTTGGATATTCTATAATTGATTTAAAAAGATTGTTTCCAACTTTTTGCTATTGCAAACAGGGCTGCAAACAGCAGCTCTACAAGCCTCTCTACAGCCAGCAGAGTTGGCGGATGTGCTGGACATCAGAAAGGAAACCAGTTCATTAGCTGCATGCTGACCTACATTCACTGAGGCCAAATACTCCTAACTGAAAGTGTCTTTATAGCTTGGCTTCTCCACTGATTTCTAGGTTAAGAGATTATTTCTCAGGCCAGGCACGGTGGTTCATGCCTTTAATCCCAGCACTTTAGGAGGGTGAGGCGGGTGAATCACCTGAGGTCAGGAGTTCTAGACCAGCCTGAGCAACATGGTGAAACTCCATCTCTACTAAAAATTAAAAAATTAGCCAGGCCTGGTGGTGCATGCCTGTAATCCCAGCTACTCAGGAGGCTGAGAAGGAGAATCACTTGAACCTGGAAGGCAGAGGTTGCAGTGAGCTGAGATCACGCCTTTGCACTCCAGTCTGGGTGACAGAGTGAGACTCCGTCTCAAAAAAATAAAAAGAGAGAGACAGATTATTTCTCAGAGCCCTTCAGCTACAGAGCCATTTCTGAGATAGGCCAGAGGGTTCGCTATTTTCAGGAGCAACACGTGCATGCCCAAGACAGGTGTATTCTAGCCTGCATTGGAAACAGACCTCGTTTGCCTTCTTGGAGCCTCTTAATAGCCTCCTTCTTTCTCTAGGTTGAAACCAACCACCAGGTTGGCCTCCACTTTCAGACTTGAAAAGTCACACCCTGGGGCATGGGATTTGGCTTCTTGAGGAGCCACTGAAGAGCCAGATGACACAAACCAGAAGTGTGGGGGAGTCCTGGCAGAGTAAACCTTCACCGATGAGAAATGAGAAATGAGAGACAAAGGACAGCTGGGAAGGAAATTCTCTTGGATTTTGAAAATTCTTGAAAATTTGGGAGAAAATTCCTGATTTTCTCTCTTTTGTGGACTACTTGGAGATGCAATTCTTCCTTCTAACTCCTTCAGAGAAATCTTGCATGCTGGGTGAAAGTGCTTGCCCAGGCACCTGCTGAGTCTCTGCATTTTGTTGTAAAGCAGTAGCCAGTGAGGAAACACTGCTTTGCGTCACAATATTTTTTGCCTTATTTCTTTTCATTGCTCACCCTCAAATCCTTAGACTTGGACATTCCAAAGAAAGTATTAGCACTTGGTTCTTGCCTCAGGCTCTGCCTTCTAGAAAACCTGGGTTCAGACATACTTTAACAGGAAAAATACCAGGTGCGATGATGTGCGCCTGCAGTCCCAACTACAGGGGGCTAAGGAAGGAGGACCACTTGAGCCTGTGAATAGCCAGTGCACTCCAGCCTGTCTTTAAAAACAAAAAACTGCCCTGTAAGTTGTTTCTTAGGAAGAATGCTCAGAAATAGAGAAAGTCTTGTGTATGTGTATGTGTATGTGTATGTATGTGTGTTTGTGACAGATTTTTATGCCTTTTTTTCATTAAAATGTAATAAATGAGGCTGGGCGCGGTGGCTTATGCCTGTAATCCCAGCACTTTTGAAGCCTGAGGCAGGCAGATCACCAGGCTGTGCAACATGATGAAACCCTGTCTCTACTAAAAATACAAAAATCAGCCAGGTGTAGTAGTGCACTCCTATGGTCCCAGCTACTCCGAAGGCTGAGGCAGGAGAGTCATTGAGCCCAGGAGGCAGAGGTTGCAGTGGGCCGAGATCACACCATTGCAGCCTGGGTGACGGGAATAAAACCCTGTCTAAAAACAAATGAACAAACAAATAAACAAAAACCCTAATAAATGCCATTTGTGATCGTTCAAGCAATAAAAAAATCAATGCTACAAAAATAACCCCTTGTACATACATATATACATTATCTTATGAATGTATATGTGTAGTTATATACCTATTTAAATTTGCACACTTAGAGAATTATCTGGAAGATGAATTTCTAAAAGTGAAAATATGAGGTCAATTTTATTTTGATAGGTATTGCCAAATTGGCCTTTAAATTTTTCACATAATTAACCTTTTGCCACAGAGGGCATGGTTCCCGAATCCCTTATTAAACTTTTTAATCAGTTGGGTGGTTTTGAAATTTCCTATTGGCATTTCTATTAGCATCTATTAATGTGTAGGTTTAGAACTGACGTTGTAACAATTGCAAAGGACAGAGGGTGCGCGTTTGGATATCTTTGGCAGAATTTTCAGGTTTTCTTCATATAAGGCAGGTGTACTTCTTACTATTGCAGTTAGTTCTGTGGTTAGAAAAAAGGGATCATTTCTTCCATTACACTGTCTAGGTTTTTTTTTTCTATTTTTTTAATTATACTTTAAGTTCTAGGGTACATGTGCACAACGTGCAGGTTTGTTACATATGTATACATGTGCCATATTGGTTTGCTGCACCCATTAACTCGTCATTTACATTAGGTATTTCTCCTAATGCTATCCCTCCCCAATCCCCCCACCCCACAACAGGCCCTCGTGTTTGATGTTCCCCATCCTGTGTCCAAGTGTTCTCATTGTTCAATTCCCACATATGAGTGAGAACAGGTGGTGTTTGTTTTTCTGTCCTTGCAATCGTTTGCTCAGAATGATGGTTTCTAGCTTCATCCATGTCCCTACAAAGGATATGAACTCATCCTTTTTTATGGTTGCATAGTATTCCATGGTGTATATGTGCCACATTTTCTTAATCCAGTCTATCATTGTTGGACATTTGGCTTGGTTCCAAGTCTTTGCTATTGTGAATAGTGCCGCAATAAACATACATGTGCTTGTGTCTTTACAGTAGCATGATTTATAATCCTTTAGGTATATACCCAGTAATGGGATCACTGGGTGAAATGGTATTTCTAGTTCTAGATCCTTGAGGAATCACCACGTTGTCTTCCACAATGATTGAACTAGTTTACAGTCCCACCAACAGTGTAAAAGTGTTCCTATTTCTCCACATCCTCTCCAGCATCTGTTGTTTCATGAATTTTTAATGATCGCCATTCTAACCGGCATGAGATGGTATCTCATTGTGGTTTTGATTTGCATTTCTCTGATGACCAGTGACGATGAGCATTTTTTCATGTGTCTGTTGGCTGCATAAATGTCTTCTTTTGAATAGTGTCTGTTCATATCCTTTGCCCACTTTTTAATGGGGCTGTTTGATTTTTTTCTTGTACATTTGTTTAAGCTCTTTGTGGATTCTGGATATTAGCCCTTTGTCAGATGGGTAGATTGCAAAAATTTTCTCCCATTCTGTAGGTTGCCTGTTCACTCTGATGGTAGTTTCTTTTGCTGTGCAGAAGCTCTTTAGTTTAATTAGATCCCATTTGTCAATTTTGGCTTTTGTTGCCATTGCTTTTGGTGTTTTAGTCATGAAGTCCTTGCCCATGCCTATGTCCTGAATGGTATTGCCTAGGTTTTCTTCTAGAGTTTTCATGGTTTTAGGTCTAACATTTAAGTCTTTAATCCATCTTGAATTAATTTTTGTATAAGGTGTAAGAAGGGGATTCAGTTTCAGCTTTCTACATATGGCTAGCCAGTTTTCCCAGCACCATTTATTAAATAGGCAATCCTTTCCCCATTTCTTGTTTTTGTCAGATTTGTCAAAGATCAGATGGTTGTAGATGTGTGGTGTTATTTCTGAGCCTCTATTCCATTGGTCTATATCTCTGTTTTGGTACCAGTACCATGCTGTTTTGGTTACTGTAGCCTTGTAGTATAGTTTGAAATCAGGTAGTGTGATGCCTCCAGCTTTGTTCTTTTTGCTTAGGATTGTCTTGGCAATGCAGGCTCTTTTTTGGTTCCATATGAACTTTAAAGTAGTTTTTTCCAGTTCTGTGAAGAAAGTCATTGGCAGCTTGATGGGGATGGCATTGAATCGATAAATTACCTTGGGCAGTATGGCCATTTTCACAATACTGATTCTTCCTATCCATAAGCGTGGAATGTTCTTCCATTTGTTTGTGTCCTCTTTTATTTCATTGAGCAGAAATGTTTTGTAATTCTCCTTGAAGAGGTCCTTCACCTCCCTTGTAAGTTGGATTCCTAGGTATTTTATTCTCTTTGTAGCAATTGTGAATGGGAATTCACTCATGATTCGGCTCTCTGTCTGTTATTGGTGTATAAGAATGCTTGTGATTTTTGTACATTGATTTTGTATCCTGAGACTTTGCTGAAGTTGCTTATCACTTAAGGAGATTTTGGGCTGCGATGATGGGGTTTTCTAAATATACAATCATGTCATCTGCAAACAGGGACAATTTGACTTCCTCTTTTCCTATTTGAATACCCTTTATTTCTTTCTCCTGCCTGATTGCCCTGGCCACAACTTCCAACACTACGTTGAATAGGAGTGGTGAGAGAGGGCATCCCTGTCTTGTGCCAGTTTTCTAAGGGAATGCTTCCAGTTTTTGCGCATTCAGTATGATACTGGCTGTGGGCTTGTCATAAATGGTTCTTATTATTTTGAAATACGTTCCATCAATACCTAGTTTATTGAGAGTTTTTAGCATGAAGTGCTGTTGAATTTTGTCAAAGGCCATTTCTGCATCTATTGAGATAATCATGTGGTTTTTGTCTTTGGTTCTGTTTATGTGAGGGATTACGTTTATTGATTTGCATATGTTGAACCAGCCTTGCATCCCAGGGATGAAGCCAACTTGATTGTGGTGGATAAGCTTTTTGATGTGCTGCTGGATTCGGTTTTCCAGTATTTTATTGAGGATTTTCTCTTCGATGTTCATCAGGGATATTGGTCTAAAATTCTCTTTTTTTGTTGTGTCTCTGCCAGGCTTTGGTATCAGGATGATCCTGGTCTCATAAAATGAGTTAGGGAGGATTCCCTCTTTTTCTATTGATTGGAATAGTTTCAGAAGGAATGTTACCAGCTCCTCCTTGTACCTCTGGTGGAATTCAGCTGTGAATCCGTCTGGTCCTGGACTTTTTTTGGTTGGTAGGCTATTAATTATTGCCTCAATCTCAGAGCCTGTTATTGTTCTGTTCATCGATTAAACTTCTTCCTGGTTTAGTCTTGGGAGGGAGTATGTGTCGAGGAATTTATCCATTTCTTCTAGATTTTCTAGTTTATTTGCATAGAGGTGTTTGTAGTATTCTGTGATGGTAGTTTCTATTTCTATGGGATCGGTGGTGATATCCCCTTTATCATTTTTTATTGAGTCTATTTGATTCTTCTCTCTTTTCTTCTTTATTAGTCTTGCTAGCAGTCTATCAATTCTGTTGATCTTTTCAAAAAACCAGCTCCTGGATTCATTGATTTTTTGAAGGGTTTTTTTGTGTTTCTGTCTCCTTCAGTTCTGCTCTTAGTTATTTCTTGCCTTCTGCTAGCTTTTGAATTTGTTTGCTCTTGCTTCTCTAGTACTTTTAATTGTGATGTTAGGGTGTCAATTTTAGATCTTTCCTGCTTTCTCTTGTGGGCATTTAGTGCTATAAATTTCCCTCTACACACTGCTTTAAATGTGTCCCAGAGATGGCCGGGCACGGTGGCTCACGCCTGTAATCCCAGTACTTTTGGAGGCCGAGGCGGGTGGATCACGAGGTCAGGAGATCGAGACCATCCTGGCTAACATGGTGAAACCCCGTCTGTACTAAAAATACAAGCAATTAGCCGGGCGTGGTGGCAGGTGCCTGTAGTCCCAGCTACTTCGGAGGCTGAGGCAGGGGAATGGTGTGAACCTGGGAGGCAGAGGTTGCAGTGAGCCAAGATCGTGCCACTGCACTCCAGCCTGGGCGACAGAGCGAGACTCCGTCTCAAAAAAAAAAAAAAAAAAAAATGTGTCCCAGAGATCCCAGTACATTGTGTCTTTGTTTTCATTGGTTTCAAAGAACATCTTTATTTCTGCCTTTATTTTGTTATTTACCCAGTAGTCATTCAGGAGCAGGTTGTTCAGTTTCCATGTAGTTGAGCGGTTTTGAGTGAGTTTCTTAATCCTGAGTTCTAATTTGATTGCACTGTGGTCTGAGACATAGTTTATTGTGATTTCTGTTCTTTTACATTTGCTGAGGGGTGCTTTACTTCCAACTATGTGGTCAATTTTGGAATAAGTGGGATATGCTGCTGAGAAGAATGTATATTCTGTTTATTTGAGGTGGAGAGTTCTGTAGATGTCTATTAGGTCTGCTTGGTGCAGAGCTGAGTTCAAGTCCTGGATATCTTTGTTAACCTTCTGTCTCTTCGATCTGTCTAATGTTGATAGTGGGGTGTTAAAGTCTCCCATTATTATTGTGTGGGTGTCTAAGTCTCTTTGTAGGTCTCTAAGGACTTGCCTTATGAATCTGGGTGCTCCTGTATTGGGTGCATATGTATTTAGAATAGTTAGCTCTTCTTGTTGAATTGATCCCTTTACCATTATGTAATGGCCTTCTTTGTCTCCTTTGATCTTTGTTGGTTTTAAGTCTGTTTTATCAGAGACTAGGATTGCAACCTTTGCTTTTTTTTGTTTTCCATTTGCTTGGTAGATCTTCCTCCATCCCTTTATTTTGAGCCTATATGTGTCTCTGCACGTGAGATGGGTCTCCTAAACACAGCACACTGACGGGTCTTGACTCTATCCAATTTGCCAGTCTGTGTCTTTTAATTGGGGGCATTTAGTCCATTTACATTTAAGGTTAATATTGTTATGTGTGAATTTGATCCTGTCATTATGATGTTAGCTGGTTATTTTGCCCGTTAGTTGATGCAGTTTTTTCCTAGCATCGATGGTCTTTACAATTTGGCATGTTTTTGCAGTGGCTGGTGCCAGTTATTCCTTTCCATGTTTCGTACTTCCTTCAGGAGCTCTTGTAAGGCAGGCCTGGTGGTGACAAAATCTCTCAGCATTTGCTTGTCTATAAAGGATTTTATTTCCCTTGACTTATGAAGCTTAGTTTGGCTGGCTAGAAATTCTGGGTTGAAAATTCTTTTCTTTAACAATGTTGAATATTGGCCCCCACTCTCTCTGGTTTGTAGAGTTTCTGCCAAGGGATCCGCTGTTAGTCTGATGGGCTTCCCTTTGTGGGTAACCTGACCTTTCTCTCTGGCTGCCCTTGACATTCTTTCCTTCATTTCAACCTTGGTGAATCTGATAATTATATGTCTTGGGGTTGCTCTTCTCGAGGAGTATCTTTGTGGCGTTCTCTGTATTTCCTGAATCTGAATGTTGGCCTGCCTTGCTAGACTGGGGAAGTTCTCCTGGATGATATCCTGAAGTGTTTTCCGACTTGGTTCCATTCTCCCCGTCACTTTCAGGTACACCAATCAAACGTAGATTTGGTCTTTTCACATACTCCCATATTTCTTGGAGGCTTTGTTCATTTCTTTTCACTCTTTTTTCTCTAAACTTCTCTTCTCGCTTCATTTCATTAATTTGATCTTCAATCACTGATACCCTTTCTTCCACTTGATCGAATCGGCTACTGAAGCTTGTGCATGTGTCACGTAGTTCTCACCATGGTTTTCGGCTCCATCAGGTCATTTAAGGTCTTCTCTACACTGTTTATTCTAGTTAGCCATTTGTCTAATCTCTTTTCAAGGTTTTTAGCTTCCTTGCAATGGGTTCGAACATGCTCCTTTAGCACGGAGAAGTTTATTACTGACGTTCTGAAGCCTACTTCTGTGAACTCGTCAAAGTCATTCTCTGTCCAGCTTTGTTCCATTGCTGGAGAGGAGCTGTGATCCTTTGGAGGAGAAGGGGCACTCTGGTTTTTAGAATTTTCAGCTTTTCTGCTCTTGTTTCTCCCCGTCTTTGTGGTTTTATCTACCTTCGGTCTTTGATGATGGTGACCTACAGATGGGGTTTTGGTGTGAATGTCCTTTTTGTTGATGTTGATGCTATTCCTTTCTGTTTGTTAGTTTTCCTTCTAACAGTCAGATCCCTCAGCTGCAGGTCTGTTGGAGTTTGCTGGAGATCCACTACAGACCCTGTTTGCCTGGGTATCACCAGCGGAGGCTGCAGAACACCAAATGTTGCAGAACAGCAAATATTGCTGCCTTATCCTTCCTCTGGAAGCTTCATCTCAGAGGGACACCCAGCTGTGTGAAGTGTCAGTCGGCCCCTACTGAGAGATGTCTCCAAGTTAGGCTACATGGGGGTCAGGGACCCACTTGAGGAGGCAGTCTGTCTGTTCTCAGAGCCCAAACACCGTGCTGGGAGAACCACTGCTCTCTTCAGAGCTGTCAGACAGGGACGTTGAAGTCTGAAGAAATTTGTGCTGCCTTTTGTTCAGCTATGCCCTGCCCCCAGAGGTGGAGTCTACAGAGGCAGGCAGGCCTTGTTGAGCTATGGTGGGCTCCACCCGTTTCGAGCTTCCCCGGCCACTTTGTTTACCTACTCAACCCTCAGCAATGGCAGATGCCCCTCCCCCAGCCAGGCTTGCCCCCTTGCAGTTCCATCTCAGACTGCTGCACTAGCAGTGAGCAAGGCCCCGTGGGTGTGGGAACTGCTGAGCCAGGCATAGGATATAATATCCTGGTGTGCCGTTTGCTAATACCATTGGAAAAGCCCAGTATGTAGGTGGCAGTGTCCCTATTTTCCTGGTACAGTCTGTCACGGCTTCCCTTGGCTAGGAAAGGGAAATCCCCTGACACCTTGTGCTTCTCAGGTGAGGCAATGCCCAACCCTGCTTTGGCTCGCCCTCCATGGGCTGCACCCACTGTCCAACCAGTCCCAGTGAGATGAACCAGGTACCTCAGTTGGAAATGCAGAAATCACCTGTCTTCTGCGTCAATCACACTGGGAGCTGCAGACCGGAGCTGCTCCTATTTGGCCATCTTCTTTTTTGTCTTGATTTAGAACATTTACTTATTTTTCCCATAAAACACTCAAAGTTTAGCCCGAAGATAGTATCAGCACTTTGTTCTTGCCTCAGGCTCTGCTTGGGAAATAATTTTAATCAGAGAACTGTATGTTTTCTTCCCACAGATCCTGCTTTGTATCAGGAAATGACATTGTGATTCATTTCACTACAAGTAGAATATTACAAAATATTTATAGGAAAATATCAAAAAATAACTCAAAAACAAAAGGCAAGGTAAAATAAACTCGTTTTTCAGAAATCTCTCGCTCCAGTGCCCACAGCACACAAAAAGAGAGTCAAAACAAATAAGTAACTGAGATCCTCGATCACAAATCTCCAAAGAACTGGAAAAGGGGAAGAAACAGGATGAAAATGGTGGTACAAAAAGGAATGGATGTGGCAGCACTGTTTCAATAGCCAATCGATTCTGAATGAGATACCCTCTCTTATATGTAGTAAATTCTGAACAAGGCTAAACTTTAGGATAGCCCTTGAACTGAAATAAGGTGTCACAGTAACCCTTCCAGCTTTCATGAAAGTCCCAAAACATCATCCTTGGTCTGTACTGAGACAGGAATGGAAGAACCAGATTTGAGAGCTGCTTTGGCAAGAGGCACAGCAGAATCATCCACTGACTTTTCTTGGAGGAGTGGCAGTAGCCCTTTCATTTTCCCGATCTACTCTCAATGCCATGGGCACAAATCAAGTAAGCTCTGCCTTGGAATTAGCAGTGATCTGTGGCTTGGCACTGGTGGTTGTTGTGGCTTTCTTCTCAATGGTGGCCACACTCATATCATCCACCTTGGGTTGCCGAATCAAGGTGGGTGGTGCACTGAAAATCGCAGGGTTTAGCAAGGGAGCTGGTGGAAAAAACCAAGGGTGGATAGGGGCAAGTCTATGTGGAGGCACCAAAGGTGGATCATCCTGCCAGGATGAGAAAGAGGGATACCTGAAGGTGCAGGGGGAGGTCGCTTTGGTGGTTGTTCCCAGGAGAAAGACCTGGAGGTGGGAGAGGGCCTGGGAGAGGGGCCGGGAGTCAGCCTACTGGTGGTCCTGGAGGTAAATGTTGGGGTAAAAGCCCTCAGAGGCCTGGCATTCCAGGTGGTCTCAGGAATGCCTGGAGGAACTCCTGGGGGTGGTCCAGGAGGAAGACCCATAGGTGGTCCAGGAGGCCACAGAGGTGGAGCAGGTGGTGGTATATTAATTTTGAACCTAGCCACTATTCTGAATGTTCCTATTATTTCTAGTCATTTTTTAGTTAATTCTATTGAAACAAAACTATATTATCTGCAAATAATGATTATGCCTCCGCTATTCCAGAATTTATTCCTCTTGTTTCAATGTCACTAATTCATTTAACAAATAATTGAGTTTCTATTGTGTGCCAGGCACTTTGCTAAGCCCTAAATCTAAGAAATTTGAATACTATATTGAGAACTGTGTTCTCTGTACAGTGCAATAATACACATCTTTGTCTTTCTTGCTTAATTTTTATAGAAAAACTAGTGTTATTGTGTTTCATTATTATTATTTTTTTTTTGAGATGGAGTTTTGCTCTTGTTGCCCATGCTGGAGTGCAATGATTCGATCTCAGCTCACTGCAACCTCCACTTCCCAGGTTCAAGCAATTCTCCTGCCTCAGCCTCCTGAGGAGCTGGGATTACAGGCATGCACCACCATGCCCGGCTAATTTTGTATTTTTAGTAGAGACAGGGTTTCTCCATGTTGGTCAGGCTGGTCTCAAACTCCCACCCTCAGGTGATCTGCCCGCCATGGCCTCCCGAAGTGATGGGATTACAGGCGTTCACCCGGCAGTGTTTCATTATTAAATGCAATACTAAGGCCTGGCACAATGGCTCACACCTGTAATCCCAACACTTTAGGAGGCCGAGGCGGGAGGATCACTTGAGGTCAGGAGTTTGAGACCAGCCTGGCCAACATGGTGAAACCCTGTCTCTACTAAAAATACAAAAATTAGGAAAGCCTGGTGGTGCACGCCTGTAATCCCAGCTACTCAAGAGGCTGAAGCAAGAGAATTGCTCGAACCCGAGAGGCAGAGGTTATGTTTAGCTAAGATTGCAGCACTGCACTCCAGCCTGGGCAAAAGAGTGAGACTCTGTCTCAAAAAATAAAAATAAATTTTAAAAAAAGGGATACTAGTATTTGCTTTGAAACATACATATTTTTTATCAAGTGAAGAATATTAATCTAGGCCTCTTTTACTATGAGAACTTTTTTAAAAATTGATGTTGAATTTTGTCAAATACCTTTTTACCATTTATTAGGATGAAAATGGGTTTTTAAATCTATTTGTTTGGCTGACTACATATTACTAATCCCATTTTAAAGATATTTTTGCTTTTTCACAAAAAAAACTTGTTTCGTTGAAATGTGCTGCTGGATTCCATTTACCAATATTTCAAATCCCATTTTAATGTATTCCTTTATTTTATTTGCTAATATTTTATTCAGGATTTAAGCATAAGTGAGACTTGTCTGCAGTGTTTTAAAATTATTTAAATGATCAGAAAAACATGCACACCCTGTGACTAAAAGGTATATCATTTTGTGTTTTTGTGCCTACAGAATCCTGAATTGAAAAGAAAACAAGAATAATAGCAGGAGAAGGCTCACACCCTCTACTTTAAATTTTGACTTCTGTTGCTTTATGAGAACGTCAATGAATCTGAGCATGGTAAAATGGCCTTGCCTTTGATTTGCCAAGATGTAAGGGCTAATCACCAACAAGAAATGCACAAAGCTTACAGTTTAAGAGCATGTGTTTGAAGAGCATGCGTTTGTATTTGAGCGGACCTGAGTTCAAGTTTTGGCTCTGGCATTAGTAGCTCCATAACCTCGGAAAAGCCTCTAACCTCTCTGTGTTCTACAAAATGAGAATTATCACTCTAACTACCTTGTAAGGTTGTGATGAAGATGAAAGACGACAACACGTTAAAGTGGTCAACACGGTACCCAGTATGTTGACCATGTTTAATCAATTTAGCTATGATTACTGTTTATTATTGCCATTCTTCTCTTAGACCTTCTAAAGTTAAGGTAAAGGGCTCTGAAGTCCCTATGCTGTAGCTGCTCCTAAACTGAAAATGCCCTCATCCTCTGACCCTCCTTGGTTAACAATATCTTGAGCAGTGCATCACAACTTCGGTAAAAGGTTCTGATTTTAAAGTTTATAAATTTAGAGAATGTTGATATTTACTATGCTGTATTTTTTACTGTGTACTATTTTAGTTTTTACTAATAAAATAGAAACCTAAACTCAGACAACTGCTTTATTCTTGCATCTAATCTGACCATATATTGTAGAAGCAATTCTTTATAATGGGACTTAGGTGAGAGCTGTCAATACATCAGTTTGGCCAAAAACTCTAGATTGGAATATCTAAAGCCAGACAAATAAAATTTTAAAAAGAGCAAATTGATCAGGTGCAGTGGCTCACGCCTGTAATCCCAGCCCTTTGGGAGGCCAAGGTGGGTGGATCGCTTGAGGCCAGGAGTTTGAAACCAGCCTGGCCAACATGGCGAAACCCTGTCTCTACTGAAAATACAAAAATTAGCCAGACATGCAGGCAGGTGCCTGTAATTCCAGCTACTTGGGAGGCTGAGGCATGAGAATCGCTTGAACCCAGGAGATGGAGGTTGCAGTGAGCCAAGATTGAGCCACTGCACTCCAGCCTGGGCAATAGGGTGAGACACTGTCTCAAAAAAAAAAAAAACCAAAAAAATTAAATATGAGAAAGCACAGAAATATCTCCCTCAAACAAGAAGGGTCTCCTCTAATAGTATTTAATGTAGCTCATTTGCAATCATATGAAAATTCATCAAGATCAAATCATGTTGCACAATCCCTAAAGGATAAAACTGAGGGAACTCATGGATAATTTTCACAGCTTCATTGTAAAGTCCAAGATCAAAAGGATGGTTATCTTCTTTAAACTGGACATAAGATGCACACATGATGGTTGCCTTGGTGCTTACTCTTCCAACACTTCCAAGATTCCAGAGATTTCTTCATGAAGGGGCTCCATTAACTCAATGATTCCATTTTTTCCTTCTTCATCTGAAAGAATAAACATTTTTCCAGTGGGATGAGTCTTTTCCAGCCTCCCTGTGAAGCAGATGGGCTGGTCGATGAACCAAGTAGCATGCCGGCGTTGATGCACGACCTGGGCAACTCCATTACGTCTACCATGACTACAGTCCAAGACTGCTGCTGTGGAGAAACTGACTTGATGACTGAAAGTATGCGTCACGTGGGTGTCTGTATCTGCTGTGCTCTATTACAGTGCCTTCCTCTGTCAGAAGTCTTTAATCCAAGACTATACAGTCAGACAAAAATCATTGAAAAATGAAATGTCTTACAAACTGTGAAAGTACATAATGCCTGTAACTGGCAATTTAATTGACATGAGGTATGAATTTGGCAATAGTGGTAGCTGACATCACAGTCAGTTTCTGCTAACCTGACTGTTCTTTAAGTGACTGAGACAAAAATAGAATCTTCTCTGAATTTTCAGAGTTGTCTTTAATTACTGACAGACCTTGGAATTCTAGTGAATTCCATTTAAATCAGTGAGGCTCAGAAATGTTATTTATTTCTTTCCAGCTTAGCCTGATAACAACTTACTCTAGTGCCCACTTACTTATTTCTGGAAACAAAATCACACAATTGAGATTCCAGGTCTAGGCTCCACTGACGCAGACATGAGCAAAGTTCCAAAAAAGGAAAGAATGTGGAGGAGATGGTGGCTAATTCTCCTAACTGCCAGCTCCCTGAATGAACTAGTCTCCACCCATAACTGCAGCCAACCCTAAAGCCCTAAAGACCACCAGGCCATCGATTTATATAAATATGGCCACATCAATGGGGGATTCTGAGCATTTGACCAAATGATCGTAAATTCTCTGAAAATCATGTTTAAGGACTGCATATAGACCATTCTATGAGTATCTTTAATGGAATGACCCCAGATCAGGTTCAGGTCTTTTAAGAAACTCACAGCCTCTGGCACAAATTAGAATTGCTACTTTCTATCTTATCTTGGGTAACAGTAATCAGACTATACATTAGGCTCTTAAAATGAAAACATATCCCCTAGGATATTCTAACCTAGTACATACTGGAAACATGGTATAATCCCCCTTCCTGGACATCTGCAGTATAAATGAAATATAACCAAAGGTCCCATGCTGACCTGACACAAAGGTACTTTTTGTCAAGTAAATGTGTAACAGAGAGAAACAAGACAAGTCCAGAGGTTACTAGAGCGCAAAGTGATTTGTTGTTCAAACATAAAACACACAAAATTTGCTAGCAAAATTAAAGTAAAAAACTAGGAATATACATATATAATGTTTATATATGTATAATAACTAAGATGTATCTATAAATTGTGTTTTACAAAGACAAGATGGCAATAAGACATTAACAGTGAGTGAGTTGTGATATGATGGGCTATTTTCTTCAAACTTGGTATTTTCAAATTTTCTACAAGCCGTATTACTTTCATAAAACAGAAACACAAAAAAATAGGTTTTTAAAAAAACTAACAGACTCTCAGTGCAAACATCTGGAATCAGAGCATACTTTAAGGTATACTTAAAATTGCTAGGTGTGGTGACCCGTGCCTGTAGTCCCAGCTACTCAGGAGGCTGTGGAATAAGAACCTCTTGAACCCAGGAGGCAGAGGTTGCAGTGAGCCAAGATCACGCCACTTCACTCCTGCCTGGGCGTCAGAGCAAAACTCTGTTTCCAAAAAAAAACCAAGGTACTTAAAATCAACACCCTCTGCTAAGGAGACCAGATAATAATTCTTAGCTGAGTCTACCTCTAGCATCCTGTCTGGAATGGGGCAAAGGCTAAGAGATGCTGAGACGTCTGCTTTGGCTGGTGGTTCCAATTGCCCTCCTAATCCTGAGACAAAAGGCAAGAGAGTACAAGGTGTTCCTGTTTGGTGGTCAGATGTCATTCCAATTGAAAATGATGATTTATCAACTCTATTAAGAGGACACAGAACTGAACCTCCTGATCTATCTCAATCTGCAGTCAATAATCAATGTGCCTTTGGAAACCTGCCTCACAATTATTCAATAAAACTTCACAAATAGTATGATAAAACTAAGTGTATTGTTTACAACAAAGCAAAAGAGCCAATATAATCATGCACAATACTCCTAACTTCTGATACTAGAAATTTTTGCCCAGCTGGAAGACAGGAAGCAACTACTTATGCAGAGAAAATGGGAAACTTAAAAAAATGAATGAGAAGTGAAGACACATAGATTGAAACATTTTCCTGGTCAGAAAAAACGGGCGAATATGATACTTGATGCTCAGGCCAAAGTGTTTGTCTCTTTTGAGGCAATGGTTGGAAATTTTAAGGAAAAATAAATTATGCTATACTGGACCTAACCAAACATGAATTTTCAGAGACATCTATGAATGCTGAAGAAGTTAAACATCAACCAGTTTGCAGTACAATCTGGCTATGATTTATCACTTAACTAAAAGAACTTACTACTGATGGTTTGGAAGAACAGTTATTATCAAATCAACTCAGGAAAGTAGTGCTGAAAAAATCATGAGTTTCACAATCTCACAAAGAGGTTTGTCCAGCTGCTTATGCTTACAAGGTCTACTGCAGTGCCACAGAAGTTGCTCTCATTAGCCAAGTTGCCTGGGAACTGACCAGCCCATCAAAATCCTAGGCTGTGGTATTTCAAAGTGTTCAGGCATAGAATCAACAGATTGTCAAAGTGTGTAGAGCTCAAGTCTATAATGATAATCTACAGTAAGTTAAAATATCCCAAATCATCTTTGCCTATCTCTTTTTCTTAGCTGTTTATAGGCATAGATTTTCACTTGCACATCTTGTACCAGCCCCTTAGAAGGAATTCACTAAGATTATCACAGTATATCCATTACATTTGGTTGCACACTGAGTCCACTTTTATTTGATTTCTCTGAATTTGATATTTTAATAGATTTTTTTAAAAAATATTTATTATATGTTTATTGATAATATTGCTTTTCAATTTTAAAAAATGTATTTTCTATCCTATCCTGTTCTAAGCATTACAGCTTGCCCCTAAATAACTATATTCTTTTCCTTCTTCAGGTCTCAATGGCTCTTATACCTCTCATAACATATCATACGGTATTTCACCTTTTGTTATTGTTCATGCTTATATTTACTTCCTTCATTATACCGAAGGCCATTTACAGCAGGATTTCTCTTCTCATACTTAAATCATTTCTACCACTTAGCAGGTGGTAAGGACACCAGAAATATGTGTTGAGTTGAATTGAATTACTTGATATAAATGATGTAAATTATCCTGTCCTGGATAGTTGGTACAAGATATCCAAATTGCATTTATAGTATCACTCACATCCATCAATCAAAAACCTCCTCATTGCCTTACATTTTTAATGGTTGATGTCATCGACAACCTCTCTATCATCAACAACTTCTCTATCACCTTCAAGAATTTTCTCCTCTAGCCCATCAGCCATCATGAACTCATGTCGTTTCTACTTCTGCAGTCTCTCATCTCTCCTGTCCTTCCTATTGTCTTGCTATAACTCCATTATCTCATAACACGCTTGTGTAAAACCCTCCTAATTTGTTTTGCCCTACCTGGTGCATCCTTCTCACCCCTGCCACAGTAACCTTCCTAAACACAGGTAAGTTCGTATTTGTTTTCTTTATCAAAAACCACAAAACACTCTCAGTTACCCAAAATCTAAATGGCTTCTTCCAAGACCCTCTACTGTGGTGTCAAGCTAACTCTCCAACCTCATCTCCAACTAAAGGCTCTATGAGCCCTACACTCTGGCCACGTGGTTCATTTACCAGCTCCGAACATTTTACACACTTTCACCACTCTATGTCTTTGCCTTGATAGCTCCCTAAAATTTCAAAAATTTTACATGAAGCTCAGATTTATGTAGAGTTGAGATTAAGAGAAGGAGGTAAAGGATATATTCCTGAAACTTCTTCAGCTGTTAGAAGTCATGTGCCTCTTTAGCACTAAGTGTATAGAGCTAAAGCTAGAAGCAGAGACACTCTGACCATTACTCCTATGATATAGTATATCCCATAGGTAGCAAACTCCTGCAAGGCAAAAGTTTGATTATATCTTTTGACCCCAGAAGAGCAGGGAGTATTTTCTGTTTTGTTCCCTGGTCTCCCAAGTGCCTAAAAAGTGCATGCCACATAATGGAAACTAAGAAAATACCTGTTGCATAAAGAAAAATATCAGGAGGCATATTCCATTTGGAAGAAATTGAGGTGAAGATGCATCAAATGTGTGCCCACTCTGTACCTGCCCATGCACAAACACCGGGGTGTAGCAATGGGCGTAAGGAAGCCATGCCCTGTCCTAGAGGAACTTGCAGCCCGGAGCAGGAGACCAGCACCGAAGGATTATTTGCAGTAACTCAAGTGGGGAATCCTTGATGCCAGACCTGTTTCCTCAACTGTAAAGGAAGAAATTAGAAAATCCTCTACAGTCCTTGGTTCTGTCTTGTTTTAAACATGCTGTTTACAATTCCCAGATCAAAGTTCCCAAAAGCCCAGGGTTGTGCCCTCTCATTTTTGTATTCCCTAGAGTACCTTGCAACTAAATGTTGCTTATTATCTAGGTTTTGAATTGAGCTGATGGAACTGTAATTGCCTAATTTTTAAAACAACAGTAAAATTAGATATAAAGAAGAAAAGCTCTCTGGATATTATATTAAGAAAAGGGCATCCCCAATAAACAGCTACTTGAGTATGATGTGAGGCAGAAAATCTTCCACATTCAAACAATTACTAGTTGTTCAGGGCAAATTGTTGAGCAATCTTGAGCCTTGGTTTCCTCATAAACACAAAGGGAATAATCATACCTACTCACAGAGTGGGGAGAACCTTATCAGGTAATGAATGTGAAATGGCTCTCTAAGTATAAAGAACATTCACGAACGTTAGTTAATGCTACAGTACGACCACTTATCAGTTCCTCAGCAGTGGCTGCAGATCCACTGCACCTTCGCTGCCTTCTTTCCTGTTCTGGTTAGTCTGCTAGGTAAAGTATGGAAGAATTTGATCTTTTCTGTTAACTTTGTCAAATTTAAACTATTGACTGTCTCATATTCACAGTTTAAAATGTAGCTAAAATCAGATTTACCATTGTTGGAGATATTTGTGGATAAATTAATCAGGGAAAAGAATATAAGAAAGTCAGGAAAAGTAGATTAAAATTCTGCATACTTATGGTTCTTCCTATTTAGGAAGAAATATGGCATAGCCCAAAAAAGGACATTATTCAAAGAAGGAAGAAGATATGTTCACAACAATATTCATTGCAATATTATTTACAATGGTGGAAATGATGACTTTCCTATTCAGCAGTACAGGCACTCCTGAGGCCACTCCTATCCCTGAACCTCAGGCTTTACCTCTGATAAAACAGAAGAATTTATTTAATGGAGGTTCTTGAGTCTACTCTCAGTATTTTTGATTCAATAGGTTTGATTCAAGGCCTAGAAATTTGAATTGAACACCAATGGCTAAAGCAATGGCTGTAGTATAATTATTTAGTGGACATTTTTAAAAGATAGATAATATAGCAACATGGAAAAATATTATAATTAACTATTAAGTTAAAAAAGCAGAAACAAAATTACACAACCACAGAAAAGATGTATATTCAAGTAGGCAAGAAATGTATGGGATATATTTTTTAAAACAGTTTGAATTATTAATCTAGAATACTTAGAGTCAATTGCCTTCCTTTCATTTTGAGAGCTAAATGCTATAACGTTGCTTAGATGATTTTGAAATCTGCATTCATTCAGACCAAGCAGTAGGTGGATTTGGGATTTTATGCACACTTTAGAAAAAAGAAACAGCCAATAGTGTGGTTTCTGCCCCTCCTATAATTCATTTAATGTTAGTGAGTAAATATTAATACTTGGCTTTACGAAAATACCTTGTATTGTCCCATAGACAAGGAGGTGGGACACAATTCACAATCATAATTTAACTCTGTCAGAAAAAAACAAACCAACAACTATAGCAACTGCTACCACAAATTTAGAACCCAGAAATATTTACACCGTGACAATTTAGGGTGCAGACATTACAGCCACATACATAAAATACCGCTGTGGCTCCCCTAGAACAATCCAAAAGAATAAAGAGCTTTGACACCTATTGAAAAATAGATATTCCTAGATTAAAGATTTAGGTACCTTTTAATCCCTTAACACCTTTAGCTGAAATGTATTCTCTGGCATCACATAGGAAAAAAATGAATCAACAAGCTTGCTAACCTATCAAATAGTGACTAGTAATAGTCTGCTGGCAGGCAAATTTTTTTTTTTTTTTTTTTTTTTTTTTTGAGACAGAGTATTGCTCTGTCACCCAGGCTGGAGTGCAATGGCGCAGTCTCAGCTCACCACAACCTCCACCTCCCGGGTTCAAGCGATTCTCCTGCCTCAGCCTCCCGAGTAGCTGGGTTTACAGGTGCCTGCCACCACACCAGGCTAATTTTTGTATTTTCAGTAGAGACTGGGTTTCACCATGTTGGCCAGGCTGGTCTCAAACTGCTGACCTCGTGATCCACCCGCCTCGGCCTCCCAAAGTGCTGGGATTACAGGTGTGAGCCACTGTGACCAGCCAAATCTTTTTTTTTTTTTTTTTTTGAGACAGGATCTCACTACATTGCCCAGGCTGGCCTCAAACTCCTGGGTTCAAGGGATCCTCCAGCCTCAGCCTCTCAAGTAGCTGGGATTACAGGTGAACGCCACCGTGGCTGGCAGAAGCCAAATTGTAGTAGTTATTTTCAGACAATTAAAGCGTTTAAGGGGTGAGCACCTCTTCCCCACGCCTCATTCATTTCCCTGGGAAACTGTGTAATGCTCATATTTCTCATTGAAGAGGATGGCAGATGCTAGAATCATTACCAGGTTAAGTTAAACCAATGGTTACTTAAGAGACTCAGGCCAAAATGGACCTTCTCCTTTTTTGTAGATAACCATCTCTAATTCCTACTTTGTCAAGAAAAAACATAGCCACAGAATGCCTTAGATATAGTGGAGCACAGAAATCGCTTTCTTCTCAGTCTAATAAAAAGGAATAATTTACTCTAGTAACTCCATTACCTGTGATATCTAGGAACATAATGCAAAGTCCTCGCCATGATCAGGCCATCACGGTGGAAGCTACAGAGAAAGTCTCATCAGAGACACTACTGAACTATCCAGGGATAGGATGTAGGAATTTAGATGGTTTTAAAAATATACATCCCTCATCCCAGACCAGCAGCAATGCTATAAAGACATGGGTGCAAGAACAAACTTTTGATAATTACTAGAGTGCTAAGGCCAGGACACAATCTTGGGCCTTACAAGGATTTTTTTTTTTTTTTTTTTTTTTTGAGATGGAGTTTTGCTCTTGTCCCCCAGGCTGGAGTGCAATGGCATGATCTTGGCTCACTGCAACCTCTGCCTCCTGGGTTCAAGCTATTCTCCTGCCTCAGCCTCCAGAGTAGGTGGGATTACAGGTGTGCACCACCATGTTCGGCTAATTTTGTATTTTTAGTAGAGATGGGGTTTCACCATGTTGGTCAGGCTGGTCTTGAACTCCTGACATCAAGTGATCCACTCACCTTGGCCTCCCAAAGTGCTGGAATTACAGGCGTGAGCCACTGCGCCTGGCCTGGGATCTTTGAAAAGAACTAAGCTACACTAAATTAATCAAAACCAGTAATAAATGTAAATATCTAAATAGATAAATGATAGACCAATCAAGATAAATAAAAACTTATTTGGTGCAAACTTTTCAGCACTTCCTATGCTCTTAATTTCATTTAGGTGGAGAACACCCCAGCATTATTTTGTAGAGTATTAAACTTATATTATCATTTTTCTCCAGCAAACTTTTTTCCCTGATACTCCCAGAGTAAGAGCCAGTTTCAGCCCACTCAAGTGAAATTTTAATTCTGAAGAGGCATAAGTCATTCTGACCATAAGCCATCCTTAATCTGGGCAGGCCTGAAGAGCTGGACTGTTTCCTCAACTGTGTGGAGGATTGTAAGGATGTTTAGGGGCCAGGGCCAAGGGTCCAATGTGGTTCAAACCTCTGAGAACCCACAAGATCAGCCCTATAACAGTCCTGGGTCATGTATCACACTGGCTTCCCTGAGCATCAGACTAAGTTGAACAATCAAATTTGTGTCTAATCATTGTCCGTCCACCTTCTCCCACAGCCGGTCCCTGGACCCAGAGCACATTTGTGAGTTTGGGTCAGTACTTGCCTGGCTTCTGGGTGGTTGAAAATCTCACAAATAGCAGGTCAATGTTGAACATGCAAAGATAATCATTCTCCAAGGGCAACATTCTTAACATAGTTGATGGTGCAGTTTTGGAGGAGTTGAGGTAACATGCAGTCATAATGGATAATCCTTCAAACAGTTTTATATAAAGTAGAAAATATGTCACTGGCAGAAAATCCCCCAAAAGCTAAGGTGTCTCTGCAAAATCCAGAGCAGACAGGACGAATCACTATGAAAACAACTGAAGAAATCTCGTACTTGTGATTAACCTTATCTGACACCTTATCTCTTCCTCTCAGCTCAGATTAAAGAGCCCTTTCATACATATTAACGCATTTGATCCCACAACAAATAAGGGACATCGCACTGGGCTTATTGCCAAGTTACCCCATTACAGCAGAGAAAACATTATCTCTAGAAGGTTTTAATTACAGCTACAAGGAAAGTCCTTCCCAGATGAAATCCTACTGTGTTTCCCCTTCCCACCAGGTTTTTCCACATGTTCGTTTTTATACATGACATATTTTACCAAATCCTAAATTCTTGGGTTTATCATTATCTTCTGCCTTCTTGCCCTCCTTACAAGAATTATCTTCTGCCTTCTTGCCCTCCTTACAAGAATTATCTTCTGCCTTCTTGCCCTCCTGGTGCCACAGACATTAGTGAAAAACTTCATCAGAGAAATTCACTCATCCTCTCCCAGAGTTCCCCATTGTCTAACCCAGTGCTGCCAATAGAAATACAATGAGAAGGCGGGGCGCAGTGGCTCACACCTATAATCCCAGCACTTTGGGAGACTGAGGCAGGCCAATCACTTAAGCTCAGGAGTTCAAGACCAGCCTGGACAACATGGCAAAATCCCTTCTCTACAAAAAAAATACAAAAATTAGCGGAACGTGGTGGCACACCCACATAGTCCCAACTACTTGGGAGGCTGAGACAGGAAAATCCCTTGAACCTGGGAGGCAGAGGTTGCAGTGAGCTGAGATGGTGCCATTGCACTCCAGCCTGGGTGACACAGCGAGACTGTGTCAAGAAAGAAAGAAAAAAAAGAAAGAAAGAGAGAAAGAGAGAGAAGGAGAGAGGGAGGGAGGGAGAGAGAGAGAAAAAAAGAAGGAAAGAAAGAAAAGAAAGAAAGAAAGAGGGAGAAAGAAAGGAAAGAAAGAAAGAGAAAGAAAGAAAGAAAGGAAAGAAAGAAGAAAGAAGAGAGAGGAAGGAAAGAAGGAAAAGAAAGAAGGAAAGAAAGAGAAAAGAAGAAAGAGAGAAAGAGAGAGAAAGAATACAATGCGAGAGCCATATTACTCATTTATTCATTTTTGCAGTGCTACTTTATTTGACAATCAGCAGTTAGTTCTCATCCATATTGACTGCAGATTTTTTAAAGGTTGTGACAGGTACATAGCTACCAAAATACAGAGCTTATTTGGTGATTCTTCATCCTCATTACTTTTTTGTGGACAACTGCACATGGATATGGTATGGGACATTCCTTAATCTTTTGGGCCAGACAGCTTTGTGGAGCCTGATACTAATATGCACATCTGGAGTTCTCACCTGCTTCATGGCAAATTTCCAGATTTCTCTGAGTTCTAGAGGCACATGCTTTTTGAAGTTCACTCCACAGGCACCTTTGTGAATGTTGATGATGTGTTCTCGGGTCACCACCTCATTGATGGTAGAATGGACCTTCTTCTTCTCGCTACCTGTCAGGCCCAAGGTAGAAAGCCACATATGTAATTTAAATTTTGCACCCTCTGAAGCAATGGCCCAAGCTGTACCTTGGCAGTGGCTATAGTTTCTAAAAATAAAAAGAAATAAACTAATTAAAAAATTTGTTCATTGTGGTAAAATGTATATAACATAAAATTTACCATTTTAACCATTTTAAAGTGTATAATTCAGTGGACTAACTACATTCACAATGTTATGCAACTGTCACCACTATTCATTTCCAGAACTTTATCATCATCCTAACAGAAATTCTATACTCATTAAAAAATAACTACCCATTCCCTCCTCCCTCCAGCCCCTGGTAACCACTATACTTTCTGGTTCTATAAATTTGCTTATCTAGGTTTTTCATGTAAGTGGAATCACAATATGTGATCTTTAGCATCTGGCTTATTTCACTTAACAATGTTTTCAAGGTTCATCATGTTGCAGCATGTGTCAGAATTGCATTCCTTTTTAAGGCTGAATAATATTCCATTGTATATTCACCCATTTTGTTTATCCACTGATATGGTTTGGCTCTGTGTCGCTACCCAAATCTCATCTCGAATCCCCACGTGTCAAGGGAGGGACCTAGTAGGAGGTGACTGGATCATGGGGGTGGTTCCCCCCATGCCTTTCTTGTGATAGTGAGTAAGTTCTCATGAGATCTGATGGTTTAAAAGTGTGGCACGTCCCCCCTTTACTCTCTCTCTCTCTCACTCCTGCTGCCATGTAAGATGTGCCTTGCTTCCTATTCACCTTTTGCCATGATTTTAAGTTTCCTGAGGGCTCCCCAGCCATACAGAACTATGAGTCAATTAAGCCTCTTTCCTTTATAAATTACCCAGTCTCAGGCAGTTCTTTATAGCAGTATGAAAATAGACTAATACAGGCCAGGCGCAGTGGCTCATGCCTGTAATCCCAGCACTTTGGGAGGTCAAGGCGGGCAGATCATGAGGTCAGGAGATCAAGACCATCCTGACTAACGTGGTGAAACCCTGTCTCTACCAAAAATACAAAAAATTAGCCAGGTGTGGTGGCGGGTGCCTGTAGTCCCAGCTACTCGGGAGGCTGAGGCAGGAGAATGGCATGAACCTGGGAGGTGGAGCTTGCAGTGAGCCAAGATCACGCCACTGCACTCCAGCCTGGGTGACAGAGCAAGACTCTGTCTCAAAAAGAAAGAAAAAAGAAAAAAAAGAAAAGAAAATAGACTAATACAGAAAATTTGTATCAGGAGTGGAGTACTGCTATAAAGATATCTCAAAATGTGGAAGTGAGTTTGGAACTGGGTAATGGTCAGAGGTTGGGACAGTTTGGAGGGCTCAAAAGAAGACAGGAATATGAAGAAAAGCTTGAAACTTTTTGGAGACTTTCTGAATGGTTTTGACCAAAATGCTGATACTCATATGGACAATGAAGTCCAGGCTGAGGTGGTCTCAGATAGAGATTAGGAACTGATTGGGAATTAGAGTAAAGATCACTCTTGCTATGCTTTAGTGAAGAGACTGGTAGCATTTTGCTCCTGCCCTAGAGATCTGTGGAACTTTAAACTTGAGAGAGATGATTTAGGGTATCTGGCAGGAGAAATTTTTAAGCAAAGCATTCAAGAGGTGACCTGGCTGATTCTGAAAGCATTCAGTCATACACATTCACAAAGAGATTGTCTGAAACTGAAACTTCTGTTTAAAAGGGAAGCAGGGGCCAGGCACAGTGGCTCATGCCTGTAATCCCAGCACTTTGGGAGGCTGAGGTAGGCAGATCACCTGAGGTCAGGAGTTTGAGACCTGCCTGGCTAACATGGTGAAACCCCGTTTCTACTAAAAATACAAAAAATTAGCCAGACGTGGTGGTGCACACCTGTAATCCCACCTACTTGGGAGGCTGAGGCAGGAAAATCGCTTGAACCTGGTAGGTAGGTGGAGGTTGCAGTGAGCCGAGATTGCGCCACTGCACTCCAGCTTGGGCAACAAGAGCGAAACTCCATCTCAAAAAAAAAAGAGGGAAGCAGAGCATAAAAGTTTGGAAATTTGCAGCCTTACCATGCAGTAGAAAACAAAAACCCATTTTCTGGGGAGAAATTCAAACAAGCTACAGAATTTGCATAAGTAACAAGGAGCTGAATATGAATAGCTAAGACAATGTGGAAAATGTGTCCAGGGCATGTCAGAGATCTTTGCAGCAGCCCCTCCCATCACAGGCCCAGAGGCCTAGGACGGAAAAATGGTTTCATGGGCCAAGCCCAGGACTCCGCACCCTGTACAGCCTCAGGACTTGGTGCTCTGCATCCCAGCTACTCCAGCTCTAGCCATCGCTACAAGGGGCCAAGGTACAGCTTGGGCCATTGCTTCAGAGGGTGCAAGTCCCAAGACTTGGCAGCTTCCACATGAAGTTGGGTGGGTCTGCTGGCATGCAGAAGATAAGAATTGAGCTTTAGAGGCCTCCGCCTAGATTTCAGGGGATGTATGGAAATGCCTGGATGTCTAGGTGGAAGTCTGTTGCAGGGGCAGAGCCCTCATGGAGAACCTCTACTAGGGTAATGCAGAAAGGAAATGTGGGGTTGGAGACCTCACACGCCATTTCCACTGGGGAACTGCCTAGTGGAGCTGTAAGAAAAGGGCCACCACCTTCCAGAATCCAGAATGGTAGATCCACCAGTAGCCTGCACCGTGTGCTTGGAAAAGCCACAGGCACTCAATGCCAGCCTGTAAGAGCAGTCAGAAGGAGGGCTGTACCCTGCAAAGCCACAGGAGTGGAGTTGCCCAAGGCCTTGGGTGCCCACCCCTTGCATCAGCATGCCCTGGATCTAAGTCATGGAGTCAAAAGAGATTATTTTGGAACTTTAAGATTTAATGAATGTCCTGCTGGGTTTCAGACTTGTATGGGGCCTGTGGCCCCTTCGTTTTTGCCAATTTTTTCCCATTTGGAATGGGAACATTTACCCAATGCGTGTACCCCCTATTGTATCTTGGAAGTAACTAACTTGCTTTTAATTTCACAGGCTCATAAGCAGAAGGCACTTGTCTTGTCTCAGATGAGACTTTGGACTTGGACTTTTGAGTTAATGCTGGAATGAGTTAAGACTTTGAGGGGCTGTTGGGAAGGTATAATTGGTTTTGAAATGTGAAAAGTACATAACATTTGGGAGGGGATGTTATTCCAGGGATGGAATAACATGGTTTGGCTCTGTGTCTCCACTCAAATCTCATCTCAAATTGTAGTCCCCATATGTCAAGGGAGGGACCTGATGGAAGGTGATTGTACCATGGGGGCAGTTTCTCCCATGCTGTTCTCACAATAGTGAGTTCTTATGAGATATGATGATTTTAAAGTGTGGCACTTCCCCTCCTTTGCTCTCTCTCTCTCTCTCTCTTGCTGCCATGTGAGACGTGGCTTGCTTCTTCTTTGCCTTCTGCCATGATTGTAAGTATCCTGAGGCCTCCCCAGCCATGCAGAACTGTGAGTTAATTAAACCTGTTTCCTTTACAGATTACCCTGTCTCAGGCAGTTCTTTATAGCAGTGTGAAAATGGACTAATACATCTGTTCAGCTATTAATGGACATTTGAGTATTACCACCTTTGGGATATTATCAAAAATGCTACTATGAACATTACTGTACCAGTATTTGTTTGAGTCCCTGCTTTCTATTCTTTTGGGTATACACCTAGAATAAGTAAAATTAATCTAAAAATATATTGTACTTAACCAAATATATCAAAACTATTACCATGTCAACATATAATTAAAGGAAACAATTACAAGATGTTTTACATTTTTTTCTAAGGTCTCAAATTTCAGTGTATTTGTAGTACTTCTCAATTCAGACACTAAATTTTCACCAGAAACACTTGATCTGTAGTTAGATTTCATAAAATTATAGTTGAAAAAGTAGATTCACATACCCAAGTTAGAACATGTAAATTAATTAAAATTAAATAAAATGTAAAATTCCATTCCTCAGTCCTTAGCTACATTTCAAGTGCTCAATAGCTGCATGTGGGGCCAGTGGCTTCTGTATGTACAGCACAGGTCTAACCAATTGGGTAGAAAATCCTCTGAGCCAGGTGCAGTGGCTTACGCCTGTAATCCCAGCCCTTTGAGAGGCTGAGGCAGGAGGACATTTTGAGCCCGAAAGAAGTTTGAGATTAGCCTACGCAACATGGTGAGACCCCATACCTACAAAAACAAACAAACAAACAAAAAAAAACCCAAAAGAATGGAAAAGAGAAAAGCTTCTGGCCCCTCACAATCTGACTCCATCCTACTTTACCCAGCCTGTTTCCCACTATTCCTCAGCATGTGTCTTAGACCGACTGATCTGGAACATTAATTTGACAAGTATTTATCAAGCATTGACCATATGCCAAGCATTGTGCTAAACATTGGATATAATGGGAAATGAAATGATGTCTGCATAGAGCCTAAAAACAGGTGGGGCCAGCAGACATAAACACAGACAACTGTATAAATAAATATATATTACAAATTGTTATATGCCCTATGGCGAAAGAGTGTCATTATGGAACAGGTGGATTTAAAGAGGTAATCAACAATCACGCAAATAACAGTATCTTAAAAATTTCGATAAGTACATGGGGAACAAAGTAAAGAATCTGATGATAGTGGACCTTATTTCCAAGGGAAGCTTCTCAGAGTGAAAGGTGACAACGTGCTAGCAGCCCTTGCTTGCTCTCAGCACCTCCTCGGCCTTGGCGTCAGCACTGGCCATGCTTGAGGAGCCCTTCAGCCTGCCACTGCACTGTGGGAGCCCCTCTCTAGGCCGGCCAAGGCCGGAGCTGACTCCCTCTGCTTGCCGGGAGGTGTGGAGGGAGAGGCACAGGCGGGAACCAGGGCTGCGCACAGCGCTCGCAGGCCAGTGCGAGTTCCCAGTGGGCGCAGGCTGGGTGCGCCCCACACTGGGAGCTGCCGGCCACGGCAGGCCCTGGCAGTGAGGGGCTTAGCACCCTGGCCAGCAGCTGCGGTGGGGGCACCAGGTCCCCCAGCACTGCCGGCCCGCCGGCACCACGCTCGAATTCTCACCAGGCCTCAGCCACCTCCCCATGGGGCAGGGTTGGGGACCTGCAGCCCGCCATGGCGGAGCCACGCCCCCCCGCCCGCCTGGTGGGCTCCCACTGGGCCTTAGCCTCCCTGATGAGCGCTGCCCCTTGCTCCGTGGTACCCGGTCCCATCGACCGCCCAAGGGCTGAGGAGTGCAGGCGCCCCGCAAAGGACCGGCAGGCAGCTCTGCCCGTGGCCCTGGCACAGGATCCACTGGGGAAGCCAGCTGGGTTCCTGAGTCGGGTAGAGACTTGGAGAACTTTTATGTCTAGCTGGAGGATTCTGTATGTGCCAGTCAGCACTCTGTGTCTAGTTCCGGGGTTTGTGGATGCACCAATCAGCACTCTGTGTCTAGCTAATCTGGTGGGGACTTGGAGAACTTTTATGTCTAGCTAGAGGATTGTAAATGCACCAATCAGCACTCTGTATCTAGCTAATCTGGTGGGGACTTGGAGAACTTTTATGTCTAGCTAGAGAATTGCAAATGCACCAATCAGCACTCTGTGTCTAGCTCAGGGATTGTAAGCGCACCAATCAGCACTCTATGTCTTGCTAAATTAGGTTTGTAAATGCACTAATCAGTGCTCTGTGTCTAGCTAATCTAATGGGGACTTGGAGAACTTCTGTGTCTAGCTCAAGGTTCCTAAATGCACCAATCAGCACCCTGTCAAAATGGGCCAATCAGCTCTCTGTAAAATGGACCAATCAGCAAGATGTGTGTGGGGTCAGATAGGTCCCCTTCCAGGCTGTGGAAGCTTTGTTCTTTCGCTCTTCGGGATACATCTTGGAGCTGCTCAGTCTTTGGGTCTGAGCAGCCTTTATGAGCGGTAACACTTACCGCGAAGGTCTGCAGCTTCACTCCTGAAGCCAGCGAGAACACGAACCCACCAGATGGGACGAACAACTCCGGACGTGAGGCCTTTAAGAGCTGTAACACTCACTGGGAAGGTCTGCAGCTTCACTCCTGAAGTCAGCGAGACCACGAACCCACCAGAAGGAAGAAACTCCAGATGCATCTGAACATCTGAAGGCACAAACTCCAGACACGGCATCTTTAAGAACTCTAACACTCACCTTGAGGGTCCGCGGCTTCATTCTTGAAGTCAGGGAGACCAAGAACCCACCAATTGCGGACACAAGAGGAAGTAATTTGAAGGCAAGATGGGAGGGACAGATGAACTGGATAAAGGGGTACAAAAGTGGGGCAGGGTGGTAAAGTGGGCAGAGGGAACAGCACGCGTAAAAGGCCTAGATGAGAGAAACTCACAGAGAGGAACAGTATGGTGCAAGTGTAGAGAGTGGTGCCAGTGAGGCTGGGCAGGTAAGCAAGGACCCACCTCAGGCAGGTCTTTCGGCCATAGCGATGATTTGGGATTTTGTACCAAGTGCAATGGGAAAGCTATTAAAGGTTGTTTAAGGATTTGGGATTGGCATTTCTTTTTAAAGGCCACTCTGGCAGCTTGATGCAGAAAAGTTCTAAATTCTCAACTTGCAACCTAAAGGGATCTCCTTTCTTTGCTTTTAATTTTGACCTCAATTGCTCTGCCAAAACTCATTGCATACACCATAATTCTTGCTTTGTATTTACTTGCATTGTTACTTTATGTGCTGCCTTCCTTTACTAGTTATTCATAGACTTGACTCACTGATGCACCCTACCCCAACTGTAACCTTTTCCTGTGGGCAGAAAAGATTTCTCAGTCATTGTTGTGTGCCTACAGCATGGAGCAGATACACTTGGCTAATCTGTTAAACCAGATTGCGCTAAAAGTCCCATCATAGTTTGCTGCTTTCCCCCCATCAAAGAGCATCCTGTGACCTAATTAACTCAGTCTTTAATCCAACGGCTCTGTACTCTGCTTGCCACAAAGACTGAAGTCCCTGAACAAGACCTGGGCAGCCCTCCAGCATCCTTGCAGGCAATACCTAGCAACCGAAAGAGGTCTTGTTTTGTTTCAGGTCAGCCCAGGGTTACAAAAGTCATCAACTCACGTGACCTGGCACTTCAGAATCTCAAGGAACTCTCCTTCTACCTTTCATAATACTGGCATGAAAACTATGTACTTAACAGAGTTCTCAAAAAACACAACTCATCTCCAAGAGGTGCTAGTACTCGGCTAGATGCAGTTTTTAGCTAAGGACTCCAAAATCATCAGATTCCTTTTCACCTTCCATTTATTGTGGATTGAAATTTCATGATGTAAGGGAGAGAAGTATGGAAAGGGCCTGAGGCAGGAGAATAGGATCTGGAGGCAGGGAACCTAAAGCTGTTTCACACCAACTTCCTAGAACTAAATTAGGAGGCGGGGCGCAGTGGATCACGCCTGTAATCCCAGCACTTTGGGAGGCCAAGGCGGGTGCATCACGAGGGCAGGAGTTTGAGACCATCCTGGCCAACATAGTGAAACCCCGTCTCTACTGAAAATACAAAAATTAGCATGGAGTGGTGGCGCGCGCCTGTAGTCCCAGCTGCTCGGGAGGCTGAGGCAGGAGAATCACTGGAACCTGGGAGGCGGAGGTTGCAGTGAGCTGGGATTGTACCACTGCACTCCAGCTTGGGTGACAGACCAAGACTTTCGTCCAAAAAAAAAAAAAAAAAAAAAAGAAAGAAAAGAAAAGAAAACCCTAACTTTCCACCCCGAAGTAACAAGAGGATCAGAGGCTACTCCCCTTGACATTTTCTGCCAGGCAGTTGGAAAATTGGGAGTTAGCAACAAATCAGACCGATTGCGGGTCCAGTCTTCCTTTGCAACTTTGTAATTTCACTCCAGCCTCTGAATGGTTGTCTACAACCAATCAGACTGATTGCGGGCTACCACTTCATTTACATGAGGTGAGCATGAAGTGGCCAAAGGGAAACAAACCTCTAGAGGGTATTTGAACCCAGGCAGATTCTGTATCCAGGTCCTTGAGCCTCTGCCCTGGTAGCTCCTACACTGTGGAGTGTACTTTCGTTTTCAATAAATCCCTGCTTTCGTTCTTTCGTTGCTTCATTCTTTCTTTGCTTTGCTGGGCCTTTTGTTCAATTCTTTGTTCAAAATGTCAAGAACCTGGACAATTGCAGTCACGACCGTCTACCGGTGAGAGGCCCACACTTTGTCACTTACAAACTATGTATGACCTTGGCCAGATGAATCTCAGCCTGTTTCAACATCTACAACTGGTGGTAATACCCATCTATTCCTACAGACTTGTTAAAAGGATTAAATGATAAGCAGAAATATCTACCAAGACTTTACAAGCAAGCCAAACTGCTTTCTGTGCTTTTTCTTGTTTTTTGTTTTTTTGGGGTTTGTTTTTTTTTTTTTTTTTTTTTTTTTTTATGGTGAGGCAGAGGGAGTAACCTTTGGCGTCAACAGAAAAGCCACTAGGTTTCCTCTTCTTTTCTTCCCTGGTGAGTGATACTTTTTGGAAGATATCTCAGAAGTTTTTTAAAAGCTCATTTATGAAATATAACAAGACACATTTTCAATATCATGGAACTTAGGAGGATACAAAAAGCAAATATAATTTTAATCACAACAGGAGGAGTCTTTTATTGTTTTACCCCCACTCTCGGGCATCCTGGACACGCATTAACAGTCTACAACGGAGGGCTCATTCACGATTATAAAAGACTGTGAAAGATGAGTAACGATTTAAGGCTTCTCTCCAGAGGCCCTTCCCCAGCTCCAGGTTTAGGCTGAACTGCCCACGGGGACCATTTTCTTGCTGCCTAATCTCCCCCTCTTCTCCCGCCCCACGCGGTTCCACCCACTCGCGCGTCTCGGGACTCTGATGAACGTCCTAAACTCCAGCCTGGACGCTCTGGGCTCTGGATCTGAAGGGCGTGGAAGCACCAGAAGTCAAGGCCGCCTTCCATTCTTCCCTCAAGGCCTCAACCACCCTCCGATCCCAAGGTTGCGTGGTCCGGGCCGCACAACCCTCCTCTCCCTAGCTCAGCGCCTCCTCCACCCCCACCCGATGTCCCCAGGAAGGGTCAGCGCGGGGACGAGGTCTGGTCATTGCCCGGGAATTACCCGGCCCGGGAGCGAGCTCAAGGCGGGGAGGGCGCGAGCGTGCTCCTCGCGAGGCCCCGCCCCATCGCCAGATGCGGCGCTGTTGGTGAGCGGTGATTGGTGGGTGCAGCCGCGGAATGAATGGGGTGACCGCCGCGGGGGAGCGGGGCGGGCCCGCCGAGGGCGCGGGGCGGGCGAAAGGAGCCGAGTGGCGCAGGGCTGGCGAGAGGAGCCGAGTGCCGCGGGGGTGGCGGCGGCACCGCCCTGAGCCACAGGCAGTTAACGGTGTCCACGCCGCGCGAGTGGAGGAGGGGGCCCCAGGCAGGCCCTGGTACCCGCGCCTGGCGCGAGTGTGCCCACCGCGTTCCGGGAACCCAGAAGTGATGGTGGCCCTCAAGGGCCTGCGGTCAAGACTGGGGGAAGGGGTTGCAAAGGGAAGCCACGCCCGCCCCTCAGGCCGGTGACAAAGGGCGTCCCCGCCTCTCTGGATCCCTCCCGGGTTCTCGGAGCGCGATGTGCCAAGAAGGCCCGGCTCCTTTGATTGGAATTCATGTCTGGACACCCAGTTTTTTTCTGTCCCTACACCAATACCCCTTTTTGACTCCATATTTTAGATTCAGTCACTCAGGCCAGGTGGCTCACACCCCTGATTCCAGCGCTTTGGGAGGCCAAGGAGGAGAATCGCTTGAGCCCAGGACTTCGAGGCTGCAGTGAGCGGCGATCGCGCCACTGCGCTCCAGCCTGGGCGACAGAGCGAGACCCTATCTCGAAAAACAGGAAGAAAAAAAAGTGTGCGCACACTTTATGCCCGGCACACCCCAGTAACAAGGTAGACTTGTTTCTGCCATCCTGAAGTGTAATAGGGAAGGTAGGAGGTAAAAATGAGTAAACAGAACAACTACAGATTGTGCTAAGTGCTGTGGACAAAGTAAAGTAGTGGCTGAGGAAGAGGAAGTAGAGGAGAAACTGATTTTAGCCAGGTATGGGAAAGACCTGTCGTTTTAAAACGATGACTTCTCAATTGAGACCTGGGAAGAGGAGAGGTGAGCAGTTTTAAGAAGAGGGTATACAGCCTTTGCAAAGGCCCTACTGCTACAATGCCCTTTCCTCATCCTCTTTGACATGTGGATTCCCACAGCACTTTTTTTGCACTTCCTAAGGCACATCGCTTTTTGCCATATATTGGTAAAAAGTTTTATCACCCCAATTCCTAGCACATACCAAGTTCCCAAAGAATAGTCAGTAAATATGTACTCAGCATCCACTGACTTCTAGATTTCTTGCTATGTGCGGAGGATAATTTAACAAGTGAATTCATTCATGAATGAATGTTTTCTGAAAAGTAATTCTGTCTTTTTATGCCTGTTCTATGCATCCACTGTGCCCCCCCTTTATCCCTACTCCGTGTGAATTTTTCTTAACCACAACACAATTTTCTGGGCTTTCAGACTTTCACAGTCTAGTTTCTCCTTGCTTGGCTGATCTAATAAACTAATTGGGTCTACTCATTAGTGAACGAAAGTTCAATGCGTTATCCTCCCCATATAATGTCTGTGTTTTGGTTTGTGTTATAGTAAGCTGCAATACCTTAATTCAAAATAATAAATGAAGTGAGAAATTGAGGCACTTGACTACCCCCGAGTTGAGAAAATGTTTACTGATATCTGGGGGAAGTGGGTTGAGGAATGAGGGTTCCTTACCAGTAAGTTCCCTAATCAGTGAAGCAGCAGCTTAATTTGTTTTCAAAGTCGCTTGCCTTGACCTCTTCTTTTTGAAATTGGGCAACCTATACCCATATGTGTATATGTTTTTCATGATATGAGAAAACCATTTTGGGAAAGGTAAATTCTTGTGACCGGTATATTGACATAGTTATCAAACACTAGGCATACCTTGATTGTTTTGATAAGCAAAGTAAATAAACTTTATTTCAATTAGTCTGTGTCTGATTCTGTTGTAAAAAGTATTAACTATCCCTACATTACAGATTATTCCAAAATCTAGTGGTTTGGAACAACATTTTTTGCCTCAAAGTTTCTGCAGATGAGGAATTGGGGCATTGTTTGCCTTAGCAGGGTTCTCTACCTCAGGATTTCTCACAGACCGCAGTCAAGGTATCCACTGGGCCTGGAGTAATCGCAAGACTTTTCTGGGGAAGGATCCACTTCCAAGTTCACTCATGTGGTGATTGGCAGGATTAGTTCCTCAAGGGCTGTTAGATTCAGAACCTCAGTTCCCAGCTCCCTGTGGACAGGAGACCAACCTTAGTTCCTTGACATGTAGACAGTTCCATAGCACCTTCCTTCATCAAAGTACACAAAGCCAAGAAGTTACAGAGGGAGTGCCAATAAGATAGAGGTCACACCTTCTTTTCTAACAATCTAGGAGGCGACATTCCATCATTTTTGCCATGTTCTGTTATGAACAAGTTACTAGGTCCAACCCACCAGCATGAATATCAGGCGGCAAAGATTATTGGAGCCACGTCAGAATCTGCCTATCTTGTCATTAAAGTACAATAAACTGTGATATGAATTGGGGGCTCCAACATTTTTTTCTTGCACATCCTGAAACAGCCTGTGTCTTATTTGCTATCTTTATCATAAGGAAAGTAAATGGTTTTCTGGGAGTCTAGCTCAATAAACATTTATTGAATGCCTACTATGTACCTGTCACAGCATGCTTGAGGTGCAAAGATGAATGACACATATTCTTCACTTGACTTGGGGAGGAGAGGCAATAAGCAAACAATTACAATATTAATATTATAAATGATAAAAAGCCTGCACAGAATGCTTTGGTCATGGGGAAAGAAGGAAGGAACATATTGTTCTAAGTCACATTCAAGGAAGTAAAAGAGGTCAGGGTAGGTGAAGAGAAAAATAAAAAGATCATGTTTAGATTAAGACTCAGTAAAGGCCAGGTATGGTGGCTTATGTCTGTAATCCCAGCACTTTTGGAGGCCGAGGTGGGCAGATTACCTGAGGTCAGGAGTTCAAGACCAGCCTGGCCAACGTGGTGAAACCCCATCTCTACCAGAAATACAAAAATTAGCCAGGCGTGGTAGCTCACACCTGTAGTCCCAGCTACTCGGGAGGCTGAGGCACAAGAACCACTTGAACCCAGCAGGTGTGGGTTGCAGTGAGCTGAGATCACACCATTGCACTCCAGCCTGGGCAACAGAGTGAGACTCGGTCTCCAAACAAACAAACAAACAACAACAACAACAAAATTCAGTAGAAGTTGGCCAGGCGTCATAGCTAGGCCTGTAATTCCAGCACTTTGGGAGGATAAGGCAGGTGGATCCCTTGACCTCAGGAGTTTGAGGCCAGCCTTGCCAACGTTTTCTACTAAAAATACAAAAAAAAAAAAAAAAGTTGGGCACAGTGGAATACACCTGTGGTGCCAGCTCTACAAGAGGCTGAGGTGGGAGAATCACTTGAGCCTGGAGGGTGGAGGCTATAGTGAGCCAAAATGGTGCCACTGCACCACAGCCTGGATGATAGAATGACAACCTGTCTCAGAAAAAAAAAAAAAAAAAGGTAGTTAATCTTATGCATCAATAAGATGCAAAAGTATTAACATATTGTATTCTGTATTTTCTAGACTTTAAACCATCTAAAATTGTCCCAATTTTATGCTCATAGGGTATTTGAAAACTTTTACATTTTATACCCTAATTCATTCTATTGAAATACATCTTATAGAGAAGACTGTAACAGTCAAAGCATGTCATTTAACCATTCAGATTAGAAGGCAACACTGCAATGCTATTTAACTCAAAAGAGAATTGACTGAGTGAACTTGACACAAAGGGGTATATGAATTTGGGAAGAAAAAAGTGCTTTACAATCAAAGGCCAAGAAATAGTTTTCAAAAATAATTAAATTGCAACACAAACTTGTAGAATTTCATTTGAGTCTTAACATCCCACATTCACTCTTGGCAAAAAGTGAATTTGAGACTGTGAAAATAAATTATACTACCAGTTTTTGACATGCAAAATCATGTCTAATATTGCAGGTGGACAAAAGCATGGCCTTTTATGACACATTATACTGAGAACTAAAACATCACACAACTTGGAATGACTAATTCACTTATGGCTAAGTTTTAAAAAACTTTTGTTTTACAAAAGATAGAATTAGCACAAAGCATATTCCGTACTGTATCACCGGCTCCAAAAAATCTCATAGAGCACTTTCAGAACATACTACTTAACAAGAACATACTCCTTAACAATAGAAACCACATCGCTGTTCTTGGTCAGTTGTTCACAGGTACTTTTTTGGCTAAAAGTTTATTTATCTTATGCTTTTGTTCACATCCTGGAAATCTTTAGCTATTTAATATGTTACAGAATAAAATAAATCAATTATGAAATGTATCTTTTAATAACCAGCAAAGTAAAGACACATTGACCATCTATCTTAGATTAAAATCTTATCTTCAGCATATCTTAGCATATGAAGAAGTTGAGAACCGAGACTTTTTTTTTTGCAGTTTTATACCTTTATTTGATGTATTTGAGGATCAGCAATTAGTTCTCATGCACATGGACTGTCTGCACATTTTTGAAAGTGCTAACAGGTACATAGGTAACCAAAGTATAGCGCTTATTTGGTGAATCTTCATCCTCATTACGTTTTCTGGACAACTGCACACGGATTCGGTACGGGACATTCCTTATTCCTTTGGCGCAGAGAGCTTTGTTGAACCTGCTATCAATGCGCACACTTAGAGTTTCCACCTCTTTGATGGCAAATTTCGGAATCTCTCTGAGTGCCCGAGGGGCACGCTTCTTGAAGCGCACTCCATGGATGCGCTTGTGAATGTTGATGGTGTATTCTTGGATCACCACCTCATTGATGGCAGAATGACCCTTTGCTTCTCGCCACCCTTCTTTGCAGGAGCCGTTCTGCCGCGTCCAAGTTGGAAAGGGAGAACTGATACTTGAATTTAAATTCTAATTCTGCACTAACTGGCTGTGCAGCCTTGGTCATGTCATTTAACTCTTCTGTGGCTCAATTTGTTTGTCTCATTATAATGTTGGAAGCATAAGGGAAAGAATTGTTACGAACCTGGATTCATCACTGAAATAAATATAACAGTTTTTATGTCAAGAGAAAGTGCTTGATATTCAAGATAACTGATGCATGCATAGAAAGGGTAAGATATCCCAAATTCATAGCAATTTCAGACTAAATAATGTTTTGTTTTCATTAAAAGTATAGTTACAGTCTTTTTAATAGCACTTTAAAAATGTTAAATATTCCTTTGGAGCATGTTAATTTTTCACATTTTAAAATTTCAGAAAGGCAAAAGGAGAAATTTGTTGTATCTACTGTAACAGGGAACAGAAAAATTATACTCAGATAATATTTTTAAAACTATTGTAGTTAGTGTTTTCTTTCTCTTTGACTTAATTTTTAGTCAAATGATACCTAGTAAAAACATATATTATTGACTTGCATTTCAATTTTACATTAATTCATTTGTTCCTTTACCAATTCAGTAAATATTTGTTGAGCTCCTACCAAGTGCCAGGTAGTGTTCGAAGTGCTGGGGAAACAGTGGTGAAGAGAACAAAGTCTGTGTCCTCAATGAGCTTATGGGGCTGTGGGGATAATACACAAATATTAAAAAGTAAATCTATACTATGCCAGAATGTTAAGTGCTAAGGAGAAACATAAAGTGTTCCAGAGTGTGAAAGGCAGGGAGGGAGGTGTTGCAAATTTAAAGGGAGTGATCCAGGGGAACTCCCTAAGGAAATGACAGTGATGTAGCAACCAGCATGAAGCAAGGATGTAAGTCTTGGAGATTTCTGGGTTAGATTATTCTAGGCATGAGGTAAAGAGTAAATGCAAAGGCCCTGACGCAGTCTAGTACTTGGTGTGCTCAAGATATTTCTTGGGGCCATTGTGGGTGGAAGACAGAGTAGCTGTTTAAAGTCAGAGAAATGGCAAGTTGCAAAATCATGAAGGATCTTATAGGCCATTGTAAAGATTTTGACTTTTACTATCAGGGAGATGAGAAATTGCTAGATGACATTGAGCAGACATGTGACGTGATTTGGCTTTGGTTTTAAAAGGATCACTCTGGCACCTGGTTTGGGAATAGACTGTAGGCAGCAAAGACAGAAGTAGAGGTCTGGTTAGAAGACCATTACAACATTCTAGGCAATGGTTGATAGTGACTTAAACCAGGTGGTCATGTTGGAGATGGTAAAAAGCAAACACATTCTGGATATGTTTCAAAGGTCAAGTAGTAGAGTGTTGCTGATGCACTGGATGTAGTAGGTGAGAAAAAAAGAGGAGCTAAAGGTAACTCCAAGGTGTCTGATCTGAGAAACGGGGTCCATAGAATTGTCATTTACAAATCTGGGGACTACTGTGGAAGATCAGGTTTGAAGGCCAGTTAAGAGTTCATTTTTTGTTATGCTTAATTTGAGATGTCTTTTGGATATCTCATTTATGAATATATCTCATTTAGAGAAGTCATTAATAAGTAGTTAAGTACGTAAGTCTGGAAATCAGGGAAAATGTGTGGGCTGGAGAAATACACTTGGAAGTCAGCCGACCATAGATGAAATCCAAACACATGAAAGGGGATGATATCACCTGCAAAGGAAATGTGGATACAGAAGACTGGGATGCAGATCTCTTTCATTGCCCAGTCACTTCTGGAGACAGTACTAAAGAGTGTAAAAGGAAGTGGAGAAGAAAATCTAGAGAATCCAGAAATTGTACAAATTGTTCATTCATTAATCGAATATTTATGAACATTTGTGATTTGCCAGAAATTCTGCTAGTCATTAAGAAAACAATATAGCAGACCAGGCATGGGCAGTGTCTTCAAGTAGTTCATGTTCATCAAGATGAACACTCAAGGACAAGGACAGAGATAAACTGCAGGACATATTGTTGAACAGCAATGAAGAAAAGGAATAGCAAAGTAACAATTGAAGTATGGAACTGACTCCAAGGTCTGAGGAGGACAAGAAACTGCCTTTAATCTACCTCTGCCTCCGACAAAGACAAGCCAGGTGGCCTGTGGGAATTCTGGGCAGCAAGATAATAGAAAACACAAATTAGAACAGAAGAAAAAAGGATTGTGGGGGGAGGCGGAGAACGTAGGAACCAACAGAGACTGCAGTGTCATCTTTAGCATAAAATAGCTGCTACTTGACCTATATTTTAGTCAACTTTGATATGTCCAGAGGCAAACATTGGCTTATATCTTTTCTGGAAGGATGTGTTTCATTATGTCATGCAAATACGTCCTAATGAAACAAGTTTCACTAATCAGAATTGTATTCTAATGAAAGTTCCAATTGTATTTTTTAATTCAACTGCAGCTGCTATAACAATAAAACAAATTGCCTAGGATGTTAAGTACTTTCCTTTTCAAAAGCAATACTGAAGCAACCTTCTAATACACTTAGAAGTGTGTGGTTTGAGGAGATTTGAGCTCAATGATGAAAACTAAGAGCAAAAGGAAAAATATTACCAGAATTTAAAAACAAATAGAAGGCCAGGCACAGTGGCTCACGCCTGTAATCCCAGCACTTTAGGGGGCCGAGGTGGGTGGATCACCTGAGTTCGGGAGTTCAAGACCAGCCTGGCCAACATGGCGAAACTCCATCTCTACTAAAAATACAAAAAAATTAGCCAGGTGTGGTGGCGGGCGCTCCCAGCTACTTGGGAGGCTGAGGCAGGAGAATTGCTTGAACCTGGGAGGTGGAGGTTGCAATGAGCCAAGATCGTGCCATTGCACCCCAGCCTGAGCAACAAGAGCGAAACTCCATCTCAAAAATAAATAAATAAATAAATAAATAAATACATGAAGGAGAAAGAAGAAAATATTAATAGTTAGCTATTGAATGAAGATAATTCAACAATCATTTCTTGGGGGACTACCATGTGGATGCTATGAACAAACAGGTAATAGTTACAAGGTTTTGTTAACTGTACCTTACATGGGCTCACATTGTTGGATAGGTGGGTTAGAAGGGCAAGGATGGCTTCAGCACAGTTTCCAGAACCCAGCTGGCCAGGAATCTGATTCTGATGCTACCTAAAACAGGTTCCTTGAGCCCTGTTATTTAGTAAGCCTGGCATTGGATCCTAGGTATTCTTTTGATTTATTTGGAAAAAATCCCACAGTTAAGTTGGGGAGTCGTTTCGGCTCCACTGTTTTTCTTACAGCTTTACTCATGAGTGCAATGATGCAGAAATACGAAGTAATTGTTAGGGTGGGAGGAAGTTTCCCCCAGAGATATATGACACATGATAAACATTACATTGTAATATGTAAAATAATACATTTGCATATATATATATGTTCTGAGAACTCTAAGTCTCTGGCTGGAGAACTAATGAGAACATGACCGTACCAACATGTTTGAGAGGAGTTAATAATCTAATAATCCTGGGATGTGACTATCTGACAGAGGATTGGAACTCTGGAGCTGAAAAGTGATGGTGATGGTGAGGGGGAGTAACTGTTCACAGATTCACTCATCTAACACGTATTTATTGAGCCCTTATATGCCAGGGATTGTACTAAGATCTACAGATCAATAAGGAGCAAAATTCAACATGTTTTCCCCTTCAACGGAGTTTACTACCTAAAGCGGTGGTCTTTAAAGTGGGGTACATATACCCCAAGGATTGAGTGAGATGATGCCATCAGAAAGCAACTACAATACAGGGTGGTGATGCTATAATGGAAACCAAGATACACACATCAACAAAGAACTGTGTAAAAACGCAGCCTTTGGGGGATGGGAAAAAACAGCAAAACGTCATACTTAATCATACAATAAGAAAAATCACTTGATATTTAATGCATAGCTTGACAGTTATATAAGCCTGAACTTAAAGATATTTTGGTCAAATGGGCTTAAAACATTTTATTGATAGGTAAGCACAATTCAAACAAGTGCGGCGTAAAACTTAAGACTTTTGGAATCTCAAGTTAAATTAGAAACTTTTAAAACCTGGAAAGGCAAAACTTAGATGGGATGACAGAGATGAACCCTGGCCTTGGACTACTGGCAGAAGCGTGAAGAATGAAGGAGATATCTCAAAAAAATAGTCTATGCCACCAGCATATGCTTTTCTCATGTCCCTTGATGTCCATAGCAGCATTTACCACTCTGCATTGTAGTTGCTTCCTGACTGTATCATTTTCCAGGCCCAAGAAGTCCTTGAAGGTTTCAAATTTTGAATACCTAACATAGTATCTAGCAAATTGAAGTCATTCAGTGTTTGTGGAGCTCAATGGCAACTGACAATCTCGATTCTTTGTATATGTTTAATTTACTTAATTTGTACATGGTTTGTATACTTGCATTCCTATTGCAATGGCCCACTGCCTGGAACACAGCTGGCACGTGATAAGCATTACATTGTAAATATGTAAAAGAATAAATTTGCCGGCCAGGCTCGGTGACTCACGTCTGTAATCCCAGCACTTTGGCAAGCTGAGGCGAGCGGATTACCTGAGGTCAGGAGTTCGAGACCAGCCTGGCCAACATGGCGAAACCTCATCTCTACTAAAAATACAAAAATTAGTCGGGTGTGGTGGCGCGTGCCTGTAATTCCAGCTACTTGGGAGGCTGAGGCAGGAGAATCGCTTGAACCCGGAAGGTGGAGGTTGCAGTGAGCTGAGATCGCGCCACTGCACTCCAGCCTGGGCAACAGAGCGAGACTCTGTCTCAAAAAAGAAAAAAAAAGAAAAAAAAGAATAAATTTGCCTACATTAAATAGCCGACTGTTAGGTGGATGCACATAGAGGAGTAAGAATACAGCAAGAGGGGCACACGAAGAAAGGCTAAATCTCTGGGGTTTGAATGGGGAAACAGTAGGATACAAAGCTAATGAAGGTCTTTAATTATCCAAATATCAGTGAAAAACAGCAAGGATCTTCCGTTTATGCCCTGAACCCCCTTTGTCTTAAGTGCTTAAATATGCTTAGCTGAAAAGACACTGATTCCATCTTTCCTCATTTAACAATCCTTTAGAATAATTTCTAGAGTAGAAATGGAGTTGATAGTGGCTTCCAAAGAAAAATCAGAATCCCTAAGAAAAATACACGGTAAATCCTTTGCAAGGGAGTTATGGTTACAACAGTTTTGAGTCGTTTTGTTCTTGTTCCTTTATCTTGTTCAACTGCAGACCTTCACTCCGGCGGTCTCCGTGGGCATTTAACCCTTTCAGCTTTAACGATGAAGTGGATCCCCTTCAGCATGACATAACTCATAGAGGAGACCGTAACGAGGGTGGGCTTCTGCCACCCAAATGCGGCCACAGACTCCTGCCACGCCTGGCAGTAAAAAAACCAGAGTTCAGGGCATCGACAACTTCACCGGGGCTATTGCGCAGGCTCTGCGTTCCACGCAGGCTTATTAGGAAGAAAGGGGAAAAAAATTTCCCAGAGACACGTGGAACCGAGGGGCCAACCCCGGCCTAGGCTCTCCACCGCATCGGATTCTGGAATTTACGATCACGAAAGTTCTATTGTCCCGCGATTGGCTCCCGGGCCGCATGACATCATAGCGCTTGATTCATCCTTCGGGTCCCGATTGGCTGGCCGCGCCATTGTGACGTCACGGTCAGCCCACGTTCTGATTGTAGATAGCCGGCGCCTTCCTCTTCCCATCGCGCGGGTCCTAGCCACCGGTGTCTCCTTCTACATCCGCCTCTGCGCCGGCTGCCACCCGCGCTCCCTCCGCCGCCGCCGCCTTGCTGCTGCTCAAAGCTGCTGCCGCCCCTTGGGCTAAAAGGTAAAGCCGTCAGCTCCGGGAAACTTCGTCGGGGGCCGCCGCTCGGCCATGACACCCGCGCGAGCGCGCGGCCGGGAAGCGGTCAGAGAGAACTGCCGTTAGGTCTCGGACCTGGTGCCGAGAAAGAGCTGCCGGGGCAACCCGCGCTCCGCCCGCGGCCTCCAGCTCCGCCGGCTCCGGGGTACAGCCCGGCTCCTCGGGCGCGGGGAAAGGGGTGCGGGTGCGGGCGCGGGCGGCTCGCCCCACGCCGAGGCTGAGGCAGGGCGCTCGGGAGCGTTCTCTGTGCTGCGGTCCCACCTGTGCGCGCTGACAGGCGCCGCGGGGCACGACACCGTGCCCACACCAGACGCGGAGGGATGGATCTGTCCGCCTGGGTCCTCCCGCCCTGCGGGCCGGAGCGCGCGGCGGGAGAGCCGGGGGAGCGCTCTCGGAGGGAGCGCGCTTTCTTTGGAGTCGGCGAAACCCGGGTGAGTTCGAAGAGCCTGTGCGAGGGTCTGCGGGCACCGGGCGCCGCTGGGGGGACTCTCCGGCCTTTCCTTTTTGTCCTGTTCTCTCCGCTTCCGTTAACCCTGCGGACCTTCCGTCCGCCCCTCGGAGGGAAGCCTGCTAGCTCGGGACCGCTTCAGTTTTTATTGAAACCAGACAACGGCAGCCCTTGGTACTCAGGGAGGGATGAGGCTGGTGGGAAAGCGAGAGGGCGGGGACTCGGGGGCGACCGGGGCGGCCCTTTCTGGGAGCCTGATCCCTGGAGAGGCGGGAGCGGTTGGCTGCGAGGGAGGCGCGCGGCGGGGGGGCGGTTGTGCTCTGCGCCGGGGGAGCTAGAGTGTGTGTTGTCTTGCGAGTTGTAAGGAAAAGTGCCTTTTTACTGTTTCCACGCCGGTAAGACTCTCCCACCCCACCACCTCGGGTCGACGGAGCAATGCCTAGAGCAAGAGTTGTTCTTGCTGAACTGCGTCTTGCAACCGTTCCGTGTTCTTGCACTTGGCGGTTCCCCCCGCCCCATCCACAATTGTGAATTAAGCTCCTTGATTGCAAATTTGGAGAATGCATTTGGCCAGTTATGCAAAGTGGCGGAGGTGGCGGGGTCGGGGGCGGGGGGTCTCTTTCGGAAGAATCCAGTGCATGGTTTATTAGCTAGACTGAGGAACCGAGAGGTGCTAGATGGGATTTGTGGGGAGCGAGCAGCCTAATTTGTTTTAAATAGCGGGACCCGTGGCAGGAAGTGCTTCATAGAATTGTACGGAAGAGCTGATGTTGCTTGTCAGGTTTTGTAACTCATTCTCCTAACCGCTTGGCAGATAACCTGTTGGTCTGCACTTGTTTTGCTTGCACGTCTCAGCCAAAAGCATTTCGTGCAGAATCTACAGATAGAAACAGGCGGTTTTGCATTAGATGGCCGTGGACAAACATTTTAGCCTTCCATCTGTGATTGGGGACAAGTGGGTTACTTTTCTGGTAGCTCAGACACTGCCTGGGATTCTCCAGGAAAGCTCTGCACTTGAAAGGGAAATGTTACTCATTTTCCTTTTAGATTTTTACCCTAGATTCTAACTTCTTATTGCCAGGAACTTTTTCTGTACTGTTTCTCTTTTTGCATTTTCGTTTCTATTTCTAATTGAAGACAAAGGGGAAATTTTTATTGATAGTTACAGATAGGTAATGTTACAGAATGTAGTACAGAACTTTGCTGAAAAGCGACAGTAGAAGGCTTACTAAAATTTGATGTTTTTCAAGAAAAATATCTTGTAACTTCAGATATTGACCTCACCTCCTTGACTCAATTTCCTTGTCTATACATGGGGATTTTATGTGGCAGGATCATTGTGGATTTCAAGAGATAATGCAAATGAGAGCCCAGCATTGAGTCTGCCAAATGGTGGTTTGAAAATGTTTCCTTCCCATTCCCTGAAATCAACAGCTTCTTCTTGGTTACAGACCTTAATTTTTGGATGTTCTGTTTGCAAGAATCTTTTTTTCCACTACCTCTTCTTTTGCTCCCTGCATAATGGTTGCTTGTCTTCCTGCTTCTAGAGGTGAGCATCCATCCTTGGGTGTCTTATTTCCAGCTTGAATTACACAAATCAAAGCAAAACTGTTTACTTTTCTTGAGGGTAACTTTGGTGCCTAGGTGGGTAGTTAGTGTGAAGAGAGAGTTTTACCTCTTGCTTTCCTGGCTACATTCTTCTCTCCTAAAAGATTTTGTAATTTTTTTTTTTAATTCCTCCTCTTTGCCTACCAGCTCTTCTGTTATCAAAAGGCTAATCCTCTCATTAGTTACCTGTAAATAAGTCTTTCCTTGAATGCTTTCTGTGTCAGGTACTTATTAATACGCACATGTACATAAACGGTTGCTTTCCACACGTAATTCTTATAACACCTCTGTGAGGTTTTATCCCCCAGTTGTTTTTTAAGAATTGAGGAGCACTATGAAGACACATGCACACGTATGTTTATTGCAGCACCATTTACAATAGCAAAGACTTGGAACCAACTCAAATGCCCATCAATGATAGACTGGATAAAGAAAATGTGGCACATATACACCATGGAATACTATGCAGCCATAAAAAAGATGAGTTCGTGTCTTTTGCAGGGACATGGATGAAGCTGGAAACCATCATCCTCAGCAGACTAACACAGGAACAGAAAACCAAACACTGCATATTCTCACTCATAAGTGGGAGTCGAACAGTGAGAACACATGGACACAGGGAGGGAAACATCACACACCCGGGCCTATCGGGTGGTGGGGGGCAAGGGGAGGGAGAGCATTAGGACAAATTCCTAATGCACGCAGGGCTTAAAACCTAGATGATGGGTTGATAGGTGCAGGAAACCAGCATGGCACATGTATACCTATGTAACAAACATGCACGTTCAGCACATGTATCGCATAACTTAAAGTGGAAGAAAAATAAAAAAGAATCTCTAGGATTAAGGCCTAGAGATGACAAGTGACTTGTCCAAATTCCTATAGCTCTGTCTCCTGCAACATCTCTGCTCCTTCATATATCCCTGTGCTGCCAGGATTATTTGCCCAGTGGGCTCTGTGCCATTATGTAACACTGTTACTCCACAACTTAAAAATCTAACCTTGTGTTTAAAGGTTCTTGTTAATCCATCCAAGACTAACAATTTATTGTCTCTTAAATCTGTCTAAAATCTGTTCCCTTCCTTGTAGCCCACACTTGATTCATTTTTTAAATTAATTCATTGACTTCTCAGTTACTGATTTTGGGTGTGAGGGGCTGGATACAAAAATGAATTACAACAGTTCCTGATTCCAGAGGGTTTCCTGATTTAGTATATACTTTAAGCCTGTATACACATACTTAATCTACACCTTGGACCAAAAGAGAGTCAGAAGCAGATTTCTGGGACACTTATATCTTTATATCTGAGAAAGCTTTATGGCAGAGCTATCCATGTTAAGGGCCTAGCATTCCTGAATTGGTCAGGATGCTTTTGGTGCAAGAAACAGAAAACCCAACTGAGACCTACCTGTGCATCTGACCTGAAAAGTCCTGAGGGCAGGACTTTTGCTCCATTTCTCTGAAGTCCCCTCAGATGTCTGTTATGTCCTAGACTGATTTTCCAAGATGACTGACAGCAGCTGCCACCATAATCTCACATGGGGATTCCCTGACTTCCTGCCACCCTCCAAAGAGTCCTTTACCTTAAGGTGATTGACTTAGGCCTTGGTTACTTGAAGCAATAACTGGAACAGTGGACATTTGATAAGCTGGGGGCCCATCCCAGAACCAGGGAAGTGAAGTTAAATCTCCTCAGCTAGCTGCTTCACCTTTAAGAAGGGCCTGCAGAACACAGGAAGTCAGCTACAGCGTCTGTTTTAAGGACCGAATGGATGATTGGATTAAACTAAATTGACTTGAATTAAAATTAGAATTTAGCCTTACATTTTGTAAAGGACTCTTAGTTGATAGGCAGGAATAGGAGGACATGCGTTCTAGGCAAGAGGGAGTTTGGAGAGTAAGCGAGTGTGGAATCATTGGGCAAAAAGCAAATAGCACAATTGGCAGAAGCTGGTTTAGAAGGCAGGAGTGGAAGAAAAGGTGAGAAAGGCAAGTTATTGATGTAATAATAATGGCTAACTCTTACTGAGCTATTGTATGTCAGACCTTGCACTGAGCCCCTCACAAGGACTTATTTCTATTATTAATGGATGCTACAGCATTCCCATTTTACAGGTGGAAAAAGGCCCAGAGTTTAGACACTTGATTTGGGGTCACAAAGCATTCCAGCTCAGATCACCTTGACACCCTGGCCTGCTCCGTCTCCTAAGGTGTTTGGTAGAATACCACCAATAAGCTTTTGAATAAGAATGAGGACATTATGAGTGCTGTGCTCCAGAAAGACAGTCTTGTTAGAGTGTAGGGTGGATTGTTGTGGGTTTGTTAGAGATGGCCAGGGCAGTGAAAAGGCCTGACCTGAAGCCACAGCCATGAGCACAGACTTGAGAGAGGTAATTGTGAGAGACTGTGTCCAGGATAAGACTTGAAGACCAGTTGGATTTGAGGGCCAGCAAGAGGAGGGATACTCTTCCAAAGAGAAGAGGGAGCTTTGTGATCAGATGGAAATAGCCCCACAGCCTAGATAGATATCCAGACTAGCTGTTTCTTCCAATTCCTCCTCTTCACGGCCAACCTTTGTCTTAGCTATTTTTTTGGTTGCCTTTCTGCAAGAACATGTTTCTACCACATTTCATCTATTGTCAGCTTTTCACATTTCACATCTGGGTAGAGATGGAGCTTATAATCAGTGGCATCTTAAAATCACTGCAGGTAACTTTCCACATTTTAATATTACAGAATTGGGATGCCTCCTACACTTTTCCCTGGTGAGAAAAGGAAAGCCCCAATGTTACCAAAGGTGGTGCAGCCAGATGCTGGCAGAGCCAGGCTTCTGGGCTTCTTCCACCAGCTGGGTTACCTCTGCTCCCATGATAGTTATTAAAACACATGTAGCTTCACGTTACAGGTTTATAGTAAAGTACATACATGTTTGTGTGTTTATTAAAACTGAAGTAATTTGAGAAGATTGGAAGGCATGATTGTTTAAGTAGGGTGCCTCATTCTTGTATAGAATCTGGCTGCCTTGGTTTCTTGTCCTAACTTGAAGAAAATCAACTCTGAGCATTGGTCTCTTTTCCTTTAAAATGAAAGATTAAATTTTATTTTCATTTTTGCCTAGAGCAAATTTTATTTTTTATTTTTGTTTTGTTTCTGTTTGGCCAGGGATAGAGAATGAAAGTGAGATCATTTAGATCTTAGAAAGGTAGATGTTGGCTGGGCACGGTGGCTCACACCTGTAATCCCAGCACTTTGGGAAGCCATGGTGGGCAGATCATTTGAGCTCAGGAGTTTGCAACCAGCCTGGGCAATATGGCAAGACCCCATCTGTACAAAAAATACAAAAATTAGCTGGATGTGGTGGTACATGCCTGTAGTCCCAGCTCCTTGGGAGGCTGAGGTGGGAGGATGACTTCAGTCCAGGAGGCGGAGGTTACAGTGAGCCGTGATTACACCACTGCACTCCGGCCTGGGTGACAGAGCCAGACTCTGTCCCAAAATAAATAAAGAAAGAAGGAAAGGAGGGAGGGAGGGAGGGAAAATGTCAGAACAGTTGATGGAGATTGCAGCAGCAGCAGCAAGCTGCTGGTTTTCTCTTTATGAGATTAAAACATCACTGCTGGAGATGTTCTGGCCTATCCTGACCTGATTTTCAGTTTCTGCAATAGGAACCCTCACCACCAACCCCAGTTTCAACCCGTAAATGTTATTACCAGCCTTTTTGGTTCCCACTGGCGTGTTTGCTCCATGGTAACATTTTTAGTGGACTTGTAGGCATTCACTTTTAGAATTGTGTAGTCTCTGGATTTAAAATATTCATACTTGGTGACCTTTTAGAAAGACTAAATTCCCACTCTTGCTCCTCCATCCTCTTCTGCCAGTTCTGTGTGAAGTACAGTTGTAATTGCATTCAGGCATGAGTATGTCTTAGTATTCCTTATTATTAGATTGGACTTTTTTACCTTTTATTTGATGTCTGCTGGCTGACTGGGATTTAGGGAAAAATTTCTGATTTATTTTAAGATTTTTAGTGCTGATACTGGCATGCTTTCTCTAATTGGGAGAATAACAATTTTATTGAAATATACCTGTGATTTTAAACTGTAATCTTTATGGTTATATTAGGTAGGCACCCTCTTGCGAGCACAGGTTCCATCTCTGTTAAGTTCCACATTTACCCCATCCTTTTCCTCATGTCAACAATTTCATCCTGTCAGAATTAATCTCTTATAAGCCCATGCTGAACAGACCTAATTGAAGCCATGCTGGCGAATTGGCCACTCAGGTCTGTGTTTTATGAGTTTCTGAACCCCAGAGTAGTACTTGTTCCTCTTTGGTCTTGGCACAGCAAATGCTACAACAAAGTGAGTGTTATGAATTTCTCCTTCCCTGAAGAATAGTTCTCATGATACCAAATTCAGTAATTATTCATTTGCTTCCAGGGGAGTTTGAAATGTGATGTATCTCCCTAGGGGTAGTATTCAGGGTACTTCTGCTTCAGTCTTTGGCAGAAGAAATAATACTTCAATATTTACAGAAGTCGTTGACGCCTCCATCAGCTGTATTTGTTAGAAGCATCTGTGTGAAAATTTGAGTTTGCTTCTGTCCGAACTTCTGCATATTAATCTCTGTGATGGATCTGAGGTGCATTTAAAAGAATACCTCCTGTACTTCTTTTAAGTAAGGACAGCTGTGGGAAGCAGATTGGGTTGGCAGCCTGCACCTATGCGGGGTTCCACCTCTGCCACTTAACAGCTGCGTGGGCTTCAGCAGGTAAGTCACTCTACCTCCTTGAGACCCTAGAATCTATGTAGAACTTGGAAGGTGATAATCCTGTGCCTACTTTGGAGGGTATTAAAACTATCAGTATTGTACATGAAAGTTAGGTGGGGCACTGACTTAATTTAATTAGCATAGTAAAAACGTCTCTCTGTTATATAGGATGTTTATTGAAGCATTGTTTCTAATAGCAAAAGATTGGAAGAGTTAGTAGACTAAATGTCCTTGAAAAGAATAAATCATGCTACAGCTGGGCAACGGAATATTCTGCAAATTTTAAAGAGAACAAAGCTGTTCTATGGGTACTGAATATAGCTGCTTGGTACCACATAATAGGCACTTTTCTGAAGTGTTCAACATGTATTAATTCATTGTGGCTTCACAAAAGCCCACGAGGTAGGGACCCCAATTTTACAGATGAGGAAACTAAGATAAAGGTTAAGTCACTTGTCCAAATATCCACAGCTAGTAGGTGGCAGAGGCAGGATTCAAACCCAGGCAGATTGGCTTAAAGACTCTAATCTTGGCCACCCTGCTGTGCTGTACACCTGTCAGACCTAAGTAGTGATCTTTGTATTTGCAGCTTTAGATACATGAGAGGAAACAAGGTTGAGTTTCTTATTCATCGTTACATTCTGGGAGGCTGACGGTATAATCAACATATAGCTTCTGTTGACAGTAACTAAATAAAGGTTTAGATAAAGAAAGCTAATAGGGAATAACATTTATGATCAATACTTGAAAGGGTGACCGTTTGTTTCTTCCATTACTCCTTATTTTAGATATTTTGAACTTAAACCTCTTTTTTGGGGAAAATCAGAAGCGTACACACTGAATAGCTTACAATTGTTAGTGTAAGAAATCAGTGTTCAAAAGCCCAGTTGAGTCAGTGTTCACTAGCCTGACTGGTCTAGTGTGGCTGGATTAGTATGACTGGCCAAGGGCATCCAGCATTGGTTTCCTTACCCGGTCCTAGCCCCATCTGGTTTGATTTACAAGGTATATACGCTCAGAGAAATGCAGACGGGAGGGAAAGACACTCACATTCTTTAGGGAGCCTCTATCTCCAGATTGCCTGATCTCCCTTGGGTGAAAATGTAAGTCAGGTGTACAAGTCGTACAAGTCATGTATAGCTTGACAATGGGAATACTTTTTGAGAAATGTACTCTTAGGCAATTTTGTTGTTGTGTGTTCATCATAGAGTGTACTTAGACAAACCTAGATGGTTACCACATACATAGGGCATATGATATACCACATTGCTCCTAGGCTACAAACCTGTACAGCAAGTTACTGTACTGAATACTGTAGCTAGCTGTAACACAGTGGCAAGTATCTGTATATCTAAATGAAGAAAAGATATAGTAAAAATATAAAAGATAAAAAATGATACAACTATGTAGGGCACTTGCCATGAATGGAGCTTGCAGGACTGGAAGTTGCTCTGGGTAAGTCAGTGAGTGGGGAGTGAATGTGAAGGCCTAGGACTTTACTGTACACTCTAGACTTTATAAACACTGTATACTTAGGCTACATTAGGTTTATAAAAAATATTTTTTGATTAGGTGTGGTGGCTCATGTCTGTAATCTCAGCACTTTGTGAGGTTGAGGTGGGACCAGGCATTTAAGACCAGCCTGGGCAATATCACAAGACTCCATCTCTACTTATTTATAATAAAAGTTTTTTTAAAAATATGTATTATTTTAATATATATTTTTCTTCCTTAATACATAAACTGTAGCTTATTGTAACATTTCTATTTTATAAATTTTTTAAACTTTTTTACTCTTTTGTAATAATACTTAGCTTAAAACACAGGCTGTATGGCTGCAAAAAAAATATTTTATTTCTTCGTATCCTTATTCTTCAAGCTTTTTTTCTCCTTTTAAAGTTTTTTAAACTTTTTTGTTAAAAACTAAAACAAACATACACATTAGCCTAGGTCTGTACAGGGGCAGGATCATCAATGTCACCGTCTTCCATCTCCACATCTTGTCCCACTGAAAGGTCTGTAGGAGCAGTAACACACATGAGCTGTCATTTCCTATGACAACAATGCCTTCTTCTGGAATACCTCCTGAAGGACCTATCTGAAGCTGTTTCATAGTTAACTTTTTAAAATATGTAATTAGAAGGTGTACACTCAATTAATGATAAAAAAGTATAGTATACCAAATACATAAACCAATGACATAGTTCTTTATCATCAGCATCAAGCATTATGTACTGTCCATAATTTTATGTGTGATACTGTTACAGGTCTAGCTATGCAGTAGGTTTATTTACACCAACATCACCACAAATGTTTTATTGTGCTATGATGTCACTAGGCAATAGGAGTTTTTCAGCTCCATTATAATGTTACAGGAGTATCATTGTATATGTGGTCCATTGTTGATTTAAAGGTCATTATGCGATGCGTGACTATATTTTGAAAACATTCTGATAGAGAATGACATTAAGTCATTTTGATACAAGGCCCCATTAAGGGCCACTGTGCTGGGCCATGGTGTTCAGGCTATAGACAAGTCTGCCACCACCTTCAGTTCTCTTAGGATCCTTAGACTCTTTCAGAACTGAGTTTTCTTTCTGGGTGTGGGACACTAGGTTTGGCAACATTGTAATGGCTATAAGTATCAGCATTCCTAAAATAAGAGAATCACAAAATTCATGGGGTGGCTTATATATTCACATGGAATCTGAACAGGTGATAAAACAACTGTTGGTTTCAGAGACATGCTATAGAGGAGATGAATACACAGTTGCTAGACTGTGTGTCCCTTTGAAAAATGCTGTATTGTAGCAGGATTTTCCCCCATTTTTTACACATTTAACTTTGCTTCTCCCTCTCCTCACTCACCCTCACACCCAAACAACAGTTATAAAATGTGGGCGTGTAGATTGAGTTTTAAAAAAGAAATGTGTTTTTGTGTTATATGCCTTATTTATGTTACACAGGCTTGAATTAAAATCTTTTAAGACATTTTCGTTTGGGGGGTTGCATAACTAATCTTTATTATGTTTCTCCACCGTCTTTTAATTTCAGCTTAAGGTATCACTGCCTTTGTATACTTTGCACAAATTAGGTTGGAGAACTCAATTGATAATTTCCTCAAATGATAATTTATTTTGAATATTCAAGTAATCACATCAGTTAAGAGACTGCACTCAGATAAGAACCATCAGCAGTTGCCTGTAGCAGAAAATGTTGCTTAAAAGCCTTTTGAATATTTGTCTCCCTGTTATTTGCAATTGCAGTCTTTTGGTTTAGATGTTTAGAATATGATTGAAGTAGAGCCCAGACTGCTTAAGCTCAGGCTTTAAGGGAACCATTAGAGGCGTGTGTAGTATCTTGGTGTCTGTTACCTACCTTGGCCATTGATTGTCTTCTCTACAAGATGCTTCATCCAAGAAGGAAGTTGCCCTTTGAAACAGGTGCCCTTTGAGCTTCTCCAGAGAGACCCATAAAGACATTATCCCAGGACCTCATGTTTCTAGGAGAATGTGATAAATATTGTGATGGTTTCATTTTCAGAGCAGCTGCCTTTTCTTCCTTTTGCAAGGAGTAGGAACAAAAGCAGCTTCTTTTTGTTTCCTTTGCAAGGGCTTAGAATAGGCTCAGTGTGACCCAAGGGAAGTTGGATGTGACAAGTGACAGTAAGGTAAGTACTTTTCATTGACCCCCTGGTACAGAGTTCAGGCTTGAACTTACCATCTTTTTAAGAAATGGGACTGGCGTATTAAATTTAAAATGTAGGCAAACAGTTGCAAAGTACTGTCAGAAGACCAAATCTCATTGCATGATCTACTTGCCCCATGGATTCAAATATCCATCCACCCACCCACCATCCACCCTTAGATATTTATTTCTAGCCCATCTATTTCTTTTGAGCTCCAGACTCATAACTTTTCATCGTTGGGTGCCCCACATACCTCCCCTGTTGGCCAACGTAGTCAGGAGCACCATCCTCCGCCAGTTTGCCCAAGCCATTAAGCTGGAAGCAATGCTTGTGTTCTCCTCTCTCATCAACCATGCTTTTACCAAACTTTGCTCAACTGTCAGTCACCAAGTATTACTCATTCATACTCTCTGTCCTTCTAAGCTTATTCCCCTTCCCCACATTGCCCCAGCCTTCCATAGCATGTCAGATCCTTCCTGGACAACTACAATTTCTCCTTGGCTCCTTGCCTCTGTTTTCTTGATTCCTAAAAATTAGATGAGGTTGTACCTGTATAGTGCTTTGCATAGTGTCTGCCATGTTTATCTGGCACATAGTGTAGGTATCTAGCAATTACGTGCCTGAATGTTTCTCTAAATACATATGTACCTTTCAAATATAACCAGTCCTATAATATGTGCTAATGGCTGTGTGAAGCTGAGTATGCCTTGATAGCCTGAGAATACATAATGTTTCACAAATGAAGAGCTTACCTGGGCAGGAGACTTTAGAAGGCCAGTTGCCTTGCTTCCAGCTGAAGGAGTAGAACACCAGCAGCTCTCAGACCATACAAATTGCTAGACACCTTTTCCTGTTGTGGCATGGTGCAATGAGGAGCTCTTACCTATGCCTGGAGACATGCCATCTAAGGACTCGTTGGCTGCAGTCTGTGCAGATCTTCACATACAAGGAGATGGCCATAGCTGTGGTGCTCTGCAGATGTGGCAGTGGCTTCATCAGGATGAACGAGGGGCCCCTGGAGATGATCAAGCTGCTCACACTGCAATACAAGCTACTGGAATTAGGTCTGCTTCTGGACAAGGAACAGCTTGCTGGAATGGACATCCATGTTCGTGTGAAGGGTAGTGGTCATGTGGTTCAGATTTATGCTGTCCTTCAGTACATCTCCAAAGCCCTGGTACCCTGTTACCCAAAATATGTAGATGAGGCTTCCGAGGAGATCAAAGACACCCTCACCAGACCTTGCTGGTGGTTCACCCCTGTTGCTATGAATCCAAGAAATTTGCAGGCCCTGGTGCCTGTGCTCACTACCAGAAATCATAGCAGTAAGCCCATCAAAAAGATCAAGGTTTACCTTTATAGTAAACAATGGTTGAAGGTCTTTAAGGTTAAAAAAAATTGCTAGACATCCCAGCTGCCCTAGAAGCAGAGATGACATGTGCTGTTATTTTAAAGGGCCTTGCTTACCTGCATATTACCTGTTAGGGCTTTCAGGTAGAATATACCAATGATAGACCAGTCTGGTGGCACTGTTCCCAAGGACGGAATAGGGTGAACTTTGATGTCTAGGCACTCAAATACTCCATAATAAAATGATCATGGAAACTGGCAGTCTTACTCCAATTGCCCAGGATGGAGTGCAGTGGCACCATCTCAGCTCATTGCAGCCTCAAATTTCCCAGGCCCAGGTGTCCCTCCTACTTCAGCCTCCTGCATAGCTGGGACTACAGGCAAGCACCACCATGCCCAGCTAATTTTTTATATTTTTGGTAGAGACAAGGTTTCACCGTGTTGCCCAGGCTGGTCTTGAATTCCTAGGCTCAAGCAGTCTGCCTGCTTCAGCCTCCCAAAATCCTGAGATTACAGGTGTGAGCCATTGTGCCTGGCCTGGCCCTCTTATTTAACCTTGTTTTGGTTGGCAGCAACATTGAGCCCAGGCTAAAGTACACCATACATGTCGGACAGAGCTTATCTGCCTCAGTAGCCACTTGGTCAGTATTTGTTGATCACTTAAACCCACTCAGTGTTGGTCATTTGTCTGTGTTAGCCTCTGCTAAGGAATGTGGACCCTACACGTGACAATACAGTTACCAGTAAAAAGACTCAGTAGGAATTATGAGGTATATACTCGAATCAACAGGTAGTTTATTATTATACTACGGGTATGGCTGTGTATGTTGCAGTTAGGTTCAGCTGCAGCGATGGACATGCCAAAATAATAGTGGTTTGAATAATGGTATCCCAAAACAAAGTAGAAGTGTGTATCTCTTATGAAAGGCAGGGTGGATGGTTCAGGGCTAGTATGACCCTGCGTAAATTCCTTGCTCATCATACGTCTGTCAGGCTTAGTGTGGCCTCAGTCTTCCGAGCAGCAGGATGTAAGAAGAAACAGAAAGTAGAAGCGCGGATGGTGCTTTCTTTTATGGGAAGTTCCCAGAAACAGCCTCCAGATAACTTTGCTTACATCTCATTGGCTAGAACATCACCCCGTGGCTGCAGGTGGCTGGAAAATCTCATCTTTATTCTGGGTGGCCATGTGCAGCTAAAAGTACTGCTACTGTTTATAGAGTTTGGGCAAGAACCGGCTGTCTGTGCCATGGGTGGTAGACGAGACCAGCAGTCCCCACTCACTTGGAACTGAGAGTCTGGGGGAAGGATAGTGACAAAATAAACAGATACTTACAGTGACAAGGCCTCTGAGAGGTCTGCAAAGGTGTGCCCTGCGAGTAAACAGGAAGGACACCTAAATCAGACTGGTGGGGTGGGGGAGGGGATGAGGAAACGTTGCCTAGAGACTAAGCAAGAATCTCTCTGGACTGAGGAAATGGGCAGGGTATTGAAGCAAAGGCTCGGAGGCAAAGGGGGCAGGTAGTTGGGTGATGGAGGAGCATATGAGGAACAGAAAGTAGACCAGGGAAGCCAGAGGGAGACAGGGTTCTGATCACATGGGCCCTGGGGCCACAGGGACAGGTTTGGTCATTTTCCCCGGAGCCTTTGACTGGTTTCTGGAGGTGAGTAACCTAGACAGGTGCTTTCAGGGGGTGAGGAGCAGCACAAGACTAGAGGCAGGAAATATCCACTGGGAGAGAGTGTACTAATCTGGTTGGGAAATGATGGTGGCTTCAGCTACATAGTGGCTTTGGGGATCAAGAGAAGTGGATGCAAATCCTGTAAATCCCATAGAGCTTGGAATTTAGAAATAATTTGGCCTTTTCACGTAATAGGTGATGAAACCAAGAATGAGAATTTAAATGGCTTGCCCAGAATCACACAGCTAGCTGTGGAGCAGCACCAGATATCATTTCTCTATCTAACTCTTTCCTTTATGTCACTGTTGAATGTGCTGATTTGGGAGAACAGGGCATTGTGGGCATTTTGGAGCCAGCAACAGGACCTGAATCCTGGTGTCCATTGCAGAGGGAGGAGTCCACCCTGCTTTGGGGGCTGGATTCCTGGTAAGGTTATGGGGCAGGTCACAGAAATGAGGGAGTTGGAAGGAAAAACCAGGTGTGAGAAGATGATGGATTCAGTTTTTGGTTTGTTGATTTGGAGATTCAGGACCACCATCTGTAGGTGGAGAGAGATCAGATGGAAACTGGTCCTTGAGATTGGAATTGGGGATGCAGGATTGGGTGGAATTGGTCAAAACTTTTCTATACCCTTTCTTTAAATTTCTCCAGTGAAAGGGACTCAGCAACTGTTTTTGAGTCCATTGTGTCATGTACCTTAGAATTAAGAGATTTTTCCAGTGTTTAGCCCTGAATGATTTTTGCTGCAATTTGAATTCTGTGCAACCACAGAGATTTAATAAAAATAAAATAGGTTAATACTTAAAAATTAGTAAATTAAAATAAATTAAGTAAAGATAAAAGTTATATGGCCCTCCCTTGCATATTTTACCCTGTGCTGCAGGTCTTCTCAGGAGCCTCTCTGGCTCTGGTTGGTCTCTTGGTCCAGGCTGTGGCCTCTGTCTCTTGGGTTTTCATACTGTAAGATTTCTCCAACTGAGTTTGGGAGGCTGAAGCCCCAAACAGAACTTGATGGCTTGTGCTGGAAAAGGGGAAATGGGTTCTGCTTGCTACAACGTGTTAAATTCTGTTTTTAAAATGTCAGTTTGGCATCAAACACTTTTTTAGACATGTTTACATCCTAAAAGTTTTTGGTTTCAGAAGTTTTTTGTCCTTCACAATTAACTTGGTTGCAGTGATTAAAGTATAGCCTATTTCCTGGGAAATAGGAGACAATTTCAGAGCCACTATAGACCATATTGACATTAGAGATTGTAGGATACCATAGACAGGGAGGTCAATAGACAGGCAACGTGGTATCATAGTTGTTTTATCTCTCCCTGGTCACTGTCCTTCTACCTAATGTTGTTTCACCGTGGAATTTGAGCTTACAGGTGAAAAAGACTTTCAGTGAATACTGCACCAAGTATAATTTAAAAATTTTAAATCCTATATAGATATGGGGCATGACTAATAGAGTAATGACTTCCATAAACCACACATGAAAACTGCTTTAATTATAATTATCATTACTTTTATTCTCCAGAAAGGGAAATAAGGTTAAAACAAGAGAGCCCATTCATTCTAAGTTGACCAGTTAAATTTCTTGTTCTCCCTTCCCTTTGTCCTTTGATTTGATAAAAATAAGATTTTTGTGTGCTAAATTGTGAGTATTCATTTACATTAATCAGTATCCCTATAAGACAAAGCCCCTGAAAACATAAACTGAGTGCAGCACGATTTAAAACAGAGAGGGAGGAGACAGTCTTGGTCCTGTTCTTGGTGCCCTGCTCATTACTAACGTCTCAGTTGTACTGTCCACTATAAACAGTCATGATTTTTTCCCCCATTCTTCAGATCAAGTCAGTTTCCTCTAATGAGACAGTCTACCTGGTTTTATAGGCATTTCTCTGTAATGTTTTCCAAACGAAGAAAGCAAACAGCAAGCATTTTGTTGGGAGAAATCTGCAAGTGTCTGTTCTGTGGCTGTGAACTAATGATCTTTCAGAGGTCTAGTTTAAAAGCACTGAGTTTCTTCATGACCCATGAGGATATGTAATCCACCTTTATAGCAGGTAAGTGTTGAGGTTCACACAGGATTAACACTCTCTTTAACACTGTTCTCTACACCGTTCTCTTGCAAAGGGATACTCTTCCCAACCCTGAAAGGCATGCTTGGAGAGGTGGAGTGTCACTCCCAGATTCTTATTTTAGAGAAGGGAGTGTCATGTAATTTTCTCCCTACCTTATTTATTCATTCTCTCCCCTCTCCCCCTTGCTGACCTGCTTTTCTTCCTTCAGCCAGGTCTTCGCTTTAAGGAGTCAGCTGAGCTTCAGCCACTGATGCTGGGGGCACATAGTGGCCCAAGCCACCCTGTAGCTGTACCCTTTTGGGGAGGGTGGCTTTCGTGTTTTTGTAAAGTTTTTGAAGAACCTCTTACATGATACAGTTTGAACTGATTAGCAAACAGAGCCAAAGAAACTAGTACCTGATGAAAACTGACTGACATGGTAGGCAAATGGAAAGTTTGGTTTCCAAAAAGTGTGTGTTGTGGCAAGTTGAAGTCAGAAAAATGAATTTTTGACTTTGATTCTGAGTGATCACTCCTCTACGCACTCCCCTTTCTCTTTCTCTCCTTGTCCTCTCCATTTCACTCCCTCTCCATTCTCTCTCCGCCTCTTTTCCCTCCTCCTGCTCCGTTCTGTGTATATGTTTGTATGTATAACACTTCAGCATTTATGTAGTGGTTGATAATTGAATACATTCTATTTGCAGTACTACCTAATGTGATTTAACCACAGGAAACTTGCTTCTCTCATTATTTATGATTTTAAATTTTAGTTTTTGGTAATTAAGTCTCCATGAGGAGCGTCCTCATTTGGAAGGAGAGTTAGCATCATGCTGTGGCTAAAGAAACTCAGTTTTTATGCCTACCAATAATGTGAAAATCACCTCACTCCTGTTTGGCTGATTGGGTTGAATTTCTCTTAATACCATACTGAATGTAACTTGACGAGTTAGTAGGGAACTGGTAACAACTTATTTCACAGAGTATTTCTAGTTATTGATGTAGTTTGGGTGTTTGTCCCCTCCAAATCTCATGTGAAAATTTCATCCCCAGTGTTTGAGGTGGGGCCTACTCGGAGGTGTTTGGGTCATGGAGACGAATCCCTCATGAGTGACTTGGTGCCATCTCATGGTAAAGAGTTCAATGTGAGATCTGGTTGTGTAAAAGAGCCTGGCATCTCTCTCTTGCTCTTCTTTGTCTTGCTTCCTCTCTCACCATGTGACACTCTTGGTCCCCCTTCACCTTTCACAGTGAGTAAAAGCTTCCTGAGGCCCCACCAGAAGCAGATGCTGGCACTGTGCTGCTTGTGCAGTCTGCAGAACTGTGAGCTAAAATAAACCTCTTTATAAATTACCCTGTCTCAGATATTCCTTTATAGCAACACCAAACGGACTAATACAGTTACAATATATTTAGTGTAAGATTTATTCATTATAATTAGCTTATTTCCAAAATGACCATTTTAACAAACTTCAAATATTTTGAGTGTTAGATTTTTAAACTCGGTGTACTCCAAGTTTCATTTAACTGCTAAAGGACAAGTTTAGTCATACACTGCATAACCATATTTTGGTCAGTGATGAACTGCCTATATAATGGTGGTCCCATAAGATTATAATGGAACTGAAAAATTCCTCTTGCCTGGTGAAGTAGGGGTCATCTTAATGTCCTAGGGCAGTGTATTACTTATGTGTTTGTGGAGATGTTGGTGTAAACCTACTGCACTGCTAATTCTATAAAAGTATCACACATACAATTACGTACCATATACAGTGCTTGATAGGGATAATAAACAACTATGTTACTGGTTTTTGTATTTACTGTACTTTTTATCATTTAAAAAATTTTTATTTATTTATTTTGGAAATGGGGTCTCGCTCTGTCATTCATGCTGGAGTGCAGTGGTGTAATCACAGCTCACTGCAGGCTTGATTTCCTGGGCTCATGCAGTCCTCCCACCTCAGCTTCCAAGTAGCTGGGACCACAGGTATGTACCACCATGCCTGGCTTTTTAAATTTTTTGTTGAGATGGGGTCCCACTGTGTTGCCCAGGCAGATCTTCAACTCCTGGGCTCCAGCAGTCCTTCCACCTCGGTCTCCCAAAATGTTGGTATTACAGGCATGAGCCACTGCCTGTCATTATTTTAAAGAGTACTCCTACTTAACCAAAAAATAAAGTTAATTGTGAAACAGCTTCCGGCAGGTCTTTCAGGAGGTATTCCTGAAGAAAACATTGTTATCACATGTTATTGCCCCTGAAGGCCTTCCAGTGGGACAAGATGTAGAAGGGAAGACAGTGATATTGAAGATCCTGAGTAGGCCTAGGCTAATGTGTGTGTTTCTGTCTTAGTGTTTAAGGAAAAAAAAAGTTTTAAAAGAAAAATTAATAGAAAAAAGCTTACAGAATGAGTATAAAGAAAATAATTTTTATGCAGCTGTACAATGTATTTGTGTTGTGTTAATTACAAAAGAGTCAAAAGTTAAAATGTAAAAGTCTGTAAAACTCATGAACAGTGGCATGCACCTGTAGTCCCAGCTACTCGGGAGGCTGAAGAGGCAGGATCACTTGAGGTCAGGAGTTCGAGGCTGCAGTGAGCTATGATTACACCTGTGGATAGCCCCACTGGGCAACATAGACTCTGTCCCTAAAAAAAAAAAAAAAAAAAAAAAAGTTTATAAAGAAAAAAATGTTACCATAAACTAAGGTTAATTTATTATTGAGGAAGAAAAAATTTTAAAATAAATTTAGTGTAGCCTCAGCATAGTGTTTAGCCTCAATGTAGTATTTATAATGTCTACAGTGTGCAGTAATGTCCTAGGCCTTCATAGTCATTCACCACTCATTGACTCATCCAGAGCAACGTCTATTCATGGTAAGTGCCCTGTACAGGTGTATTGGTTTTTATTTTTTATATTCTATTTTTATTATACCTTTTCTTTGTTGAGCTATACAAATACTTGCCACTGTGTTATGGTTACCTACAGTATTCAGTATAGTAACATGCCAAACAGGTTAATTGTAGCCTAGGAGCAATAGGTTGTACCATATAGCCTGCATGTGTAGTAGGCCATACATCTAGGTTTGTGTAAATACACTCTATGATGTTCTCATGATGAAATCGCCCAGTGACATATTTCTAAGAATGTATTGCCATTGTTAAGTGACGCGTCTGTAGAAGTTCTTTATTTTTAAAGTGTATTTGGGTTATTTGCCATTAAGATAAGAAGCTAAATATATAATGTCTTTTTAGAAATAAAATCGTACAGAAGAGGAAAATTCTACGTGCAGTTTTTAATACAACAGCTCTCAAACTTTTTGGTCTGAAGACACACTATTCTCTCTTTTTTATTTCTTATTTTTTTCTGAGACGAAGTCTTGCTCTTGTCCCCCAGGCTGAGTGCGATGGCATGATTTTGACTCACTGCAACCTCTGCCTTCTGAGTTCCAGCAATTCTCCTGCCTCAGCCTCCCAAGTAGCTGGGATTACAGGTGCCTACTACCATGCCCGGCTAATTTTTCTATTTTTAGTAGAGACGGGGTTTCACCGTGTTGGCCAGGCTGGTCTCGAACTCCTGACCTCAGGTGATCCACCCGCCTCAGCCTTCCAAAGTCTTGGGATTACAGGCATGAACCACTGCACCTGACCGACATAGTATTCTTAGACAAAGTGGCTTGAGAGAAAAACATTTAAAAAAGCAAAAGGAAAAAAAGATAAGATTTGCGCTATTAAATGTTACTGAGAAACTCAAAGAGCTTTTGTTTATGTGGATTATATCTATTAGTATTTACCTTATTAGAAACCAATTTTAAATTGTTTTAAAATATAGGTTTAAAACAATTATGAAAACATTTAAAAATAACTAACCTACTGTATGATAATAAAGTATATATTTTTCAAAATATATTTCAAAATATAAAAACGTATTTTTCAAAACTTTTGGTGACAGTGAAAAAGTAATCTCGTAGTAGCAGTAGCAGTAGCAGTAGCAGTAGTAGTAGTAGTAGTTAGTTATACTTTATATATATAGTACTAAAAGTACTTTATATACTACTTAGTTATAAAAACATTTTTCCTTCTTGCTTCAGCAGCCATTGCCTCCTGTTTCCTTCTGCCTAAATAAATTCTGTGTTTTATGCCACAGGCTCTATGTGTGTCACCTTCACATGTGAACTTCACCAGGTGGGCTGGTTTTGGTCTTTTTATCAAATGAACATATCTGTAAGGTACTTTTTGTAGACAGGACAGTATTTAAAAGCAAGCTTATGTCCACTTAACAACACTGGTTGCTTGCTTTAGTGCTCTGTGGTAAGGCTGTAGTGGTCAGTTTTTAAAGTAAAAACCCAAAACAACAAGGAGTAAACGAAGAGATTAAGGTCTCAGTGTAGCATTAATAGCTTTTTAGATGTTCATTTTATTTTTTTTAATTCATCCCTTTCTCTTTGCTATCTATACATTACAGTATTTAGGCTTCCAGACTAGCAACCTTTTGGAATAGTTTTAAAATAGCTGATTTCTTTTTTGTTCCTGTCTCTTGGATAGATACTGCTTGACCTTTTTTTAACTGTTGATTTTGGATAATGCCTTTGTTTTAATAAAAAATTGCTGCATCATGTCCCACATCTCCATCTTGTTTTATGTAACCATTTAACCTTTAATTCTATGTGTTACAAAAAGATTTCCTCTGGCCTTTTGTGTATAATGTCAGATCAACTAGAGCTCTACTTTGGGGACTGTAAATAGAGCATTAGCCTCCTCTTGATTTTACTCTAAGGAATTCTTTTAAGATTTTTATAACCTCAGATTCTTTGATACCTGAATCAGGTACCAGTACAGTTGAGCTACTGTATTTCCAGATGCTCAGATTTTTTTTAATGGGATATATTTTGCACTATCTAATATAGTAGTCACTAACTACTACTAGTTTTTGAGCATTTGAAATGTGGTTAATACAACTAAGAAACAGAATTTTTAGTTTTTCATTTCAGTTTACTTAAATAGCTATTTGTGCCCTTGTCTGTCTCATTGGGCAGTGCAATGCCAAAGGTATCTGGCAGTTTCTTTTTAAATTTGTAGGTTCATTCATTCATTTTAACAAGAGTGTTTTTTTATATGTGTGGTAGCCGGTAGGTTTTTTACTATCTGTGGTTGTCTTATTGCTGGAAACGGAACTAGAGGGATACAGGAGGTGGAAAAGTGGAGGCTATTGATAATTGGCTGACTTTTATGGGGTCTTGGGATCATTGTAGATGAGATTTGAGGGGAAAATAAAGTTCAGGGAAGGACTTTTAGGTTGAACACTGGAGCTGATTTGTCAGCAGAAAAAAAGCATCCAGTCGAGAGAGGAAATGGAAGGTAAAAGGCAGATGGGAGATGAATAAATTCTTGAAAGAAACGGGAAAAGATCCAGAGTATAAGCAGAACGATGGAAAGATACTGTATGAATTGGAAGGGTGAAGAGGGACTTTTAAAAAAAGTTATTTGAAATTTTTCAATTGAAGTGTAATTTACATTATATAAGCCATTTTTAAATGTTCAACTCAGTGGCATTTAGTACATCCACAGTGTTGTTTGCCACAGTCACCTCTAATTCCAAAACATTTTCACATCCCCAAAGGAGACCACTGCCAGTTAGCAGCCACTTGCCATTCTCCCCTCTCCTGAGCCCCTGACAACCACCCATCTGCTTTCTGTCTCTGTAGATTTGCCTATTCTGAATATTTCCTATAAATGGAATCATACAATATGTGACCTCTTGTATCTGGCTTCTCTCACTTAGCATAATGTTTTCAAGTTTCATCCACCCCTGCTGTAGCATGTGAAGAGTGACCATTGAAGGAGGAGGACTTTTAAGGGATTCATAGGGACTGTCCAGATCTCAGCAAAACCATCAATTCTGCTTGTTGGATTTACCTAGCAGTGAGGCACCACAGGGGTAGGTTGGGCATCAGGAGTATTTGTGACTATAGCTTCCAGCCTGAGTAAGGAGGGTGGGGACAAAGATCTGCTTTGGTGATGGCAGATTGCCTACTAGGGAAGGCAGACAGGAGGAGTGAGTGGATAGAAACTTGTCAGAAGAGGGAGCAGAATATCCTGTTTCAAAGGATTTGGGTCCATTTGGGGTCCTAAGTTAGAGAATGCATGTGGAAACATGAGCTCATCTAAAGTAGGGTCATCTCATCTGTTTGTAGGTCAGCGTCACCCATAACTGTCTGCTGCACTAGTGGTGGACACACAGTTTCTAAAGTTGCAAGCAAGGTGAAAAGTTCTGTAATCTTGCCCTGCTGGGTAATGGTGCCAAGCGCCTGTTGTGAGTGCCTCCTGCTCTGCTGGAAGCATGGTGAGGGAAAGCAGACCTTGGGTTTTTTTCTGCTTTCTCGTGAAGGCCGGTATGGCTGAGTCACCGTACTTGCTGGTGCCTAGGGCAAAACTGCTTTCCAGGCTGCTTTCCAGCCTCACAGTCATCCCACAGATACATAACGCCTCAAGGACTTAGATGTTAACCACAGGTTAAATAATTTGTATTTGGAGTATGATTAGAATGTACAGAGAGGGACCTAACCTAGTCTGGGGCTCTGCGGGAGGAATCAGGGAAGATTTCTCTGGTGTGCACAGATAGAGGGGAAGTGGGACAGGCGGGTAAGGGAGCTTTCCCTGCTTGGGAGCTGCCGGAGTCAAGGACACACTGCAGAATGTGAAAAGGAAACGGGTGGGGTTGGGGGCAGTGAGCAAGAGGGGACGGCAGAAGTTGGGCTAGGGAAAGCAGGTATGGGCCTGGGTGTGAAAGGGCCTCTAAGCCAAGTGAGGGATTGTAGGCTGTATCCAGAGAGCAAGGTGACAAAAAGCTTCAGGCAAGAGTGGCCCCACTGATTTTGGTGGTTAAAAAGAACTCAGGTGCAATGTGGAGGTGGATAGAAGGAGGCAAGAATGAGTGCCTGAAAGCCAGCTGGGAGTCCACAGGAAAGAAAATGGGCCTTGGTGGTGCAGCTAGGAAGAGGTGGATATTTATAAGATGCTCAAGACGATGGCTTCAACAGGCTAAGAGATGACTGAGTTATTCTGATACCCTACCCTTTCTGTCTACTGTGTCCTTTCACACCTCTATATCTCTTCATGCTGTGCCTTCGCTTGAATTATCCACCAACCATTGTGCCTCCTAGGCCTTCCACCCTGCAAAGTCCTTAATAACCTGGCCAAATGCCACTTGCATGAAGTCTTCCCTGATGCTCTGTCCAGAGTTAGTTCATTTAACAAATATTTATGGAGCATTCACGTTTTAATGTGCCTTAAATCATTGCTGACTTGGTTTTCTGGTCGAGTGGAATGTTTAACACATGCCAGCCAATTAACATGGCTGCTTAATAAAGTCGAGGTAAAATTTGAGACACTTTTCCGGCCTACCAAGTGTCACAATTCTTCCCAGATTGTGGCAGCCCACTCCTGCCTCCACTTCTTGAGTAGCAATTTCCTTATTTCTTTCCCCTGCTCCTTGGCCTGCCCAAACCTACCAGTCTTTTAAGTGACAGTGGAAGTCCCCCTCCTCTGGTGAAGCCTCTCCCTTTGTCCCAAGCCTGGATCTTCCTCCTGAGCAAAGCCCTCAGCCCTGTGACTCTCTGTCTCTGACTGGGTGCTAGTGGGAAATCAACTTTTCATGTGAGTCTAGTTGCTTCGGTCATTCAGAAACTCTCTCAGGCTCACTGCATCCAGAAGAGTGCTTATGAATACTTGACAGGCATAAATATCTACAGGGTGCGGTATCACATCACCTTCATGGTGTTCCATAAATGATAGGTAAGATACGGGCACTTTTTTAAAAAATGACATTTGGACATAAGTATCAGATATTTGGCTTATGACACAGTAATGGGTATCTTAAGCCTAGAAGTTGTGTTTTAGATTGAAGAATCATACATGATTCTCTTTGGCTGTATTTATCCATAAATTGTCCTGTCCTTGGATAGGACATCTAGACACTTGTGAAGTGGTCATTAGTAAATTGAGTGTGAAACATGGCATTTTGGAGAATAAATTGTGAAGCAACCTCCCTGAAAACTTATTAGTAGGATAGGACATTCATGTTAGCGAGTGGACCTAGGGTGTTGGGCAGAGTCAGGGAGACCAGGTGACTTTTAGCACAGTGCTTTTCTACCTTGTTTCGGTCTAGATGGAACAGGGTTATCAGTGTCCAGAAAAAAAGTCTTTGGCTTCCGGTTAATCTGTCCGCCCCAGCCATTGAAGAGAGTGGGGTACTTATTTATGCAATATCACCCTAGGCCTTTTCTAGTGTTTGTATATCATCTCTCTGCAAGTTTCTTCTGTCAAACCTCAAGCTAATTCTTTTCCTTTTTGATACACTTTGGAGATGAAGAAATTCTGATTTTTTTTTGGTATGATAGCCCATTCCTCTGCTTTCTCTCCAAACTAAGACTAAGTAGTTATCCCAGAGTCGTTGCTATAGACCAGTATTCTGCCCTCCTTCCTGATTCTATTTCTTTTCCTTTTTTTTTTTTTTTTTTTGACAGGATCTCCCTCTTGTCACCAGGCTGGAATGCAGTGGTGCCATCTTGGCTCACTGCAACCTCACCTCATGGGTTCAAGCCATCCTCCTGCCTCAGCCTCCAGAGTAGCTGGGACCACAGGCACACACCACCACACCCAGCTAATTTTCCTATTTTTTGTAGAGGTGGGGTTTCTCCATGTTGCCCAGGCTGGTCTCAAACTCCTGGGCTCAAACGATCTGCCTGTCTTGGCCTCCCAAAGTGTTGGGATTACAGCTGTGAGCCACTGTGCCTGGTCCCCAATTCTTTTAACTCTACTTAATCCATGTTTTTAAATGTTACTTTTAGTTATATAAACTTATGTAATCAATATCCATAGATAGAGATCTGTAACTGTTTTTCTTTTCTTTTTTTTCTTTTTTTTTTTTTTTTTTTTTTTGAGGTAGAGTCTCGTTCTGTCTCCCAGGCTGGAGTGCAGTAGCACAATCTCAGCTCACTGCAACCTCCGCCTTCCAAGTTAAAGCACTTCTCCTGCTTCAGCCTCCTGAGTAGCTGGGATTACAAGCGTGTGCCACCATGCCGGGCTAGTTTTTGTATTTTTAATAGAGACATGGTTTCACTATGTTGACCAGGCTGGTCTTGAACTCCTGACCTCAATTGATCAGCCTGCCTCAGTCTCCCAAAGTGCTAGGATTAACAGGCATGAGCCACTGCACCCGACCCATAACTGATTTCCTTAAATTCTGCATATCCGTATTTTAAAAGGGATATGGGAAAAGCTTGTTACTTATCCTGGCTTTAGAAACTGACTAATATTGGGCCGGGTGCGGTGGCCCATGCCCGTAATGGTCGGGCATGGCCCGATGGTCGGTCAGATGGTCGGGAGTTCGAGACCAGCCTGACCAACATGGAGAAACCCTGTCTCTACTAAAAATACAAAAATTAACCAGGTGTGGTGATGGGCACCTGTAATCCCAGCTACTCGGGAGGCTGAGGCAGGAGAATCGCTTGAACTCGGGAGGCGGAGGTTGCGGTGAGCCGAGATCACGCCACTGCATTTCAGCCTGGGCAACAAGAGCAAAACTCCGTCTCAAAAAAAAAAAAAAAAAAAAAAAGCTGGCTAGTATTGGACGTGGTAGAGCCATTTCTCATTCCATGAAGTTTCTATTTGAGACTTTTTTAGTCATAGCTTCACTGAGATCATGTTATCACTGTATTTGCTTTTATGTCATGTCTAGGCAGGCCTCCTTACCTGAGAATTAATATGACCACGTTTATCCTGTTCCTAGGATGCCAAAATCTGATGATTCATTTGAATGGGGAAGAAAAACCAAATTAAGTGTCACATAAACGTTGTAATTAATGTAACCATTGACTCACTGACATTCTATATTTTACACCATTGTCTTGGTGTTAGATTGTCTTGGACATAAACTGTTCCTCACCTAAATCTTAGACTACTACTTGGGACCCAGTAGTGTGTTACAGGTATCTGTAGGTTGCTAGTTTGATGCATTTTTCTATTTTCCTGACAGTTAAATTTAATCTTAATATGATTGACAGTTAAAAGTGCAGGTTGTGGAGCCAACATTCAGGGTTTGAATCCCATTTTCCAACAAGTGCAGGCTCGGTAACTGAACTTACTGAGAAGATTAAATTAAATAGTGCATGTGAAGTGCGTGGTACGATGCTTAGCACACATTAAGTGTTCAATGTTAGCTACTATGATTATTATCCTTGGTGTGTTTTCTGTTTTTAATGGTGTTATGATCCTGAAGCAAGGGACTCAATAAAGGAAGAATATTATGGTTTCATAATGAAATCCTCTTAACTCATTAGTGAAGCATTGCAATCTGTAATGATGCAAGCTTTGTTTGATGCTGTAACAAATTAGGCCAGAGTTAATGCCATTTCCTGTTAAACCTTGGATAGCTTATCTTAGTACTTGACCAATGTTTTGCTGGTGGAGTCTTCTTTTTCAGTGTGACATAATTCCCAGATAGTGGGCTGGTTGTCCTCGTGAGGATTTTAATGCCCAGGTAGGAGTTGGTTGATTCTAAATGGAAGCTGTTGTGTTTTATGCTGTTTGTTTATTCTAGGTGTGGTGATTGAGCCGAAAAGTGCAGGCAAGAGGAGTCTTTGGGGTTTCTCATTTGTGTCCTGTGACATGAGTATGAAATCTCTCTGTGAGCAAGTAAAAATATTTTTCCAACTGCTCACTTAGTGCCTCCGCATGGGATTGGAAAAGTCAAGCTGTTTTATACTGCTTTATTGACAGTAATACTAATAACATAAACCAAATTTGGCTGACTCAGCTACTGATTAGCAAAAATAGCCTGTCTTCTGCGAAACGTTGTATATATAATTAAAAAAACAACTGGAAGAGTCTTCTTACTTCAAGTTCTTAAATACTTTAAAAATTTGGCTTTTTTAAAGGTAGTTTTGTGCCTCTCTCACCAGAAGTGAATTTTCCCTTGTTTACGGGGTTCCTGTAAAGCTGTGGATGGGTTTGTAGATTCAGTTTTTTAAATGACAGTCCATGTCCCCAGACAGAATAGATATTTAACAAATGCTTGAACTGTGCTTTTTAAAATCCATACTTGTTCTCAAGGATTGCTGTTGTTTATGTGAAGCATAATACTTCTTAGAGGTTTTAAAAATTGGTAACTAGACTTAGCTCCTTGGTTTGAGGGGGAGTTTTTGTGGAATGCAGACAGTTCTATTTACTGTGTACTAATAACCTGAGAGAAAGAAAGGCTCCTAACATGGGTGACCTGTTAACAAATACCAGCTTATGTTCACAAATTAATCCTTAGGCAAGCAGAGCACACACAGCATTTGCCATTTCACTTTTCTCTTACCAGTGTTAGCCGAAATGGCTCTTTACACAAATTTTCAGTGTATATATTTAGTGTTTATTTATTCAGCTGTTGGAATTTCGGTATGATTTATATTTCTGACATACTAGTATAGTGTTTTACATTAGACTAAATTAATGAAGAATTTTTTTCTTCATGAGATTGTCCAGTTATGGCAATGGTTGCAGTTATAAAGGCTGTTTACATAGACCTTGCAAGTGGGAACATTAATACATAAAAATGTTTTGAAAAGGAATTTTTCAATGCATTCTAAGACTCTTCGACCTAATTGGCCAATTTCTGGGAGTCTCACCCATGGAAATACTTTAATATACAGCTAAAGTTTTATGTGTAAAGATGTTTATTGCAATATTATTTGAAAATAGTGAAAACTTGGAAACATTAAATGTCTAATATTAGAGGAATACGTAAAAGTGTTTATATAAATGTTGCTTCAGAAGTCAAATTAGGTTCATGAAAATGATTGCTGGCAGCCTTCATGCAGGTAAATGATCCAAATGCAGAACCGTGGATGGTGATGCGCATGATGTCTGCAGGACTGACCCTGCTTGTGGGATTTAACCCTTTTGTCACAGGTAACGTTATTTGGAAATGTCTCTGCAGTACACATACTCTTTGGTATGGCATGGGCTGTCAATTGCGAGTATGACCTCTTGCTTCATACCCAACAGAACATCTTACGTAAGGAAGAAGGCAGGGATCTCTTGTCTGGTGATTATCACAAGCATGGATGAGCTTCTGCAGCAGTTCATCAAAGAATCCAGTGGGTGGAAGGATTCAGTTGGCTGTTGCCATTGTAATTGCTCTTTCCCTATTTTTCTCATGGGTCTCCATATACATAAATAAGGAGAGGTGATCCTTCTGGCCACCTTACTGCAAGACAGTAGTTTAAATGAATTCAAGAATCCTGTTTTTAAAGTGCATATTTTCAGTCATTTAAAAAAAATAAACATTGGGATAATAAGCCGGTTTCTAAGGAGTTAATTTCTGGTAATTACAGCGAATACTAGAGATGGTTTGTTTTTTCAGTCCTAAGAACTTTTTAAGGCTGCCTGCAATTCAATATATGATTGGGTGGGACTAGTAAGAGGTGGGGCCTGATATTCTGTGGAAGGAAGCCTTTTCTACTATGCTATGTCCTAGCATAGTAGAAAAGACACTAGAACAAAAGTTAAGAAATGTGGGGTTTTGGCCGGGTGTGGTGGCTCACGCCTGTAATCCCAGCACTTTGGGAGGCCGAGGTGGGTGGATCACGAGGTCAGGAGATCGAGACCATGGTGAAACCCCATTTCTACTAAAAATACAAAAAATTAGCCAGGCGCGGTGGTGGGTGCTTGTAGTCCCAGCTACTCGGAGGCTGAGGCAGGAGAATGGCATGAACCCAGGGGGAGGAGCTTGCAGTGAGCCGAGATCGCGCCACTGCACTCCAGCCTGGGCGACAGAGCGCAACTATGTCTCAAAAAAAGAAAAAAAAGAAATGTGGGGTTGTTTTGTTTTTGAGACAGACTCATTCTGTCACCCAGGCTGGAGTGCAGTGGTGCAGTCTTGGGTCACTGCAACCTCTGCCTCCTGGGTTCAGGTGATTCTTGTGCCTCAGGCTCCCGAGTAGCAGGAATTACAGGTGTGCACCACCACACCCAGCTAATTTTTTTTTATTTTTAGTAGAGACAGGGTTTTGCCACGTTGGCCAGGCTGGTCTCAAACTTCTGGGCTCAAGGGATTCAGACTGCCTCAGCCTCCCAAAGTGGTGGGATTACAGGCATGAGCCACTGCACCTGGCCAGAAATATGAGTTATAATCAATCTAGCTTCATCTCTATGTGACTTGGGCAAATATATAAACCTGGTAGATACATAGGATTAAAACCAAACCTTCGTCTTACTTACACATTTCCAAGGATCAAACCAGATAATATGAGAGTACTCTGAAAATATAAAGTGTTTACAAAGATGACAAAGGGCTGCACACAATTAAAATAGAGGAGAGCAGGGTTTGAGTAATATATTGAAATATAAGTTCAAGAGAGGGCCCTAGCCCTGAACTGATCTCATTATACCGAACCAGCACAGTGCAGTGAACTAAATGAGAACTCCAGATGAACCAAATGAACAGGCATGTTGTGGAAAGAAAAGGAAGTTGGATGGAAGAAAGGAATTTGGGACCAATCAAGAAGGAAATAGGGAATATTAATTATATTCTAAATGAGAAATAAAGCCAACATCCATATACATTTTTTAAAACTGAATGTCTAAAGTAACCCTAGGGAGGAGAGCATTTTAGAGCTGCACTCTCAGTTATGGTACCTAGTAGCCACATGTTGCTCCTGAGCACTTGAAATGTGGCTGGAATGACTGAGAGTTTCTAATTTTTTATTGATTTTCAACTATTAGAAAACTTTTAAGTGTTTGAAACAACTTGAGTATGTGAATCCACTTTCACAGTTGCAAATCTTATGAGCTCTAAATGCAGATCGGATATTTCCTTTTTCTTTCTTTCTTTTTTTTTTTTTTTTTTTTTTTTTTTTTTTTTTTTTTTTTTTTTTGAGATGGAGTCTCGCTCTGTCGCCCAGGCTGGAGTGCAGTGGCGGGATCTCAGCTCACTGCAAGCTCCGCCTACCGGGTTCACGCCATTCTCCTGCCTCAGCCTCCCGAGTAGCTGGGACTACAGGCGCCCGCTACTGCGCCCAGCTAATTTTTTGTATTTTTAGTAGAGACGGGGTTTCACCATGGTCTCGATCTCCTGACCTTGTGATCTGCCCGCCTCTGCCTCCCAAAGTGCTGGGATTACAGGCATGAGCCACTGCACCCGGCCTGCAGATCAGATATTTCCAATGAAAATTGAGTGTCCACATGAGTGGACTATAAATGTAAAATATTAGATTTTAAAGACATAGTACAAAAGGAATATAAAGTTATTTTTATGTTGCCTACATGTTGAAATGATAATATTTTAGATATATTGGGTTAAATCAAATATACTATTAAAGTTGAAAAAAAGGAAAATGACTGCTTTAGTGTTGAAATTTAAGCTTACGAGTATGTGCTTTTTTGTTTTATTTTATTTTTATCTTTTTGAGACAGGGTCTCAATTTTTTGCCCAGGCTGGAGTGCAGTAGCGCAGTCACAGCTCACTGCAGCCAGCACCGCCTGGGCTCAAGCCATCCTCTCACCTCAGCCTTCTGAGTAGCTGCAGCCACAGGTGTGCACCACCACTCCCAGCTAATTTTTTGTAGTTTTTGTAGAGATGGGGCGGGGTCTCACCGTTTTGCCCAGGCTGGAAGTATGTGCTTTTTTAAAGCATAGAAAAAGGTAGAAGAAATAAAATTATGTTTACTTATGTAAATATATTTATGTAAATTTATATATGCTAATAGCAAAGCTCCATGCTAAATGCTGTACATGAACCATCTCATCTGATTAGGTATTCATGTTATTCCCATTTGAAGAGAATATTCCAGGTGAGGAGATTGAGGTTTTCAGACATGTACTCGCCCAGGATCACTCCACTTAATCATAGATGGTAGAAGGGTTAACGTGGATTCAGCTATACTCTTGGTAGCTTTTTGTTTTTACTTCAAAATGAGACAGATATTTTTTCTCTACTTTCCATATTTTCTATAGGAAACATCATTTTACTATAGAAAAAAATTTATTGTAACGTGGGGAGGCAGTAGAATGTAGTGGTTCAAAGAGTAGGCTCTGGAGTCAGTTGGCCTCCTCTCAGTGTAACCTTGGACAAGTGACAGTGGCTGTCTGCCTGGGTGGACTCATCTGTGAGAGGGCTGGCATGAGGACTGAGATTATCCTTGTAAATATACAGCAGAAAGACTGGCACATAGTAAGGATAGAGTGAGTATTAGTTGCTATTATCATTATTATGTTCTGCAAAGAAAAGGACTTGAAAATAAGGGGGAAAAATCCATCATTTGAAATAGTGGGCGGGATTAGGTTTTTATTTTATTTTATTTTATTTTTTTTAATTTTTTTTTGTTCTCATCTTTTTTTAAAATTTTATTATTATTATACTTTAAGTTTTAGGGTACATGTGCACAATGTGCAGGCTTGTTACATATGTATACACGTGCCATGCTGGTATGCTGCACCCATTAACCCATCATCTAGCATCAGGCATATCTCCTAATGCTATCCCTCCCTCCTCCCCCGACCCCACAACAGTCCCCGTGGTGTGACGCTCCCCTTCCTATGTCCATGTGTTCTCATTGTTCAGTTCCCACCCATGAGTGAGAACATGCAGTGTTTGGTTTTTTTGTCCTTGCGATAGTTTGCTGAGAATGATGGTTTCCAGTTTCATCTATGTCCCTACAAAGGACATGGACTCATCATTTTTATGGCCGCATAGTATTCCATGGTGTATATGTGCCACATTTTCTTAATCCAGTCTATCGTTGTTGGACATTTGGGTTGGTTCCAGGTCTTTGCTATCGTGAATAGTGCCACAATAAACATACGTGTGCATGTGTCTTTACAGCAGCATGATTTATAACTGGATTAGGTTTTTAAATGGTTATCTGGTTCTCTTGGAGAGACGTTAATGGGATGAGAGAAATCACTTTGGAAAGCTTCCTTATAAGCATTCAGTCATTAGCAGACCATTTAGTGAAGGAAATAGCAATTTGCTAAATAATTCAACCTCCTGAAGTGTGTAATTCATGTTTGAGCATAGCTGGCTTAATGTTTTCTTAGGACAGCAGGAATACATGAGTCCCTAAGCAAATGTGTGGGTTAGGTCGTAGCTTAAGGATGAACTTCTTACATTTAATACTATGAACTTAATGTACAATTTATCTTTCTTATTTTTCCCTGTAAGAGAACATGTCAGTACAGTGAATTTCCACTAACTTGCACTCCACTAATTCAAACTATATGACATGCCTCCTAATCGAACAGGTTATGAAACATACACGAGACTATAATCAATTTATTAATAAAATTAGTAAAGTGAAGGTCTAGGTGAACAGAACTTTCCATATTCTCTTCTTGCAGTCTGCTTGCCACCCCTCACACACCCGCAGCCCCCATGCTTCCTCACTCACTACATGGCACCCCCCTCCAGTGTGAGAAGCCAAGAGCTTGGACTCCCCCCTCTCCCTCACCTTGCCCACCCTGGACATCTCTCCCATGTGACCCCTGCATTCCCTCTCCTGCTGTGCCTTTGGAGGGCCCCCATCTCTCATCTGGACTCTTGCAGTCGTTTTTTTAACCAACCTGATGCTGATCTCACCCTCTTTTCAGCCTCTCGCCCCAACTGTCACCCCTTCTTTACCAACCCCCCAGTTTAAAAACAAACTCTGGAGCTCTTACCTCCTTCTCCAACATTGTTTTTCACTTTTTCATCTCTGCCTTCTGTCTGATCCCCACTAGCAAGCCTTAAATATTACTCTCTTTGCAGAGCTTCACCTGACCCACTGGTCCCCATACAGAATTGACTGCTCTGTATTAATCCCCCCACCCCTACCCATCCTTTTCTCCTGTACATACCTTGTCATGGCACATAGATCACTTTATTACAGTTATTTACTGTTTCTCCTTCCCTTGCTAGAGACTTTTGACCTTTCTGAAGGCAGATTTGTGGTCTTGTGGATTTCTGTGTCTCCAGTGCCTGTGACAGTGTGTTAAATGTATGTTTGATGAATGTGTGCTTCTGATGATGATAAAAATAGCTGCCACGAATTGAGGTGTTTGTGCATTATGCCAAGCACTTCATACAATTTTATTATCTCATTTAATCCTCACAGCAACTCCATGAGGTATAAGCATTATTGTCCCCATGTTTATGAGTTGGGAAACTGAGGTCTATATAGTTTTAGCAGCTTGCCCAAGGTAATATTACAGTGTATGCTATTACAGTATAGTTTCAGAGCCTAGAGAACTCTAACTGAAATTATGCATATTACAGATTACATCTTTCTCATAGAAATGGTGAGAATCTAGTCCTATTGCTGCCACTTCATTATGAGTTAAGTAAAGTATTTTAGGGCTGGTCTGGAGATCTGTCCTCCACTGACAGCTAGGGTTTTTAACTTGGGGACTACTGGGATTTGGGCGACCCTGTAAATGTCAGTCAGTTTAATCCAAACTCTCTGTCATTTTGAGATGGAGAGAATTTCCCTTTTGCTTTAATCAGATTTTCACAATTGATATGGAACCCCCGGAAATTTAAGAACAACTAATATAACATTTCTCCAAAAAATTATTTTCCAAAGGCCAGATGACTAATTTACAATAGTACAACCCTTTCATAAAGTGGAGATTATGTGTTTTGATAACTTGACTATATGAATGAAAATGATTCATCTTAGATACTAGGTTTTTTAAAAGTGTCAATTTTCTTTAGACTCTGTAAACAGTCATTCGTTTATCTCTTAAATGGAAAACTGCTTCTCTGTTATGGACCGAAGGTTTGTGTCCCCCCACTCTCAATTCATATTTTGAAACCCTAACCCCCAAAGTGATGCTATTAGAAGGGTGGGGCCTTTGGGAGGTAATTAAGTTTAGATGAGGTCATGAGGGTGGAGTCCCTATGATGGGATCAGTATTTTTATAGGAGGAAGAGGGACCAGTACTCTCTCTACCCATCCCCATGTCCCCAAGTCCCCAGGAGGATACAGCCATCTGAAGCCAGGAAGAGGACCCTTACCAGGAGCCTAATTTGCTGGCACCTTGATCATGGACTTCCTAGCCTCCAGAACCCTGAGAAGTAAATGTTGTTTAATCTAGCAGCATGTGCTATTTTCTTTATAGCAGCACAAGCTGGCCAAGACCCTCTCCTTTTCTTCTCCAACCCAGTTGCAATTTATTAAATTGTTCATGTATGTGAAAAAAATCATTGGAGAAAAACATAATACATTTTAAACATGTCACTGCTTCTGTAGTTACATTAATTTTCTTCAAATAATTGTTTTCATTGGATTTTGCATAGGAAATATGTGATAGCTTTTCCAAATCAAAGTAGGATATTATGTACTATTTTATATCCATCCCCTAGCTCCTGACCAGTAAAATGTTCTTGCCTTTCAAGGGTGGGTGTGTGTTAAGCTGTTGTTAGTTTGTGCTGATTTTTTTTTCTTTTTAATTTTATTTTTTTCACTCAAATTATGACATAAGACATCAATTTCTGTGTTTTGAAGTGAACTGAAAATATGGGTCATGACTGGAGGAATAGCTAGATTTCTGAGCTGAAGGGAAAGGACCAGGTTCTCTGTCCCTACCACTTGCCATAGTGCCTTACACATTTGGTGCTCAGTAAAGGCATATTGTTAAACGATTATATATGCCATTTTACAATCTCAGTTCTTTTCCTAAAATTTTCATATGATTGACTTCTCCAGGAATGCATTTCTATAATTTCTATACAGGAATAGGTATTTGTTTCTCCTTCACTCTGTCCTTAATTTTCATTTTGGAACCTGTTGGTGTCTCTCCCTTGGTGTTCTGGCTGTAGGTGGGCACCTAACTGACTTCATGTTAATTTGATCACTGGCTTTCCTTCGTTTTGTTACAGCTAAATGGCTCTATGACAGCCTAGAGTTGAATTTTGGTACTTGCAGAGAATTGAAATGAAGGAAAAATCATATTAGCCAGTCGGAATATTCAGTTACATTAACATGACTTGCTAAAATCCTTGCAGTTCCACTAAAATGTAATCACCTTAGGACCCAATTCTCAATATTTCACCTTTAGTGATTATCAAGGAGGTTTTAAACACAGTGGCTCATTTGTTGAATGTAGCACTTGGTGAAAAGAAGAAAAGCATTGCCAAGAAGAGATCTAATCTTGCTGGATAATTTCCAAGGAGGGTTACAGAAGACGTCACCTCAGCCTTTTCTGGGAAACATCCACTGTGCTCTGAAGAGCTGTGGGGGTTGAACAGCTCTTTGCTAATGGCAGGCAGCAAAAAGCCCAGAGCAGAGCACAAGCGTGGTGGCATCACTCTTCAGTAAGCTATAGTCACATAGTGACTGCACATTGTAAAAGTGCTGCTTAACCCTTTTTTGCTTCTCAGTGCATTGATAAGAAAATGATCCAAAAGATGGAAGAAAGCACAGTTTTTTTGTTTTTATAATATGGTAAACTTTTATTATTTTTCATTTTCAAAAACATCTGGAATCTGACAGTCTAAAACTAAGTTTTTAGCCAGGCATGGTGGCTCATGCCTGTAATCCCAGCACTTTGGGAGGCTGAGGCGAGAGGATTGCTTGAGCCCAGGAGTTCAAGACCAGCCTGGGCAACACAGCGAGACTCCTTCTCTACATTTTTTTTTTTAATTAGCTGGGAGTGGTGGCACATGCCTGTAGTCCCAAGCTACTCAGGAGGCTGAGGTGGGAGGATTGCAAGAGCCCGGGAGGTTGAGGCTGCAGTGAGCCATCATTGTGCCACTGCACTCTAGCCTGGGAGACAGAGTGATGTCATATCTTAGAAATGAAATAAAACTAAGTTTTCTATGTACCATGTATTAAAAGGAAAATGGCAAGGAAACTAATTGCAGGAACTTATATAAAGCAGTAGAGTCATAATAAATTTATAAACTTTTATCCCAATTATCTGTGCCTGCTCATCTACAGTATTGTAAAGTGAGATTTGGCATTTATAATTCTGACTCTGAGATACCTCAGGATCACAAAATGCCTCTGAATCATCAAAGATTACATTTTAATCAGGAGGATTTTATTTGGTATCTTTCATGATTTTCTTACTGTTTGACAGCGGGCCTCTTTGTGAGATGTATGATTCCTCGAAGTTAATTAGATCATTGGGTTGATCAAAACAGTATCCCCATCACCTGAGTAGTCTGAATAAGAAAATGTTTACTGGGAAGCTTCATCAGACCACTGTGAAAATGAGTATTTGAAACACCTGCATTTAGGTAAAGTCTTAAACTTTTGTGAATGGAGTCATAGTTCAGACTATTCCTTGCCAACATAAACCTTCCTTTACAGTTACAGGTGCCAAAAAAGTCACCACCACATGTGATTGGGTTGGGGAAGTTGATTGAATTTTTAAAAAATCAAATGCTCAGCCTAGTTTGTTTTTCTCATGGTCGTAGATTTTTTTAAAAAATTGAACTTTTTGAGAGAATTGTAGATTCATATGCAGTTGTAAGAAATAATACAGAGATCCCAAGTACTCTCTACCCTGTTTCCCCCAGTGGTAACATTGTACAGGACTGCAGCACAATATCACAACCAGCATACTGACATTAGTACGGTCCAGATACACAACATTGCTATCAGCACATGTGGCCTTCATAACCACATCCTCTTCCATCCTGCCTTCACACCCTTTGTAACCCCAGGCAATTTGTTAATCTCTTTTCTATCTTTATAGTTCTGTCATTTCAAAAGTGTTTTATAAATGGATGGCCCTTTTCACTTAGCTTAATTCTTTAGAGATTCATTCAGGTTGTTGAATGTATCAGGTTTGTTCTTTATTGCTGAGTAACGTTCCGTGGTGTGGATATACCATGGTTTGTTTTAACAATTCACCTGTTGGAGAGTATCTTGTTTGTTTCTAGTTTCTAGCTAGAATAAAGCTGCTGTGAACATTCGTGTACAGGTTTTTATATGAACATAAAGTTTTCATTTCTCTAAAATAAATGCCCAATAGCTTCATTTGAATTATGGCATGATATTTAATTATATTCCTATACTATAATTTCTGTAGCAGAAGGTTACTTCTAGGTTACGGAAGGTTTCATCTAGAAGGTTACTTCTAGATGGATACTTGAAGGCTAACCACCTTTCAGTTTTTGTTACAAATATCACTGATGACAATCATAAGTCAATCTTAGTGCACATCTGCTTGTATTTCCTTAGTGTAGATTGCTAGCAGTAGGCTTGAGTGTATAAAATATTAAACCTTTTTTTAAAGTACCTCTCCTTTTCTTAAAGTTATTTTTAATTTTTAAGTATATCTAATTGCAGAGCATTGTCATTACCTTAGAAAGAAACATCATAAACAGTATCGGTCACTTCCCATTCCTTCGTTTCCCCAGCCCCTGGCAACCACTGATGGATCTGCCTATTCTGGACATTTCATATGAATTGAATCATCTGTGGCCTTTTGTGTCTGGCATCTTCCACTTTGCATAATGTTTTCCAGATTCATTCATGATATAGCAAATGTCAGTACTGTCTTCCTTTTAATGGCCAAATAACATTCCATTGTATGAATGTACAACATTTTGTTTATTAATTAATCAGTTGATCGACTTTTGGGTTGTTTTTACTTTTTGACTGTTATAAATAATGTTACTATGAATATTTGTGTACAGGTTTTAGAGTGAATGTGTGTTTTCATTTCTTTGGGTATATACCTAGGAGTGGAATTGCTGGGTCATATGGTAATTCTGTGTTTCACTTTTTGAAGACTTGCCAAACTATTTTCCACAGCAGATGTACCATTTGACAGTCCCGCCAACAGCAAGCGCCTGAGTATTTCACTTTCTCCATCTACTTGGCCAGTATTTGTTATTTTCTGTTTTTATGATTATAGCTACCCCAGTGGTTATTACATGGGTCTTTTTTTAAAAAGAGCTGTTTTGGCAACACTGCCTTGCTTACCTACCAGGTAGGACAGCCACAGGAGCGCTGTTTATGTTGAAGTTTCCAGTGGTGTCAGTTGGCTGTCTCTAGGCTTTTGTGGAAGAGAAAATTGTGTAACTGCCTACCTCTCCTGCCAGAGCACCAGACTTGATGTGAAGTTCTGTGAAGAGCCCACCCAGTCACCTGTCAGCTCATTTAGCCACACTGGAGAGTCTGTTGAGGTACAGAGGGGAGTTACCAGTGTCGTTTGTGGACTCAGTTGCTATTTTGGAACAGAAATTTGCAGAATCCTTTAAGCTGAAAAATTTCCATGCTAGTATGTATCATATGAATAGCAATTATTTACCCTTTCACAGAAAAAACCAACGGTCTTTTCTGTGTGTATTGTGAGATAAAGTCTGGAGGGGTTTGTGGTTTTCTTTTTAGTAGGTAACAGTTCGAAATTTGTTGCAGATCATAAGCTGCCAAATAATAGCTTTAAGATGTACTTTTAAAAATCAACTGTGTGATTGGCTGGGTGCAGTGGCTCACTCCCGTAATCCTAGCACTTTGGGAGGCCAAGGCAGGCAGATTGCTTGAGCCCTGGAGTTGAAAACCAGACCAGCCTGGGAACAGAGCGAGACCCTGTCTCCAAATTAACAACATCAACAAAAAAATCAACTTGTGATAATTGTAAAGAGCACAAGTTTTGGACCAACTACAAATTTAAGTAACTTAACTTTGTGAGCTACTTAACAGTAAGTAATGTGATTAAGTCTTCCCAGTGTGCCCGAAAATTTTTTGATTTTAGCACTGAAAGCCTTACATCCCGGAAAATCCCCCAAGAAAAACAGAACAGTTGCCTACCCTAAGCCATATAAACCTAGAGTTAACTACTTAAGATCTCTGAACTTTAGTTTCCTCGTCTAGAAAATAGGGATATTTCCTTAGTGAGTCTTTGAAAAGCCAGCTACGTAGTAGGCTCTTAGTAAATGTTAGATCCCTTGTCTCAGGCTAGTAACAAAAGTGTTGTATTGTTTTCCTAACCAAATTCTATACTTTAGATAATAAGCCTTTTCACTTCTCTTCCCAGTTCCAGTTAAATCGAGGGGGAGGGTTTATATTTTATTAGGCCGTGCTTGTAATTGGTGCCTTAATTATGTGTGGTAACCAAAAGGAAGGCTAGCAAGGGGAAGTAGAGTTGTCTTGTAAGAACCTCTTCTTCCAGCCCCACTGACCTTGTTAATTTCTAAGGCTTTTATCTATTGTTAACAAATTACCCCCAAATTTGCCACCTTAAAATGCAGAAACATTTACTGTCACACACGTTTTCTGAGGGTCAGAAGTCCCAGCAAGGCCTACCTGGGTGGTTTTGTCTCAGGGTCTTTCATGAGGCTGCATTCATCTGAAGCTGAGCAGGCCAGAAGATCTGCTTCTGAGCTCATTCAGGTGGCTGTTGGCAGGTGGCCTATTTCCTGCCACATTGTCCTCTCCCTAGGACTGTTTGCAGCATAGCAGCTGGCTTCCCCCAGAGCTAGTGGTCCTAGAAACACAGACAGAAACATGCCAGCTGACCAAGATAGAAGCCACAACATCTGTTATCACCTAATCCCAGAAGCGACATACCATCCCTTTTGCTTTATTCTGTTGGTCACACACACAACCCTGGTTCATCGGGAAAGGGCACTACATAAGGGTGTGAGTATCAGGTGTACCAGGATCTTTGGGGGCATCTTAGACTCTGCCTCCCATAGATACCGTATTTACTTGAAGAAAGCTTGAGGTCCTGTAGTCTAGGTAATGAAACGAATATAATAGGAAGCAGCTCAGTTTAGGATTGATGATAATAGAGCCAGAGCCCACGTTTCTCAACCAGTGTTCAGGTTCTTCCTATCACCCATCTTGCCTCCTTCCAAGGAATGTATGGAATTGTCCTTGGCCAAACATTTGATTTGGCAGCAGCAGCAGCAGCAGCCTGTCAGCAGTGTTCCATACTGCCCCAGTTCAATATGATGAAACAGGGAGTTACTAAATTCCTTTCTGTGTCCCAAGAACAGCTACTAGGGATTACAAGGAGCAAGACAGATACGTTCCTTGTTCTCACAGAGCTTTATAGACTTGGCCACTGTTGACTCCTGGTAGTAATGGTGTTATGGATCTCCTCTACTGATAGTAATATTTCTGCAACAGCATCCCCCAAAAAAGAGCTTACCGGTAAAAAATCCATCAGGTGCAGGATGGATTAATGTATGCTTGTTATGTGTGATGTGTACCATGTCACACAGTGTTTGAAAAATATGAGAACTGATCTCTATCTTGATACGAGGTTTTATTTCAGCTTGAGAGATGTTTGAAAAAATATGATTGCCTCCCCGCCCCCCGCCCCACCTGCGCATCCCCTCCCCCCAGCTGGTGGAATTAGAGGAAACAGGGAATTGCTGCAGAATTTGTTGGAATAAAAAATAACTTGTCCTTGAGACCATCATCCTAGTCTAGGCTCTGTCTCTGTAATACAGTGTATGGATACCGTCTGGGTGATAAAAATTAAAGGGTGGCAGGGGATTTTAGTAAGAGTCCAAAACTTAATTGATATATATAGCAGTGGTTCCCAAAGCAGGCTGTTTCCCAGAATTACCTAACGATCTTTTCAAAAAGATATTTCCTAGCATCTATTGAATTAGAATTTCTAGGATTGGATCCCAAAAACCTGATTTTAAAGCTGTTAGGTGATTTTAAGATGCAACCAGATTTGAGAGCCCATTGATATGAAACTCTAGAAAGTCATTCATTCATTGATCCACTCATTATTCATTCATTCACTCTTAGTTTCAATGAGCAATCAATAATTGGTCAGGCACAGATCCAGACACTCTAGCGATAAAATGGGAACACCAGAGGTTCTGCCGTTGAAGAGCTTAGAGCCTAATAGGATGTGGACAGATAAACAGATAATTACAGTATAACTGATAATCACAGCACTTAAAAAATAAGCCTGTAATTTTATCACTGATTGAGATACAGTAGAAGTGATGATGAAGAGTATGAAAATGAGGTCAGGGAGGATTGCTGCCCCTTTACTTCCCATCTAGGTCTTAATTACAGAGATCTTAAAGAACTCTGTTACCAAACATCTTCTTCCAAACAACTTTTTTTTTTAACTTGATAATGTTATTTTAAAACTACATAGTTCTGTATCTTTTTCTCGTAAAACTATATGAATTCAGGCAATACTAACACATGTCACCATCTTTTATGTAAATACATGAAGATGTCCTCTTGAGAGACTGCATGGGGTATTTTAAGAATGATAGGCAATAGAGTTGGAGATGTGGTTCAAATTCTGGCTCCACCCAACCTCTGTGACTTTGGCAACTCAGCCCCCTTTTCAGTTATGGTAAATGAATAAGTTTATTGGCCATCTATCATATGCTAGTTGCCAGGAGTACAAAAAAAAAGGCTTATCAGATGCAGATTTATTTCTGCTCTGTACTAAGGTTGGGATAGACACTGGCCTGCTCTTCTACTCACAGAGAAGTCAGTGACCAGCATCTCCTTGACATTTCAGAGGAATTTATCTAGAGTCTTTTATAAATCCCCAGATTCACAAGTATCATTTGTGAGTCCATGCCAAATAGAAAATAACAGAGCTGTGAGGTATGGATGTGAGCATGTTTCACTGCCATGGACCTTGCAGGGAACTCCAGTTTATGCCTTAGCAAAACTCTTCCATAAACATTGAATATGAAACTGATCATTGTCAAAGGTCTCTGTAATGATGATAATAATAGAAACATTTTTACGGTACTTGCTGTGCCACACACTATTCTAAGCATTTCACATATCTTAACTCATTTAATCACATGAGGAAGTTAATGTAATTACCCTCATTTTACAGTCTAATAAACTAAGGCACAGAATGTTAAGTAACTTGCCCAAGGTTACACAGCTAGTAAGTGGTGAAGCAGGGATTTGAACCCAGGCTCTCTGGCTCCAAAGTGTATGTTCCTAACCACTACCACCCAAAAGTGGTTGAGCCACAGATGTCTTTGCACACTGCTTACTAATTTGTACTGTGGCAGAGGTCATGTCTGTCTCTGTCACTTTCCTGTTCCTCACAAGCAATACTGCTTGACACAAAGTAGACACTCATTAAATAGTTTTTAACTCAGTGAGTCAACTGCCTTTCAAATGGCTGGTAGCCTGAAAAGCAGTCATTCTGAGAATCATTGGACACACAGAAATAAAACCAGTCAGGAGGATGACTAACTCCTGCACCTGATGGATTTTTTTTTACCTTGCTTCACTGCAGCCTTGTGGGCATTAATTAGTTACTGTCAGCAAAGTTCTATGTGAAAGTGGAGTTCTAAGTCCAACTGCAGCAATCTGGCCTTCACCCACCAGCAAGGAGCATTCTGTGTGTGAATTATCGTTGTCTTTTTCCAAATAACAGTGTGCTTCACTCAATTAAAAGTTATCACCACTTCTTCTTCTAGTTTCAAAAGAAAATTAAGTTGGCAGCTTTAAGATGATAAAACTCTACAAGAGTAATTTTCTACAGTGGTGAACCCTTTTCTGAATGCTCGTTTGTTGTGTGGATTGTTGTAAATGGTCCTTGTCTTGACTCTGCTGAGAACTGGGGGAAGAACTTTGAACTTGACTGTACATTTCTTCTTTAGCTGTGAATAAGAATTCCCCTAGAATAAAGTTCTAAAATCATGTTACCCTCCCGCTACCAACTGCTGAAAAAATGTTCTATATCTGAGTTTTTAAGATCAAGTGTATTTGTGTGTTGCCTTTCAAGACTAGAATACATCTTTGTCTCCCAGTGGGGAAGAAATTTCCTTGAATGTTTAAGAGGTGTGTGTGTTTGCCCCTCTCCCCTCTCTCTCTCCCCTCTCCCTCTCCCCTCTCTCTCTCCCCTCTCCCTCTCCCCTCTCCCCTCTCCCCTCTCCCCTCTCCCTCTCCCCTCTCCCCTCTCCCCTCTCCCCTCTCCCCTCTCCCCTCTCCCCTCTCCCTCTCCCCTCTCCCCTCTCCCTCTCCCCTCTCCCCTCTCCCCTCTCCCCTTTCTCCTCCCCTTTCCACGGTCTCCCTCTCATGCCGAGCCAAAGCTGGACTGTGCTGCTGCCATCTCGGCTCACTGCAACCTCCCTGCCTGATTCTCCTGCCTCCGCCTGCCGAGTGCCTGCAATTGCAGGCGCGCGCCGCCACGCCTGACTGGTTTTCTTATTTTTTTGGTGGAGACGGGGTTTCGCTGTGTTGGCCGGGCTGGTCTCCAGCTCCTAACCGCGAGTGATCCGCCAGCCTCGGCATCCCGAGGTGCCGGGATTGCAGACGGAGTCTCGTTAACTCAGTGCTCAATGGTGCCCAGGCTGGAGTGCAGTGGCGTGATCTCGGCTCGCTACAACCTCCACCTCCCAGCCGCCTGCCTTGGCCCCACAAAGTGCGGAGATTGCAGCCTCTGCCCGGCCGCCACCCCGTCTGGGAAGTGAGGAGCGTCTCTGCCTGGCCGCCCATCATCTGGGATGTGAGGAGACCCTCTGCCTGGCTGCCCAGTCTGGAAAGTGAGGAGCGTCTCTGCCCGGCCGCCATCCTACCTGGGAAGTGAGGAGCGCCTCTTCCCGGCCGCCATCCCATCTAGGAAGTGAGGAGCGTCTCTGCCCGGCCGCCCATCGTCTGAGATGTGGGGAGCGCCTCGGCCCAGCCGCGACCCCGTCTGGGAGGTGAGGAGCGTCTCTGCCCGGCCGCCCCGTCTGAGAAGTGAGGAGACCCTCCGCCTGGCAACTGCCCCGTCTGAGAAGTGAGGAGCCCCTCCGCCCGGCTGCCACCCCGTCTGGGAAGTGAGGAGCGTCTCCGCCCGGCAGCCACCCCGCCCGGGAGGGAGGTGGGGGGGGGTCAGCCCCCGCCAGGCCAGCCGCCCCGTCCGGGAGGGAGGTGGGGGGGTCAGCCCCCTGCCCGGCCAGCCGCCCTGTCCGGGAGGTGAGGGGCGCCTCTGCCCGGCCGCCCCTACTGGGAAGTGAGGAGCCCCTCTGCCCAGCCAGCCGCCCCGTCCGGGAGGGAGGTGGGGGGTCAGCCCCGCGCCCAGCCAGCCGCCCCGTCCGGGAGGGAGGTGGGGGGGTCAGCCCCCTGCCCGGCGAGCCGCCCCGTCTGGGAGGGAGGTGGGGGGGTCAGCCCCCTGCCCAGCGAGCCGCCCCGTCCGGGAGGGAGGTGGGGGGGGTCAGCCCCCCGCCCGGCCAGCCGCCCCGTCCGGGAGGTGAGGGGCGCCTCTGCCTGGCCGCCCCTACTGGGAAGTGAGGAGCCCCTCTGCCCGGCCACCACCCCGTCTGGGAGGTGTACCCAACAGCTCATTGAGAACGGGCCATGATGACAATGGTGGTTTTGTGGAATAGAAAAGGGGGAAAGGTGGGGAAAAGATTGAGAAATCGGTTGGTTGCTGTGCTGTGTAGAAAGAAGTAGACATGGGAGATTTTTCATTTTGTTCTGTACTAAGAAAAATTCTTCTGCGTTGGGATCCTGTTGATCTGTGACCTTACCCCCAACCCTGTGCTCTCTGAAACATGTGCTGTGTCCACTCAGGGTTAAATGGATTAAGGGCGGTGCAAGATGTGCTTTGTTAAACAGATGCTTGAAGGCAGCATGCTCGTTGAGAGTCATCACCACTCCCCAGTCTCAAGTACCCAGGGACACAAACACTCTGCCTAGGAAAACCAGAGACCTTTGTTCACTTGTTTGCCTGCTGACCTTCCCTCCGCTGTTGTCCTATGACCCTGCCAAATCCCCCTCTGCGAGAAACACCCAAGAATGATCAATAAAATAAAATAAAATAAAATAAAATAAAAGAGGTGTGTGTGTTTGTGTGTGTACATGCATTTTTTGTTTCTGTTTTTGTTTTTTATGGGCTCACACTTTACAAAGTGTCTTTACTGATCATGTAGTAGAAGAGAAGAGAGCACCTCTGTTAGAGTTCCAGATAACTAGCACTGAGAAAGTTTTCCCCGAGGAAATGCCATCTGTAACTAGGATTTAGTCCGTGTTTTAGGATGCTGCCATTGTGGAGTCAGGTGTGCCATTTTCTTTTCTTTTTATTTTGTAATAACAGGTGTATCTCCTCATTTATAGTATCACCAATAGATAATTATTATACTCATAGGACAGATTGGAGTACTTGCCGTTAAAGAGTTTGGACTCTAAGGAGTTGCAGAGTTTGTTCCCATAATACCTGAACACAGAAGTATCTAGCTCATGTAAAAGTTGAAGTTGCTGTATACTAAATGAGTTGTCTAGACAGCAACAAGAGGGGCAGTGGAGTGGAAGTAGGCTTTGTAACACCTAATCTGGGCCTTGGAGAAAGGGTTGGAAATGAAGGCAAGAGGACAGGGAGGAAGGACCACAGATAACAGCCACTGGTGTGACTCTCCACTTGTTAGAAGGATGTTAGAAGGTGTTAGAAGGATGTCCTTCTCCAGCGATGGTTAAAAAGTGCTTTTTAATTAACTAGTAGCAGCCAAGGAGCAGGAAGTGGAGGCTTCTGTGTTGACCCTAAACGTATTTTTGTACAACAATTTGATTGTTGCAACATTTAAAAATTTCCCCTCCAATTATCCATTATACCGGAATGAGGTTGTTCTGCCTTCTTCAGCCGTGGAGCTAACCTGTGGCAGTGCTTTGTAGAATCTATCAGTGCCCCAGTTTTGCAGTTACTCATCTAAAACCCCAAATAGAGCTGTGTTTTTTGCCTTCGTGTATGATATATGGCAGGAAAAATGACTTTATCAGAGAATTACAAGAGTTTGTTACTTCCTTAGAATGGAGGTTAGAAAGTATAGGAATTCTGCAGGGGGAAGAAAGAGAATAAGCATAGATTCAGAGTGTTAGGATGACAGTACACAATCAGATGTACCACTGTTGGTGCGGTAGATATTTTTGAGCCAAGATTTAATCCAGAGTTATCATTTATTTAAATGCCAACACTTTAACATGAATTCTGTCGTCAAGTTACTTTCATTTCTAAAGCTTGTTAGTACTTGGATCTTCTTTCCTTTATGGTCTTCACGACATTTTGAATTTTAACATTCCTCAGCAAGGTGTGGTTTTATTTGGGAACTGATTTTCCCAACCTAGAAAAATCTTTTTAAATTCTAGAATCAGGGTTGTGACTACCAAATTAAAGCACCATTTAATTTTTCATTCTGTGTAACTGGCAGCCAACTTGAAGAATGTTCCCATGCCTGCCTAACGTTAACGAGTTGACTGATAAAAGTGATGGATGGGAATGAGAGAAGAGAAAATGCAAGGAAATCTCAGTCTGATTCCTTGCAGCACATGGGTTTGTAAACTCAGCTGACTCATTTTTAGGTGAACAATAACCGTTAAAAAAAAAGTAAAGCAGGATATGATGAAGTTAAGCTAGACAATAGCTAAACGTTTTTAAATCAAAAGGAATGTGACTTGACTGATACCACAGGAAAGGGAGCTTTCAAAGCAAGCTGACTGCTGCCTTAGAAGCCAGACAAACCAAGACTTGGCCCTAAAAATATCTTTACTGTTTTAGAGTCAGCAAACAGCCTGGTTGTGGGTTTAGGAAATAAACTTTTCTTTAATATAATTCTTATACCAACTCTTTACTATAATGTATATTTTTAAAAATCTTGATACCTTTTAAAACAGATTTGCCTTAAGATCCCAGTACTTTTCCTTTGCTGGGCAGCTTTGTCACTCTCTCCTACCCCAGGTAGAAATGGCCAAGATGCTTAATATTTGCACTCTCCTTGAGACGTACTTCATCTTGAGAATTGTGACTGTGCCTTCTCCTCATTAACCCCAACCACCTCCTTCCGTTGTTGCCACCTACCCCCATCCCCTCATGTTCTGTTGTCCTTGGGAGCCAAGTGGAAAGGAGGTGGAGGGGGACTGATTTGCTGTAAAGCTTATTGTAGTGTCTTTTTTCAAACATGCTTCTAGCAACTAGTTTGATTATTAGTTCAAAGTGAGCACTGATGTTGACTTAACCTCCCACACGTGATTCACCTGGGCATATACTTGCCCCTGGAGGGAGTTGAACAGTGGACAGATGGATTTTCCACATGAGCAGGACTCTCTTTAGGGCTTTGGGTTTTGTTCTTTGTTCTGCTCGTGTTAGTATTTCCAGGTTTTTGTATTCCAGGCTATGGTAGTTCCAGTCTTTCTCTCGAATTCAGGCCCAAGGATCCTAAAATTCTACAACACTTAGTATAGTACATGGGGAGGGAACTAGCCAGGAGCGCAGAACTGATCCATGGTGGTGGGGGTGAGTCAGACGAAGGTGTGCTGAACTCCCTCACACTCTCTTGCTCCTTTCAGCTGTATCTTTAAATATAGGGTAGTTTATAAAGAGAATGGTCAGCTCCAGTCAGTTTTTTGTAGTGAGATACTTAAAATGAGACACAATTATAATATAGTTGCATGGTTACCAAAAACACTCCAGAATCTTATAATGGGAAGCGGCTTTTTAAATTAGGAGTGTCTTTTGGAAAATGTGCGTTAAAAAGGAATTCTTTAAAATTGGTTCTAATTTACCTGCCCGTAATCCATTTTTACTGTCATTATTTTCTGTGTGTGGCTCTTGAACTAGTGAATAGCTTTGGAAGACTGTTTTCATTGGGACTTTTTTTCACTGGGCCCTGTTACTACTCCCTGTTGTAACCTGTAATTCTGGGAAGCCCCCTAGGTTGAGTGCAGGTCAGAGACTCCTGGTTAAAGAGGATGGGAATCGATGCTTTGGCTTGGTGTCAGCGTGGTCTTTTTCCTGGGAAGTGCTGGCCACTCCCAGCCCTGTCCATTTTCCTGTCAGTGTGTGGGGAACCAGCCAGATCAAAGAATAGCTTATTCTTTTGCTGCATGTAGGACTAAAGCTCCTTTTCCATGGAGCCTAGTGCCTGGGCTTGGTCCCTGCTAGTACAATTGTACAGAGCAGCTGTGTTCCCACTTGACCCAGCTCACCCAGGCTGCCTGTAGTGTGATTCGGGTTATTGAGAAGTTATGTCATTGGCCCACCGTAGCTCAGAAGATAGGAAACCGCACCAGTGAGGCCAACCACAGACCTGGCAGTGTGATTGGGCATCTTGTGCAAAGTAGGTCATGCCGTTCCCATAAATCCAGATTACTAGGCAAAGTGTCAAGACTTTTGCATAGCCCTGTGCCTCCCATTCCTTTAGTACAAAAGAGTATAGCTCAGCCCACAGACCACTCAGCAAGTGCCCAATTTACTTAACAGGGCAGGCCAGCCTAGCCTGGTGATGAAGAATTCATTTGCTGAGACCTTTGTACTGTTCATGTGGCATAGCAGATGAGGCTCAGCAAGGAAGATGGGAATGAAAAGGGCACGTTGCTGGCAGGAGGGCTGCAGGAAGGAGGGTTAGGAGATGGTAGCAGTGTGAGCAGATAAGGATTGGCACCCTCTTCTGTTCCTAGCCCGTTGGCCACAAGCTCTCTGAAAGGTCTCAAGAAAGCTCTCATGACTGACCTCTGTCTACTGCTGAGCAAGGCCTGGGCACCAGACGGAGTGGAGGACAGAAGGCCTCCCATTGTGCTGCCCACTCCTGTCATGGCTTCTGGTCCTTGTGCATGCCAGCCTAGCCCTGACCCCAGGGCCATTGTGCTCATTTGTGCCTCTAAATGGAACACCCACCCTTTCCCTTGGTAGATGTGTGGCTTGCTGTCACCATTCAGGCTCTGCTCTGTTGCCACCTTCTCAGGCTGCCTTCTCTATGTTTTCCAAAATAAATTCCCACTCCATGATTCCAGCCCCTTTATTCTGCTTTATTTTTTTTGCTAACAGTTATTTTGCATATCGTATTGTACGTGTGTTTCTGTCTGTAATTAATATATGTTTATGGTCTTTCTCACCAGCCTGCAATCCCAGGGCCTTCAGGTCTCCGTGCCTAGCATGTGGTAGGCACTCGGTGTGTGGTATGAATGAAAAATGAGTACATGGTATTGAGGGACACTAGTTATGGGGCTGCCTTGACAAACATGAGGTTGTATTGAGTAAATGATGAAGCTTTTGGTGAAGGTGTCTCTTAGTAACCTGTGCAGAAACAAACAGCCTTGCCTGAGAAGATTACAGTATATATCCAATTGTGGGTGTGGTAGGGGAGAGTTTGGGGGAAATACTGAACATGCCAGAGTCCAGCCCAAAATCAAGCTTGGGATCCACAGCTCAGGACTCTCCTGATTAGGGCCTGTTGTCCAGGGCCTACCTCTACCTGCCCCTTCTCCCTTTTCACTGTAGTCATTTCAGAAACAATAAGCAGGAACAATAATTTGAAAATTATTATCATTTCCCCACATGTATCTGTTCTTTTAGAGAATGTTTTGTTGGCTCTTTCAATATATTCCTAAGTTTGATTGTGAAAAGTTCTGCAAACCTAGGAGAAAAATTCTCAAGCCGAGAAGAAATGCAGTCTAAGAACAGATGTACCGTTTCTGACAAAAATCGTTTCTTGCGTGTGCTTTTGTAGAGAACACATTTCATTTTATAAAGATGAAAGAGTGCTCCTGTGCCTGCCAGCTTCCACAGGGCCTCTTCAAGATGGTTTAGACTCAGATTATTTGGGACAGATGGCTTGTAACAGGATTCTTCAATATCTCCAAATACTAAATTCCACAGTCTCTTTTGGTAGCCTGCTGCTGGTTCAGTACTCTTGGACTGAAATTTTACCTTATGTTTAATCAAGCTGCTTTTCTGTTGCCGTGATGTTAGCCTAGATTCTCAAATTGGACTATGTCCTAGGCATTTGTCCTTATAGTAATAGGTCATTTATCGCAATTACTGGGCTTCATATTTTTCCGGGGCCACTACTGTTACCCTCTCCATTCCTGCCCCACCAATCTGTATTTTCACTTTGAAACATTTCTTCACTCTTGTTTCCAGCTTCTTTATTTCCTCATTACATAGAAACTGACCCTGACTACAGCCCTCTGAAAGATCTAATTAAAAAGTGAAATGATTGATTCCCTTATTTTTGTTAGACATATTCCTCCTGTTTGATCTCAGAATACTTTTGTTTGAATTTTGTTACAGCATGGTTTTGAACATATATTCAGCTTATATTCATATCATCATTCTACTGTCTGCTCATTTGCAAACTGGATTTTGTTTTTGCTTTACTATATCTGGATCCTTTTCCCCATTATGAATGTCTCATTTTTTCTAGGTCACCAGGTATGCTCCTTTATGTTTATCCCTATTTTGGCAATCCTTTGTATTAATATACAGTAGGTGCTAGATATTTGTGTATTTAATTAGTACATTCCTTTTAGTTTTGTCTTTCATGTTTGGGTAATATCTGTTTCTGACAAGTTCCTCTCCTGATATATTATCAACTCCCCCCCCCCGCCTTGCCCCCACCTTCTCTTGCTGTCTCTCTAGGGGTGTGTTAGGGCTTACAAGTGGACATTGTGGGTTGTCAGAATGATTGGAGCTCACTGATGGCATTTAGTGGACAGGGACCAAGGACAATTAATGATCCACAATGCACAGGACATTGATTGTTTCCACTGTAATGCCAGCAGTGCCCCTGCCGAGAAGCAGAGACAGCCGTGGGTGGTTGACAGTATTCATCATGGAGCCAATCCTGTGGCAGACATACATTCAGAAACATCTATTGGGGGCTTCCTACATGCCAGACACTGCTCTAAGGGCCTTATTTATATTACCTTATTTAATCTTCTTAAAGGCAGTTACTTTGGTCTTTTCCCCGTTTTTCAGAAAGATTAAATAACTTGTCCAAGGTCACATTGCTAATAAGTGAAAAAAAATGGGGGGTTTCAAACCCTAGTTTCTTATAATCTAGCAAAAGTCCGTTCATGCTTAATACCTGATTATTGTACATTTAATGTGACCCATAAGTAAGTAAGTTAATATTACCCATTAGGTAATAGAATCTAGGTTTTAAAATGCCTTGGAGGAAGGTGTCTGTCCCCAGTGAGCAGCTTGTCCATCACTTATTCAATCCATTAGTCATAGCCTTTATGACCTTGTTCCTCCTTATTTCCTTTCATTTGGCTGTTTGGGATGCAGCCTAGTGGGGAGCAGGGAACCCTGTGACCTCCATATACATGGCCCACCATACATCATAGATGAAATTAAATTGTGTTAGTGTGATTTCAGTGTCACAAAATCATGATGGTTGTCTTTCAAAACTTGGATTTTCTAGATGATTTTCAGTAGATGTTGAAAAAATAGACACAGCCAAATTGTCTTTTAGCCAGTGCTCTTCCTGAACCCACCTTGGGCAGAACTTTTAATAGCCTTTAATAGATAAAACATTTCTTATTTAACTGTGTTTTAAAGAGGAATTCTCTTTACGAAACATAAGGCTAAACCTATTCTCTTCAGCACCAGGATTTTCTAGAATTTCTTGTCTCTCCTGAAGTGGTTCAATCTAGGGCAGGAAAGTGGCTTAGGACCAAAATTGCCTTTCTTAGGAATATAGTATATTAGTACCCCCTCATCGTCAGGGAGTACATTCTAAGGCCCCTAGAATGGAAGCCTAAATCTGCAGATAGTACCAAACACTATATTATATATAGTGGTTTTTTTTCCTATGCATACATACCTATAATAAAGTGTACTTTATAAATTAGGCAAAGTAAGATTAACAACAATAACTAATAATTAAATCGAACAATTAAGTAAAGTAAAAGTTATCTGAACATGAGCACTTCGATCCTGAGGCAGTTGATCTGATAACCCAGAAGGTTACAAAGTGACTCAAGGGTGAAGAAGTGTCTACGGTGAGGATACGCTGGACAAAGAGATGATTCCCATCCCAGGCAGGATGGAGTGGGACTGCGGGAGATTTTATCATGCTACTCAGAACTGTGTGCAATCTACAACTTATGAATTGTTTATTTCTGGAATTTCCCACCTCGTATTTTCAGACCATGGTTGATTTCAGGTAATTGAAATCTCAGAAAGCAAAACTGTGGATTAAGAGGGGACTACTGTATGTTAAAATCTTAATTGTTGGATTGCAGAAGTGACCTTGTGCTAAGGTTTTGTAACTATTGAGGGGCAAAGGTGGCTGACCTGGTTATTGGCAGATGGGTATGGGGAGCTGGTGCCTTCGGGGAGCTGGTGCCTTCAGGGAGCTGGTGCCTTCGTTTCCAGCCATGAATTGGTGTCAGCAGCCTCCCCAATCACCCTTGGGCAGGAAAGCTGTCAGGACAGAACCCTGTTAACTACTTTGAAAGTGTCATTGATGGCTCCTCCTATCTCTACGTCCCATCTCATCTGGATTGACTTAATTGTAACTACTACAACCATTAGATGATTTCGTGGATAAAGTAGTTTATCTTAAAATTAGCCAGTGAATACATAACGCTTCAGTGTGGCAAGCCAAGGAAGAGAAGTATTGCTAAATGATTAACAGCTTAGTTAATAAAATCAGTTCTGCCTTTGCCCTTGGACGTTATAATATTGATGATTATTCCTGTAAGAAGAATGGCCAGGAAAGTTGGAAAATCTAGTCAGTATGCATATGAAAAGTTGATTAGCTACCCTCTAAATGTAAATCTTAAATTGGGGAAGGTAGGGAGCTATAGAATCTTAGAAGATGGAGGTAAATCTTTAACTGGTATCTCAAGATGTTTTATTAAGTGAAAATAAGCAAGTAATATATACACACTTCTATATATAATAGTGTTTTTTTAGTTTTTTTTAACTGTGATCCCCACAGTAAGAATATATTTTACATCACAGCTAAGTACATTATACTTATAAATATGATATAATAAAACTAAAGTTTTATAAAACTATATTCATTCTCACTGAGAGCAAAGCATTCTGATTCTCTACTATGATCAATTATTATTTTTAATGCTAAGTTGACATGATCATCTACTAATGGTAGATTTCACCCACAATTGTGAAAACATCCATTTAGCATGACCTCTTTGTGCTCAAAAGAGGAGAAATCTCTGGAAGTATATTGAAGAAATGTTACCATTAGGTTCCTTGTGATGCGTGGCTTGGGGATTGAGGTTGAGGGAAGTAATGAGATTTTTGCCCCTTTTTTTTAATTTTTAATACTTGAATTTTTTTTTACTGTAGATATGAAGTACTGTAAAATAATAATTGATAAAAGTAACAAGCGGAAAAAACTGTCTTGTCACTGTGGCATTCTGTTCCCTGATATGGCTCTTCCTTGTCTTACCTCAAGTCCTCAGTTGTTGCCCAGACAGGATCTCTTCCTGTCTGCCACCTCTCATTCCAGTTAGTTCCACTTTTTTCCCCACTGAGATTTCAGCTTCACGGAAAGAGTTTTTATGGAACTAAGAAAAGAAGTTCAGAAAACTGGCACTTCATTTATAAAGTGAACTCACAGAATTGTGTCTTTCCTTTTGATCTTCAAGTTAGATCTAGCACAGAAGTCACTTCTGTGAATTAAATTCTTTTAACCTAAGGAACTGAACTTAACCTTGTCTGTAGCATATTCTTTGAAAAGAATTTATTCTTTTATGAAAAAATACTGTATAAAAAACATTTTGAGTAGAGATTAATCAGTATCTTTTTTTTTCTTAATAGGTTTTCAAATGGAACATTTTGATGCATCACTTAGTACCTATTTCAAGGCATTGCTAGGCCCTCGAGGTAAGGTGGTTTTTGGTTTTGCTTACCTTCTGCAGCATCACTCCCTGCCTATAGTCCCTTGTAAATATTGCATGAGGAGATAGTAGAAAATGTTAGCATTTTCTATGATAAGTCTAAAACTTTATCCTGGATAACAAGGAATTTGGAGAAGTCTCTGACAGAGACACCTGCTGTGGGTGGTCCTCCGTTGACTTTAACTGGAGTTTAAAAATATGCTGTAAAGCTTGTAGCCTGAGAATACTATAGATTTCACCATTATCAGTGGCATTTTTTTCTCAATTCTTGGCAGTCTTTAAGAAAAACTAGTTTCCAAAATGCAGTGTTGCAATAGGAGTTTAAAACCTTTCCCCTTTTACAATTTTAAGGGCTTTTTAAGGTCTTCTCATTTTGTATCATGTTAACTCACTGGTAAATATGCACCTGAACCTTACTTGCTGTATCTTTTAGAAAGTAAATCAGCTTCATATTGCCTTCTTTTGATGTCATCTGTAAAAGTCTTTTAAAGTCTTTTGTATAAAGAACTTCTTAGGCTCACAGAAAAACTAGAAATGGCTTTTAAACAGACAAAAAGAATCTCAGTTTCTCATGATTTTTAAAACACAAAAGAAATAACAAAAGGACTTAGTCTATTAACATGGCAGAGATGAAATAATAGGTTTCATGTCACCTATGATAATAGTGATAATAGTGAAGGCGTGGAGAAAGAGTACAACCTCTCTGAAAGGCTGTTTTGCCTTCTGTTGGAATTAAAATGCACATGCCCTTTTGCCTAGCCATTCTACTCCTAATACTTTATCCTGTGGCTAGCCTTGATTAGTTATGCAATGATACATATCAGGATGCTCATTACAGCATTGTTTTTCAAGGAATCATCTGGATGCCTGTCAGTAGGGGAGAGGTTCTGTAAATTAGTGTATGGCCCATTGAAAAGAACAAAAAAGAATAAGTTAGATCCATCTGTATGTGCTTGGGTTGGGATAGTGCCTTACTTTAGCTGTAAGGGACAAAAAATCCAACTCTAAATGGCTAAAATAATAATAATAATTATTAGCTTGCATTACCAGGTGGAGCAATTCCGTAGTTATTTCAGGGACTGTATGATGTAACCAAGGATCCTTGTTCTTGTCATTTTCTACTTTGCCACTTCCAGGTATCAGCAGCTCTGTCCTCAGAATGGGTCCCCCACTTCACACAGTTGTAGGATGGCTACAGCAGCTCCAAGCAGCACATTCAGAGGAAGAAGAAAAAATGTTTCATTTGTGTGGTTTTAAGCATAAAGAAGTTGTTTCCCAGAGCTCTTTGCCAGCTGTCATCCCTCAAAACTCACTGGCCACAATTGCTTCACATGCCCCTGCCTGAACCAGCCACCAGAGGGGGTTAGGACCACCACAGATTGACTAGATCCTAAGGATTCTCTACCTGGGGCTGGAGTTCGGGTCAGGTGCCCGGGAAGCACTGTGCGGTGTGGGAGGATGAATATGTGCCAATTTGGAAAGATGAGTATTTGTGGGAAAATGAATAAAGCAAAGTGTAAATCAGAGGTTTAAGTTAAAATAGGGAGATTTGTGTGTATTTATTGTTTGTGATATATATGTTCATACAAAATAACAGTCTGATGTTAGTTGCTAAGTGGGAACTGGTTTTCTTAAAATTGACAGCCAAGGCCCAAAGCTGAGAACAAAAGGTGTTAAGCATCCCCTTAAAGTCCCTGGGGCCAGCCATTTCCCTGAATGACTTCTAAGCACAACCAGTTCTGCCGGACTGACAGTAACACCCTCCGTGACCATAGCATAACTAGTGGGGAGGGTGTGGAGGGCATGTCCCTCTGAAGCCAAAGCAAGCCAGCCATGAGAGAAATGCTGGGAAAGTTTAGTGTGTACAGTGCAAGAAAGGAAGACTGACTGACAGTTCCCCACGTGGACATATGCTTTATTGAGCCTGTTCTTGTTCTGTGAAATCAAGGTGAAAACGACTGGAGAGAGTAGCAAGATGGTCCAGTCTGGGAGGGGTCAAAGAAAGGGCAGAGCCGGGTGTGGTGGTTCACTCCTGTAATCCCAGTACTTTGGGAGGCCAAGGCAGGTGGGTCCCCTGAGGTCAGGAGTTCCAGACCAGCCTGACCAATATGGTGAAACCTGGTCTCTACTAAAATTACAAAAATTAGCGGGGTGTGGTGGTGTGTGTCTATAGTCCCAGCTACTCTGGAGGCTAAGGCAGGAGAATCGCTTGGACCCTAGAGGCAGAGGTTGCAGTGAGCTGAGATCACGCCACTGCACTTCAGCCTGGGCGACAGAGTGAGACTCCGTCTCAGAATAAATAAATAAATGAATAATAAAAAAATTAAAGAAATGGCAAAGGCTGTCCTCCCAACTGCTGCTTCTCTGAAGACGCAGTAGGTGAATGCTGCATGTGCCTCATGTTCTGGAGTTGTGAGCCTTGGCGGGTAGTTAAGATTGAGGAGCCACAGGTTTTCGGGGAACATCATAGCAGGGTTCAAAGGGGAGCATGCTTTTCAGAGGTAGCTTCCTGGGGTCAGCCAGAGTATGAAGCTGAATCTTTCAGGGGACACATAACACTTAGGGGCTCTGGCTGCCAAGGAGTTTCCCGCCATCCAAGAAGAGGTTGTCAGTTTGCTGCTGGCGGCTGACCTGTTTCCCTCTCCCTCCTCCCTGCCTAAGAAAAGGAATAGGGGCAGGAGAGGCCCTTCCTATACCAGTATCTCCTCTGGATCCGCCTAGGTCTTCGCTCTCATGCTACTACTCCTCAGTTTGTTAAATACTGCCCTTTAAATAGGCATTTATCTGATCATTGCTGCTTCACCTTCATGTTTTGTTTTGTTTTTATTTTCATTTTTGAGACGGAGTCTCACTCTGTTGCCCACGCTGGGGTGCAGTGGTACGATCTCAGCTCACTGCAGCCTCTTCCTCCCAATTTCAAGCGATTCTCCCACCTCAGCCTCCCAAGTAGCTGGGATTACAGGTGTGCAGCACCATGCCTGGCCAATTTTTATATTTTTAGTAGAGATAGTGTTTTGCCATGTTGGCCAGGCTGGTCTTGAACTCCTGACTTCAGGTGATCCACCCGCCTTGGCATCCCAAAGTGCTGGGATTACAGGCATGAGCCACCACACCCAGCCCTTGTTTTGTTTTTAAATCATTGTCCTCTCTGCTGTTGACCATTACACTCATAGCAAAGGCTGCCTTTCTAATTAGTGCCAGTTTCACTAACGTGGCTAAGCAGCACGTTTTCTGAGTCTGCATGTGCTGGCCACACTTGCCGACTGACACACAGCTGAGATGGAGGACTTCAGAGTTCAATGACTGCCATTTCTTGGGTTTTATCACCCTATGTGTAATCTGGTATACCTGGTTAATAAATCCAATTAATGGGAAGTGTAGCCTTCTCCTTGTTTTCTTCTTAAGTTCTTTGGAAAGAATATTTGTATTATTATTTTACTGAGCAAAAATCATGAATAATACATTGTTATTCAGAGCATGTAACAAGGAGCTTCACCTTGTTTGATATGTATTGAAAATCCATGCCTCCTCTCCTGATTGCTTTATTGGAATTAAGAACATGAATACCAGGTGACTTTTATATCATCATGGTTAGAGAAATTTTTTCAACGTTTGAAAAGTTGTGAATGTTTTTATATATCATTAATTTTTTTTAATTTTTCAGATACTAGAGTAAAAGGATGGTTTCTTCTGGACAATTATATACCCACATTTATCTGCTCTGTCATATATTTACTAATTGTATGGCTGGGACCAAAATACATGAGGAATAAACAGCCATTCTCTTGCCGGGGGATTTTAGTGGTGTATAACCTTGGACTCACACTGCTGTCTCTGTATATGTTCTGTGAGGTAAGTCAAAGGTTAACACAGTCTTCCTTTCACATAAATGCACTCATATTGCTGTCCTAAATTGTATTCCTAAATGAGGAAAGGTGGCCGCTTGGGGTGTAGAGACAACTGGGCAAGCAAGTATCTTAATGCGTTATGAGTGTGTTTTAAAATCGATTTTTCAAAATGTCAGAGTTGTTTGTACAAGTATGCCTTCTAGAATATCTAAAATAGAAGCCTTTGTTATTGATTCTTCTATTATGTTTCGTATGATATTCAAAATTAAAGTATTTTCAGAAATACTCTCATGCAAGCAAAATACAGAGTGGAAAATGAACAAAATGTGAAAAACACATGTGAAAGCATTTTATTATTAAGCATCTAATAAGTGCCTGCTTCTTGTTTGAAGGTAGGGGAGGAAGGAAGTGGGTGGCACTTGTGTTTGGTATGTTTTGTGGCACATCACCCTCTCTGATTGGATAACTTGTCAAATCTCAGTTGTTTTTTAAAAGCTAAGAGGAGTGTGACTGGTGAGATCTGCATTTAGGTTTTGAATTGTCTGTCTGAGTTCAGGCCCAGTTATTTTATATCACTGCAATGTTGAAAATCACATTTGATGATCTCAAAGGCAAATGTTATAGCTTAAAAATGAAAGAAAAATCAGAATCAACCCTTCTCTTCTCCCTATTTTGAAGGGGTAACACTATAGCCTTTAAAGCTAAAAGGGGGAGGAAAGCTTCCCTCTGGTGGTAAGCAGTTTGTGTACATTTTTCCAGGAAAGCCTACCCACTTTTCATTCTTACAGCACCAACCTATTTCTAACTCTTCTGGAGAATTAAGCCCTGGATAAAACCTATACAGGCACTCCTGTATAGGTTTTCAGGGTTTCATTTTGGTTTTAGTTCTTCAAGGAGTAGTAAAGAAGAAGGTAGAGGTGGGAGGAAGAGGAGAGATAGAAACATGAATCTTAAAATTAGTGTTCAGGGGTCAAAATGAATTCTCCATCAGCCTCAGGCCATGATGGTGTCTCCCTGTCTACGTGTGGTGGTGTGCAGGAGTGTGGGCGTGTGCAGGCATATTTGATTATCAGAGGTGTTGCAGCTGTGGGATATCTGTGTCTTGTTCTCCCATGTATGTTTCATAAGCCAAGGTACAGATATTCTGAATAGAATGGTAGATGTTCCTAGCATTACTTTTATGCTTGACATGCCAAGAAATGCTTACAACTCCTTTTTTTGCTTTTTTTTCTGTCCTATTCTAGAATGAAGTCAGTTTAATTAGACTCCAAGATGGAGAGTTCAGGACTGGAGCCAGGGGAAGTGCACAGGAGTGACTCCTGGCCCCAGCACTATGCACATTTCTGTGTTCAAGGGACAAAACCACAGCAAGCTGTCAGGTTTCTGAGTGAACTGCTTACTTTTCCATAATTGATAGATAATACAGCCATGTCTTTAAGAGAACTCTTACAGAGTTTATTATTATACATGGCAATATTAATAGAGAAAAATATTTCATGTGATTTTTAGAGAACTTAAGCATTTGCCTTAAATGTTTCTTAAGCCCTAGAAATATAGCTATAATTTCATTATTTATCCTCTCTTAAACAGATGATTCCCTGGTAAAGAGAAGAAAAACACTGTATAAAGTACAGCTGTGTGCATCTGAGTGGATGTGGGGGGTTCTGAACACATTGTAATAGAAGGTACAGATTTTCCTCTGATAGCTTGGTGAGAAGAGAAGACTTTGAGCAGTGACTAAGCACTGAATACAGAAATTTAAGAAATATACAGAATAGGGAAACTACATTTTTAACTCACAGTTTAGAGTACATAGAGAGGTAATAGACAAAGAGGCAATGTTTCCTTAAATTAAATCAAGTTTACAAAAAGCTATCCAGGTCAGATATACCCAAGTTGAAAATAAGCCCTAGTGCTCCAAGTTGATGGTATTCACATTTGGTTTTTGTCCGAGTTTTCTCCTGTACATATTGTAAAACCCATCAATAATTCCATTGTCATGTGTCCTTTTTCAAACTTCAAATATCATTTTAGCTACACGTTTTTCTGTTTGTTTGTTTTGAGACAGTTTCACTCTTGTCGCCCAGGCTGGAGTGCAGTGGCGCCATCTCGGCTCACTGCAACCTCCGCTTCCCAGGTTCAAGCGATTCTCTTGCCTCAGCCTCCCTAGTAGCTGGAACTACAGGCATGTGCCACCACTCCTGTCTAATTTTTTGTATTTTTAGTAGAGACAGGGTTTCACCATGTTGGCCAGGCTGGTCTTGAACTCCTGACCTCAGGTGATCCACCCGCCTCGGCCTCCCAAAGTGCAGGGATTACAGGCGTGAGCCACCGCACCCGGCCATTTTTCTTTTTATACTTAGCATTTCTACTCCATTGAATGCTAAGACACAGAAGAGCAGTCATGGAGTTTTACAATGGAACGAACTGAGGAGATCATGAAGCCCCATGGGGCCCCTCATTTTAGAGAAATGTCCCAGGAGTTAGAGCCATTCTTCTGTGGTCACACACCTGTAATGGTCATTATTTTAGTTTTTATTTACCTTCCTGCTTATCTGCATATTTGGGGCTGTAAAGAATTTTTTAAATAAGTAGTCTTTGGTATTTTTGTTTATTTAATTCTGTGGCATAAATTCACAGCTGCTTTAGCAAGTTCTAGATTAATAAAAATAAAATTAACTGTCACTTAAAGGAGACAGGAAGAAGCGGGGTTTTTTTGTTTGTTTGAGACAGAGTCTCACTCTGTTGCCCAGGCTGGAGTGCAGTGGTGCTCACTGCTTCTCGCCTCCTGGGCTCAACTGATCTCCCGCCTCAACCTCCCAAGTGGCTGGGACTACAGGAGCATGCCACCACGTCTAGCTAAGTTTTGTATTTTTCGTAAAGACAAGGTTTCATCATGTTGTCCAGGCTAGTCTTGAACTCTTAGGCTCAAGCAATCCACCCACCTCTGCCTCCCAAAGTGCTGAGATTACAGACATGAGCCACTACATCTGGCCAATAGGAAGAAGTCTTGAAAGAAGGGAGATGATCAGAAGGAAATGAAAGGAAGTCACTGAAACTTTAAATTTACTAGAAGGAAAATAACTAAATCCCAGTTTTAAAACTGTGAAACCGAGTTTAAAATGTAGAAGGAATATAGACTTGCTCATAGTTTGTGTACTTGGTAGAAACAAAATTAAAAGGAGAGAAGAGGTATTACTTCTATATCTCATTAACTTTAGTGTTTATTTCCAGGAAAAAGGTCATAGATCCCTGATTTGGAGCATATTTGAATTAGTGGTATGTTTTAATTTGAAAGTATTGGACTTTATAGCAATCCTTTTTGCTTTTGCTTATTAGGGGTTGTCTAATATCACAGTCC